>NC_000012.12:15209650-15834650 GCF_000001405.40 Homo sapiens
GCATTGGTTATTTATTGGTTACTGTGAATTTCTTATAAAAACAAAATCCATCAGGTTTTACAAAGTTTGTATGATAAAATTCTAATGGTCATTTCATTTTCTAATATAAAATATCTGAGAAGATGTGGAAAATAACTGAATGATACAAAATGAAAACCTTTGATAGCAAAGTTGCAAAAGCCTTGCATTGAGTCATAGACTGGAATGCTAGACTTGGCTCTAGCACCAACAAGCTGGGTGATCTCGCTAAGGATCTCTCTCTCACATGTATCTCTCATATGTATGGATAAGCTTTACATATTTGTTTATTCATGCTGAAATTATCTATTTCAGACTGCCCTGCCTTTACAATATAGCAACTCATTTTTCATGGGATGGAAGAAATTATGTGTTTTTCTGAAACCACATCAATTTTCAAAAGCAGCTGTAGCAACAGACATGCATTTGCACTGGAATTTTGGCTTCAAGGCCAGTACCACCTTGAAAATCTGGCTGATTTCCCCAAACCCATAAGTTGGAGAAATACCAGGAATAAAAAGGGGAATTACAAGGATGATTTAAAATGTTCTTCCCTCCACTTAAAGTTAGTCTTTTCAAGTTGCCAAGAAAACAAGTCAAGATCAAAATGGAATTAATAGATAGCTGGTATTTAACTACAGAAACATTGCAATGAATAAATTAGCCATTAGTTTAAAATAAAGGACAATTGAATTTTAATAATATATTCCAATAAAAAAGCAAGAACAGAGATATGTCCTTTTGGCTTTGAGAAATAATTCTTAATTTTGTTTTGTTTTGTTTTCCAGTATTGTTTCCCCCCCAATCATATTTTTCTTAAGAGAAAAGCCTTAACTAAGAAATGATCATTGTCAACCTGCAAAGTACTTAGCCACCTACCAGTAACAATTCACTTTCATTTTTTTTTCTAGATTTTTGTTTACTTTTATTTTCCTATGCCCTCTTAAGCACCATTTCTCTTTTTTCTTCCTGGGCATACAAGAAAGGTCAGTGATGACTTAAAAATTGCACAGAGGTCTGCCTTTTATACATATACGTAGGCATATACCTGCAATTTGAAAACATGGTTTAATTGGTCTTGGGGTAGAAAAAACAAATTACAATGGACTCATCTAGGCTGTTTGCCTCCTTTTGCTTTTCTGTCTTTGCAGGTAAAGGAAGATACAAACCCTGTAAAGCCACAGGTAACCAGAGCACTATATTTTAGGACAACAAAAAGGCTCCTTTTTTCTAACTACACCCAAATTTGTCTCAAAACCACCTCCCTCCCTTTGGTCCAATTATTTAAAAAACAATTATTCCTCTAACCACCAACTACACAAGAAATCAATAGGATTTCTGGTAGTCCTTCAATTTCATAAACCAACTAGGAAAAGCTTCTTTACATACACACATGTGTTAAGGGGCCATGCAAGCTCTGCATCCACATGGGCAGAGGGAAGCATAATCTGCCCCTCTTCTTACCTTGATTAATGTTTTTAGCAAATTTACCACAAAGATTATATAATCTTATGTCCACACTCCCATGTTCACTGCAGAATTTTTCACAATAGCCAAGACATGAAAACAACTTAATGCCCATCAATGGATAAATGGATTTTAGAATGTCATTTTATACACACACACACACACACACACACACACACACACACACACACACTATGGAATGCTATTCGGCCTTAAAAAGGCAGAAAATTCTATAATTTCTAACCACATGGATGAACATAGAGGAAATGATGCTAAGTGAAATAAGTCTGGCACAGAGAGACAAATACCATATGATCTCACTGATATGTGGAATCTAAAAAAGTCAAACTCATAGACACAGAGAGTGGAACAGTGGTTAACGTCACTGGGAGGGGTATCAGTGGGCAAAACCAAGGCATTGGTCATAGGGTACAAAGTTTCAGTTACACAGGAGGAAGATGTTCTGGTGATCTATTGCACAGAATGGTGACTATAGTTCACAATAATGTATTGTGCACTTCAAAATTGCTAACAGAGAGGATTTTAAATATTCTAACTACAAAGAAATGACACTTGAGGGGATGGACATGCTAATTCACCTGGTTTGATCATTCCGTAATGCATATATGTATCAAAACATCAAATTATACTCTATAAACATTTATAGTTACTCTGTCAACTAAAAATAAAACAAAATCCTTGAGTGATGGTGAAAAATATATAGAATCTTAGAAAATAATGCTCCAAAAGTTTAATGGCTAGTTGGGTCCTCAAGGAGGTAGAAACTGAGATACAGGGTTGTTGTCAGTGCTCACATTCACGTGGTATGCACAGCCGAGGCTACTTCTTATATCTGTGGTCCTCAAGTGGACCTGAAACCTATGTGATATTAGAGCCACGAATAAACTTTTTTTTTTTTTTTTTTTTTTTTTTTTGAGACGGAGTCTCGCTCTGTCGCCCAGGCCGGACTGCGGACTGCAGTGGCGGAATCTCGGCTCACTGCAAGCTCCGCTTCCCGGGTTCACGCCATTCTCCTGCCTCAGCCTCCCGAGTAGCTGGGACTACAGGCGCCCGCCACCGCGCCCGGCTAATTTTTTGTATTTTTAGTAGAGACGGGGTTTCACCTTGTTAGCCAGGATGGTCTCGATCTCCTGACCTCATGATCCACCCGCCTCGGCCTCCCAAAGTGCTGGGATTACAGGCGTGAGCCACCGCGCCCGGCCACGAATAAACTTTTTATATCTTCCTGAAAAGTCCATTTTAGTCACTGAGTTTTAGGGCAGATTGTTTTTATGTTTAAGCAAACATAGATATATTAGGGATTAATAGTAAGTTTTGCATATATTTTATATAACTATAAAACATGCAAAATACTTACATGATTATGAGATGCTTACACATCCCAAACCCCCTAGATTTTTCTTTCTCCTATTAAAAGTACTTTGAAAACAATATTCAGAAAGCATCCTACTATGCCACTTAGTCTGAGGAAGGGGAAAAATTGGTATATAGCTACTTAAATAGAGAAGAAGTTCTAAAACACAAAATGTAGTTCTATAGCATAAGAAAACTGACCTACCCAAGATGCGACTGAGGTTTCTGTTTTTTTATTATATATATGTGAGATCTCATAAATATATCTCAGCCTGAAGTATACATATATTTTAAAGCAGGTTTTGACGGTTATCTTAAAAGTCACATTTAAAATTAGAATAGTCCCTGTCCCACTTAAAAATAAGATGAAAAAAGCTTTTAAAAACTTCTTTATAATTGACAGAGAAAAAAGCAGACAAGAAAAAGAACAAAAAATAGGATGAAAAATCACTTCTCTTTGTGCCACGGAAAAAAATATCACAAGCTTGTTTGTGTTTGGCATCCAGTTTATAGCTTGGCAATCTGAGTCTATGAACTTAAGCCTTCATGGATGAGTGCACCAATTGGCTTTTGAATTACAGGATAGCATTACTCAATTAACTTTAAGACTAGCCCTTTCAAGCAATATAGTTAGCTGTGGCACACAATATTTCAGTTCTAAAATGAGAATGTCAACTGTGAAGCTAAATTTACAATTTCAGTTGTTTCTCTATCAGCCCCCTCCCACACTTACTACAAATCTGAATAATACGACTACAAGAAGCATTTAAATAAAAATGTGTGCATTCTAGGCTTATTGGCAAGTCTTATCACTTTAATTACTTGGAGCTTGTCAAAATATAGGCTGATGCACACAAGTAAGGAAATCTGTGCCTTGCATGCCACATTATTAGTGCTTCACCCTTAGCCAATGAAAGTAAATGTTTACCCGGCTGGGGCAAGAAAAGATAGAAAGGGCTGGGAAATCATGACCCTACACTTTGCAGCGTCCCCACAGAGTTCACTGTACTATCCCTATGCCAGCAAGCTCACTTGAAGACAGAACTGCAAGATAAACTTAGAAGGAACAAGAATTCCCCCAATACAGCAGACCATGTAAACACTTATATATTACACACATGTGCGTGCACATACACACATCCCTCACATGTTTTATCAGTGCTCCTTAGTAATCAGCACATTATTAAATTTTTGCCTTTGCTGACATGTCTGTGGTCAAACTGTCAATGAAAAAGTTCTGGTAAATGTTAAATTCTGTTTTAAATATAGACGGCCTATCTATCACCTGGGCTTAGGAAGCCATCTGCCACATACCAGAAGCACTTTCAAATTTAAAAGTGTTAATTTATTGGTGACACTAATATATTTCTGGCTTTTTACAAGATTAAATATAAGCCATACGAAGTATTGTTATGATCATCTGTGGTCAAGCTATAATTGACATTAACCAGATTTTAGGTTCAAGAAAGAGAAAAACAGAGAAAGTATGTGTGTGTGTGTGTGTGTGTGTGTGTGTGTGTGTGTGTGTGCGCGTGTGTGGAGTTTTTACCTTATAAGCTGTCTGACTTAGTGAAAACCAAAATACTCACTTGAATGCAAGTATATCTTTAATTGTATGTTTTCACTGTGGAACTTACAAATTAAAAAAGCATACCTTAACAAATTATAATAATATAAGCTAATTTTGAGCATTTGCAATGTGCCAGGAACACTTGCATGTAACAACTCATTCAATCCTAGTAACAACTGAGATGCTATTATATGTTCTTCATAGTTGAAGAAATCGACTGGTTAAGTAACTTGCCAAAGTTGCCAAGTTCACAGGGCAAACAAAAGCTCACACTCTTTAACTCCAAGCTATACGACTCCTCGTTAGCAAATGGGCAATATGGTCTTATTTACCCCCAATTCCTACTGGTATTAAGTGTGGGGAAAGTAGAGGGGACAGGTAAGACTTAAGCCTCTGAAACAATTCAGTGAGGAGCTACCGAATTACATTCCAGCAGGTATAATTTCTTGCAGACTTAAACAAGCAAAAGTTACCTATAAGACTGATAAAGTCTCTGCAGTAGAAAGATAAATGTGTGATACAATGATGAGGCAGAGACATCAAATAGCCATATTCACAAAGAATCAGAATCAACATAAATTCAATATTGTTGCAGTCTATTTTCAAAATTGTTGCATATGAGCCAGGTGTGGTAGGACACACTCGTAGTCCTAGTTACTGGGGAGATCAAGGTGGGAGGATCTCTTGAGCCCAGGAGTTGGTGGCTGCAGTGAGCTATGATCATGCCACTGCACTCCAGCCTGAGCGACAGAGGGAGACCCAGTGTCTTAAAATAAAATTGGTAGATATGAAGTAGTTTGTGGTCGTTTTCACTGAACTATGGAAAAAGGTTTCACAATTTTCACCCATGCATCAAACGAGTGCTACTTTTAAAATGTGAGGTGCAGTTACAGGTCTCAGAAAAATAATTTAATGTTGACATAGGAAAACACTGTCTGTTTATAGATGACAGACAAAAAGGCAATTGTTAAAGATATGTAGTCTGTCATTGTCATTTTCACCTAAATGAAAACAAACACAAATGGTGGAATGTATTCAAGGCAAATAGAGAAAACAGTCCAAAGAAGATTTGAATGTTAGAGTTGGAAAGAAACTTAGTGAGCAATTTCAACCTGTGCATTTTACATAAAATAAAATTCAGGTCAGCAGAATTTGATCTCTCTGTGCAGGTGTTATCTTCAGCTTTGGGTGTGAGTAGCACTTCTAGGGGCAGTGTATGGAGTAAGGACGCAAGAGGATGATATATAGAACCCTGGAAGCTTCAACTTTGAGAAGTGCGCAGACGAAGAGCAAACCCATGAAAACAGCTAGTTAGGAGCTACGGAGAGAGAGCAGCAAAGCCAAAGAGTGTGATGTCATGGGAGCCTGGGAAGGAAGGAATTTCAGGAAAGAATAAGCAGCTGTGTGATGATAGAAAGAAGTCTAAGAAGATCAGAACTGGAAAATGATCATTAGATGTGTTGGTCATTGTTTGGTAGTGACCTTAGCAAAAGCAGTTTCAGTAGCATGGTTGTAACAGAAGATGGCTATGTTTTAAGCAATGAATGGGAGAGTTAAAAAAAGATAAGACAGTAAGGGAAGAACCCATATTCAATAAGCTTGAAGAAAAGAAAAAGATGAAGCAGTGGACGAAGACATGCGTGAGGAAAAATGGTCAGGTGAGAATGAGAGGAATAATTGAAACAATGTGGGGAAAGGCAACGAAAACAGGCATCCCAGCTCAGGCTGATGCATGAGCCTTGACAGGAGGAGACACCCAGCTTGCTCCGAGATCATGAAGATGGGAAACGGATGGACGCACGTACAGCTACGTGGTTCTCTCAGCTGAGTTTTCATTTTTATGTTTGACTTCTTAAATCGCATGTAGGTTATTTTAACAAATGATACAAGGTTTTAAAAAATCTCCTTCCCTTATTGCCTTTGGAAGTCTGGAATGAAGGAATAAATGGTCAGCCTCAAGCCTAGACCCTGCACTCACAAGGAGTTAGACAAGCTCTTGCTGGCAGTGCACATCTTCTCCCACACTGCCTTCCCTCCATCCTCCACTCACAGGAATCATTTCCTCATTCTCCAGATCCTTCTACCAGCTACAGAAATTAGGTTCTCACGCCATTAGGAAACACTGAGGAGATTAACAGGGAGGAGTTTAACTATCTTCAATCTTGTGAAGGCTGGCAGTTTCTTAGCCTTGCCAACTATCTATTTTCCTTGTGTGGTTTCTGCCAGAGGCAAGAGCAAACCAAACAGAAGAAAATGGTGGTAGCAGGAAAGAGTACTCTTGAGAAAATTAAAAGAAAAACGAGAGACAAAGACTTAGAAGAGGGAAGATTACTGCTGAAATTAAACCAGACAGCAGGTTAGAAAAGAAAGGTTGGTCACAGAATTAAAAAGCAATTATGTGTATTTGTCTAAGATTTTGTGGATTACCTAATGTATTGGATTATACAGTTTATTTCCAAACAGGTTTCCCTCTACAAACATGCACCTACCAGATATCTGTTTGAGTCCTTTCCTGAGAACCAAAAGCTCTGTGTACAGTTAATTATGGTTCCTTCCTCCAGTAAGAGACTAAGGCAAGAGGTTACCCTGAAAGGTCATGCTGCCCTAATGTTTCAGCAACGTTGACTTTGGAATTCTTTAATTATAAGATCGAAGATGTATTTTTCAAATTAGATAGCAGGTACATTTTTCACTTCCACCATTTCACCCTTAATCTTAAAGGTCTGCTAGCGATTTCTCAGATAGTGAACAAAGTCTCTGAATTACTGATGTTAGCCAGAACTTGCTAATTTAAATTCACTGCAGAGGCATTCGCAATAGCTATCTTGCTTGAGAGCATGCACTCCTAAAGTTTCAGGAATCCTCTCAGGATTTTTGAGTGTTTGGCAATAATGCAATTCTGTTTCTGATAAAGCTAGATTCACTTAAGCATTTTTAAAGCACCTAACACATGCTTGACACTGGACTGTTTGCTGAGAATATCAAAATGAATGAGATGTAAAATCAGTCCCTCAAGATCTCATACATAGAGAAAAGAACAAATATATATTTTTTAATTTCCATCATCTGATTTCTTTGGAGGTTGTTAAAAATCAGAATGCCAAGACCTCTGATATATCCTTTATCTTGTGTGTTATCAGCAAAGCTACTTCAGCATAAATAAGCAAAAGGATACGTAACAGTCGATTACGCAAAATAAAAGTTCTAGATGAAGAGACTTTATCTAAAAGAGTAAGAAATGAAAATAGGAGGAATACCAACTACTCACCTGCCCAATCCCAAGAAACAGTAATAAAGAAACACACTCACCCACACACACACACTATAACAACCACAACGAAAATCTTACCTGACTTGCCCACGCCTGCTCTCCCAAATATTGCCAGTTTGACCTCCGCACTTTTAGCCATGATGGGTGTTGGTAGACAATTTACTGTTGTTAAAACTAAAGCACTGAGTAAATCTTTTTGGTTCCAGTCTTTGGATTCACCATATCATTGTGAATCTTGGAAGAGTCCACAATCCTTAAACAAAAGAAATTTGGGAATTCATAAGTGACTGGAAAATGAATTAATATTTATTGAGCATCTACTATATGCCAGCCACCATTCACTTTTTCAACATTTTCTGGTTTGATCTTTACCACTATCCTGTGAGAAGTCTATGGTAACTTACTGTAAATGATTTAACTAATAAATGGTAGATTCAGGACTTGGATTTGGATCTGGTTGGTACTAAAACGTGCATTATCACACACAATAGCATTTCTAAAGTACTTCCTCAAGAAATTTTCTTATGAAGGTATTGATTCTTGATAGTAACTGAAAGTAAAAGTGAATACACACATTTACCATCTATCTGTAAGCATTCAGTGTACAAACACATGCAGTGGGGCAATGGAGAGAGTCACTTTTGGGCCTCTTCATGTCTCTTTGGGTTGAATAACATACATTCATATTAGTCAACTCCAATGCAACACAATTCAATTTTGCATCTCAAAGTTAAATTTTTTCTCAATTCACACTTGATCACATGATGAATTCCTGTGACAGATACAGATACACATGTTCTAGGAATCAATATATAATACATAGATTACATTTCTATATTTTGCTGGACACAATGCCCTGGTACAAAAACGATAAATGCCATGCTCCAAGTTATTCCTTTTCTATGATGACTTCAAGTAAATTTGTTTATAGTGCTGTCTTAAAGCTTGGGAAATAACATTATGTACAAAGTAAGCACATCTTATTTAGTTTGGTGCTTTAGGAGTGACATCTAGGTTCTTAGGATCATGGAAACGTAAATTTGGAAAGAGCTTTGGTGGTGGTGGGGGCTGGAGTGGGGGTCATCTGAAGAAATCTTCTAGCCATTCTTCTAGCAAGAATCTTTCCTTAGGACATAACAATCATTCCATATTCCATGCCTGACTTACCACTTCCAGGTATGAAAGGTGGGCTCATTACTTCTGAAAGCTGCTTCATTTCTCCAATTAGGAGGAACTATCTTTCTAATATTGAGCTCTAAACTGTCTCCCTGCGGCTTCTACTCATTTGTCCTCATTTCTCTCTATGAAATAACTCAAAACAAGTCAACTTTTTCTTTCACTCAGAACCGTTCAAGGATCCTAGCATCTAGTAGGACCCTTTGCTCCATCCTAGGCTTCTTTTTTCTAGGAACATGAGGCCCAGCCTGTCCACTTGTTCTTCCCGGAATGTACACTCTCGTTTATGTTTTTTTGACCTTCACTCCCTTTTTCATCATGTGCATTGCCTCCTCAACATCTTAATCACTCTAAAAGCATGGTGTCCACTGCATTCCACTTTGAGATATGACCTGACAAACTGACCCGGTGTAAATTCCCTGAGATTTTCACTATCGTTAATCTGCCCACCATGGTTATACTGTAGCACAGCCAATCACATTAAGCCTCACATCTTTTACACGGACTGCAGACCCCCTCATTCCGAACATTTGCAATCAATGGCTTAAACCTAAATACAGCACAGCACTTTTACCCGTGTTAATCTTAATCACACCAGTCTGCATAATTCATTCCATTTTCAAGGCAGTAAAGATGTTTTAAACACAAATATGTTATCTAAATGTGTTAAATGTTCCTGCCAGATTTTTCCATCTATAAATTTTTACAAAGAGCTTCTTGAGAGAGAAATTAAAAAGTGAAAATCCGCCTGAAAAAGTATTTCTACAAAGACATTATCATGTAATTGTTTTCTTCCTTAGGTATTTAAGCTATCATCCTGTACCTAATAAGGTTTTGTATTTGCTGATTTTCAAAGTGCCAGAGCTTCCTCTGAAGGAAGGAAAAATCAACATTAACATTAGCTATTGTTTACTTCATCCTCAATAATGACAAAGTGTCTAAGTAATCATTATTAGCAAAAACCAGAAGCTTAAACATCTGCAATTTGTCCAGTCCCATATTTTTGGCTAAAGATAAAAAGATTTCCTTATTTGTCACTTTAGATGCATTCATTAAGAAAAGGCCCTATGTTTTTAAGGTTCAGGGCTTCATCACAGAAACATAATATGTGGAGATATATTAACTATTTAAATTATAAATGAGAAGAGGTGCTGGCAAGTATTTCTTTGAAACATTGAACACGCAAGTGTCTGCAGCTAGTATAAACAATAATTTTGTTTCATGCAAAACTGTTCATATACATGGATATAAAATGCAAGTAATTATCTGTCTGATTAATGTTTCATGAAAGTAGCCATCAAATGTGATTTTAAAAAAATGACAAGTCACATTTTTTAGTAACTCCCAAATGGCCCCAGAGGCATAGGAATTTCACATAAGAAAGAGAAATTGTGTGGGCTATTTTTTCCATTTATAACCTAATAAAGATACAGCTGGTTATTGTCAACCTAATTTTATGTTTAGAAAAATCACTTAAAGGAAGACACAAAACTGACAGGAGTTCTTCAACATTTTATTTCTCACATGAAAATGTGAAAAGTTACATTTGACAAGATAGAAAACAAAAATAAATATGTAAATTGTTGTAATAAGTAAACTGTTGCCAAGTTTCTGATGTTCCAAATAATTCATAATCTGAGAGCTTCCATACGTGGATCTAAGAAAATCCATTTGTCCTAATGTTCTGCTGAAATATTCTGAGTAGGGCTGAAATTTGCCATTCACTTTTTATGTGGATGGTGCTTATTAGGACAAAAACATCTCAGCTGCTATCACTCTAAAGGTAAAATCATACCTATTTAGTTTGAAGGTGTAGGTTTTTTTTTCCCTAAACATAAATTAAAGGAAAAAGGAAAAACGCTAGCTAAAATCCTGTATTATTAGTGATGCATTCATTGATTTATTCCACACTTTCACGCTATGCACATACAAATAAAAGTAGTTCCCTTCGAAGAGCTTACACTCTGTTAGACCTATGATATTTAGATAACTGTAACCTTATTTACTTACTTATTTAAAGAAAGTTTTCATTCCTAATAAATCATTCTCAAGGCTATATTTATCAAGGTTCATGCTTTCTACTTCCTCTTGGGGGTGGGGCAAGCAAGCGTCTTTATAAGGTAATCATGCTTGGAACTTCTGTTTGCATGCGCTCATCAAAATCAAGTGTAGCTATTTAGGGAAGCAAAGACCCTAGTCTAGGCCTGGAAATGAGATTCTCTTCTTTTTTGGCCTCCCCTTCTCTGGTTCTGAAATCAAGTTTTCCTGGTCTCATTACTAGGAATTCTTCCTCTTCTTATCACTACGCAGTACCCACAGCAAACCAGGATAATTGTATAAGCCCCTTGGCTATTTAATGTTGCTCTGAACTCAACAGGTATCTTGCAAGAATAAACAAATCCATTGTGGACTGCAAGTCACTTGCTTTCAGGCTAGGGAGAAAATGCAGCCTTAAGTCAAAAGGGCATTTTCCCTCTCAGCTAGGAGAGCCCTGTCAAGATAGGCTGCTGGTGTTCACATCTCCCTCGCAGCGAACCCCAAAGCCGCCCTGGGAGGAGAACCCGGTGACCAAGAGGACCGACTCAGAGGCCGAGCGCGCTCAGGGCTCGGAATGGGTCTGCAGGAAGTCGTCCCGAAAGAGCTGCCTGGACACGTGCGTGACACTCACCTGTTCACACTCTCCAGGCCAGGAGAGCTACGGTCCTCTGCAAGTTCGGAATGGGTCCCCCAAGATCGCGAAGCCCTCCCACACTGCGCAGCCCAGGCTTCAGGTTGCGTTTGCGAGTTGCTGGGCTGCGGTCGTGGGTGGGACTCGCCGCAGAAGCAAGTGCCAGTGGCCCGGCGGGGGTCTCCTCACTCGCGCTCGCTCCGACTAGCGGCGGAGGGACTGCGGCAGGACGCGAGCTGAGCCCGGCCAAGGCCGCTGCGCTCAGCGGCCAGGATGCTGCAGTGCGGCGCTTCGGCGCCCCCTACTGGGGGCAGGGGCAGGCTCCTCCCGCCGCGCTGCCTCCCAGGCTTGCGAGCTTGGGTCTTTAACGTGCTGCACCCAAGACGGGCTTCCCTTTTTCACTGGTTATTTCCAAGCCTCCAGGCTCCCACCGAAGGGCGGCTTTCCTCGGTCAAAACCTTGCCTAAGAAAGCATCACTACGTGGTGTTTTCTATTCCTTATTTCAAATGATCCTCGCAATATCTCTTTGAAGTATCTTTAATTATCTCCATGATACCCAAGAGGAAACTGAAGGAGAAGGTAACGCAAGGCTAGTAAATGGCTGGAATGAAATCCAGACTGGATTGGGAACTGAGAGATGCTAGGAAAAACAAACAAGGAATTCAATTGAAATTCTATTCATATATTTGAGAAAGTTCCAAAAGCTTCTCGTCCTCCTTACAGGATCAGCATTTATAGGATTTGCATTGGAGTCATACTCCATTATGCTCAGACCCTAACAAAGACAATTAATATGCGAGCTGTGCTGGACCTGCTTTCATATCCCTCATCTGATTTGATTTTTACACCCTCTCTTCATGTAAGAACTAGTATTATAATTACTAGCCTTTCACAGATGAGGAGGTGAGCTTCAGAGAGGCTAAATGATCTCCCAAAAACTGAAACATCTGAGCAAAGAAGCAGGAGGCACTTATGTTATTGTTTTTCCCTTATAAATCTGGGTATTCTTACCAAGATACCAAACGGCTTCCAGAAAACCAGTGTTATATAGAACAGACAGGGGCCTAGGGCAAACTGAACGATCTGTAGAATGTCATCAATGGGAAGGGAGGTAACCATGGAGGCAATTTCCAGAGTCCAGACTGACCTGGAAGGTCACTGCAGCCACGAGTGAATGGCTGAATGGAACAGCTAGATCTATGGCAAAAAGAGGAGTTGCCTAGCTGAGCAGGAGCTGCCCTGCTGGTTCTTTGAGAAAGCTCAAACATTGTATGGTTTATGAGTTTCCTGATCACTAATGTACCCCTCCCTCCACACCACATACATCTGGATTAGATGCCTCCCTCTGTATCTCACAGGACCCTGTGATCTTATCATTGTGTTTGTGTTGTACTCATTTCTGCCCCTTAGTCCTCTCCATTAATCTGTGAGCTCCCAGAAGCCAGGAATGTACCATGTGTGACTTCTGTATTCCCAGCATCATCCATACAGTGTGTATACCTACAGCCTGGCATATAGTAGGTAGTTAAAGAATACCTACTGAATTGAATGAATTAAGATAAAGAAGAAGTTGTGATAGGATATGTTTGAGCTTTTTTACATACTGGATTTAGGATAGACCATCCAGTAAGAAATTGAATGTATGGGGCTGCGACATTTAAGAAAGAGGCCTGGAAAAGAGAGAGACTTTGGTGTCTTAGCATGCAGAAGATCTTTGAAGTCTGGGATGGGATAATAATTACCCAGATTCATTATATAGAATCTTACAGAATTCCAATTACATGGAATCGTGTGGCATTAAGGTGTTCAGGTTTCACATGTTACCTTGTTTCCCCCATTAAATCTTATACTCAGGGCAAGATTTAATAAAAAAAAAAAAATCTGTGACCCTATATCTGTAAATATACTATTTACAGAGACTTGAGTTGGAATTCCCACTTTGCCACTCTTATTTAATAAGAGTTATTGACCAGCCTGGGCAACATGGGTAGAGACAGCGTCTCTACTAAAAATACAAAAAATTAGCCAGGCGTGGTGGCACGCATCTGTAATCCCAACACTTTGGGAGGCTGAGATGGGCGGATCACCTGAGGTCAGAAGTTCGAGACCAGCCTGGCCAACGTGGTGAAACCCCATCTCTACTAAAAATATAAAAATTAGCCAGGCGTTGTGGAAGGAGCCTGTAATCCCAGCTACTCCAGAGGCTGAGGCAAGAGAATCACTTGAACCCCAGAGGCGGTGGTTGTAACAAGCCAAGATCGTGCCATTGCACTCCAGCCTAGGTGACAAAAAGAGACTCTGTCTCAAGAAAAAAATAATAATAGTAAGTTTTCGAAGAGGGCCCAAGCCAGGTCCCATTTGTAGTAGTTCTTTTGGAACTTGCCTATGGAACCTGATTCTCTCCATTTTCCTGCTTAGCCCATATAACAACAGCATTCCTCCCTCAACTAGGGAGGCATTTGCATACACATCTGCAGTTCTTGATGTGCTGCTCTAAGATAGATGAAGTAGCTATCTTGGAGCCTGACTCCCACTGTGTTACATCTTCCGTATGTATCCTATATTCTGCGGGCTGCTTCCTTTGTCTCTAAAGCAGCAAAAAGAGGCACGCTCTCTTGTGCTGCCTGCCTCATGGATCAGTAAGAAGGGCAGAGGACACTTTGTACTTACGGTTCCATGACATATGTTTGCTGGGCAAGAATTCTCCTGGGGAAAGGGGAAGTCCTTGTCACATTCAAGTCTCTTAGCCTGGCCTTAGGCTTCAGCTAAAACCTCTAACACAAAACAAGTAGACGAAGTGTTGATATAACCACAAAGCATGTTAGAAACTGGAATTGTGTGTGTGTATGTCTGTGTAGCTGTTAATCATGTTTGTTATAAATAATTCAAACAGTAGAAAAATACAAAGATGTAGAAAATCATCCCCAGAATCACACTATCCAGAAATAATAACCATTGTTAACATAAGGGGACCATCATCATTCCAGATATTGTAGAAAACAGACATCCTGATGGACAGGTATGTGAAATGGCACAGATATGCTAAGTGTCATCATCCTGTAGATGCTATTTTTAATTTAAAAGTACACTTAATGAAGCAGAAGATAACAAAATTAAAGTGAACATTAAAGGCTGACCAAACTTTAGATATTTACTCACTTCATGAGATAGTCACTTACTTCATGAGATATTCACCCTAAAGATTCCTTTACAGTTTGAATTATTACATAAAACCAGATCTGAATTCATTATGCTTAAACATATATTTGTTTTAGTCAATATCAACTGACTGTTTGCTATTTAAAAAGAAGAAAATAGCTCTTTTATTATGTCTCTTTTTTTCTTCCCTCCTTCTATATTTTTACACAGGTTTCGTTTGTTCATTGTCAAGATTTGTAACATTCACTTTCCACTTATAACTCTCATTCCCAAAGTGGTTTAAACTTAGTTCTATATTTAAATAGAATAAATTTCTTTCATTGATTCTTTTATCATGTTTTTTCTATTATTGATTATTTTGATTCATCCCTTGATATCTTCATTAAGCAATGTTTTCAAGAAGGTCTTGCAGGTGCTGTATTGTATAATTGAGAATACCTGTTTCTTCCTTTTCTTGTTGTTTTTAAATTTGTTATTAGCCTACTTTTGCTTACAATGACCTTCTCCTCCTTTTTTTTCCTGTGTAGTGTGTTTTTATATTTATTATTGGTTTCTTTTTTAGATCAAGACTCATATTTGCTATGATACAAATTCAGTTAATTGTGCTTGACTTCATTCCTACCTTGTCTGAGGCCTGTTTGTTTTTTCTATAAAGCAATGGTTTGAAGGTGAGCATTGCATTCTGTCTACCATCCCGAGATGAGAAGGTGAGGGCTTCTGAGTCTCTGTGCAGCCTCTGAGAGAGGTTACATGCTCTGCTTTTGTTCTCAGGTTTTACTAAAGACTCTGTCTCAGGATTTAATGCAGGCCATCAGGATCACATACTGTTTCAGAAAGATTCCCTTAAGCCTGAGATTGCACTCTTCATTCATTCTTGGAGCCCTCTACTCTCTCTCCCAAGCCATTTCTACTATGACTACTCACTCTGCCCTCTCCTCCCATCAGAAAAGGGTAAGTGTAGTTGCTCAGTTCATTTCACTCCAAATTTGCAGACATTCTTAACTGGTGAGAAATAATACTTACGATTTGATCACTCATCAGTACTGCTTCTGGAAAGCCAGGACTTTCTATATCATGATCGTTTATTTTCTTTATTTCATTTTGAAGTTACATGGCAAGAAATTATACTCATTTCCTTATTTTGTTGCTACTAATGATTATCTTTTGACTTTGGGATGAGTATTTAATTGCTGTTACCATTTATTTAGTTAAATATTAGGCAAAGGCAAGACTGATTTTAGCTGAGATTGAACTTTCCTGTTTACTGGGAACAACTATAAAGGCTAACCAAAATATACAAAATAGCTGTTTGGAAGCATTGGCAAACAACCAAGGCAGGGCTGCACATCTGACAGAGGGGATGTACTGGAGTTTAGCCTCACAGGCACACAAATTTTCTTGTTGGGGGCATTTTAAGGGCCCATATCCATGAAAGTGAAGCCCAAACATCAGTGAGAGATTAGGGTTCAGGGCTACTAAAGCAACTGGGTTCAGAAGGCTATCAGAAAGGGCAGCAGCCACGGAGACAGAAGCTCAGATATTTGCATGGAAATGTCCCTAGGATCTTGGCTAATTTCAGGGCTGCACATTGCGTGGTGAGTCTCTGAGACATCTGGTAAACATCATCACTGGCCATCAGAGAAATGCAAATCAAAACCACAATGAGATAACATCTCACACAAAACCACAATGAGATACCATCTCACACCACTTAGAATGGCAATCATTAAAAAGTCAGGAAACAACAGGTGCTGGAGAGGATGTGGAGAAATAGGAACACTTTTACACTGTTGGTTGGACAGTAAACTAGTTCAACCATTGTGGAAGTCAGTGTGGCGATTCCTCAGGGATCTAGAACTAGAAATACCATTTGACCCAGCCATCCCATTACTGGGTATATACCCAAAGGACTATAAATCTTGCTGCTATAAAGACACATGCACACGTATGTTCATTGTGGCATTATTCACAATAGCAAAGACTTGGAACCAACCCAAATGTCCGACAATGATAGACTGGATTAAGAAAATGTGGCACATATACACCATGGAATACTATGCAGCCATAAAAAATGATGAGTTCATGTCCTTTGTAGGGACATGGATGGAATTGGAAATCATCATTCTCAGTGAACTATCGCAAGAACGAAAAACCAAACACCGCATATTCCCACTCATAGGTGGGAATTGAACAATGAGATCACATGGACACAGGAAGGGGAATATCACACTCTGGGGACTGTGGTGGGGTGGGGGGAGGGGGGAGGGATAGCATTGGGAGATATACCTAATGCTAGATGACGAGTTAGTGGGTGCAGCGCACCAGCATGGCACATGTATACATATGTAACTAACCTGCACAATGTGCACATGTACCCTAAAACTTAAAGTGTAATAAAAAAAAAAAGGACTGAAAAAAAAAAGAACAGCTGCCTAAAGTCTGAAAGCTCCTGAATCCCAAGATGTGAATTACAGAGTTCTCTGAGTGCTGAGAAGACATCCGAGTTTCAGCCCAGTCAGCGTTCAGAAATCTTTGTGAAGTAGGAGTGAGGACCATTAATGCCTTAGGCAGAAGGGCTGTAACCTGGGACTAAGGGTGGATCTGAAAGACAACCCCCTACAACAGAGACTAAAATGAGACCTTTACAGGAGCAATCTAATCCACCAGCAAATTAACAGCCTGCCAAAACAAAATACAACACTCTTGAAAAAGTTAACAGGATCCAGAGCCTGTATAACCATCATCTACAATGTCAAACCTACTGAATTAGTCTGCTCAGGCTGCCATGACAAAGTACCCCGGAATGGGTAACTTAAACAACAGAAATATATTTCTCACATTTATGGAGGTTAAGAAGTCCAAGAAAGTTTCATTCTGAAGCCTCTTCTTTTGGCCAGCAGGCGGCCCTCTTTATGTGCTCACACGACTTCCTCTGTATGAGTGTGTGGAGAGACAAAGAGAGCTTTCCAGTGTTTCTCTTTATAAGGACATTCGTCTTATTGGATCTGATCCATCCTTATGACCTCATTTAACCTTAATTCTTTTTTGGAAAGGTTCTATCTCCAAATAAAATCACACTAAGAATATGGCTTCAACATATGCATTTTGAGGGCACACAAACATTCAGTTCATAACATAGACAATAAACATTTCCAGATAGGCAAGAAGCACATAAAATTTATCAATACTCAAGAGATAAAAATACAAGATAGATGTCTATATATTGAAGTAATTAGATGAAGACTTCAAAATCGCTAGGATTATTATGTTAAAACCAACAGAGGAAATAATGGACAAAGACAGATAAAAATATAAAGTATTTATCATATTTTTATCCATTTGGGGATATTTCACAGAGAAATAGAAACTATGAAAAGGATCAAATAAAAACTTTAGAACTATAAATAAATACTTAAAATTAAGAACCCATTTGAAGGGTTTAACAGTAGATTGAAAGATTGGAAGACAGAATAGTAAATCCAACGATCTGTCATTAGAAAATGTCCAAAATGGACCACAGAGGAAAAATAAACAATGGAAAGATCAAAACAGAGAATGAAAAATGTAGAACATGATCAAAAGTCATAACACACATGTAATTGGAGTTCTAGAAAGAGAAGAATGAAAGGATGAGATAAAAGCAATAGTTGAAGAAATAATAGCTGAAAATTTTGCAAATCTAATGAAAGGTAGTAATCCCTCAATTCAAGATGTTTCATGAACCCCAGGCAAGGTAAATAAAAAGAAAGCTAAACCTACATGCATACATCAACTTACTGATCAGCAAAATACAGAGAAAATACTAAAAACACCTACAGAAAAAAAACAAAAAAGACACACAGTTTTTAAGAAAAAAATACAGTAAAAATGGATTATAGCCTCTCAATAGAAACTGTGGAAAACCTAGGACAATGAAAAGGCGTCTTCAAAGTGCTGAGCTAGAATTCTGTATTTGTTGAAATAAGTCATTCTCAGACAAAATTTGAGATAGTTTATTGATTGTCAGCAGAACAATGAAAAAAATGATTTCAGATGGAAGCAAAACCAAAAAATTCTAGTAGTGGCAGCAACTCCTGATAGGGTAAATAAATGGGTAAAAATAAATGAATATTAACCAATGAAAACCACAAGTATAAAAATGTCTTTACCAGGCGTGGTGGCTCATGCCTGTAATCCCAGCACTTTGGGAGGCCGAGGCGGGCAGATCACCTGAGGTTGGAAGTTCGAGACCAGCCTGACCGACATGGAGAAAACCCGTTTCTACTAAAAATACAAAACTAGCTGGGCGTAGTGGCACATGCCTGTAATCCCAGCCACTTCGGAGGCCGAGGCAGGAGAATCACTTGAACCCGGGAGGCGGAGGTTGCAGTGAGCCGAGATCACGCCATTGCATTCCAGCTTGGGCAACAAGAGTGAAACTCCGTCTCAAAAAAAAAAAAAAAAAAAAAAAAAAGTCTTGTGGGTTTATAATTTCTGGAAGTAAAATATATGACAGTAGGAAACAAAGTAAGAGGTAGAAATTAAGTTATGCTGTTATAAATTTCTTACATATTGAGGGATTTGGCAAAATTACTAACTTAGACCAATAATGTAACAATGCACTTGCAATTTCTAGGAAAACACTAAAGGAATCCCAAAGTATAACCAAAAAAGCTAATAGAGAAGATAAAATAAAATATAAATATTCCATTAATACAAAAGAAGGCAAGAAAAGAGAAATAAAGGAACAAATAGATGGAAAAATTTGTCAACAAATAAGAAGATAATAGACTTACGTCCAACTATCTCAATAATTACATTAAATGTACATGTACTGAACACTCCAGTTAAAAGACAGAATATTTCAGATTGGATTAAAACTGATGCAACTGTATGCTTTTTACAAAAATCACTTCTTAAATAAAAAGGCACAGATAGATTGAAAGTAAAAAAGAAAAAAAAAAAAGGAAAAAGATGTTCCATGCAAACACTAGCCAAAGGAAAAAGGCAATTTGCAACTGACCTTCCTTCCATGTCATTCCATACATGAAAGTTAGCCCAAAGCCTGTGTTCTGAATCATAATGCTTCACTACTTTTATAACACAGCGAAGTTCATCTCCCTTTGTAATATTTCTTTGTCTTGGCCAAGGTTGATGGCCTCCGTTCTTCTTTCCCATTCTCAGTTCATTTGGTGTTGTTCTGAGCATGACAACAGGAATACTAGAAATGAGCACGCTTAGAGAAAAGTAAGCTGTAGTCAATATTCTGTGTCTCTTCTGCAGATCCTCACTCTGAATCTTCCTACTCACCTGGCCATACCCTATGGTGGGCAGGATTGCTGGAATGACAGCCCACTTTGTTTAGGAAAGGGAGAAGACAGTGAGTTGCCCATATCTGAGCAGATCTTTGAACCATACTCTGAACCAAATTTAGTTCTTATTAGTCCATCTCTGTTTAAACTATTTTTCCAGACTATTGGAGATTAGATTCTCCTAAAAGAATTGGATTTCTTTTTGAATTCTTATTGCTATCACTTTTACTGACTTTTAAGTGGGCAGTAGAACAGTTCTAAGATTAGTTGCCTATGCCTCCTTGTTAGTACTGTGCAATAGAGAAAGAGAGAGAGAGACTATCTGCTAACAGTAAATGCACTTTAGTTATCCTAGTTATATAAGTATTGCAGCTATGTAAGTTGGAATCTTGAAGAAATTAATAAATTCAAATAGAATAATATATTCCACTGGAGGTTAATGCTGCTCAGATGATATCGGATGATCTTTACCTAATAAACTGTCAGGGAATTAGAAACACATTTGCAAAGTTCTGACAATTTGTGGGACCTGGAATAACATAATAAAAGCAAAATTTAGCTTACCACAGGGTCAATGTGAAAAGCCACATTTACTTATATAAGAAAGTCCACATGGTTTTGTACTTCCTAACTTTGCTTTTAATGATACATAAAAACAATTCCAAACTGGAACATTTTTTGAACCTCACAAATTCCAACTTATCATCTATGGTTACAAAAGGTTAAGAAGCCACATGAGCTAGGATAATTTTCCCTCTGTTCTGTCTCTTATATAGGGTTGAAAATAGAAACTCTTTTTACATGAAATCATCATTTAATGAATCTAGTTGATACAGAAATCCTAATGTTTAATAACAGCCACCAACTGATGCCAATAAGCAGCTAACTCAGGGAAAACTGTAGAAGGTGAAAAACATTACAGTTTTACTTATTTACTTATTTACATAGTAGCTGGCATGGAGATAGAGCTTGATTCATTTTCATTATTGTTGAATAAAATAAATACAATAAAATATGCATGATCTGTGGATGATTGAGCATGAAACAAATACATAGTAATTTCTGGTTTAATATTTCATCAGGCTAGCTATCCCCAGCTAAGTGTTTCCAAAATGCTGCCAATATACATCAAATAAGACATTGATAAAGATGAAAACACATGCCAAAATCTAAAGCCAACACTCAAACAAAACAAACCACTTTAACAGTTTAGGATATATTCTTCCTCCTTTGTCTGTGTACTCACTCACACACACACACACACACCCATAAACATGCATTTTTAAAAATTCTTACATATTGAATCATAATGTACAAATTGTTCTTTTTCTCATGCACTGTGCTTTAGAGATCTTTTCATTTCACTACATACAGATGTACCTCACTGATTTCAACAGTGTTGTCATGGTACTCAGGAACTATGTACCAAACACCATTTATGTAATTTTTTAACCATCTAAAAGTACATTTTTATATTAGAAATATTATTCATCATTTTAATGAGGTAAATCCGTATATACTGACATAAAATATCTCCAACACAAAACAAGGGGCAATACATAAAATCTGATGCCATTCCTGTAAAAAAAGAAGTCTACATAATTTCTATGTAGAGACACACATGACTTCATAGTAAATGTATGAAGGATAGAAAGCTAACAGATGAAAGTCCCTTTGGAGAAGTATCTGGGGTTGGTGTGGGTAGATAAGGGGGTGTTAGGCTTATCTGTAATGTTTTAATCTGTTTTATTTAGCTTATCTTGTAATGAAGATATATGTATTGTATTAGCTGGCAAAATAAAAATTATATCATATTTTAAGTAATAAAAAGTATATAAACTGGAAAATGAATACGTGTATTCTAGAGATGGTTGGAAAACCTTGTCAAGGGAAATTGGTCCATCAGCAGCAAGATCATCAATGCAGAAATGTAAAATGGTTGGATTTTACAGTTACATCTCTTAAATGAACACTGTCAAGATGATACCTCATGTGCTTTTCCCTGGTGGCTGTGAATATTATTTTAGCCAGCTTGTTCATGAAGGATGATGACAGAAAGGCATGGAAGTCAATTAAAAGATGCTGCCATTTATGTCAAACTCTGGGACTGAGTATGAGAGTCATGCTACTGTCAATCATGCTGGTCCTTTGCATATTAGTGTCCCTGCAAGGCTGGCTGCACAGGGGCTCACTTTTATGAAAGCTGGATTCCAGTGCAGTCACCTTTCAGTTGCCTTGTTATCAGTGCCTTTTTCTCCATTACGCATATCGTTTGCCCTTATGTCTTTCCCCTTACCTTTAGCTGGATGATAATATTGAAAGATAGAGTTACTGGAGCTTATTGAAACACAAAAACCAAAATTTACAATTTACTTTTTAAATATATCCATGGCTCAGAATTTCAGAGGTGAGCAAAATAAACAAACAAATATAAAGCTATATCTAGGTGTTTCCCAAAAACACTGGAAGAAAGCAATTTCCTTTCTATGTTAGTAGTTTAAAGATCTGTAATTAAAGTGAACTTTTAACTAAAACAAGAACTGAGGATTCTTCAATACTGATACAAAACAAGTGAATGTTACAGCTGAGAATGAAATAATAACCTAGGACTAATAGAAGAACGTCAGTAGAATCTGGATTGTGTATGAAAATAGATCTGGAAACCAGTAAGCAGAGAGATGGTTGCCTTAGCTGCTGCCTCTAGAGCTCTTACTAATCCTTCAACAGGATTGAATAGCAAAGGACAATGATATCAAAAGACTACTCTGCAACACATGCAAATGTACATAATTATTCCTGAGTCCACAACATAATGCAGCCATTCTTAGATTCTATATTTTTGTTTTTAACATAATGTCTTAAGTTAATGAAACTCCTCAGAAGATGTAGCCTTGAAAGACCCCATCTAGCCATTTTGTTAAGATTCTGCAAATCAAGTAAGCAGACCTCTTATCAAAATTATATTTTAAAATTTTAAGAACATTTAAAATGTATGTGTTGTGCATCACATAAACTGATGAATGCACAGCAGAAGAGCACAAATTCGAGTCTTTCAAGTGTGTTGATCCTGGCTGATGGAGGAAAAGAAGAATGCATGCCTGAAAAGAAGTTCTCACATGTATCTACTCTTACAGCACACTACAAAGAGTTATAGAAATATTTGCCTAATATTAGCTGCTCTGCCACCCCACCCAGAGAACATTGGGAGGGACTGGGTTACACAGGCTCAACAGGACAAGCCAAGTTGAAAACATGCAGATATGAAAGCCCAGGGAGCTGTCAAATGGCAGAAAGGCAGAAAGGAAGAGAGGCAGGTTTATCAACGTCAAAATCTTAGACCAGGAGACAAGTAGAAGCAAAAACTGGTAGGAGCTAAATGAATAATCTATTTGACAATTATCTGCACTTTCTGTGTAGCATACCCATATGATACATCTCCATTTTCCCTTCTTTCTTCACTTTATACCTCCATCAAATAAACCTGTCTGATGTCTTATTCTCTTAGATTCTGGCTGGGTGACAGAAGCAGTCTGATACATTAATTCCTGCCAGATGTTAACTGGGGCAATAACATCATGGATAAGATCAGGAACAGCATAGGTTGGAATCCAGACTCTGCCTCTATTAAATTGTGTGTCTGTGATATAGGTTCTTTTTTTTAAGGTGAAGTGAGTTTGTTGATGTGTACCCTAATCTAATATGACTGCAGGTCTTATAAGGAGGGGTGGTTAGGACACAAAAAAGCTCAAAAGTAGACCCTCTGAATACAGAGACAGAAGACAGCCATCTCCAAGCTAAGAAGAGAGGGCTCAGAGAAACCACCCCAGACTGACAGCTTGTTGTTGGACTTCTATCCTACAAAATTGTGAGAAACTAAACTTCTGTGGTTAAGCTCTTCAGTCTGTGTGCCATATTATGGCAGCCCTAGGAAACTATCCCAGCCTATTAGGACACACATAGGATGCTCCCTGCAGAATGGCTACATGGAAATGGAATCTTATTATGACAGGATCCAACAGCATTGAGAGGCTGACCCGCTATGGGAAATGGCTTCCCTTAAGGAATAGTATGATGCCATGTGAGGGCACTTCCTGATGGGGCTCCTCCCTGATGGGGCTAGAGGGATGAATTCTGTGGGATGACCCTTTACAGACAAATGCATGGAGTAGCTTCACCTCCTTTTTTGTGTAACCCCCCTACTTTTGTGTAAAAACCTCCCCAGTAAATGTTGGATTGTGAGTCTTGGAGGACGTCTAGCAGGGCCATGGAGCTGTGTGCTATATGAGATATCTAGGGTGGGGAGTTAAAACAAAACTGTGGCAACAAGCAGAGATACTCATGGTGTTTTCTCTGATCTTCCTACAAGGTGGTGAAAGGGATTTTGCATGTAATCAAGTTGCCACTGGGGAATAATGTCAGGCAGATTCCTCTGGGAGGAGACAGTGGGTTACTCAATTGGGAAAGCCCTAGGAGAGAGCCCAGGGAATTTCCATATTCATTTATATGTCCTGGGTCCACCCTGGTCTTCTCTGGTGGCTGTCTGTGGGGACCACTCGGTGCCTACTCTCACCCTAGAGCACCACTGGTCATGGTTGGTGACATGGTACACCTGCCCTTCTTTGAAGGAGATGGAGAAGGTGAATCCATCCAACAACTCCTGCTTAATATGCTGCATGGAACTCTGAAAAGAGAGTGTCCAAAAGCCAGGCCAAGAGGCATCAATGGCCAGCCTTGCTGTTTCCCCAGGCAGTCACCCAGATTAGAACTTTCCTTCCAAGATCAGGCACATAGGAGCATCTGCAGAGCATCTCCAGTCAGAGAGGAAACTAGATGAGAGATTGGTCTCAGGATGAACATGTGAAAAGAAAAGCTTTGTCCCCAACACTCCCTTTCCCATCCTGCCAGCCATGACCAGAGTATGAATCTGACAGACCCACCTCGCTCCCAACCCCTGACAACCTGCCCCTGTCCAGGGAGGGCCCCTCATCTCTTGCTTCCCTAAAACACATGGTGATGGGGAAGGATATGGGACAGCCCTGATTGGATCACAGCTGAGGCCTGGACTGGAAGGGCCTGCCACTGGGCTGCCCTGTGTTACCTGTGGGTGCCTTCTGCCAAATGGCCAGAGGCGTCGATGGTGAGGGTTCAGCCAATGTCCGCAGTCTCTGGAAAGATTCTCACTTTGGCCTTTGTTGAGACAAGGACATAGACAAACTGAGATACAGCAGGAGAACATCTTGCTGTCTTGAGCATCCCCACCAATGGCTGGATATGGGGCTATCCCTAGAATGTGGGTGCCTAGTTACCAGAATTCTAAGTTCTGTTGAGGTCTGTCCCCAAGGAAGTTAGGTCACTTCTTCAAGGCTCCATCAACTAGGCTCCTTCCTTTCATAAGACCTACTCAAAGGCCCCAATGGGATTCTGACCACTCACCCTCCCGCTATCAACTTCTTATTTTTTCCAAAAGTTATTAAGGTACAGGTGGTATTTGGTTACATGAGTAAGTTCTTTAGTTGTGATTTGTGAGATTTTGGTGCATCTATCACCTGAGAAATATACACTGCACCCTATTTGTAGTCTTTTATCCCTTGTCCCCCTCCCACCCTTCCCTCCAAGTCCCCAAAATCCATTGTATCATTTGAGTCCTAACAGCTTAGCTTCCACATATCAGTGAGGACATACTGTGTTTGGTTTTCCATTCCTGGGTTACTTCACTTAGAATAATAGTCTCCAATTTCACCCAGATCACTGCAAATGCTCTTAGTTCATTCCTTTTTATGGTTGAGTAATATTCCATGGTATATACATACCACAGTTGCTTTATCCACTCAATTGATGAGCATTTGGGTTGGTTCCAAGATTTTTCAGTTGTGAATTGTGCTGTTATAAATATGAGTGTGCAAGTATCTTTTTTGTATAATGACTTATTTTCCTAAGAGTAGATACCCAGTAGTGGGATTGCTGGATCAAACAATAGCTCTTTAAGGAGTTCTTTCTAGTTCTTTAAGGAATCTCCACACTGTTTTCCGCAGTGGCTGTACTAGTATACATTCCCACCAGCAGTGTAGACGTGATCCCTGATCACTGCATTCATGCCAACATCTGCTGTTTTGTTATTTTTTGATTATGGCCATTCTTGTAGGAATAAGGTGGCATTACATTGTGGTTTTGATTTGCATTTTCCTGATCATTAGTGATGTTGAGCATTTTTTCATATGTTTGTTGTCCATTTGTATATCTTCTTTGGAGAATTGTATATTCATGTCCTGAGCCCACTTTTTGGTGGGACTGGTTTTTGTTTGTTTGTTTGTTTTTTCTTACTGATTTGTTTGAGCTCCCTTATGTTGGAGTCAAGGACTCTGGTGCTTCTGGCTCCTGTCCAGAGCACTGCCTACCTTGCCGTCTCCAGCTGTCACATAACTGTGCTCCTGGATCTCCAGCTTTCAAGTAACACATTTGATGTTTTAGCTTTCATCATCCTCCATTACCTTAAAGCATTCCACTAGGAATGACCTTTAGTCTTAAGAGACCAGGGTGTTCCTTTCCACAAAGTGTTTACTGTAATTTTTTTTTTTTTTTTGATGGAGTCCTGCTCTGTCGCCAGGCTGGAGTGCAGTGGCAGGATCTTGGCTCATTGCAATCTCTGCCTCCCAGGTTCAAGCGATTCTCCTCCCTCAGCCTCTGGAGTAGCTGGAACTACAGGCACGTGCCACCATGTCCAGCTAATTTTTGTATTTTCAGTAGAGATGGGGTTTCATCAGTCTATTGGCCAGATTGGTGTAAAACTCCTGGCCCCAAGTGATCTGCCTGCCTTGGGCTCTCAAAGTGCTGGGATTATGGGCATGAGCCACCACACCCAGCCCCACTGTGATTTTGAGGGAGGTTTTCCATTGCCCATTCCATTGCTACAGTGAGGGAGGCTTTCTACTGACGTAAAACTCTCTAGCAACCTTGATAGGATAAGAAGAGTCTGAGATTTGGGTACTCCCTTGAAGACATTGCCTATTATGTATCTAAACCTCCACTTTATAGTGAAGTGACCCTCACTTTATAGGTATTTAATAAATGATGGAAGTTTCCTCGGTACCCTATGTGGATGGAAACCCATCACTGGCTGCTTTACAGGATTTTGTTTTTAATATTTTGTGACAACATACTTATGTTACTTTTGGTTCAAGGAATAGTTCATTTAGGAGTTTAATAGTAAGAATTTGTTAACAACAAGAACAGAATTTTTACCCCTGCATTAGATTAATTCCATAAATTTTTAACAGTTATTTGTTTCTATATTTTAATATAAAACAGCAGGTTTAAAATATGAAACACAGATTAAAATGAGACTAAAATAATTGACAGTTTCTTTTAACCACAGAGGAAACTGGGCAAGGAAAATCTTAGGATGGAGGAACTGAAAAACACTAAATTAGGAGTACTTGATTAGATATATGTAATCTAACCAGGAAGCAGACATGCATTTTTCTCATTTTAAAGACAAAGAATGGAAATATGTGATTTTCCTCTGTGTCCAGCAAGTCAGGGGCAATGAGCTAGGCAATGAGCTCCTATAAAGTTGTCTCTGAGACACATTACTTCTCATATAATGCAGTAGACATGAGTGGAAGTGATTAATATCCTAGACTGTAATAATTAATCTGTCAGCCTCCTATTGCCAATAAAAATGAAAACAACAATCTCTAACATTGAGATAGCATTTTTGTGATGTTCTAATTTCTTTTACTCTACTTTTCACTGCATCATTTTAGAGAAAAGGACGCTGAGAACCAAAGAGCAGTTTGTCTAAATTTACAAAGGTAGTAATTATTAAGTATGAGTTAGATTTTTTTAAATGTAGTATGGATTTTGTTTTGATAAACACATATTTGACGATTTAATCTTTCACTTATAGGTTATCTATATTGTTTATTCCTTTAATAAACATTACAGAGCCCCTGATATACCTGAGGTACTGTGCTAGATTCTGAGGATACTTCAAGGAATGATTCAGACACGGTTCATCCCATGCATAATTTACAGTATATTGATGAAGACAGTTATTAAACAAGGGATGAATATTATAAAACAATTTCGGTGTTTTCCACACTTGCCTCATGGTTAGTCACAGGTATAGTGTGGTATCTTTATTGTGCCACAGACTGGTAGACTTAGCCACACTGGATGTTAGTTGGATGATAACTCCTTTGAAAGAACTAAGACTCATTAAGTATACGTAAAGAGGGCTGGTGCTGTTCAGGGGACAGGAGTAGGAATCATGTCTTCCAGAGGTTTAGTGAAATGGGTAGACTGTGAGGCTGAATTTCAATGAAGAGACTTAGGTGAACATCATCAAGAATACAAAGACAGGAATTTCCCAGGACAGGGAAGGAAGGAGTACGTTGTTGAGACCAAATTCAACATATGCAGGGACAATGTCCATAAGCTATATTTTTTTGAAGAGGATAAAGAATGGACCAAACACAAGCAAAGGCCAGAGTTACTCTAAAAAAAATAGCTTGGTGGGCAGATGCTATCTTTAATGAGGCAACTCAAGGCTTCTCTAGGGCTATTTTAGTCAGAAAGGGGAGAGAATCTCCAAATATGGTCCATTTCCTTAATGCAACCAGGAGTCAAATGAGAAACTCATTTAAAATTCCACGAAAATTGGGTGAGGAGGGAGAATATTTCTCTTAGAAAAAAAAAATCCCCTTCTAGGTATAGGCTCTAGTAATGTTGGGTAAATATTTGGATATTTGGATATTATGATTAGCTAAGAATGGAGACCATCAAAAATCAGGTTGAATAACAATGGGTTATTGACAATTTGCCTTTTAAGGAAGGCGGGTCCAGTTGACCTCAGAAGTTCTTCAAGTGAGATTATTTTTTAAGTGGAATCTGAATTTGTTGGGACAATAGAGTATAACTTAGAGATTTATGGGGAAAATATCAAGAAAGAAAAACATCTCTAGGCTGGCAGCTGAAGAATTACTCTCTGGGAGAAAAAAGGTCTAATGGAGATTGTTACTAAGTTCTTTGCTATGATGTGTGCAATGTAAATTTGCTCTTTTATTTCTGCAATTAAAATCTACATTGTGACTTGCATTTGACCTTGAAGCATGTGACCAAGTATTGTGTTCTTATTGAAGTTGATACAGGAAAAACTACAGGTTATTCATATGGAGTGCCAAATGTGGGTTATAATACTCATAATAATAAATACCACTTACTTAGCATTACTATGCCCTAAATGTTTTCCTTATGTTGTCTTATTTGCCCTTTACCCCAATTATATGATTTAGTGTGTAGTTGTGGTTTTAATTGCCTTGGCTTGAACTGACCTATATCATTACTTCTCATCTTCCATTGGCAAAACTTAGTCACATGATAACACTATAATGGGCACCAGCAAATAGAGCCTCCAGCTGTACTATTTCTTCCCAGATATAACTCTCTAGTGTAAAAGAGAGAGCACACATTTGATAGATAGCAGTCATATTGGCCATGTCAGTCAGGCAGATAGTATCCCCATTATATACATGAGAAAAAGGAGACTTAGGAAAATTGAGTAACTTCCTCAATATCACACAAATAGAAGTGGAAGAGCCTGATCCATGCCAGATATTTTTTAGATGCTAACTACATATGATCTAATTTAAATGTAAGGTAAAGCTTATTTAAGTGAAATGAGTTAGATGAAATAGAGTTAAACTGACAGCCCCAACCACCAGATAAAAAGGTAACAGAAGCCATTAAAATGAATGGGGATAAAAAATGAACTCAAAGACACACTGTTAAATAGAAAAGAAAGAGCAAACCAGTAAGATACAATTTGTATATTAAACAGTTGTAATTATACACAGGCACTGTGCTCAGGCACAGGGAATATCTCTGGAAGGGGGATTCAGAGCTGCTGGGACAGTGGTTTCTTCTGAGGAAGATAACTGAGGGCTTGGAGAAGGACTTCCCTTTCATTATACACCTGTTTGAACCTTTTGAATATTTTATTGTGTGCATGCAATTACTTATGCAAGTTTAAAATTTTAAGTCAAATGTCAAAAGTTGATCAGAAGATAGCATAATCCTTTAGGAACTGCTGCTCATTCTCCAGGCTGGAGAGACTCTTTAACGCTGAACTTCCCACCTTCGCTCTTTTGGCGCCACGTAATCTCCAAGGATACGATTCTTAACTCCTGTTGATGTGAAACTATATTGACTCCTGGAAATCTCAGGGGTCGTTGATCCTGGTCCCATTGTCAATAGACAACTCTTCGACTTGGTTTTACCTCCCTATTTCCTGGCAATTAAACTATCCAGGTTGACTTAGCATTAACCAAGCCACCTTCAAATTTACCACTTATGCTTGGATCTATTCTCCCGAGACTGAAAGTCTAGCCAGTCTTTCTGCGTGACTGGTCCCAGTGCAGCACACATGTAGGAAATCTGCAGAAATAAACCAAGATATATGATTGGCGAATGAGTGATTTGAGAACAAAGGATAATAACATTTCAAATGTGAATTCCTACAATTAAGGATTTGAAAGAAAATGGAAATCACATTTTTCTCTTCATGTTTATCAGAGCAAATCATTAGTGATGTTTATGCCAGCTATCTAGTTAGGTCAAGCTTTACCATGGCCAGAAATGATTTTCATAAACATGCAAGCAGGTGGAAACAACTTAAAAATAGCCTTGAATGGAAATAATTACCACTTTATATTATCACAAAAGCATATCTTTGTGGCAGAAAGCCCCATTCCTACTTGGCAAAGCCCTAATTACCACTGTTTACGAGAAGAGTGTTGATGCCTTAGTCGAAATTCCTGGGTTCCAAAGTTCAACTTTTTTTTCCCTAGAGTTTAGAAAATGCTAAAAATTATCTTTTGGTCCAAAATGGCTTCACAGACAGTAATTGTTCCAATGATGCACAAAGTATTGCTCAAGCACTTTTGTCTTATGTTGAAGCCCTTGTTTTTAAAGGAACAGAATGCAACTAAACAAATGTAGAAATTAATCCTTAATCCTAATAGTTAAATCTCCATTTAAAACTATATACACAATAGTTGTCTCCACTAGAAGTTAAAATAATTTGAACAACTACAAAGTTAAAACAAAATTTATAATGAAAGCATTTTAGGGCATAAAATACATTAAACTAAGTTATACTATATTTCTTAACTAGAACATGATGCTGTTATTTGGAATGCAGGGGGAAAAACATAAATTTGACCTTTCATACATTCTCAAATATTTCATGTTGTTTGAGGTATGGACATATTACATACATTCCTTAATTCATTTATATATTCACTGATGCCAAACAAACATTTCTAAGATTATTTGTTTTAAGCTTATTTGGACAGTGAAAAATGTCAGTATACAATATGCTTAATTCTACTTCAGCTTAGAAACGGTTGTCTCAGCTCAAATGTCAACTTTTAAAACCAAATAGAAGAGTCAGCAATTACGTTCTAACATTTAGATCTGAGAGTGAAAATGAATACTGGCCGCCCTCCTAATCGTTTTCTGCTTTTGTTTTTGTTTTCCTTTTTGCTTTTTTATTTCACTTCTCCTCCTTGACCCACAAAACTTGAAGATTGAAATGTAATTTTCTTTTGTAAGACTTTGTTATTGATTTAATGAATTAAAAGCAACTTACTTGTATTTAAAAAATCAGCTTATATTTTGGTTCGTCAATGCTTTCAATCTTCTCATAATGCTACAGCCCATTCCGACATTAACTTATGGACTTATATCTATCAAGTATCAACAGTGACAGAAACAAACTTCTTCTCTGGTAGAAGAAAATCTATCACGATATTGCTTTGCCTTTTACCTTTCAAAATGCTGTGATACCAACCATGTATTTTTCCCCTCATCTCTCTTAAACTTTATTGTAAAATTCTTTCTGTACCTTAACTCTAAATATCGGAGTTCTTTGAATCCCCTAGATGAGATTCCTTTTCTTCTCTCTCTCTCTTCCTCAATGTTCTTAGGCAGACCTATAGTTCGAATGCTATCTCTGTCCAGATGAATCCTATGTTTATATAACATTATGATATCTGTGAGCTTTCCTGTCTTGAGCAGAGGCCACAAAGGCTGAGAGCAACACAATACGAGGCAAGTATCTTACGTCCTAGAGAAGATACTAAACCAGATGGGGTGGTCATGCTAAGGGATTATAAAACTGGTACTGCCAGCATTGGTCTGTTGCCTGCCTTCTGAATCTGTGAAGGAAGGTGGCAGATCCAAAGGAGGTTGAAGCAGCCACTTTCAAAATAATTTCTTTAAAGGGAATTGTCAGTGTGCTATCCATTTCCCCCAAGTTTTCCACACAGCTATGAAGGAGGGGAGAGGTACTCCCCTCTCATCTTCAACCATGTGAGTTGGAGTTTGTGAGAAGTATTTAGAGTTTAGCACACACTTTTGTTTTGAGATGAGGTCTCACGCTGTTGCTCAGGCTGGAGGGCAGTGGTGCAATCTTGGCTCACTGAAGCCTCAACCTCCTTGGCTCAAGCAATCTTTCCACCTCAGCCTTCTGAGTAGCTGGGACCACAGACACATGCCACCCCACCCAGCTAGTTTCTTTCAAAAATATTTTTTTGTGTGTAGACAGGGTCATGCTATGTTGCCTGAGCTGGTGACAAACTCCTGGATTCAAGCAATCCTTCCACCTTGGCCTCCCAAAATGCTGGGATTGCAAACATGAACCACCACATGGGGCCAAAGCACACACGTTTGGAAGAACACTGGAACTAGTACCAGACTTACTCTAAGAGAAGGTTGTGTTGAGGTGTGTTGCCAGTTCACAGACTCAGGACAACAGTACACGTTTTCCAGGTGCCAGATATGGACTTCATGAGCTACCTTGAAAATAGTCCTGCTGAGGAAAGTTTCCTACCAGGGAATTGACTAGGGGTATACCAGCTGTTTATTTTTGCCCTACCCACAGGGCACCAATCCCATGTTTTAATCATACCAGTTATTTATCCTTTATCCCCCAACCCCCTTGGAATCTGCAGAGGCTCAGAACAATCATAAGCTACTGAAAGTGTGAGGACATGTCCCACTATGGGGTTCAAGAGTCCAAATACAAAACAGCTTGGGGGAGAGGAAAAGTTTCAAATTGGATGAGGATCTGAAATTTTTATAGTTTGGAAACTACAATGGATTTTTATGTTGCCTGATACTATCTTAAAAGCCATGCCATTTTGCCATTCATCGGGAGCGAAAGAGCAACTCAACAGAAAGGAATTAAAAGGACCAGTTGGAGAAAATATAAACCTGCTTTCTGTTTGCAACCTACTGTGTACAAGTCCTTCCAAATAATGGTTGCCATTTTATATCACACCCAGACTTAACCTCTAAGCTCTAAATTAAATATGTAACCGAACACTTGATGTCTACATTTAGATGCTTTGTAGGCATCTCTACTTTAGCAAGTCCAAAACTTGATTCCAGCCCCTTTCAATGCTGATCCAATTCTTCCTCCTTCTTTCAGCCTTTCTCGTCTCTTTACAAGGCATTATCACCCACTCACTCTCCCAACCAGTAAACAGAGAGTGATTACTCCCTCTACCCACCATATGTGTCTAGTATTTTAACAGGTCCTGTTTATTTTCTCTGCAAAATACATAACAAATCCATCTACATCTATCCATAACCATTATCATAGCTCTCATCAAGGTCACAGTCACCTTTCACCCAAACCGCACAGCAAAAAGTCCTCTAACTAGTCTCTCCACATCTATGGTTGCCTTTTTTCAGTCTTTCAACATAGCAGACACAATATTAATTAAGCAACCATTTTATTAAGGTGTTTCAACTTGTACAAACATAAGCGGTTTTCTTTTTCTAATTGTTGCTGAGCCATTGTTTCCCACTGGGGAATGTCTTCCTGAGCAATATCTCAGCCTGATTTCCTAAGTTTTCAGTCACTTCTCACAAGTTGGTCTCATGCAGCTTCTGAGACAGACCAGTTTATTTGAACACTTTAACTCTGTATCCATTTCAGATCTTTTCCGCATCTGCTCTGCCCAGGTGACTCTTGTAGTTCACATGGCCCTGAACAGAAGGGCTCTGTTTCTTATTGGCTCTAACCTTTCTAGATCTGGGGATGAAGAAGAGGTCAGAGTGACAGAGTGATATCCTTTGTGATTTCTTTGCAAGACCATAGCCTTCTCCTCGTTTGCTTGGGAACAGTTGTTCTAGCTTCCTTGTCCATGACCTGCAGTGGATAGGTGGCAACACCCTCCTGGACATTAGCTGTCACTTGTAAAACTCAGAAATGTCTCTGGCTGAGTCCTTGCCATGGCAGCCTCATGCTGTAGTTTTATGGCATCTGCACTTCTTGTTCAACATCATGTCCCTAACAGGCCTACAAGTCATCCTCCAAAACTGACAACACCTCTACACTATCACACAGAGGCTGGTAGGATTCAGACTAGGACCTAATCTTATCGAGTTCTAATTGTCCAACTCTGCCTTCTTGCACCTGCTTCCTCTCCCTGAATAAATGCCAAGCCTTGTTTAGAAAGGATGTGGAAAAGAAAACGTAGATTATGTAATAACCACATTTCCAGGTTTCCGAGGATCTCTGAAATTTGTTCTAACTCTGTCCTTCCTAGAATTTATGTAAACTAATACATTTCAACTTCTGTCAGTTTAGTTAGATTTATATCACTTACAAACCAAAAAAATAGTGACTACCACAACAGATAAAGCACTGGGGTTTATGTCAATGCGAACAGAGCCAAGCACCAAGCACTGGAGCAAATTCAGCAGGACTATTTTCTAGTCTAAGTCATGGCTTTCCAGGATCTCTGGCTGATTTTTTGTTTGGTTGCCTTTTTTTCTTTTATTTGAATCCATGTTTAAATAGGACAGTACTACTAAAAGCACAGCCCATGACAGAATAAACAGAGAAAGCACACAGAATTGAGAGCAATTTGGCACTGTCATGACATCCAAGCATGTGATCAGTGAACTCATCTTGCTGAAAAAGAAGTTGACTGGTTTGAGTGTTTTCTTTTTATTTCATTTTCTAGTAATCCATTCTTACTGTTTTGTCAAAGGTCGAATTCTTTGATGAAGTTGGAAAGTAAGGAGAAAAAGGTGAAGAGGGGCAGAGGGAAGATAAGGAAAGAAGGAGAGAAGGAGGGAAAAAGAAAGGAAAGGAGAGGAGAGGAGAATAGGAAGGGAAGGCGAGGGGAGAGGAAAGAGAGGGGAGGGGAGGGGAAAGGGAGGGGAGGGGAAGGGGAAGAGAAGGGGAAAGGAAGGGGAAAAGGGAAAGGAAGAGGGAGGGAGGAAAAGGGGGTAGAGGGGGAGAGAGGAGGGGAGCAAAGAAGGAGAGGGTAGGGGAGGGAAGAGGAGGGGAGGAGAGGGGACTGGGGGGAGGAGAGAGAAGGGGAGGGGAGGGGAGGGGAGGGGAGAGGACAGGAGAGGAGAGGAGAGGGAAGGGAAGGGAAAAGGCTGGCCTTTACCACAAATAGTTTAAGTATTACTGCACTCATATATTTTCTGTAAACTGCCTACGATTCCTTGTACAAAGTAGTAAGTAAAAAAATAAATACATAAACGCCCAACTCCACAACTTTAGTTCTCTGAGCCGATAATTTACCCGCCTTCCCACTGATGTTCTTTTTCCCACCCCATGCAACTATATGCACCTATTCATTTCCCCACCTACCCAGCCAATTTCCTCGTCACCATACTGCCAACCACTACAGTTTTCTTCAATTTTGATGTTGCTTGAAATACTGTTTAAAATGAAATGAACAAATATCATAGTGCCTAAATGAAAATGGTCTTGTGACCCAAAAGGGGTCGTGATCTTCAATAACTTTTCATGTCCTGTTAACTTTTGCCTAAATTTCCTTAGCATTTATAAGAAAATTTAATGCTCACTTTTTTTGAGTCAAATATTTCACAGTTTATGTAAGACCTCTTTCTTTAAAAAAAAAGTTTAAGGAGATTAATGTATCAATTTGCATTAGGAAAAGCAAGTATTAAGAAGAACATTAAAAAATGTTTATGTAATGATGATATTACACATTTTTCTGAATGCAGTCTGTTTGAAACTCTAATTAAAAAATAAGATAAATTAATATCTGTTGAGTTTATCTCAATATGATTATTGTGGTTCAGTATTTATCAACAATAAAACATTTTGTTAAGGATCAACTGAAGGATTGCCTTTCCCTCAATCACATTTGGCTTTGTGTCAGTGTTAGTTCAAGGTTATTTTTCTCTTCCATGTGGAGTAAATATGCCAAAGATATTATCTATCTGTGAGATAATAAAACAAAATGAAGAAATATTGGGAAATATTGGGTTCTTATAAATATTTCACTTGGTTAAATATTTTGTTAAAACAAAACCATAGAAAATGTAGAATGTATCTGGAATTCTACAAGTTAAGAAAAAGTGTATTTTATTTAATAATTTAAGTGTTTTAAAATATATTACAGTAAAACTATAAATACTGACTTCCTGTTCCAAAATGGTGGCATAGAAGCAACCTGACATCACTCCCCCATCTTACAAAAAACCAAAAGCAAATGCATAGTGCCAGGATTATCATTTGTGATATCCCAGAACTCAGATATGAGGATGAAACAGTTCCTGGGGCTACAGAGATGTAAAAAACCTCTGAGCAGATGAAATTTCCATATCCATGCTGCCTTTCCCCACAATCTGCCTGGCACCAACCATGCAAAAATTTCCTCCTAACTCACAGCTTCTCCACTGGAATAGCTGAGATATAGGTGAATGACCAGCTTACCACCATCTTGGGTTTTTTGGCAGTAGACCTGTTCCTGCCAACACATTTGGAAGCATCTTGAGTGCCTGAAGGAGACAGATCCCTGAGAAGAGCCAGAGACATAGGGAGGATGCAGGACTACCATTACCAGCTCTGAAAACTGCTCTGTAACTCAGCCAAAGGAGACAAAATCAGAATAGCTGCTCAGCACCACTACACTGTGGAAGGTAAGTTCTATGGATCCCCTGGGCACAAATCGCTACCCAGACTTGACACACTGAAGAGGTATCCCCTTTGGGACCTCAAATCATTTATTAGAGCTGAGGCAAACCTAGACATAAAGTGCCACCTAGAACCTAAAAGGAGGCAGTTACCTAATGGTAAAGAACCTCTAAGCAAATATATCCAATAAAAAAAAAAACAAAATAAGCCAGAGAGAGAAGACTGGAATAAATGGCTAGTCCTTCAGTGCAAAAACATAGACATACATACACAAGAGAAATGAGCAAACAGGGAACCATGACCTCCCCAAAGGACAAAGCAAGGAACCAGTGATTGTCCTTAATGAGATGGTGAACTGTGAGCTACCTGACCAAGATTTCGAAGTAGCATCTTCGGGAAATGAAGCAATCCCCAAGATAGCAACAAAAAGCAATTCAGAAAGTTATCAGAGAAGTTAAACAAAGACATTGAAGTAATTTAAAAAAACAAATCTTGAAACTGAGAAATACATTTACTGAACTGAAAAATTAATTACAGGTTTTCAACAGTAGACTGCATCAAGCAGAGGAAAGAATCTAAAAGCTCAAAGACAGGCTATTTGAAAATATACTGTGAGGAGAAAAAAGAAAAGAAAGAATAAAAGGAACTATAATCATCTACAAGATATGGAAAATTACCTCAAAAGACCAAAATTCAGGATTATTGGTATTCAGGAGGGAGCTGAACAAGAGCAATGGATAGAAAGATTATCCAAAGAAATAATAACAGAAAGCTTCCTAAAATTTGAGAAAGATATAAATATTCAGGTACAGGGAGGTCAGAGAACACCAAGCAGATTCGACTCAAATAAGACTACCTCAAATCATAAAATATTCAAATTTTCGTAGGTCAAGGACAAAGAGAAGATTTTAAAAGCAGCAAGAGAAAAGAAGAAAATAACTCATAGAGGAATGCCAATTCATCTGGCAACAGACTTGTCAACAGAAACCATAAAGGCCAGGAAGAAGTAGGATGACATTTCCAAAGTGCTCAAAGAAAAAAACCCTGCAATCCAAGAATATTGTACCCGGCAAAGCTATTTTTCAAATGTGAAGGAGAGATAAAGTCTTTGCCAGACAAAATCTGAGAGAATTAACCACCATCAGACTGGTCTTAGAAGAAATACTATAATAAGTTATTTAATCTGAAAGAAAAAAATACACTAACATGCAGAAAAGAAAACATTTGAAGGTTAAAACTTACTGGTAAACATAAGTGCACTGACAACCCCAGAATATTCAAATACTACAATTGTGGTGTGCAGTCCATTCATAGCTCTAATATGAAGCCTAAAAGACAAATGTATCTAAAACAAAAATAGCTACAGCAAGCTGTAAGAGACAGGCAATATGAAAATATGTAAATTGGAGCAACTAAACATCAAAGTGTGGGGGAGATGGAGCTGAAGTGTAGAGAAGTGTTTTTAGTTGTTCCTTTGTTTGCTTATTTCTATTATCTTTTTTTGTGATCTAAGATAAGTTGTCATCTCTTTGAAGTAACTTCTTATATTTCTAATATTTTTTGTAAGCCTCATAATAACCACAATGCAAAATCCTACAATATATACTACATATAAAAAGCAACAAACTAAAATATACTACCAAAGAAAATCACTTAATCTCAAAGGAAGACAGTAAGAAAGGAAGAAAGAGTTCCAGAACAATGAGAAAACAGGCAACAAAATGGCAGTAGTAAGTCCCTTTACTTATCAATAATAACACTAGATGTAAATGGTCTCGATTTTCAAATTAAATGGCACAGAGTGAGTGAATGGATTAAAAAAAAAAAAGACCCAACTATATGCTGCTTTCAAGAAACCCACTTCACTAATAAGGCACACAGAGACTGAAATTGAAGAGGTGGGAAAAGATATTTTATAAAACTGGAAACTAAAAAAGAAAAGTAGCTATACTTATACTTAGATAAAATAGATTACAAATCTAAAATTGTAAAAAGAGATAAAATGGTCACCATATAATGATACAGGGGTCAATTCAGCAAGAGAATATAACAATTATAAAAATATCTGTGCATCCAACACTGGAACTCCCAAGTATATAAAGCAAACACTAATAGATTTAAAGGGAGAGATAGACTGCAATACAGTAATAGTAGGGGACTTTAACACCCCACTCTAAGCAATGGACAGATCATCCAGACAGAAAATCAACAAAGAAACAGCAGAGTTAAACCATACAGGAGTTTGAATAGGCCTAACTAACATTTACAGAACATTTCACCCAACTACTTCAGAATACATGTTTTTTCTCAGCACCTAGAACATTCTCCAGAATACAGCATATCTTAGGCTACAGAACACTCAAAGCAAATTAAAAAAAATAGAAATCATATCAAGTATTTTTTCTGACCACGGTGAAATAAAACTAGAAATCAATAATGAGGAGTTTCAGAAAACACACAAACACATAGAAATTAAACAGCATGCTCCTGAAGGACCAGTAGGTTAATTAAAAAAAAAAGAATGAAACAGAAACATTTCTTGAAACAAATGATAATGGAAATATTACATAGCAAAATATGTGGGAAATGGAAAAAGCAACACTAAGAGAAGTTTATCACAATAAATACCTATATCAAAAAAGTAGAAAAGCATCAAATAACCTACCCTCAAGGAAGTATAAAATCAGGAACAAACCAAAACAAAAATTAATAGCAAGGAACAAATAATAAGGATTGGAGCAGAAATAAATGAAACTGGGATTAAAAAACAATAAAGAAGATCAACAAAATAAAATGTTGGGTTTTTGTTTTTGTTTTTGTTTTGAGATGGAGTTTTGCTCTTTTTGCCCAGGCTGAAGTGTAACAGCATGACCTCAGCTCACTGCAACCTCCGCCTCCTGGGTTCAAGTGATTCTCCTGCCTCAGCCTCCTGAGTAGCTGGGATTACAGGTGCCTGCCACCACACCTGGCTAATTTTTTGTATTTTTTAGTAGAGATGTGGTTTCACCATGTTGGCCAGACTGGTCTCAAACTCCTGACCTCAGGTGATCCTCCTGCCTTGGCTCCCAAAGTGCTGGTATTATAGGCGTGAGCCACCAGATCTGGCCAAGGTTTTTTGAGAAGATAATTGAAATTGACAAAAGTTTAGCTAGACTAACAACAAAAGAGAGAACACCCAAATAAATAACATTAGAAACAAAAAAGGAAGCATAGCTATAGACAACTTAGGAATTCAAAGAAGAGACTAACTATACATTAGAGGCTATTATAAACAACTATATGCGAAGAAATTGGAAAACCTAGAAGAAAGTGATAAATTCCTATATATACACAACCTACCAAGATTGAACCATGAAGAAATAAGAAACCTAACAAACCAATAATTAATAATAAGATGGAAGCTGTAGTACATAGCCCAGGACCTGAGGGCTTCACTACTGAATTCTACTAAACATTTAAAGAAGATGCCAATCCCTCTCAAACTCTTCAAAAAAAAAAAAAAAAATGGAAGAGGAAGGAATACATCCAAACTCACTGCACCATACCAGAATTACACTGATACCAAAACAAGACAAGGACACAATGATAAAAGAAGCCTATAGGCCAGTATCACTGATGAACATATATACAAAATTCTCAACAAAATTCTAACAAATCAAAATCAACACATACTAAAAAAAAAAGTCACTCACTATGACCAGGTAGAATTTGTCCCAGGGATGCAAGGATAGTTCAACTTATGCAAATCAATAAATGTGATACATCACATTAAAATAACCAGAACAAAAAGCATATAAACATTTCAATAAATTCTAATAAAGCATTGATCAAATTAACATCTCTTTATGATAAAAATCCTCATCAAACTATATAGAAGGAACACATCTCGAAATAACAAAGGCCATATATGACAAACCCACATTTTATTGAATGAGAAAAAATTGAAGGTTTTCTTTAAGGGTTGGAACAAGACAAAAATGCCCACTTTTACTACTTTTATTCAGTATAACACTGGAAGTCCTGGCCAAAGCAGTTAGGCAAGACAAAGCAATAAAGGGCATCCAAACTGAAAAGGAAGAAGTCAAATTAGCCTTGTTTACAGACAACAAGATTTTATACTTAGAAAAGCCTAAAGATTCCACCAAAAAATTATAAAAACAAATTAATTCAGTAAAGTTTCAGGATACAAAATCAACATACAAAAATTAGTAGCATTTATATATGCCAATGGCACATAAGCTGAAAAAGAAATCAAGAAAGCCATCCTAGTTCCAATAGGTACAAAAATATTAAATATCTAGGAATCAATCTAATCAGAGTAAAAGACCTATTCAAGAAAAACTATAAAACTCTGATAAAAGAAATTAAAGAGGACACAAAAATGGAAATATATTCCATGCTCATGGATTGGAAGAACTGTTATTGTTAAAATGACAATTCTACCCAAAGCAATTTACAGATTCAATGCAATCTCTATCAAAGTACCAGTAACATTCTTCAAATAAATAGAAAAAAAAATCCTAAAACTTATAGCGAACCACAAAAGACCTCAAATGGCCAAACCTATCCTGAGCAAGAAGAACAAAGCTCAAGGACTAATTGACTTCAAAATCTACTGCAAATCTATAGTAACCAAAACAACATGGCATAGAAACAGACACATGACCAATGGAACCAAATAGAGAACCCAGATATAAATCCCCACATTTACAGCCAACTCATCTTTAACAAAGGTGCCAAGAACATACAATGAGGAAAGGCAGTCTTTTCAATAAATCGTTCTGGGAAAACTAGATAACCATATGCAGAAGAATGAAACTGGGTCCCTATCTCTTACCATACCTAAAAGTCAAAATAGGTTAAAGACTTAAATCTGAGACCTAAAACTCTGACGCTACTATAAGAAAACATCAGGAAAACTCTCCAGGATATTGTTCTTGGCAAAGATATTTTGTGTAAGCCTTCAAAAGCACAGGCAACCAAAGCAAAAAGTAGACAAATGGGATTACATCAAGCTAAAAAGCTTCTGCACAGCAAAAAAACAAACAACAATATAAAACAAATAACCAAAAAACAACAAAGTGAAGAGATAACCAACAGAATGGTATAAAATATTTGCAAACCATCCATTTAACAAGAGATTAATAACAAGAATATATAATGTGCTCAAACAATTCAATAGCAAAAAACAATCAGATTTTAAAATGGGCAAAAGATCTGAACAAACATTTCTCAAAAGAAGACATACTAATGGCCAACAAGTATATTTCAAAAATGCTCAACATTATTAATCATCAGAGAAATACAAATAAAAACTATCATATTCCCTCATTTCAGTTAAAATGGCTTGTATCAAAAAGACTGGGCATAATGGATGCTGGAAAGGATGGGGAGTCAGAGGAACCCTTGTACACTGTTGGTGAGAACATACATTAGTACAGTCATTATGGAGAACAGTATGAAAGTTTCTCAAAAAGCTGAAAATAGAACTACCATATGAGCCAGCAATCCCACCAAATGAGCCAGTTATCCCACAATAACCCCTAGGTATACACCCCAAAGAAAGGAAATCAGTATATCAAAGAGATATCTGTACTCCTATATTTATTGCAGCACTATTTGCAGTAGCAAAGATATGGAATCAAATTAAGTGTCCATCAATGGATGAATGGATGAAGAAAATGTGATATTTATAAAAAATGGAATGTTATTCAACCACAAAAAATGAGATCTTGTCTGATATGGTTTCATTCTGAGTCCCCAACACAATCTCACCTTGAATTGTAATAATTCCCACATGTCAAGGGCAGGACCAGGTGGAGATAATTGAATCATGAGATTGGTTTTCCCTATGCTATTCTCATGATGGTTAGTGAGTTCTCATGAGATCTGATGGTTTTATAAGGGGCTTCCCCTTTCACCTGGCATTCTCTCTCCTGTCACCCTGTGAAGACCATGATTGTTAGTTTCCTGAGGACTTCCCAGCCATGCATACTGTGAGTCAATTTAATAAACCTCTTCTCTTTATAAATTACCCAGTCTTGGATATTTCTTCATAGCAGCATGGGAACAGACAAATACACTGCAGCAACATGGATAAAACTGGAGGTCATTATGTTAAGTGAAATAAGCCAGACATAGAAAGACAAATATCACATGTTCTCACTCGTATGTGGGAGCTTAAAAAATGGATCTCATGAAGATAGAGAATGAAATGGTGGTTACCAGAGGCCAGGAAGTTTGGGGGTCCATGAGGAGATGTTGATTAATGGGTATAATTATATGGTTTGATAGAAAAAATAAGACCAAGTGTTCAATAGATCAGTAGGATGATTATAGTCAATATTAATCTACTGTACATTTCAAAATAACTAAAAGAGAATAATCTGAATGTTCTAGCATAAAGAAAAGATGAATATTTAAAATGATGGATATCTCAATTACCCTGATTTGATATTTACAAATTATATTACTGTATGAAGTTATCACATGTATCCCCAAAATATGTACATCTATTATGTATCAACAAAAACTACAAATACCTAATGCAGTTAAAAGATCCTAGAAATGAGGGAAACTAGAGGAAGCTAACAGTGCAACAGGAAAGATAATGGCAAAGAGAGATTGTGTGTGTGTGTGTGTGTGTGTCTGTATGTCTGTGTCTGTGTCTATGTGTCTGTGTTTCAGAGGAGGAGGAGAACAAAGAAGAAGAAAAGGAAGAAGAAAACTGTGAGGACAAAGAGGAAAGCTACACAGAAAGACAGCTCGCAATTTTTTTTTTCACAAGATTTAGAGAAGCTGGAACATTCTTTATCTCCTAGTCCTCCAATTTTACAATGTTTTCCGTTTTCTGTACAACCTCCTTGCTCCTTACTATTTACCACCTGAAAGGGCATTGCTAAAGAAGAGATCCAAGCAAGTTTTCCAATCTCATTTCCATAGCAGCAGCAGCTGCTGCCTGGAATTTCAGTAGCAAGTAACTGAACACACCAACTTTCTGCAACCTTTCCACTCCTTCTGTGCTCGCTTGTGATCTCCCCAGAATTCTTCCTTTTCTCCTTCTCCCCAAGTTAAAGTTAAGGTAAATGTTATTGTTAGGAGATTCATAAAAATACCCAAACTTCAGGTCAAATATTATTGTCAGAGAGAGCCTAGACTAACCTACGGGTTAGCCCATTTGTTTCTCCTGTCCTCACAAGGATTTCTGGACCGTTTAACATACTGGACATGCAATACTCTCTCTTTCTCTCCTTTGCAACCGTGGCTGTTTATCTTCTTCCACTTCCACCCAAGCTGGTAGTTTGTAATTGAACTGATGTATGGTAGAAACTGTATGAAGCCAATCGTTTGTGTCTTATAAAAGCCTAGACTCATTAAAGAAATTATTATATGCTTCCACGATGTGGAGAGGAAAAGGAGAAGATCTTTGTGGACAGAAAAAGACAGAGAGAAAAAAAAGAACCTAGCAACAGGGTGAGAAAAGGATGGAATTTGGTAGGCAAGAGCAATGCAAACTCACTCTGCTTCTAGCAGTGCCCTGGGGGTGAAGGAGAGAGTTTGGGCAGCTGACTTTTAGCACCAACAAAGACCAGTCTGCAAAGGAGCACCAGAGCTCCAGGCATCCTGAACATCAAAGGATTATGAGGACTTAGAAACAACAGGCATCTGAAAGGGACCAGCATGAATCCCACACTGGAAGTGCCTCCTAAAATATTTGCTTTGCATAAAACTCCAGGACCTTTGCACAATCCTAGAGGAACACTGAGGATTTTGTGAGAGAGACTGGTGGCATAGGAGCTTAGGTTTGGATTTAAATTGATTTTATGAAATGAAGAAATGTGATATTTCTTACTCTGACCACTCTACAAGTATCATTAATGTAAAGAGATACACATACAAAAAATACACAATCATGATATATGTTTATATGTGTATGATTATATAATCATCAAAAACTTTATTTCTGTAGATTACATGTGGAAGTTAACAATCCTTTTAAGCAAATATTAGTCTCCCCTTTGAGGGTTTTGAGCTTCATTATGGTCAGGAATTCCTCCCTTTGTGTGTGTGTGTGTCTGTGTGTGTGTGTGTGTGTGTCTGTGTGTGTCTGTGTGTGTGCGTGTTTGGGAACTGGCTTACTAAGCCTAAACAAATAAATAATTTTTTTACTTGCAAAAAATGTCAAGTTACGTTTTCTCAAAATTACCTGACATAATACCAGTTTAATTGAATGCTTATAAAATTCAAGGAACAAGCAAAATGGTTAGATGTAATAAATTCAAACAAGCTTAGGCATATCAAGTTTTCAAAGCGCAGAAAAAGGCATACTGTGCTGAATCACTTACATGTGCTTAAAATGCACAAAGGAGCTCACCTATGACAAAACAGCAAGAAATACAAATTCTCTTCTTTTTTTCTCATTGTCTTTTGAGAAACGAAAACCTTACAGTAGTCCTTGAATAGCACAGTCCTCTGGCTTTGTACCTTAACATGTTACAAAGTTCAGCCTTGAGAAAGGAGTGTAGATACCATATTGGAACTATTCTGAGTCTGGTGCAATGGTTTCTGGAATTTGCCTTGAACCCACACTCGGTGCATTTTTACTTGTTTTTTCCTATTAACTCGTAAGTGGCAATCAACCGGATTTTGCTTTTCATCTAAACTGGCTTTGCAGAACATACTGTGGACTTCCCCTTTTGTAAAGAAATATGCTCTGGTACCATCTCCTCGAACATAAAAATTTTCAGATAAACAATGTCCCTTTTTAAAACGAAGCTGACTCTTATATCTTCCATAGTCTCAAAATAACAGCATTCCCCCAGGTTTCAGTAACTTGGACAGTAGGTTTACAACACCTTGCATCCTGTTAGGATGAATAGAAGAGAGCACAAAGACAAGGAGAATGACATCCAGGATCCCATCTGGAAAAGGGTAAGGTAAGCCATCATCACATACATCATGAACAAAGGCAAAACACTGGGCTGCTCTGTAGAACGAGTGTGACTTTACAAGCTCCACAGCTCCAGAAGCAAAATCACAACAATACAGAAAGGACTCTGGAAAGCTCTGCGAAGTGTTCAAAATTGGAAACACACTATTTCCAACTCCACAACCAACCTCTAGTATCCTGAAAGTGGCACTGCTACCAGGAAACAATCGGTCTTCATACGTCCTTTTTTGTGTTTTTCAGAGTCTAGGTTGGAGTCTTTTGCTCCAGAGCCCCTCTTGTGGGCAGGCAGAATTCTAATACTCATGATCTTGGCTCTCTATCTAATTAGAAACTAAAGAGAGTTCTTTGTTTTCAGCTCTCATAGTGCAATTCCATCTAAAACAGTTGCTACCTTAATTCTCTGAGGTGGAGTGCAAGCCTACGTCAGCCTGTTCAATATTTTAAGACACAAGTTTCTCACGTCTCAGCAAATGGAAACCTACAGGGTTGTAGCAGGTCCTCAACATGTATGTCTCTCCAATTCTCCATTTCCTCTATTTAGTAGCAAGTAGTGCGTGCGTGTGTGTGTGTGTGTGTGTGTGTGTGTGTGTGCAGGTGCATGCGCATGTATGTGTCTGATTGGAGGATTATTCCTCTATTTTTCTATAGCATTATCATTTCTCATTTTAAAACATTATTTGCTGTTACTGACCCTCCATTCCAGAAACACATCGCTTTCTTCCTCTGTACTGGAGTGTAGCAACACAAAGACACAGCCAACAATTTCACTTGGTGGTCTGATGAACTCTCATAAATGCCTTGTTTACAGCATAAGAATGTAAGTACATATTTATATATCTCTCTCTGACAAAATATCCTTTCCATATATCTGATGGCCATTAATTTGGACTTAACTAGTTTTGTCCAAAAATGAAATTCCAAGGGCCAGGGAAGAATAAAATGTACTTGAAAAATTTCTTCTAACTGGTATAAATATTAAATTAAACTTATATGCTAATTGGAACAATAATGGCCCTTTGGATGATTCTACATTACAAGCGTCAACTGAAATAAGGTCCCCAATTGTCACTGAGAACATCAAAGGGATCTTACTTTGAGGAATAAATATGTGATTATAGTGATTATGTGTGAATTGTGGTTATATTCTTCAATAAAGAAACATGCTGGGATTTACAACTCTCCTCTGAGACTTAGTCAAATAAATTAACACATATTGAACACCCACAGGATTCCTGCAGCAGAATAAACAAATTATTTTACCAACCTGCAAAACATCAGCTAGTGGACTAAGCTGCACAATGAACTCAGCTGAGCGTGGCCCCAAGCAGAACAATTAAGCAGGCAGAATTTATTTTCATTGTGGGTTACGTCTCCATTGTGCAATCTAGAATGGCTTGGACTGGACGTCAGAACTGGATTCTGTTTCCAGCTCTGGCATCTGATAGTTGCATAATAGTATTGAGTTTCAATTTCCTAATTTTGAAATGGGAAATCATTGCTTCCGTCTCATGGATAGTTTCAAAGGAAACAACAACTGGGAAATTACTGTTCAAATTGCTGAACATTCTGTGGTCATAAAATATTGTTTATCTGCTTCATTTTTTTTCTCAAGACTTCCCTAAAGCAGGCTTTATTTTCATGATTTAATCCCTCTTCTCCTTTTTCTTCTAAATCTTCTCTCCAATCCCCTCTACATTGCTAAATCAGAACACTGTCCAATTCTCAGTTCTCATCCTACTTAACTAATCAGCAGCATTTGACAGAATTCACAAATTATCTTCCTTAAAACATTGTCTATATTGAGGAAATAACATTTCAAGGATACAGTGCACTGTATATAGATATACCTTCTAACATATGTATCTATATCTCTATCATTTTATATCTTGGGAAATTACTTTTTTATTGTCTTTCTGCACATTAGAATGATTTTTCCTTGAAAACAAAATGCGTGTCTATATGTTTTGGTACTTTTTTTATCCAAAGCAATGAGAAAAATGCCTGGTATGAAATAAACAGACAATAAATAATTTTTAAATGAGTGAAAAAATGAGTATCCTTATTACTGAACCTGAATGTAAAACTAGCCTTAATAATTTTCCATTCTAGGGAAAAATCTTTGTGAGATAAGAGAAGTTAGTGGCTTTTAAAGTGGACACTTTTACATTGATTGAAGTAGGTTTTGATTGTTTGTGCCTGGAATTATTTATGAAGCTGATTCTAGCTAGCATATCAATTATTAATAACTGGGGGACCCAGACAAAGAGGAATTTATATACATTCACAATCTCTTTCATGGTTCTTTACTGGGTACTTATAAGACTGGAGAAAAGCGAAGAAATTGGCAAGAGCCCCATGCTTAGTAGTGCATATGTGAGAAGGTGATTGGATGCTTCTGGAGTCAAACACAAATCATCACCCACTTCCCTGGATTCTTCCCTCCTATGTTGCCAAAAAGCTCAGCCTCTAGGGCAGGAGTGGAGAACCCTTTTATCCCAGAGCACAGGAAGAGATTCCTGTATTCTTATGTAACGCTTTAATATTGTTATATTTAAACAAGGCAGAAGCTATATTTCTAATACTCCTGTATGCCATTTTTCATTTTATGTTAAAATTAATTTAACATAAAATGAAATTTTATTTTATTAACAAATGAAAGTTAATTTGTTCTCTGGAGTTCCATGGGTAATTTTTTTTTTCATTTTGGCTTTAAAACTTTCTCTCAAAGTAGCAGGATACCATGCAATGTTGTTCAAGATTTCAGCAACTCCAATAATAGGTTTCAGACACCAATATAATGTCCCTTTCTAATATTCAGCAGGGAGATGAAAGCTATAAGAAAGTGTCAAGTAAAATGACTTGGAATTTTTTTAAAAAACCATGATATCAGAGGTGAATAATTCTTTTATGTAGCCTATCAATAGTCTTGAAAGAGCAGAAGAAATAATGAGTGAACATGAAAATAATTCAATAAAAGTTACCAAAACTGAAACACAAGGAGAAAATAGAGTGGAGAAGGGGAAACAACAGAAAAGGACATCCAAAAGCTGTAGGATATTTGTCAGCCTGACATATATAAACTTGCTGATCTTGGAGGAGACAGAACAGAGCAGAAGATTATGTGAAAATATAATTGCCAAAATGTACCAAAAATAGTGGAAGATATCAAACCATGGGTCCAGAAGCTGAGAAAATATCAACATGATAATTCTAAAAAGTAGATACATTACAGTCAAACTGCTAAAAACCAAAGCTAAAGAAAAAATCCTAGAGGCAGACAGAGGAAAGAAAAAGAAATGTTATAAACAAAATACACAAAAATGACAACAAGAATTATAGCAGGATTCTCATTAGAAACTATATTATACTACATTATGTTACCCTATACTGTACTATATGACTGTATCATGCACCAGAAGTCAAAGTGTTATCTGTAAAATATTGTCAACCCCAAATTCTATACCCAGCGAACATATTTTTAAAAATGAGAGATACAAATGTCAAAAGATGAAATAAACGTGTTTTCAGAAAAACAAACAAGAGAATTGACTGCTAGTAGAACTGTATGTTTTAAAAAATTGTAATAATAGACTTTCAGGTATAAGGAGTGTGAGACCAGATCAAAGCTTGGATCCACACAAAGAAATAAAGAGTGCACGAAATGATAAAAATGAGGATAATAAGATAGATGTTTTAATCTAATTTTTCATAATTAAAAGATAATTGAATGTCTAAAGTAAAAATCATAGGTTTAAAACATATAAAACTAAGTTTTTCATCCAATAATCCTGTTCAGAATAAATTGCATGACAACAATCATGTAAAGAAGAAGGGGGAAAAACTTGAAAGTATATGATTGTAAAGTTCTTGCCCACTTTAAATGAGGTGGTAAATATTTAAAGGTAAACATGGTAAGTTAATGGTTTCTATTGTAATCTATAAAGAAAGTACTAAAACATATACAACTAATAAACCAATAGTAAAACTTAAGTAAAGCTATTTTTAAAAATATTCAATTAATCCAAAAGAAAGCCAAAAAAAGAAGAAAGGTGAATGAACTTGGATGTGTTCAAATAGAATACACTCATGAATTAGTAAATACAAATACAATTATATTAAGAATTATATAAAATGTAAATGTCTAAACACTCAAATCAAATGGCAGACATTGAGAGATTGGTTAAAAAATTCCAACCACTGGCTGTCTACAAGAAATCCTATTTAATTATAAAGATGTGTAGAGATTTAAAGTTAAAGGATGGGAAATAATTATAGTATGAAAGCATTAACTCAGGAAAGCTATAATCACTACTTATATCAGACAAAGCAGACTTCAAAACAAATAGTTCCAGAGCAAAAAAGAGGTATTATATAATAATAAAAGAATCAAGTAATCAATTAGGTCTAAAAATTCTATATGTATATGCATCAAACCACGCAATTTCAGAATGCATGAAGCAAAAACTGGTAGACCTGCAAAGAGAAATAGAAAAATCTACAATTGTATTGGACATCTCAATACTCCTATTTCAGTAACTGAATAAGTAAATGGGAATCAGTAAGGATATAGAAAACCTGGACAACATAGGCTGGGCGCGGTGGCTCACGCCTGTAATCCCACCATTTTGGGAGGCTGAGGTGAGTGGATCACCTGAGGTCAGGAGTTCGAGACCAGCCTAGCCAATTTGGTGAAACCCCATCTCTACTAAGAATACCAAAATTAGCTGGGCATGTTGGCAGGCACCTGTAATATCCCAGCTATTCTGGAGGCTGAAGCAGGAGAATCACTTGAACAAGGGAGGCAGAGGTTGTAGTGAGCCAAGATCGTGCCATTGCACTCCAGCCTGGGTGACAGAGCAAGACTCTGTTTCCAAAAAAAAAAGAAAAAGAAAAAAAAGAAAACCTGGATAACACTATCAACAACTTGACCTAATTAATATTTTGAATACACTATACAACATGAACTAAATACATATTTGCATATGCACATGAAATTTTTGCCAAAATACACTGTGTTCTCAGCTATAAAGAAACATCAACAAATTTTGAGCAATTGAAATCAGGCAACATATGCTATCTCACCAAATGGAATTAAAATAAAAATAAATAACAGAAAGAAATCTGGAAATGCTCAAATATTTGGAACTAAATAACACACTCTAAAATAGCCCATAGGTCAAAGAGCAAATAGCAATAGAAACTTAAAAATATTTTGCACTGAATGAAAAAGAAAACACAACATATGGAACACACCTAAAACAGTGCTTAAATTGACATTTATGTAACATTAAATGCCAATTTTTAAAAACAATGACGTTTCTGAAACAATATTATAAGATTTTAAGAAACCATAAAAAAAAGCGGAACAAATTAAACTCAAAGCACGCAAACGGAAACAGTAAAATTAAGAGCAGAATTCAATGGAATGTAAAACACAAAAAGAATAGAACTAAAACCTGATTCTTTGAAAAAAATTAATAAAAATATAACAAAGATGCCCAAGTAAAAGTTCAGGACATGATAGCTGCACAGCTGAATTCTACCAAATATTCTAAAAAGAACTGGTGCCAATCCTTTTCAAAATTTTTTAAAAATCCAAACTCATTTTATAAGGTCAGCATTACCCTGAGACCAAAGCCAGAAAAGGACACTACAAGAAAAGAAATTTACAGACCGATATCCCTGATAATCATAGATGCAAAAATCCTCAATATTAGCAAATGAATCCAACAGCACATTAAAAGGATCATTCGCCATGATGCAGTGGGAGTTATTTCTGGGATGCCAGAATTGTCCAACATAATCGATAAATGTGGTACACCACATTAATAAAATAAAGGATAAAACTCATATTATCATCTCAACAGATGCAGAAAATGTATTTGACAAAATTCAACACTCTTTCATGATAATAACTTAAGGATAGAATAAATATATCTCAACATACTAAAGGCCATATATGACAAGCTCACAGCTAACAACATACTTAACGGTGAACATCTGAAAGCTTTTCCTCTAAGATCAGGAGTAAACGAAAGTGCCCATTCTTACCACTACCATTTAAAATAGTATTCAAAGTCCTAGCCAAAGTAATCAATCAAGAAAACAAAATAAAATACATCCAAATCAGAAAGAAATAAGTTAAATTGTCTGGGTGCAGATGACATAATCTTATGTATAGAAAACTCTAAAGATTCCCCCCAAAACTGTTAGAACTAATAAATAAATTCAGTAAAGTAGCAAGATATAAAAATCAATATATAAAAATCAATTGTATTTCTATATGGTGATGACAAGCTATTCCAAAAAATAAGAAAACAGCCCAATTTAGAATAGCATCAAAACAAATACAATACTTAGGAATAAATTTAACCAAGGAGGTAAAAGATCTGTACAATAAAACTCTAAGACATTGATGAAAGAAATTGAAGAAGACACAAGTAAATGGAGAGATATCTCATGCTCATGGATTGGAAGGTTAGCACTGTTAAAATATCTATACTACATAAAGCAATCCACAGAGTCAGTGAAATCCTTATCAAAATTCCTGTAGGAATTTTCACAGAAATTGCAAAAACAACCCTAAGATTCTTATGAAATTACAAAAGACCCTAAATAGACAACATACTCTTGACTAAGAAGAACAAAGCTGGAGGCCTCGTCCTTCCTGATTTCTAACCATATTACAATGTGTAGTAATCAAAACAGTTTGTTAATGGCATAAAAACAAACACATGAACCAATGGAACAGAATAGGGAACCCAGAAACAAACACACACAAATGCAGTTGTTACGGTTTGTGTAATCTCGAAAATTCAGATGTTGTCAATATGATGGCATTAAGAGGTTGGGCCTTTAAAAGAAGAATACACCATGAGGGCTCCTTCCACATAAATGAGACTAAAGTCTTCATAAAAGAGATTTCATGCAGCATTCAGCAGCTTGCCTTTTGGATTTTTGCCATGTGAAGTCATAAGTTTCTCTTTTGCAGGGAATATAGACATCACCAGATAACCAAAACCTCCTGGTACCTTAATCTTGGACTTGTCAGCCTCTACAACTGTGAGAAATAAATTTCTATTCTTTATAGATTACCCAGTCTGTAGTATTCTCTTGTAGCAGCACAAATGGACTAAGATAACAGTCAACTCATCTTTGATAATGGCCCAAGAGTATACAACATGAAAAGGATAGTCTGTTTGATAAGTAGTTTTGGGAAAACTGGATATAAATAATTTGAAAGGGAATACAACACTTTCACGATTCATAGGTAATGTGATTGTAAACATAGAAATCTAGAATAATCTAAATAGATTTTTAAATTAACAAAAGGATTTAGTAGAGTATCTGGATACAACCTAAATATACATATATCAATTGTATTTCTATTAACAGAAACAAATAACTAGGAAAAAAGTATCACTTACAATAGCATTAAACAATCTAAAAATATTAGGAATTCATAAAATATGTGAAAATCTCCATAGAGAAAATTATGATTTTATTGAAGAATATTAAAAAGACCAAAAGTAAAAGGAAGATATGCCATGTTTATGGGAAAAAATATTTTTCAGATGTAAATTTTATCAAAATTAATCTATAAATTTCATAAGATTCTCATAAAAATGAGAAGAGATAAGAACAGGCAAGATCCTCTTGAAGAAGACATATTAGACAAAAAAGTCATCTATCAGATAATAGAATTTGCTTGAAGCTATGGTAATTAAGACAGTGTTTTTTTTTTTAGCACAGAGATAAGGAGCATAGACTAGTGACACAGATCAGGAGTTCAAATACAGGCCTTCACATATATGGACACAAAATGACAGAGACACCATAATGTGCCAATGGGTAATTGGCAAGCTTCAACAAATAGAACTGGGACAGTGAAATGACCACTTGAAAAAAAAATTTAAATGGTATTTCCAGATAGATGAAGAGCCTGAAAGTGAAAGACAAATCTATAAAACTTTAGGAGATAAGAAAATATCTCCATGAAGTAGAGTAGGAGAATATTTCTTAAACAATATACAAAAGTCACTAAGTAAAAAGGAAAAATCAAAAAATTCAAACACATTCAAATTTTTAAAACCCATTCATAAAAACAATATTAATGAGAGTGAAAAGATAAGCCATAGAAAGAGAGGTTATGATTGCAACACATATATCTTGAAAAAAGATCTGGTATACCAGCGAAATCTTACAAATCAAGAATAAATACACCACCACCTAAAAGAAAATGAGTAAATAAGGCTTTAATGGTTTCCTTACAAAAGATGAGATCCAGGCAACCTGTAATGCATTAAACTGTGTCTCTCAAAAATTCACATAGTGAAGTGCTAGCCCCCAATACTGCAGAATGCAATAAAATTTACAAATAGGATTGTTGCTTACGTAATTAGTTAAGACAAGATCACACTGAAGTAAGCTGAGCTCCTAACTCAATATGATCATTGCCTTATAAAAAGAGGAAATATGGACAGAGACACACCAACAGGGAGATTGCCGTGTGGACATCATGGCAGAGATTGGGCTGGTGCATCTGTAAACCAAGAAGCACAAAAGATTTCCAACAAACCACCAGGAGCAAGGCAAGAGGCACAGAAGAGATTCTCACAACCCACAGAAGGAACCAACACTGCTAGCGCCCCAGACTTCCAGCCTCCAGAACTGTGAGACAATAAGTGTCTGTTTAAGCCACCCAGTTTGTGGTCTTTGTTACAGCAGCCCAAGCAAACTAATTTATGGTTAATTAACCTAAGAAAATGTGACCAAGCTAGTAATTAGAAAAATCAAAATAATAATAATCTATTTCTGCACGCCGATCAGATTGGCAATAGTACAAAAATATCAATGAATGGTGAGGATGTAGAGCAATAGAACTATCCTGTCATCTACTACTTTTGACAACCACTTTCCAAACAGTTTGGAACAACTTGATATCATCTGGTAAGTTAAATGTATACATTATTTCTTAATTCAGAAATTCTACTGTCAGGTGTATATCCTAGTGACTAATCAGTGTGTATAATGATTTCTAGTCACCCAGGATACATACACAAACGTGTAATTAGAAGCTAAATGAGAAACAAACTAAATCTATCAATAGCAAAGTAAATAAATAGATCAGTGTATACAGTTGATCCTTGAACAACACAGGTTTGAACTGCATGGGTCCACTTACATAGGAATTTTATTTTTCAGTAAAAACGGTAGGACCTCTGTATGGGCAGGTTCCACATCCACACGTGGATCAAAAATACTGTACAATATTCACAGAATGTGAAACCCTTATATAGGGAGGTATAACTTTTCATATCTGCAGGGCCAACTGTGAGACTTGAGTATGTGCTGATTTTGTTATCCATGGGCAGTCCTGAAACCAATGTCTCATGAATACTGAAGGCCAACTGTATTTCTTGCAGCAATGAAAAAAAAGTAAAGCTACGCACAACAATACGGATGACCATCACAAACAAAATTTTTAAAATATGATACAGATGGTTACATAAGTGTTTGCTTTATGATTATTTGTTAAACCAAATCAGCACATTATTTGTTTTTCTCTAGTTATATTTCACAATTTAAAAATTCTAATCTTTGTTTTCTATTTGGGGAAGTCCCACCCAATGGCTTCAATCTTTAGGTAGAAATTTGTCACTTGCCTACCTCTAAATGCACAGTCCAGAAGAGTAAAAACAGCAACAATGACAAGATTCTGTTTAAGAAAAAAGAAGAAGATAGATATTTGGTAAGGAATTAGTAGTATCTGCTCCCCTTGTGCCAGTCGTTGTTTGACATGCTTGTGCAATTATACTTTTTCTTTTTTATATACTTTTAAGGTATATATTTTTTCATACAAAAATGTGCATAAATGAGGTCTGCTCTAAAACTTGAGGAAGAAATTTTCTACATTCAACTTAGTGCGAATGAGTATGTCAGTGGTTACCTTGATTTACTTCTAAAAAACTGTCATGTGAAAGTATGCATCCTCAAGAACGAATCCCTCTGTGAGACAGATTATAGACTATCCCTCTTCTGTGGAGTTGGCCTCTCACTCAACTTGGCATAGTGCTCTAGAGAGGGCAGGCCTGCAACTATTTCCTGGTTCTGCTGAAGTGATAAGGATATAAATGGGATTATACTTTTCGGAATTTATCATTGCATTTTTACCTCAGGATCACTCTTTTTTTTTTCTAAATTTCAGAGGTTTTTGGTAATCCAAAATCTTCTGTGTGATGCCTGAGCCAACCCTTCCTCATAATTCTCTTCCCCCTAGTAACTTAAGGAGCCTCTATGGAAGTGGGGAGAGACAAAAGTGGAAGTCTGCTGGGTAGGGCTGCTTGGAAAACTTTTGCTTTCTTGACACAAAGGGATCTTTTCTGCTTGTACAGAATGTTGTGGAGATGTTGGCAGGTGTGATGCAGCAAGCATGGGGACTAAAGCAAACATATCATGGATTGTGGAGCAGAACTTGGACCAAACCCAAATCCCAATAAGCATTGCTGAACACTTGCATCAGCCCAGGATTACCTATCTATGGACTCCTACACCACATGCCATTAGATGCAGAGGCTACATCCTAAGATGTATTCCAGAAATCTTAGAACATAAAAATTATTTCTCACTCTGTCTACTTGTAGATAAATAGAAGCCATTGTTGTAGGACCCCATCCAGGGGCCTATGTCATATAAATTATTGAACGACAGTTTATTAGCCCATTCTCATGCTGCTATAAAGAACTACCCAAAACTGGGTAATTTATTAAAAAAAAAGAGGTTTAACTGACTCACAGTTTCACAGGCTATACAGAAGGCATGGCTGGGGAGGCCTCAGGAAACTTACAATCACAGCTGCAAGCGAAGGGGAAGCAGGCACATCTTCATATGGCAGCAAGAGACAGAGAGAGTGAAGCGGGAAGTGCTACACACTTTTAAACAACTAGATCACATGAGAACTCTATCACAAAAACAGCAAGGGGGAGGCCCCCCCGCCATGATCCAATCACCTCCCACCAAGCTCCTCCTCCAACACATGGGGATTACAATTCAACATGAAGAATTGGGTTGGGACACACAGAGCCAAACCATATCAGACAGTCAATTGAAATTTGACTTAAAAATCAGTAAACTACCTAGATAAGAGATTATAAATAACTTCCATAACAATTTGGTAATAAACTCCTGATAAGTCCTATATTTTTAAAAAATCCAGCTAAACTAAAACTAAACAAAAATGCTAATAATAGAGAGGCTTTCAAGTTCAGAAGAGTTAACGCTAGTTTAATTCCTCATCTTTATTCCCCAGAGTCTTGCTCTGTCACCCAGGCTGGAGTGGCATGCTGGGTTCACTGCAGCCTCTGCCTCCTGGGTTCAAGCAATTTGCCTGCCTTGGCCTCCCGAGTAGCTGGGATTACAGGCGCTGTGCACCATCACACCTGACTAATTTTTGTATTTTTAGTAGAGAGAGGGTTTCACCATGTTAGCCAGGCTGGTCTTGAACTCCTGACCTCAGATGATCCACCCGCCTCAGCCTCCCAGAGTGCTGAGATTACAGGTGGGAGGCACCGCGCCTGGACTCCTCATCTCTTTTCTTACCTTAAAGAAGTTAACTAACTTTTTGTCTCAATTACTTAATCTGTTAATTAGTCAATAATACCTTTTTCACAATATTATTGCTATACATGGAAAACAGCAGTTACATTTCTAGTACATGGTACTTTTTCAATAAATAGCAGCTATCATTAAAGCTCACAAAATCAAGTCATTCCCTAAGGTCACTAGCTATGCCAATTGATTCTTCTTGGGGCAATTGATTCTTCTTTTACGTAATAAGTGGATTAGACAAAATGACTCTTTAATATTCTATAACTACATAAGACAAAAGTTGTCCCTATAAACCAGCATCTCATACAAGTGGAGTTGCAGAGAAAGAAAATAATACTTGAGTTCTAGTCCTAACTCCACCACTGCCCACCAGGTCAACAGAGAAACCACAGATCCCTTCTGTGTAGAATTACAGGGTTGAGTGAATATGATCTCTGATAGTCTCTGATGCTGTTGGTACCAGACAAAAATGTCTGATACTTTTGGTCATGGTGGGCAGACAACATGTGAAAGCAGAAGTGAGTTCAAAGCTGGAAGAGTTCACCATATTTCAGGATCAACTGCTGAGACTTGGATGTCTGGCACCATTTTGATCAAAGGCTCAAACCTGTGCCTCTTGACTCTGGTGTCCAGTGCTGGGAAGTCTATTTGAGACACAGTTTTGCTTCCCTTGCTCTAGGATAAAAGGGAAGTTATAGGCTTGTATTAATTAAACGTCCGTAAAGTGTGGATGAGTGAGGCACATATACAATGAAAGTAAAAAGGGATGTAACCAACCTAAGGAAGGAGTTCTAAATTCCATCACCACACACTAGGCCTATATGAAGAGATAACACAATAATTATAGAAAAGGGATTATAAGCACCAGGACCTGAAAATCACCCCCCTCCTTTTTTTTTTTTTAATGGAGATAGAGTCTTGCTATGTCACCCAGGCTGGAGTGCAGTGGCATGATCTCGGCTCACCGCAATCTCCGCCTCCTGGGTTCAAGCAATTCTCCTACCTCAGCCTCCCGAGTAGCTGGGATTACAGGTGCCACACCCTGCTAATTTTTTGGGTTTTTTTTGTATTTTAGTATCACCATGTTGCCCAGGCTGGGCTCGAACTCCTGAGCTCAGGCAATCCGCCCGCCTCGGCCTCCCAAAGTGCTGGGAAAATCCCCTTTGAATGTCAGGGACAGGTTACCTAGGAGAAAGGCACAGCATTGCAAACATAAAATTAAGCAGTTAATTTCAGAGGAAAAGACTGAGTTTTAGAAAGCCCCTGTTCACTGGAAACAAAAAATGTGACCATACAAAAGAGCCTATAGCATCATTTCCAGTTTAGTCTAGTTAGTAGGGAGGGAATCATGATGTGTTGTGTGTGTGGTCTGGGCCTCAAGCCATTGGGAAATGCTTAGAAGAATTTGATCTACTATGTTTGTAAGTCTGATTTACTTGATTTACAATTTCTACAATTTCAGTACTTAGCAAGATGTTGTTAGATCTGTATTTGAGTGTTTAAAATAAAATCTGTATATATCTTAGTCAATTAAACATTTGAGATAATACAGATGTATTAAAGTTGTCATTGTAGTTTAACATATCCAAGGCAATTTTATTAAATACATAAAATGGTGTTGTTTGAAAAAGAATTTGATCTCACATATCAAATTCAGAAAAGCATTTTTTCAAAGTTACTAAATGTAAAAATAAAATAAGATTTATAATTCAAACTTAAAGTCTTGAAAATTTTTAATTTAAAAATTGTACCTTTAATCAAAGGAATATTGATTAAAATCCAAGTTTGGGATAGAATTCCTGTTCCTGAACAAAATCCCCACTGATATTATTCCTTTCAGCATTTGTCTTCCTGTAGTCTGGCTACCCCAGGCAAAGTGCAGCAGGAGGCAGAAGAATCCCATCATAAGTAGGTAGGCACAAATCTTTCACGTGTTTCTGCCCATGCCTGCATCTGTAGTGCCACCTAGTGTCAGAGAGGGATAATAACATTTTTAGAAGTCAAGGGTGGAGCATGAAACCCATTTCAATTCTCAATTTTTTCTTAAATTCTGAATGTGTGAAACTTTCCAAAATCGTGGTGTCTAAGCCTTTTTTCTCTCTGCTGTCTCATGGCATTTTGTGTTTTCTTGTTTATATTCCCATAGCACATTCTATTCATATCATTGAGTATATTTCTTAGCTTTGGGTTTAGTAAAACCTCTGCCTTCATGCAGCTTGTGCACTAGTAAGATTTCCACTTCTGTCATACTATTTATCACAGCTGGTTCATATCAGCATCATTTATATATGTCCACCTCTTTTATTGCCTGGGAGCTGTTTTCTCAATAGTGCCTCATTACTAAAGAGGGCCTTGCCTTGTGTTCAATGAATACATATGGAATTAAATAGATGAGCAAAAAAGAATATTGAGCATAATGTACAAATAAATTGATTTTATAGATTTAATGTTCCTTTCATCTTTGTGTATTTGGTCAACAATTATTTTCTTCATCTGTTTTATGCTGGAAGTCACACTGTTGTATACTTTCTAGCTAGAATAAGAGATAGGATAATGGAATTTCTCTTCTTTTGCATGAGAATGATTAGACGCTTATAAAAGAAAACGGTCAAGTCTACGATTTTTACAAAATAACATCATTTAGTCATCTTTTCTACTGTATTCTATTTCCTAATTTATCAAATGTTATGTGTCATGTGAGAAAATTTATTCAAGTACTACATACACAAACATCATCTTCCACAAACATGTCCTACTGTTAAATAAACATATCATTAATGAATCACAATGTTCAACTCATTAAAAGAAATTATAATTTTTTTAAAAGATAATTAATACTGGATGAGTTGAGGTAGAAATAATAGGTAATAATAATAGTAGTAGAATAATAGAAATAATAATGAATAAAAAATAATAGAAATATTTTATTTGATCCCAGGATACCTGATATCAAATGTACCATTTTAAGGAATCTTATATACTAGTCTTTTAAAAATGTAAACAATATTAACTAGATTCACAATAAAGAAGCTGATCTGCATAATTTTCATGTATTTGAAGCTCATGCAAATACAGAATGTAAAAACACCTATGATGTTTTGTTTCCTCATTCTAACCCCTAGAATGTGTGAATATGCTATATCACATAGCAAAGTCAGGCTAAGGTTGCTGATAAAATTATAGTTGCTAATCAGCTGACCTTAAAATAGAAAGTTTAGCCTGGCTTATTGAGGTGGGCCCAATGTAATCATGAGGATCTTTAAAAGTGGAAGAGAGAATCAGGAGAGAGCACCAGAGGTGGTAGCATGAGAAGAAGCTCAGCCTGACTTTGCTGGCTTTGCAGATGGAGAAAGAGGGCCAGGAGTGAAGAGGGCAGCCTCTAAAAACTGGAAAAGGCCAGAAAACAGATTCTTCCTAATAATTCTCAGAAAGAAACACTGCCCTGAGGGCACTTTGATTTTAGCCCAATATGTTAGTCCGTTATTGCACTGCTATAAAGAAATGCCTGAGACTAGGTAATTTATGAAAACAAGAGGTTTAAGTGGCTCATGTTTCTGCAGGCTGTACAGGAAGCGTAACAGCATCTGCTCCACTTCTGGGGAGGTCTCAGGAAACTAACAATGATGGTGGAAGGCGAAGGGGAAGCAGGCATGTCTCACATGGCTAGAGCAGGAGGAAGAGAGTTGCAGGGAGGTTCATGGAGGGGATGGTACCAACCCATTCATGAGAAACTGCCCCCATGATCCAATCACCTCCCACCAGGCTCCACCTCCAACACTGGAGATTGCAATCGAACATGAGATATTGATGAGGACACAGATCCAAACCATATCACCCAGTGAGACCCATGTCAAACTCCTAATCTAGAGAACTGCAAGTTAATACATCTGTGTTGTTTCTTTGCCACTAGATGTGTGGTAATGCGTTGTGGCAGTGATAGGAAATTAATTCATTCCTACACCCTTCTACTAAAGAATGATAGAAACTGTTGAAATTGCATTCCATTAGCTGTCAATATTGTTTATATTAAGTATTTAAATTAGGCTGCAAAAGTCAGGCAAGGAATAAACAATCCAGTCTTTTGATAGCAATACCAGAAGGATTTCATTAACTTGGGATTTCCTAACATCCAGTTAGTGATATATTGAGAAAGACCAAAGATCAAACCCCTATTATGGAATAAGAGTTATAGTCATTTATTTAGTATATATACATATACAAATTGTTCATATACAATATATAGTATATATGAGCAATTTACTTCATAACCTCACTCTTTCTATATATATGTGTGTGTGTGAACATATATATATTTATACATATATACATATATGCATTTTTTTCACATATATATTTTATACAGACGTGTGTGTACATATGTGTCTGCACACACACACACACGCACACATATATATATAAAATCCGGAACAAGTAAAAATATAAGATAGCAGACAAAATGTCTCAGTTAGTTACTGGCCAATCTGCATTTGGGTTTTTTCCTGTGCTTTAAAAGTGATATTGAATTTTCTCCAGATTTTCTATGCTGTTCTGATCCAGTTCGTGTTGCAACCCCATTTTCTTGTACCAAAACCTTTATCACGATTTGTAAAAGATTCTCAGTATGTAAAATTGTAATTGCTTCTAGATTTTGTCATCAATACTTTTATAAGGTTTCGCCTTCTCCAATAGACCTGAAAAATGCCAAGTTCTTACTTTGCCTGTTATCCCAGAGTGACTTTGCTTTTAGCTTTCTCAGTGCTTCAGCTCTGCATTGAGTTCTGATCTCTCTCCTAAGTCCTGTGTCTGTGTGCACTCAAAACAACATTGGTAGAGCCAAGTTAAATCCTCCAATATGATGTCAGGTCAGGAGCATAGCTTGAGACTTCTGTTTTCATCGTGGCTCTGCTACTTACTACCTATGTGACTTGGAACAAACTTTGGTGTCCTCCTTATTACTCCATTTCTCATCTATAGAATGGAAGATATTAATACACACCTAACAGAGTGGTTGTCAGGATTAGATGAGTATATATAACACTCATCTACACAAACATTTACCATATAAAATACCATTCCATGATAGTGAATGCTACCATGAAAGTTGTGCTAACCAGAACTAATATTATCAGGAAGTATAAGGAGGCTTAGCTTCTACATGTATAAATCTGAGTATTGATATGATATTGTCAAGACTCTCTTCCTCTCTTAGTTCTGCTTTTTATTTGCGCTGATCTTATTTTCAGGGTATCTGTTTGTGGTAGCAAAATGATTGGCAGTAGCTTCATCTTCTGAGCAACCACAGCAGGAGAAAAAAAAAAAAGGAGTATATCTTTAAAGGTGCTTCAATATAAATCCCAGAATTAGTTCTGATTGGCCCTAACGGAATCATGTGACTAGTCCCTAAACCAATCACCATGTTCAGAAGACTACAAGCCTCTTATTGGACAGTCTGGAAACAGAAGCAAAATAAAATTCGGGGAAATAGAAGTGAAAAAGCTGGCACAAATAACAAGCAAAAGCTTCCAGAAACATCATCCCGTTCAGCTGCATCCATCCTGTACAAAGGAGTCTGGTGAGGGGGCCCAAGCAGCTGCTGAAATCCAGCCAATTCCCCTCTTGTCCCACCTAACTGGGAGCCGAAGATCCTCAGGTGTCCTTTGTGCTAGGTGTGGCCCTGATCACATTCCCTTCCCCACTCCATGTCCCCAGGCCATGAGTAGGGCTAAGCTGAGAGAAGGAGAAAAGCTTTGAACTAAAGGGGAGATAAAAGTCTTATTTTTATTTGACGAGGCATTTTAATACCTAAAAATTACTAATTTTATATATACATAAAATATATATATACATATAAACGCATATATATAAAATATATGTATATATTACATATAACTAGTAATTTTATATAGTAATATATAACTACTATATATATAACTAGTTATATATATAAAAAATATATATATATATATATATTTTTTTTTTTTTGAGACGGAGTCTCGCTCTGTCACTCAGGCTGGAGTGCAGTGTCGTGATCTTGGCTCACTGCAAGCTCCGCCTCTCGGGTTCACGCCATTCTCCTGCCTCAGCCTCCCGAGTAGCTGGGACTACAGGCGCCCGCCACCACGCCCCGCTAATTTTTTGTATTTTTAGTAGAGACGGGGTTTCACTGTGTTAGCCAGGATGGTCTCGATCTCCTGACCTCGTGATCCACCCACCTCGGCCTCCCAAAGTGTTGGGATTACAGGTGTGAGCCACCGCGCCCGGCCGTAATATTCTTATAATACCTAAAAGGGACTGGAAAACTGTGGAATCACCAAGATACATTAAGGGATGAAGACAAATAAGACAGAGCAAACCCGAAGGTAGTAGTTGGAAGAAAAACATAAGACTGTGTTCAGGTTGTGCCTGTTAAGTCAGCTCATTCACTAAAGCTGGTTACTTGTGGGCATGATGGTCTCTTTACAGCATTGCAGAATTTAAAAATTTGTATAAAGAATATATTTATCACTAGGCACGCACCAGGAAACAAAGTTTCATTTCTCTGAAAAACTAACGGAGGCCGAGGAAGGAAGCCAATATTTATCGATGTGAACCATGAACTCAGCCCTGTATCTTCTTGATCCCCTGGAATGCTCCCAAAGATCCTGAGACATGTTATTGTTTCACATTTGAGGAAACTGAGTCTCAGAGATGATAAGTGATTTAACCCAATTCAAAGCAATGGTGTGGGGAGGGTCAAATTTAGTCCATTTTGATGAAAGCGTATTTAATTTCTCATCTCCCATTGTGTGAAAGTGAAAGCAGTTGTAAGATGGGCCCCATCTAAATCTCCACAGTCTCTGGGCACTTACTTGGGAACCCACACATTAGTCCCTCAAACTTTAATCTGCCGGGAGTCACCACACAGCTTTGACCTAGGTTAAAGTGAACTGAAACTGAAAAGGGTGTTGTGTAGTCCAGTTTCTAATCCAAACAGCTGAAGAACAGGGTGTGCGCCATAAATCACTGACCTTCACAACAGTGAACTTTTAATGTGGAGGCAGAGAATTTTTTTCATATTTGTGCAAAAAAAATTTAAGTTAAATTTTTGTGTTCAAATTCCATGCTTGTTCCTGGGGAAGGTGTGTATTCACTGGTGGAAACATTCTCCTTTTCTCTTTGCAGGAACTGCAAAGCCTACATACAAAGCCAAAAAATCTACTATCTAGCCCTTTTGTTTTAAAAAAAAAAAAAGAAAGAAATGCCAATCCCTGTCCTAGAGCACTGGTTGTTAAACTTGGTTGCACATTACCATCACCTGAGGAGCTTTTAAAATTCCAGATGCCCACACCACACACCAGACCAATTAATTCAGAACCTCACGGGGGTGGAACTAGGCGTCATTTTTAAAAGATCTCTGCTAAGTTGAGAACTCCAGAACAATGGTTTTCAAATATTGGTGCGCACAAGAATCACCTGACCTGACTGTCAAAAACGCAGTCCAGGGCCACATTTCCAGATTGTCTGATCTGATAGGACTGGCAGAGGCCCAGGAATCTACATCAGCACACCAGGGCTCATGACATAGGAGCCTCAGGACTTTATTTCAGAAGTAACCAAGGCATACGCCTTCTAATTTCATAAAACTTGCTTTATGAAAAGTTTCACATCAACTCAAGTGTTTACAGAACTATGATTTATAAGAATGAGTCATTACTACAAAGTACAACCTGTACCAGCAGTCCTACTCCTTACCATTAAAAATGATCCTGCACACAGAAAACATTTCACCCACATCCTATTTTACTTTACCTCTGAGTGTCATGACTGCAAAAAAGACAACGAGTTTCCCCAGAACAATTCATAGTCTCTATGATTGCCCTTAGGAGTTTGGTTTTTATTAGCATAGAAAGAAGGAATGAATAATTGTTAATAATTTGAAACATCTAGAAATACTTGTATTCCTCTGACTGTGCTTAGGGTTGCTTTAAAAACTAGCAGAACAAAAAGCTCATTTTTATTCAACTGCAATATTTAAAAATTAATAATAACTGAACTTTTAGGACAGCAGTGTCGGTGACCAAAATTTCTAATCAAATTATGATAAATGTGTACCAAACCCATTGTTTTTACAGGGTCTCTGTACTATCTGTGTAATGGCAGGGACCTTAAATCAGTAGTTCCCACATGACTTCAGTTTCTACATTTGCAGGACCTGTGTGTGGCAGTGGCTTTTCAGATTCCTCCTCCTTCTTTGGGCATTACTAGGATAAATGTAATTAAAGTAGTCAGTGAGATCCTCATTAAGCCTGCCTTTCACATCTACTGAGATCCTAGTGGAGTTTCATATAGGTCTTTCACAGTCTCATGGAGGAATCACCATCTTATCACTTATTTTCCTTTTTTTTTTTTTTTTTTTTTTTGACAGGATCTCACTCTGTCACTCACGCTGGAGTGCAGTAGTACAATCTCAGCTCACTGCAACCTCCCTCTCCTGGGTTCAAGCGATTCTCCTACCTCAGCCTTCTGAGTAGCTGGGACTACACCCAGCCAATTTTTGTATTTTTAGTACAGACAGGGTTTCACCACGTTGGCCAGGCTGTTCGGTCTTGAACTCCTGACCTCAAGTGATCCACCTGCCTCAGCCTCCCAAATTGCTAGGATTACACACCTGGCCTATTTTTCTTTCATTTACCCTCATGTCTACTAAAGGCTTGTTGGGATCCTGACTGATATCTGCGCAGTCAGGCAACGGGAGAAAAGTGAAGGAAAGCACACGTGAGATATTGATTGATTGGTTTTGCTTCCTAAAATTCAAAGACATCAAAATATCCAATAGAAAACCTAGCACATCCTTTCTAGTAGCAGTCATTTGGCTGCATGGATTAACAATCCAACCTTCCACCGGATGAAATAACTTTTGGGAAAAAATGAAAATTTTTTTTTTCCAGAAGAGAAGATGCTAAGCACCAAAGAGATGAGCTGGAAGGAAGGTCAGTTTTTCCCCAGTGCATGAAGAAGACTGATTCTAAAGCAAGGAATTCCTGGCAACTTGGCGGTTCTTCGCTCAGTGTCAGAATTTTAAAAACTAACAAATGTCATATTTCAGTTGGCCACAAGATGGCAGGATTTCGGCACATTCCCACAGATAATGGCCTCCTCTTCCCATCAGGATTAATGGATGGTAGTGATTTAAGCGTGACACTCTCTTCTCAAGAGACTTCATACTCTCATAAATGAAATACGAATATGGTTCAAGGACTTATGTTTTATAGTTTTAAAATACCAAGAGTCAGCGATTCACATAATATAACTGGCATCCACAAATGCTAAAGCTATGGAAAAGGTTCTAGTTTTGTTAATGGGCCTCTCATCTATCTCACTGGATGAGGCCTGGGAACCACCTGGACTCTGTTTTCCTTTGCTAAGCCTTTCTCAGAAGGAGCAAGTCTTGCTGCTACTGTGGACACACAGCTTCTGGGAGTTCCACAGGACCACGTGCGGAGAAAGGAAGGGAAGCAAACTTTGAAGGTGGAAATAAAGGAAAAGGTTGTGGGGGAAAAGAGAATGTTTTCACTTTGAGTTAAAAAAAAAAAAAGAGGGACAAAGAAGTGTCCAGTAGGGTACAGCCTGTCAGAAAACCCCAGACTGTGATACAGCTCTAACATATCCATTCATTCGTTCATTCATTTGTCCATCCGGTATTTATTAAGCAATTGTGTCTCAAGGAATGGAAAAAGGGGAAAAAATATTCTACCCTGAAAGAGCCAGTCCATTAGAACATTTCTTGAAAAGACTGAGAAAAAGAAAAATTCCATATGATAACTAGACTAAAACAAAAGAAAACTACAGAGCGATTGGAAAAGGAATTGGCAGAATTACAAACCATGTGAAGAATGAAGAGGGCGCCCTGCAGGGGTTATCAACAAGGAGTAATAGGGGGCCATGAGATCAGATAAAAAGTTAGAAACTGGGTGCTCCTGGGGAGTTGGGGGTTGAACATTTATTCGTAGGAAGGTTGGGACCCCATTTGGTGGGAGGAAGTTGGGACTGGAATTAGAAACAACAACAAAAAGTACTTGAGTTTCATCAGAGATTTCAGGACTGGCTCGTTGTATGACCTTGAGCGATTAGCTAAATCTTTCTAAGCTTCAATTCCTTCATCTGTAAAATGGATCCTGCAATAACTAACTAGGGGAGCTAATAAGGATGATAAAGGTGAAAACATAAGGGAGTGTGCCTGGAATAGAATTGTTCATTATATAATGTCAGTTGTTCTTCTTCCCTGTTGGACCATTTAAGAAAGTTAGCAAAAAATATACGGAGAGCAGGGCCCTCCGTGCTGAATAGCTAAACAGACACACTTTGATCCCAGAAGCCCAGCTCCTCCCCGGCACTCATACCTGCAGTAAAGGCAACGGTGATGGATTCCTGGCCTCAGAAATCCTGAGCTAGATTGATAGAGGCCCTATGCTGCATTCCACCAAGAGGCATGGAAACACACTGTTTGCCTTTTTATATAAACATATATACATGCTCCTCATGATAAGGAGAAAGAGAGAGAGACAGAGAGTTTAAACTATGAACCCTCTTTACACAGTACAATCCCATACTCCTGTTCATGTAACCACACAGCAGGCTGGGTTGTGGTCTCCTAGTTTTGACTGATGCGTGTGTGTGTGTGTCCGTGTGTGTGTGTCTGTGTCTGTGTATGTGTGTGTGTGTCTGTGCCTCTGTGTGTGTATATCCTCATATATGCATGTCCATGTACCTGTACCTGTAACTCAGATGCTGGCCATCTCCAGATGAACCCCATCTTTTCCCCTTTCCAACCTGGAAGCTGATGGTAGCATTTTTCTACACTCTACACAAAGGAAATTCACTCCACAGAGCATTAGGAGTGATGCAGAATTTGCTGAAGTCTTCTTCACCCTATGGCAATTCTTTTCTAAGTCTTCCTTCACCACCACCACCAGTTGGGAATTTGCTTCTCTTTGACCTTCCCTAACACTGCACCGAGCCTTGAACCTGCCCACTGCCCTCCTTTATAATACTGAGCCTCTGCCTCCTTCCCCTTGAACTTCAGCCCTCAGGCTGAGGCACTTTTCTGATGTACAAGGGTCTTTTCAAAGCTTCTTTTCAGCAAAGATGATCCCTTCCTAAAAATAATTTCTGTGCCAGTTATCATAAAGATTAATAATTTTCTCCACATTATAATGTCTATATGACTATAACCGCATACATTATTACATATAGAAATGTTTTTAACATGAAATGGAATCATATGATCATATCATGCATATTGTTTTCTGATTTTCAGTTGCTCCTCAATTATATATTTTGTGTATCTTTCCAACTTATTAGAAATAAGTCAAACTCATTTTTTTAAATTACTGAATAAAATTAGTACTTTAATGTGAGACAAGGTCAATTTCTTTGTGCTGCAATTTTGTTATTGACAAGATAGAACATAATAACACAGAGTTATAATGAGAATTCCTCAGCTACAATATTAGAGACCTTCAGTTGCTTAGAAGAAGTGAGATACTTAAATAATAAAAATTACATTAGCTATATAAATAATGCTAATAAAAGTTGCTAATATTTCATCAGCATTTTTCTATGTGCCAGGACCTATTCATACTCATTTATATGCAACAACTCATTTAATCCTCATAGCAACCCTATGAAGGAGATACTATTATTATTCCCATTTTATAGATGATCTTTCTGAGTCATGGGAAAGTCAGTAAATTGCTCAAGGCAACATAGCCAATAAGTGACATTGCCAAAATGCGTGAGTCTGGCTCTAGAGTCTGTGTTGTTAATCACTAAACCATCTATCATCATCTCCAACAGGAAATACTTTGTACAGGCTTGCTTGCCAGGGACCTGAACTGGCTGTCGTTGACCAAATTTAATAAACGTGCTCACTGCAAGTGGCGCTCCAGCTGATCCTGGCTTGGGGCTCTCTGCACTGCTCCAAATCAGGCAGCCAGGCCAAAAGAAGATATGTAGAGTCCATGGGGAACAAAGCGAGGCAAGGTCTGCTGAGCAAGGCATGGCTTAGAGGGAAAAGTGGGGTTGTGGGGAGAAGCTACAAGGAGACAGAATAAAATAATGAAGAGGAGTGCTGCCAGGCACCTGGCCCAGCTGAGGAAGCCTCTGAGGTGCGCATGCCAAATCTCAGCAGCTCCAAGCCCAGCTCCCAGAATAGCTGGAAGGAGGCACACTGCCAGCGAGCCACTTATTACAGCCAGAGCTGGGAGCACTTAATCAGATGCATCCGGTTTGTGTTCACAAGATATTAGGCGGAAATATGTGGTCAACTGCAATGAATTGGCATGCCCTGTAGTGGGCCAGCCATTGCCGGAAGCCATGTCTCCCACAAATTGAAACCTAATCTTTCTCTCCTCTAAGTGCCTGCCACAACTAACTGATTATGTACATTTAATCTCTGTCTGATATACTATCTAAGGAAGAGGAAATATTTCTTTTTTGTGATGGCTCTATGGAATTGAGAGTGCATAAAGCTAGTAGGACCACATACATGGAACACCCAGGGCAGGTATCCATCAGATAAGGCCAGTCTCCGACCTCCAGCAGGTTACTACACAGTGAATGTCACCTGATGCATCAGGCCCAGGAAGGCTGGCATAGAAAACGTGAAAACATCATGGAGAGGGTTAAGATGACCCTAAGGATTGCTGCCAGGAATTCCCACAAATGACATATCATTGTTGCTAGTTGGCTCCAAAGTCCTCCTGAATTAAGAGCTAACAGTTGGCGATCTCAGTGTATTTGGGGTGTTTACTATTCTTTTGAGTATTTTTTTTCTCCTAAAATTGCATTGCAGACACTCCTGGTGTCCTGTCCAGATTCCCTTACCAGGCCAGTGCACTCATCAACCAGTCGCTGTGACTGTTCCAGAGGATTGCCACCTTACCAGGACATGACTGGAAAAATTGTACTAATCCCACAAGTGTCCTATGGCCTGTGGCAGACTGAAGTGAGGTTACAACAGTTCAGCCACCTCACCCATGGGCAACGCAAACTTTTTATTGCATTTAAACATCAAAATTCCTTGGGGGATCAGTCTGAAGCTAATATTCTCCTAAAACCTTGATTTACCTAGCTTATCTTGCCCTATCTTGCTTCCCTTCCTCCCCTATAGCTTTGTCCTGAAAGTGTTCCCTCAGTAATTCACCTGGACAAAAATCCCTGCCTCAGGCTCTGCTTCTCAGAACCCTGGCCTAAAACAGCATGTAAAATCCTTGTCAGCAAAGACCTTATAGTAAACACACGCCACCAGAGCAATACAATGCAGTTTCCCCAATCTCAGCTATTCATACACACTGCCTACATTATTTTCCCATATTTGCATATTGCTTATACAGCTATTTACCTAACAGTTGTTTGTAAGTAGTTTTCAAACTAACTCCTTTTTCAAAAAACTAGCCTTACCCTAAAAAAATCATAATTCTGCAACCCTGATTTTGAGGCACTAATGAGATTTACCAATTACACAGTGAAATAATGTGTGTATATACATTTACATATGGGCATTAATCTATGTATAACTTAAAATTATTCCATCTTTCACCATGAATTATATGTACATGAACCACATCTTTAAAAACATCATAAAATGAAAAGCATGGTTTGTAAAATCTGTTATTCTACTTTATAGTACTGCTACAGAGCTATCTCATATTGAAGGTAGAATAAATTCTTGCTGATGTTTCTAAATTCAATAAATACTTTTAAATTTTCTCTTAGCCCATGATCTTGCCAATAGTTCTAAGGGGGATGAGTGAAACATGACGTAAAAAGAGGAAAGAAGTATCAATTTTTTAAAATAAAGAAATAATTAAAAAATCCTTAGCATTCTATCTTCAGTGCTTAGATTTTTCTGGGATCATCTGCTAATCTGCTCCTGTCACACAGGAACACTTTACTCAATGATTGAATTGACAGTGACTTGCAAGGAAAGAGGAGCTTCCAGAAACTTGAATTTCCTATTGCAAGGATGATTATCTGACATCATGAAACTCAGATACTCCTTTCAGAAAAGGAAGAGCCATTGGCAGCCATTATGGCAGGTTTTGGACCATACAGGAATGCTTGACATTGCACATTTTCCTCCAAGTTGTAGCAATGAGTTAAACCGCATGACCCTCACAAAGAGTATTTCAATGTGGAAGGTAAAAAGCCAACTGTCAACAAAATACTTTAGAGTCAGGATTTTGATTCTCATCTCCAGCGTAATGTCTTTTCTGATCCATTCATCCTTCATACATTCTTTTGGGAACAATCTAGTACTGAGGAAGTAGAAGCCTAAAGACCACAGTATCTTGAAATACATGCTTTGCACAGTTGCAAAGGTTGCCAAAATCATACATTTCAAACCTGACAGGACAAGTTTAAAATTAGACACTACAGAAACATTGCACCTCTAAATCAGGGAAATGAGTGCAAGCTTGGTATTAAAAAAACCTACTTAACTGTCATAAAATTCTTTCCAAAACTAAAACCTGTTCTTTAGAAAGTAATTCTTCATGTTTTTATCCACCTGGACATGCTTCATTGAATGACAAGATCTGCTGACAGCAGAACTTCAGCTCCATTAATGTATCGATTAATATATCTGTGCATAGAATTTCCTGGTACTGGGTATAGGATTTCTCTGATGCAGGAAAGTACATCAATTTGGTCTTATTCTTTAACTGGCAAGGAGTTTTCTTTTACAAGAGATTTGGTTATATATTCCAGTAGTAGTTACATGAGTTTAATTTTTTTAAGTGCAATCCCTATATGTCCCTTCATTCTCAGAAGGTTTTCTTCTTAAAGGCTCGTTATTGTGACAGTAGTTGCCTGAGTGATCTGTCTGCTTCCATTACTCAATAGCTATAGCCTTAGGAGTCTAATTCTGTCCTTTCTTGTAGCTCTCTAATTTAGCTGAGTGTATCAACAAGAGACATTATACCTTAAAGCCAAGCCAATCCTCTCTCCATGGTGGAATGTGGACCAAAATATAAGAACTTTTAATTATATATTTTAAATTTAAAAAATAAGAAAGTAAGCTTTTCTAACACATCATATATGGATTTATACTGGTGTCCTAATGTATTCATATGGAAAAGAAGCAAGTGTCACATATGGTCACCAAGGCATGCTGGGAGAAAGGCAGAAATTCTAAGTATAGAGGAGGGGTCAGTGCTGGCTTCATGCCATAGACTTCATGCCATCTTGCAAAAAACATGGACTAAACATAATACCAATAATTCACAGACAAAGAAAAATTGGCAGAAACTTCCATTTCTAATTTGATCTCTTTATAAGCACATCAAAAGGTTGAAAACAATGAGGATGTAATTAGATAAGACAGGAAGTAAGCCAAAATGATTTGAAATTATCCAGGCTGTTTGAATCTCATGCTAGGTGTGTTTGCTGCTTTGAAATGTTTGCAAATGATAATGTGGAGCCATCATGATTAGTGAGACGTTTGGGATCTGAGCATCCAGAGAACGCACACAAACATTTACAATTTTTTTCCAGTGATGTTTCAAGCTGCATTAAGCCCAATTTGCTGACCTGTTCAGGGAGAACTAGTGATTTTCAGTAATGTGCTACCCAGAAGATATATTTCTCAAAATAAATATATAATCTATTCCTTCAAGGTAAAGGTGAGTTTTTTTTAACAAAGAGTGAGAACCTACCTGTTTTTTTTTTGTTTTTTTTTTATTATACTTTAAGTTTTAGGGTACATGTGCACATTGTGCAGGTTAGTTACATATGTATACATGTGCCATGCTGGTGCGCTGCACCCACTAACTCGTCATCTAGCATTAGGTATATCTCCCAATGCTATCCCTCCCCCCTCCCCCCACCCCACCACAGTCCCCAGAGTGTGATATTCCCCTTCCTGTGTCCATGTGATCTCATTGTTCAATTCCCACCTATGAGTGAGAATATGCAGTGTTTGGTTTTTTGTTCTTGCGATAGTTTACTGAGAACGATGATTTCCAATTTCATCCATGTCCCTACAAAGGACATGAACTCATCATTTTTTATGGCTGCATAGTATTCCATGGTGTATATGTGCCACATTTTCTTAATCCAGTCTATCATTGTTGGACATCTGGGTTGGTTCCAAGTCTTTGCTATTGTGAATAATGCCGCAACAAACATACGTGTGCATGTGTCTTTATAGCAGCATGATTTATAGTCATTTGGGTATATACCCAGTAATGGGATGGCTGGGTCAAATGGTATTTCTAGTTCTAGATCCCTGAGGAATCGCCACACTGACTTCCACAATGGTTGAACTAGTTTACAGTCCCACCAACAGTGTAAAAGTGTTCCTATTTCTCCACATCCTCTCCAGCACCTGTTGTTTCCTGACTTTTTTAATGATTGCCATTCTAACTGGTGTGAGATGGTATGTAGAAAGCTGAAACTGGATCCCTTCCTTACACCTTATACAAAAATCAATTCAAGATGGATTAAAGATTTAAACGTTAGACCTAAAACCATAAAAACCCTAGAAGAAAACCTAGGCATTACCATTCAGGACATAGGCATGGGCAAGGACTTCATGTCCAAAACACCAAAAGCAATGGCAACAAAAGACAAAACTGACAAATGGGATCTAATTAAACTAAAGAGCTTCTGCACAGCAAAAGAAACTACCATCAGAGTGAACAGGCAACCTGCAAATTGGGAGAAAATTTTCGCAACCTACTCATCTGACAAAGGGCTAATATCCAGAATCTACAATGAACTCAAACAAATTTACAAGAAAAAAACAAACAACCCCATCAAAAAGTGGGTGAAGGACATGAACAGACACTTCTCAAAAGAAGACATTTATGCAGCCAAAAAACACATGAAAAAATGCTCATCATCACTGGCCATCAGAGAAATGCAAATCAGAACCTACCTGTTTTTAAAGGGACTTGTCATGCAAAATATATTTGAGAACTGCTATCAGCTAATGTTTGGATCACTATGTGATTTTGTTGCTGAAAATCATGTCACTTACGAAAACTCTCATATCTGCATGCTTAAAAATACAGCCATAAATTTATTATTTAACCTATATCAAAAATATCCCAAATAGTTTTGATGGATTTTGAATATTTTTAAAAATAGAAATACAACATATTACTACTTATTTTCAAGAGTGATCAACATCAGGGAAAATAGAAATACAATAACTGAATTTTAACGAAAACCTTTGTGTAATTGATGGGTGGAATATAAAAATCAGTATCATAATACAATAAGCATAGACAACTCTGTACTTCATTTATTTAGTTCTCTAAATATTTGAGGATATTTTAAAAGATATGATAGCCATTACAATCAATTTCTAAAATGAACAGAAATGAGAAACTTCCACTTCTTCCAAAAATGGACTAATGGAAAACAGATTTACCATCCTACTTGAAATGGGGGGAAAAACCAGAGAAAATAAATAAAACCAAGATTTTCATGACATTGGACATCAGGCAACAAAAAACAGTGATCCATGACAAATGGGAAACAAATAAGATAAGCCTCAGTGGATTCCAGCTTACTGCCTTCAGAGAAATTCCAGGCAGCAACTTAAGGAGGGGAAACATGGACAGAGTCAAGTGAACTCCCTGAATTGAGGGAATAAGCTGAGAGTCCATAAAATCCAAGGTGGCTAGACTTTGCAAAGCAGAGTAGCAGAAAAGAGAAAGCTACAAAGTGAGAGGACCCCAAAGACCTGCAGAGGATACATCCTCAAGCGATAAGTAGAATGCTCATTAGTGCATGTATGTGAGGAAATTACCCAGTTCCAGGGAAGAACCACCTGAAAGGATTAGAGAGAACAACAGCCAGTGCTCATACAGGACTGGGAACAGTGCTAGTTTCCACCAGCCAGCCTGGAAAACTTCATAAATACCAGTGCATTTGTTAGAGGACTCAAAAAGAGTCTTGCCTCAGGAAGGTGAATAATTAGTGTGCTCAGGTTCCACCTGCCAAATCAAAAACTGTCTCAACAGGATGAGCTGTTTTGCACTAACTTAACTGTATCACAGAACTAAATTCAAGAATATATGTCACAACACAAAATATACACTACCCAATAATGTAAAGTTTATCATTTCTGATGCCCATTCAAAAATTACTTAACACCTAAAGAAGCAGGTTGCAATCCATGCAAAAGACAAAAATCAATTTAGTGAAGCTGATCCAGAACCGTCAGAAGTTTTAGTTAGCAGACAACATCTAACATTTATTATAACTGTATTCCATATGTTGAAAAGTTAAGTAGAAACATGAAAGATACTTTTTAAAAGACCCAAGTAAAGTCCTTGGAAATGGAAGCAATAATACCCATAGTGAAAACTAAACTAGATAGGAGAAACAACAGATTAGATATTGCTGAAAAAATATTACTGAATTTAAAGACATAGTAATAGAAACTTCCTGAAATGAAACAGATTAGAAAAGGAAAAAAGCATCACTGCTCTGTGGAACAATTTCAAGAAGCCTAATAGTCATGTAATTGGAGTCCTCAAAGGAGATGGGAGGGAGGAGAAGAAATATAAGATGAAATATGGATAAGTTTTTCTTCCAAATCTGAAGAAATATATAATATAAATGCACGGATCCAATAATCTCAATAAATACTAAGTATATGTTGAGAGATATGAAGAAAATCACACCAAAATACATCATGTGCAAACTGCTCAAAACCAATGATAAATAGAAAATTCTAAAAGCAGCCTGAGAAGTGAGACATGTTAGGTACAAAACAACAAGAATCAGCATAATGGTAGATTTCTCATTAGAAACAATTAAGTGAGAAATAAATGGAGTGAAATCTTTAAAGTACTGAAAGAAAAATACTACCAGCCAAATTTTATACCCAGATAAAATATATTTGAAAATGAAGACAAAATAAAGACTTTTTAACACATAAAAATTTAAAGAATTTATCTACAACTACTTAAACTTTAATAAATATTCAAGAAAGTCCTTTAGGAAGAATTAAAATTACAGCAGATGGAAATGTGGGTCTACACAAAGATACGAAGAGCACTGGAAATGGTACCTATGCAGGGAAATCTATAAGATTGTTTCCTTATTATTTACATGTCCTTAAAGAGTAATAGACTATTTAAACAAAAATAATTACAATGTACTGGTAATAAAATATGTACAAATAAAATATGTAACACAAGGATGGGAAAAGAAAAATGAAAGTATACTGCTACTATAAGTTTCTTATACTATACATGAAGTAGTATGATGTTATCAGAAAAAAGGACTGTGATAAGATAAAGATGTATACTATAAACCTTAAACCAACCAGTAAAGTAATACAAAAAGAATTATAGCTAATAAGTCAAAAAGTAGATAAACTCAAATTATAGAAATTTATGATTTATCCAAAGGAAGATAAGAAAGGGATAAAATGGAAACAAAGAACAGATAAACCAAAGATAAAATAAGATCATACATTTAAACCCAACCATATTAATAATCTTATTAAATTGGATTTATGTAAATACCCATTAAAATGTGAAGATTGACAGGTTTGATAAAAAAAAAAGCAAAACCTATCTGTATGTTTTCTGTGAGAAACACTTCAAAAATAAAGACAGAGTAGGTTAAAAGTAAAAGGATAGGAAAAGATATACCATGCGTACACTAATCCAAAGAGATGGGCATGGCTATGCTAGTATCAGGCAGAATATGTTTCAGAGCAAATATTAACATGGATAGAGTCATTTCACAATTGTAAAAAGCTCAATCTACCCAGAGAACATAACAATCCTAAGTTTTTGTATCCCTAATAACAGAGCTTTGTATACATGAAAAAAGATTGATAAAATTGTTAGGAGAAATAGACATATCTATAATTATTGTTTGAGACGTCAACACCACTTTCTCAATAGCTACTAGAACTATAGACAACATAAGTATATAGAAGACTTGAATAACACTACCAACCAACTTGACCTATTTGACGTCTATATGATATTCCACCTAACAGCAACAGAATACACTTTATTTTCAAGTGCACAAGGAATATTTACTACAATAGACCATATTTTGGGCCTAACCTTTGATAAAGTTAAAAAGATTTAGGTCAGAAAAAATACTTTCTCTGGGCACAATGACTTAAATAAAAAAACTAATAACAGAACAGGAAGATCTCTGGAAAAGTACTCAAATGTTTGTAAATAAGCCCATGGATCAAGAAAAAAATCAAAGGCAGAAATTATAAAGTATTTTGAGCTAAACATAAATGAAAACACAATATACCAACATTCATGAGATGCACCTAAATCAGTGATTCTCGGCTTGGGTAATTTTGCCCACTTGCTTTCAGGGGACATTTAGTAATGTCTATAGACATTTTGATTGTCATAATGGTGGGGAAGAGGAGAGATGCTACTGGCATCTAGTAGGAAGGAATCAGAGATTCTGCTAAACCTCCTACAATGCACAGGATAGCTCCCCATAATAAAGCAGTATCTAGCCCCAAAATGTCAATAGTACCTCTATCGAGAAATCTTGATCTCAACCAATAACAAGGGAAAACTTTATAGCACTAAACACCTATATTTAAAAAGAACAAAAACCAAATAAATGAACTCAGCTCCTGCTTTAAGAAACTAAAAGATCAAATTAAACCCAAAGCAAAAGAAAAGAAATAATAAAGGCTTGAGCAGAAATCAATTTTTTAAATGGAAAAACAATAGGTAAAATCAATAAAACCTAAAGTTGGTTTATTCTGAAGATCAACAATATTTATAAACATCTAGCCAAACCGATCAGGAAAAAGAAGAAGACACAAATTATCATATCAGAAATAAAAGAGAAATTAAAATAATAATAAGTTCATTCAAGGAAAAATAGATACCTTGCATAGACCTATACCTATAAAAGAGATTAGAATTTTAATTACAAGGCTTCCAAATAAGAAAATTATAGGCCTGGATGGCTTCACTGGTAGATTCATGCAAACATTTAAGAAAGATATAATACCAATTCTATACAAACTCCTTCAGAATATAAATGGAACTTCATCGCAAATTGTGCTATAACAAAGTTACTCTGATACCATAACCACACAATGACATTACAAGAAAATAAACTATATTACAATATCCTTCAGGAGCATAGGTGCAAAAAAATCCAAAAATTATTTTTTAAATTCTTAACAGTGTTTATGTATTGGAAGAGTCAATATTGTCAAGATTTCAATCCTTTCCCAAGTTAATTTACAGATTCAAGGCAGTCTCAATCAAACTGCAGCAGGCTTTTATAGAAATTAACAAGCTGATTCTCAAGTTCATAGGAAAATGGGGGAGACTTAGAACAGCAAAGCAACCTTTAAAAAGAACAAAGTTGGAGGACTAGTACTACCAGTTTTCAAAACTTGTAAAGCTGCAGTAATCAAGATAGCATATTATTAACCTCAAAATTGACAAATAGATTTGTGGGACCTGTACAAAGTTCAGAAATAAACTCATGCATATAAGGACAACTTATTTTTCACAAAAGTGCAAAAGCAATTTATTGGACAAAGTTTTTTTTTCAGAAAATAATGCTGAAAAAATGTTCCTATTTTTTAAAAACAGAACGTTAATCCATACTTTATATACAAAAATTAACTCAAAATGGATCACAGACTAACTGCTGGAAGAAAACATGTGAGAAAATCTTTTTGACCTAGGGTAAGGCAAAGATTTTTTTGATTCAACACCAAAAACATGATTCAAAGATTTAAAAAAATGACAACTTGAACTACATTAAAATAAACACTTTCTATTATTTGAAAGACACTGTTAAGAGAATGAACAAAAAGAAATAGAGTGGATTAAAATATTTGCAAATTGCATAGGATAAAGAAATTTTATCTAAATATATAAATAACTCTTGGAACAAATAATAAGAAAATTAACAACTTAAACAAAAAAGGGGGAAAAGGTTTGAACAGACAGTTTACCAAATAAGATAAATGGATGGCAAATAAATACCTATGGTAAAATTAAATTTATAATTTAGGTACAGTAAGAGGTTAGCAATAATAAATAATAAAGTGAAAATTATAATACATTGTAATAAAAATTGTTACTGTCATATCTCAATCTCTCTCTCTGTCACACACATACACACACACACACACACACACACACACACACAACATCTTATTATACAGTACTCATCTATTTTTGGACTGTGGTTGACTGTGGGTAACTGAAGCCACAGAAGGCAAAACCACAATAAGAGGTAACTACTGTATATTTCTTTCCTAATCATTCTGGTTCTGCAGAAATAGCTATAGAATAGGTCTCAGTCTCATTAGACCAACTGTGAGATAGATTTGGCCAAGGTCAATCTGTTCCATTAGATCTTGTCCTTCATAAACTTCCACTCTGATAATCGTACTGATGTGTCATTATGAGTCTCCAAGTATTAATGTCTATCCAGTCAGTATCTAATAATTCCTGGGAGCCCTGGACATTTTCCTGTTCCCATTTTACAGCTGCTCTAGTTAATGGCCATAGGTCTCTTTAGGGAAGGCTTGGGACTGGCTGTAAAACGTGTTCTCCACTTTATTTGAGAAATTTAAAGCTTGTGAACTGAGGAGTGAAAACTAGCTGAGAAGCTGTAAACCCTTTCTGAAGGCTCATTAAAATTAAAATCTTAATTTTAACATTTTCTGATGTAGTGAGTCAAAGTCTAGGTTTAAATTTAGTTTTGTTTAAATATTTCTTTTTATTCTCAGTACTTGGGTGATGGGTACTGAGAATAAACTCCAAAGTTTGGAGTCAGCATCATGTAATATATTCAGGTAACAAACTTGTATATATATCCCCTGAATCTAAAATAAAAGTTGAAAAAGAAAAATAATAATAATAAATTAAAAGATGGAAATGTTTCAAATATATTTATTGGAGTACAGTTAATATGCATAAAGTGTGCATATTTAAAATGCACAGTGTAATATTTTGACAAATGTACATACCCATGAAACCATCACTATAATCAAGATAATGAAAATACACATCATATTTTAAAGTTACCATGTATCCCTTTGTAAACGCTCATTCCGGTCCCTCCTGCTTAATACTAAGGCAACCACTGATCTACTTTCCGTTATTATACGTTTGTTTGCGTTTTCTAGAATTTTCTATAAATGGAATCATACAGTACATACCATTTTGTGTATAGTTTCTTTCAGTCAGCATAATCATTTTAAGATTCATTCACGTTATTGCTTCTATCAATAGTTCAATGCTAAATAGAATTCCACTACATAAATATGCCATGATTTGTTTATCCATTCACCTGTTGATGAATATTTCGATTGATTCCAGTTTGTGGGCTATTACAAATTAAACTGATATGAACATTCATGTACAAGTTTTTGAATGGACATATACCTTCATTTCTCTTGAGTGAAAACAATAGGGACATGTTCTAAGAAATGCATCATTATGTGATTTTGTAGTTTTGTGAACACCACAAAGTACTTACAGAAACCTAGATAATATAGCCTACTACACACCTAGGCTATGTAGTATAGCCTATTGCTCGTAGACTGCAAACCTGTACAGCTTGTCACTGTACTGAATATTGTAGGCAACTGTATCACAATGGTATTTGTGTATCAAAATACATCTAAACATAGAAAAGGTACAGTAAAAATATGGTACAAAATACAAAAATGGAGGCTGGGCGAGGTGGCTCACACCTGTAATTCCAACACTTTGAGAGGCCCAGGTAGGCGGATCATTTGAGGTCAGGAGTTCAAGACCAGCCTGGCCAACATGGTGAAACCCTGTCTCTACCAAAAATACAAAAAAAAAAAAAAAAAGGAGCCAGGCATGGTGGCGTGCACCTGTAATCCTGACTACTTGGGAGGCTGAGGCATGAGAATAACTTGAACCCAGGAGGCAGAGGTTGCAGTGAGCCGAGATCATGCTACTGCACTCCAGCCTGGGTGACAGACTGAGACCCTGTCTCAAAAAATCTATCTATATATAAATGGTACCCCTGTATAGGGCACTTACTATAAATGAAGGTTTCAGGACTGAAAGTTGCTCAGGATGAGCAAGTGAGAGAGTGGTGAGTGAATGTGAAGGCCTAGGACATTATTGTACAATAATGTAGACTTGATAAACACTGGACACTTAACCTACATTAAATTTATGAAAAAATTTTCTTCAATAATAAATTATCCTTAGTTACTGCAATGTTTTCTACTTTATATACTTTTTAAATTTTAACTTTTGACTCTTGTAATAATATTTAGCTTAAAACACAAACACATTGTACAACTATAAAAAATATTTTCTTCCTCTATATGCTTTTTCTATACAGTTTTTTCTGTATTTAATTTTTTATTGTTGTTGAAAATTCAGACTCAAGTACACATATTAGCCTAAGCCCACACAGGGTCAGGATCATCATCACTGTCTTCTAACTCCACATCTTGTCCCATTGGAAGGTCCTCAGGGGCAACAGCACTCATGGACTGTCATTTCCTATGACAGCAATGCCTCCCAGACGAATACTCCTGAAGGAACTGCCTGAGGCTGTTTTACAATTAACTTCAGTTTTTAATAAGGAGAAGGAATACACTCTAAAGTAGCAATAAAAAGTACAGTGTAGCAAATACCAGGCGGTAGGAAATTTGCAATGTAGCTGACCATTACAGTCCTATAGGACTGCGTCATATATGTGGTCCCTCATTAACCAAAATATTGTCATGCAGAACATGACTGTATATGGGGTTTGGAACTATCCATGGTTTCAGGTATATAGTGTGGGCCTTGGAAGGTATCCTCCACAGTAAGGGGTCAGTGGGGGCGAGTAGCTATTGTCATTGGTAAAAGACAGAAACTTTAGGTTGGTTCCCTGATTCATTGCTATTATGATATGAATGATCAAGTGAAAGTTCCTCCAATCAAACCCCTGTCCAACCCCTTCACCAAAGCAGTAAGTCAAAACCAACACCATGTCCTTAGCTGTATTAAAGAGATCAGTGCTACCATCTAAGAACTGAACATCTCTGGGTAGAGTTTTTACCATTTAACTTGCCCATTTGGCTGGTGCAGAGGCCAACACGTTCTGGGAGAATGACAGTGGGTTATTGACAACATAATCAGAGGTAATCCTAATCACAGATGTAGCTCAGAATATGGTATCTTTATTACAGAAAATTAGCACAGCATCTGGCTCATAGTATGCAGCTGTTCTGGATATGGAAATGTCTTTTCTGTCTGCAGGGTTTCTATCCAGTAACCATTTGTAGACTTACAGAAAACCATCTTCATTGTTGTGATATCTCATTCAACATCACATCCAACTGGGATACCTTTATTGCCTAGAAAGTGCAGCAATGAGCTCTACTCACAATTCACTGATGTTTCACGTATCTTATCACCCAGAAAAACCAAGCAGTAGAATGGTCTGTTGAGAACTCATTATGGTACCAGCTGGCATGCAATTCCTTAAATATGGGTTGCTGTCCTTTTGGATATGATATGTGCCATCACCCAACCAACGGACGATGTATGGAATGCTTTTAAAATCTAATTTCAAGACTCACAATACTTATGTTCTTTAATTGAAAATGGTATTGCTACATTGTTTTCAAATAAAGAGGCAACCAGAGTATGCACTAAAAAGTGTAGGAAAAATTACAATAAAGATATGTCAGATACAAATATAGGTTATTTTTCTGGATTTTTTATATTGTTTGTGGTATTTATTAACATTTGTTTAATTTATTGTGATTTTTTTCCTCATTCAAAAGAAATATTTGCTTTTACATGTAATATTGTATTTTCAGTTTTGTATTCTTTTTCTTAAAAAAGCCTTCCCAAACTGTGTAAGCCTTAAGGCTGTATATCCACCTTTGCCTCTAAAGTTGCTCAATGTCATTTGGTGAAGTCATTTCTCCCTCACTAACACACAGTTCCAGGCTGTCACCATGCAAAGGGCCTAGGATGGTCACTCTCCTTTGCTCTATTATTAAGGTGACTTAGGAATTTGACATTAATTGCTTTCTAGAGGATTCAAAATAGAATTTTTTAAACTCAAGCTTCACAGGACCCAAGTATTCTAAAGCACAAGAGTATGATACATCACCCGCTAATAAAACTGACCTCATTTTAATATCCTGACTAGAATACTGCAGAATGATATTTAAGTAGTTATTTCTTTATTTACATTTAAAGATAAGCCTTGTCTACATTTAACTTGTTTCCAAAATCATGTGTGCTTTCAGTCATCAGCACCAATAATCTGAACTCTTATTAATTTAGAAACATTTCATATAAAATATGGAGATGCCAAAGTATTTTAAATTCTCTCTGATATAATTTGAGAGTAGATATAAATAAATGACTCCCTTTGTGATGAAATAAATTATCAAGTCCTCCAATTTAGAATAGCAGAAAAACTAATAACACACACACGCACACACAAAATGCCATATAGTGAAAACATGTGCTTGCTTGAATCAGAAATATAAAAAGGCATTTTACTCTTATATATTACAGCATCAAATTATGTATAGAATTGGATATGTATGTGTGGAAGGAAACAGCCAAAACACAGTTCTTGTTTCCTCATCATCCTTCTCTCTGCTTAACCATGGTAGGTTAAGGGAGATATCTTACTGGATCCATTATTTCAATACAGATGTCACTAACTTCTCTCAGACGTAGCTTAATTGCTGTTAGTTTCTAATGAAATTTATAATCCCGAGGGAAAGTGAACCTCCTTCAATGAGGTTCACTAGCTCACTACAGAATACTAAGCAGCACAAATGACTGATACGGACATAATTAATAATACTGCTCCAGAAGAAATTTATTCCAAAGGATTGGCCAAGAATTAAATGTGTTAGATATTATACAGAATAATATATTTTCTAATCTATCACTATTCTAATGTAATATGCTACAATAATATTGATTATTTTTCAAAACATAGACTAAGAATGCCTTATTTGCAACACTAAAATTCATAGTAATTCTGACGCCTGTATTTTGTCATAGCTGCTGAAGTGGAATTTTGCCAACCGAGATATGAACAACATTGTTCTTAATGTATAGCAAGATCAAGGGACTTTTTCTTACTGATGTTTATTTTGATAAAATGTTATATAAAATGGGAAGCAGAGCAAGATGGCTGAATAGAAGCCACCACTGATCATCCTCCCCACAGGAATACCGAATTTAACAGCTGTTAATATCTTCATTAAAAAAGCACCTTCATAAGCACCAAAAATCAGACAAGTGATTGAAGTACCTAGATTTAACTTCATATCACTGGAAGAGGCCCTGAAGAGGGTAGGAAAGACAGTCTTGAATTGCCAATGCCACCCCTCCCCACTCCCTGGCAGCAGCCGTGTGGCACACAGAGGGAATGTGTGCACTTAGGGGAGAAAGTGCAGCAATTGTGGGTCCTTGCATTAGAACTCAGTGCTGCAAACACTGGTTGGAACTCAGTCAATGCCCATGGGGGGAGCATTTAGATTAGCCCTAGCCAGAGGGAAATCACCCATCTCATCAGCCAGTACTAGAGTTTTGTCAAGCCTCACCACCACAGGCTAAAGTGCTCTGGAGTTCTAAATAAACTTGAAAGACTGTCTAGGCCACAGTGACTGCAACTCCTATGCAAGCACTAGTGCTGTGCTGTGCTTGGAGCCAGTGGACTTGGTGGGCATGAGCCCTAATGAGACACCAGCAGAGGAAGCTAAGGGAGTTTTTGCATCACCATTCCCCAACATCAGGGCATGATTCACAGCTCCAAAAGAGACCAGTTTCTTCAACTTGAGGATAACAGAAAGAAGAGTAAAGAGGACTTTGTCTTGCAAATTGGATACCAGCTCAGCCACGGTAGGAGAGGGCACGGGACAGAGTCATAAGACCCACATTCCAGGCCCTAGCTCCTGGATGACATTTCTGGACACTTGCTCCCTTGCAAGGAAGGACCCAATCCTGCAGGATTTATTACCACCTGATGACTAAAGAGCCCTTGGTCCCTGAAAATCAGCAGCAGTACTTATGCAGTACTCACCATGGGACATGGGTTTGACTCTGGCATGCGCTGACTTCAGGTTTGATCCAGGACAGTTCCAGTGCTGGTGGCCACAGGAGTGATGTGTCACCCATCCCCCAGCTCTGGGTGTTCATCACAGAGAGAGACTAGGTTTGTTTGGGAAAAAGTAAAGGAAGAGTGCAAAAGTCTCTTCCTGGTAATCCAGAGAATTCTTCCAGATCTTATCCAAGATCACCAGGGTGATACCTCTGCCAATTGGTAAGAACCGCAGCATTACTGGACTTGGAGTACCCCCTAATGCAGATACAACTGTAGTGAACAAAAACTTAAATTCCAACACCCAAGTCCTTTTGAATACCTGGAAAGCCTTCCAAAGAAGAACAGTTACAAAAAAGTTCAGACTGAAAAGACTATAATAAAATACTGAACTCTTCAATGGCCAGACACCAACTAACAATCACAAGCATCAAGACGATCCAGGAAAACATGACCTCACCAAACAAACTAAATAAGAAATCAGAAACAAATTCTGGAGAGACAAACATATGTTACCTTCCACACAGATAATTCAAAATAGCTGTGACAACATTTAGCTCTGTATTCCCACCTAAATCTCATGTCAAATTGTCATTCCCAGTGTTGGATAAAGGGCTTGCTGGAAGGTGACTGAATCATGGGTACAGACTTCCCTCTTTCTCTTCTCATGATAGAGTTCTCATGAGATCTGGTCATTTGAAAGTGTGTAGCCCCTCCCCTTTCTCTCTCTCTTCCTCCTGCAGGCCATGTAGGATGTGCCAGTTTCCCCTTCACTTTCCATCATAATCGTAAGTTTCCTGAGGCCTCCAGAGCCATACTTCCTGTACAGCCCGAGGGACTCTGAGTCAATGAAATCTCTTTTCTTTATAAATTACCCAGTCTCAGGTAGTTATTTATACTGGCTTGAGAATTAACTAATACAAGCTATTCTGAGAAAACTTAAAGAAATTCAAGGTAACATAAAGAAGGGATTCAGAATTCTAACAGATAAATTTAACAAAGAAATTGAAATAATTAAAAAGAATCAAGTAGAAATTTTGGAGCTGAAAAATGGAAGTGACCTACTGAAGAATACATCATGCCTACACGATCTAGAAAATAGCCTTAAAAGGAGAAATCTAAGAATTATTGGTTTTCAAGAGGAGGTAGAAAGATCTAGGTAGAAAGTTTATTCAAAAGGATAATAACAGATAACTTCACCAACATAGAGAAAGATATTTAATGCAAAAAAGTTATAGAAGACCAATATTTGAGTACAAGAAGGTTATAGAAAACCAAGAATATTTAACCCAAAGAAGATTAACTCAAGGCATTTAATAATCAAACTCCTAAAGGTCAAGGATAAGTAAAGGAGTCGAAAAGCAGCGAGAAAAAAGAAACAAGTAACATAAAGCGGAGCTCCAATACACCTGGCAGCAGACTTTTTAGTGGAAACTTTATAGGCCAGATGAGATTTGCATGACATATTTAAAGTGCTGAAGGAAAAAAAATAAAACTTTACTCTGGAATAGTACATCTGGCAAAAATATCCTCCAAACATGAAGGAGAAATAAAGACTTTCCCAGATAAACAAAAGCTGAGAGATTTCATCAACACCAGACCTCTCCTATGAGAAATGCTAAAGGGAGTTCTTCAAACTGAAAGAAAAGAACATTAATGAGCAATATGAAATCAAGTGAAGGTTCAAAACTCATTGGCAATAGTCAGTACACAGAAAAACAGAATATTATAACACTGTAATTTTGGTATATAGACTCCTGATACCTTCAGTAGAAAGATGAAAAAATGAAATGATAAAAAATAACTACAACTTTTCAAGACACAGTACATTAAGGTTTAAATTGAAAAGACAAAAAGTTTAAAAGCAAGAGGATGAAATTAAAGTGTAGAGTTTTCTTTAGTTTTCTTTTTGCTTGCTTGTTGTTTTTTTATGCAATCAGTGTTAAGTTGTGGTCAGTTTAAAATAATGGGTTATAGGATAGTATTTGCAAGCCTTGTGGTAACCCCAAATTGAAAAACATACAATGAATACACAAAAAATTAAAAGCAATAAATTAAAACAAGCCACAAGAGAAAATTACCTTCACTAAAAAAAAAGACAAGAAGGAAGGAAAGGAGGAGGAGATCAAAAACCAAGCAAAAAACTAACAAAAATGGAAGGAGCAAGTTTTTACTTATCAATAGTAACATTGAATGCCAATGGAATAAACTCTCCAATCAAAAGACACAAACAGGTTGAATGGATTATAAAAAGCAAGAGCCAACAAACCATTATCTACAAGAAACACACTTCACCAATAGAGACACACTTAGATTGAAAATGAAGGGATATAAAAAGATATTCCATGCTGATGGAAATCAAGAAAGAACAGGAGTAGCTACACTTCTATCAGATAAAATAGAATTTAAGATAAAAGCTATTAAAAAAGACAAGTTCATTTTATGACAAAGGGGTCAATTCAGCAAGAGGATATAACAACTTTAAATATTTATGCACCCAACACTGAGGTACTCAGATATATAAAGCAAATCTTGTTAAGGTTAAAGAGAGAGATAGACCCCAATATAATAATAGCTGGAGACTTCAGCACCCCACTTTCTGCATTGGTCAGATCTTCCAAACAGAAAATAAGCAAAGAAACATTGGACTTAATCTGCACTATAGAGCAAATGAACATCATACATATTTACAGAACATTTCATTCAACAACTGCAGAATACACATTCTTCTCAGCAAATGGATCATTCTAAAGAATGGATGATATGTTAGGCCACAAAACAAGTCTCAAAGCTTTCAAAAAATTGAAACATTTTCTCTGGCCACAATTGAATACAAGTATAGATCAATAACAAGAGGAATTCTGGAAACTATATAAATACTTAGAAAGAAAACAATATTCTCCTGAATGTCTAGTAAGTCAATGAAGAGATGAGGAAGGAAATTGAAAAATTTATTGAAACAAATGATAAGGAAACAGAACATACCAAAACCTATGGGACAGAGCAAAAACTGTAATAAGAGAGGTTTATAGCTACAAGTGCCTGCATCTAAAAAAGAAAAACTTGAAATAAACAACCTATCAATGTATATTAAGGAACTAGAAAAGCAAGAGCAAACTGGACCCAAAGTTAGTAGAAGCAAAGAAATAATAAATATTAGAGCAGAAATAAGTGAAATTGAAATAAAAACAATACCAAAGATTAGTGAGATAAAACTTGTTTTTTTTGAAAAAATAAAAAAAAATTCACAAACCTTTAGCCAGAATAACAACAAAAATAGAGAAGGCACAAATAATTAAAATCACAGCTGAAAAAGGAAACATTACAACTGATACCACAGAAATTCAAAGGACCATTGTAGGCTATTATGAACAACTATATGCCAATAAATTGGAAAATCTAGAAGAAAAGAATAAGTTCTTAGACACATACAGCCTCCCATGATTGAACCAGGAAGAAATAAAAAACCTGAACAGATCAATAATAATTAATGAGATTGAAGCTGTAATAAAAAGTCTCCCAGTAAAGAATACCCCAGAATCCTATGGCTTCACTGCTGAATTCTACCAATCATTTAAAGAAGTACTAATACCAACCCTACTCAAACTATTTCTATGTATTAATCCATTCTCACATTGATACAAGAAAATATCCAAGACTGAGTAACTTACAAAAGAAAGAGGTTTCATTGACTTGCATTTTTATGTGGCTGGGAGGCCTCAGAAAACTTCACAATTATAACGGAAGGCACTTCTTTACAGGGCGGCAGGAGAGAGAGTGAATGCAAGCAGAGGAAATGCCAGACACTTATAAAACCATCAGCTCTCATGAGAACTTACTATCATGAGGAGAGCATGGAGGTAACTGCCTCCATGGTCCAATTACCTCCACCAGGTCCCACCATTGATATGTAGGGATTACAGAGATTACAATTCAAGGTGAGATTTGCGTGGGGACACAGAGTCAAACCATATAATTCCACCCTGGACCCTCCCAAATCTCATGTCTTTTCACAGTTCAAAACAAATCATGCCTTCCCAACAGTCTCCCAAATTCTTAATTTCAGCACTAACTCAAAAGTTCACAGTCCAAAGTTCATCTGAAACAAGGGAAGTCCCTTCTGCCTATGAGCCTGTAAAATCAAAAGCAAGCTAGGTACTTCCTAGATACAATGGGGAAACAGGCATTGGGTAAATGCTCCCATTCCAAGTGGAAGAAATGGGCCAAAATAAAGGGGCTACAGGCAAGTAGCACAATTTAATAAGGCAGCAAGTGTGAGATTTAATAAGGCAGTTATTAAACCTTAAAATTCTTTTGACTCCATGTCTCACATCCAGGTCATGCTGATGCAAAAGGTGGCCCATCCCCAGCCTTGGGCACCTCCACCCCTGTGGCTTTTCAAGGTACAGCCCCACTCCTGGCTGCTTTCACTGGCTAGTGTTGAGTGTCTGCTGATTTTCCAGGCACACAGTACAAGCTGTTGGTAGATCTGGCTTTCTGGGGTCAGGAGGATGGTGGCTCTCATCTCACAGCTCCACTAGGCAGTGCCCCTGTGGGGACTCCATGTGAAGGCTCCAACCCCACATTTCCCTTCCACACTTCCCTATCAGAGGTTCTCCACAAGGGGCTCTGCCCTTGCAGAAGAGTTCAGCCTGGACTTCCAGGTGTTTCCATACATCATCTGAAATCTAGGCAGAGGATCCCAAACCTCAATTCTTGTCCTCTGTGCACCTGTAGGACCAACACCACATGAAAGCTGCCAAGGCTTGAGGCTTGCACCCTCTGAAGCAACAGCCTGAGCTGTACCTTGGCCCTGTTTAGCCATGGCTGGAGCAGCTGGGGCACAGAGCGCCAAGCTCTGAGGCTGTACACAACAGGGGAGAGGGCATCCCAGAAAACCATTTTTCCCTCCTAGGCCTCCAGGCCTGTAACGGGAGGGGCTGCTGTGAAGGTCTCTGACATGCTCTGAAGACATTTTCCCCACTGTCTTGGTGATTGGTATTTGACTCCTCTTACTTATCCAAATTTCTGCAGCCAGCTTGAATTTCTCCCCAGAAAATGGGATTTTTGTTTTCTACTGCATTGTCAGGCTGCAAGTTTTCTAAACTTTTATGCTCTGTCACCTCTTGAATTTCTAAGCTTTGCTTCTTAGAAATTTCTCCCACCAGATATTCTAAATCATCTCTCTTAAGTTCAAAGTTCCACAGATCTCTAGGGCAGGGGAAAAAAGCCTCCAGTCTCTTTGCTAAAGCATAGCAAGAATGACATTTACTCCAGTCCCCAGCAAGTTTCTTGTCTCCTGAGACCACCTCAGCCTGGACTTCATTGTCCATATCACTATCAGCATTTTGGTTAAAGCCATTCAATAAGTCTCTAGGAGTTTCCAAACTTTCCCATATTTTCCTGTCTTCTTCTGAGTCCTCCAAACTGTTCCAACTTCTGCCTGTTACCCAGTTCCAAAGTCACTTCAACATTTTCGGGTATCTTTATAATAGCATCCCACTCTTCATGGTATCAATTTACTGTATTTGTCCATTCTCATGTTGCTATAAGGAAATATCTGAGACTGGATAACTTATAAGGGAGAGGGGTTTAATACTCACAGTTCTGATTGACTGGGAAGGCCCCGGGAAACTTAGAATTATGACAGTAGGCACTTCTTCACAGGGTGGCAGGAGAGAGAATGAGTGCAAATAGGGGAAATGCCAGATGCTTATAAAACCATCAGATCTCACAAGAACTCACTCACTGCCATGAGAACAGCAATGGGAGAACCACCCCCATGATCCAATTACCTCCACCTGGTCCTGCCTATGTGGCGATTATGGGGATTACAATTCGAGGTGAGATATGGGTGGGGACACAGAGCCAAACCATATCATCCTATAAATAGAAGAGGAGGGAATTCTTTTAAACTCATTTTATAAGGCCGGTATTACTCATATACCAAAACCAGTCATAAAGGCATTGAAAAAAAAAACGAACTACACTCCAATATTCCTGACGAACATTGATGCAAGCAACCTCAACCAAATACTAGCAAACAAAATTCAACAGCACATTAAAAAGATTATTCAATATGACGAAGTGAGATTTATCTAAGGGATGCAAGGATGTTTCAACATATGAAAATCAGTCAATGTGGCACATCATATAAACAGAATGAAGAATAAAAACCATATGATCATTTCAATTGATACTGAAATTGCATTTGATAAAATTCAATATTCCTTCATGAGAAAAACCCTCAAGAAACTGGGGTTAGAAGGAACATACCTCAACACAATAAAAGGCATATATGACAGACCCACAGCTAATGTCATACTGGATGGGGGAAAACTGAAAGCCTTTCCTCTAAGATCTGTAATACGACAAAGATGCCCACTGTCATGACTATTATTTAATGTAGTACTGGAAGTCCTAGCTAGAGCAGTCAGACATGAGAGATATAAAGGGCATCGAAACTGAAAAGGAAGAAATCAAATTATTCTTGTTTGAAGATGATATGATTTTATATTTGAAAAAACCTAAACAACCTATTTTCCTTAAAAAATATTGGAACTGATAAGCAAATTCAGTACAGTTTCAGGATACAAAATCCACATACAAAAATCAGTAACACTCCCATATGCCAACAGCGAACAATCTGAAGAAGAAATCAAGAGAGTAACCCCATTTTAAAAAGCTATGAATAAAATTAAATACATAGAAATTAATTGAACCAAAGAAGTGAAAGATTTTTACAATGAAAACTATAAAACACTGATAAAACTAATTGAAGAGGGCACAAAAAATGGAAAGATATTCCATGTTCATGAATTGGAAGAATCAATATTGTTAAAATGCCCATACAACCCAAATCCATCTACATATTCCTTGTAATACCTATCAAAATATCAGTGACATTCTTTACAGGAATACAAGAAAAGCCTCCTAAAATTAATATAGAACTGCAAAAGACCCAGAACAGAAAAAGCAATTCTGAACAAAAGTAACAAAACTAGAGAACTGACATTATCTGACTTCACATTATACTACAGAGCTATAATTACCTAAAAAAACATAGTACTGGCATAAAAACAGACACATAGACCCATGGAACAAAATAGAAAAACCCAGAAACAAATCCATGCATCTACAGTGAAGTCTTTTTTGAAAAAGTTTCCAACAACATACATTGAGGAAAGGAAAGTCTCTTTAATAAATGGTGCTGGGTAAACTGGATATCCATATGTAAAAGGATAAAACTAGACCACTATCTCTCGCCGTACACAAAAATCAAATCAAAATGGATTAAAGACAAATCTAAGACCAAGCTATGAAACTGCTAAAAGAAAACATTGGAGCAACTCGCTAGGACATCGGATTGGGCAAAGATTTATTGAATAATATTCTACAAGCACAGGCAACCAAAGCAAACATGGACTAATGGGATCACATCAAGTTAAAAAGCTTCTGCACAGCAAAGGATACAATCAACAAAATGAAGAGACAATCCACAGAATGGGAGAAAATATCTGCAAACTATCCACCTGACAAGGGATTAATAACCAGAATATATAAGGAGCTCAAAAAACTCTATAGAAAAAATCGAATAATCCGATTTTTAAAATGGGCAAAGGATACGAATAGGCATTTCTTAAGGAGTGGGGAGGGATAGCATTAGGAGATATACCTAACGTTAAATGACGAGCTAATGGGTGCAGCCCACCAACGTGGCACAGGTATACATGTGTAACTAACCTGCACGTTGTGCACATGTACCCTAAAACTTGAAGTATAATTAAAAAAAGACATACAAATGGCAAACAGGTATATGAAAAAGTGCTTAACCTAACTGATCATCAGAGAAATGCAAATCAAAACTACATTGAGATATTATGTCATCCCAGTTTAAAATGGCTTATAACCAAAAGACAGGCAGTAACAAATGCTGGTGACGATGTGGAGAAAAGGGAACCCTCATACACTCTTGGTGGGAATGTAAATTAGTACAACCACTATTGAGAGGAGTTTGGAGTTTTCTCAAAAAAAACCTCAAAGCAGAATTACTATAAAATCCAGCAATTTTACTGCTAGGTATATACCCAAAAGAAAGAAAATCAGTGTATTGAAGAACTATCTGCCCTCCCAGGTTTATTGCAGCACTATTCACAATAGCTAAGATTTTGAAGCAACCTAAGTGTCAGGTATGTATACACAATGGAGTAGTATTCAGCCATAAAGAGGAATGAGATTTTGTCATTTATAACATGGATGGAACTGGAGGTCTTTTTGTTAAGTGAAATAAGTCAGGCACAGAAAGACATAAAGTCACATGTTTTCATGTATGTACGGGAGCTAAAAATTAAAACAATTGAACTCATAGAGAGAGTAGAAGGATGGTTACCAGAGGCTGGGAAGGGTAGTAAGGAGTGTAAAAGGAACAGTTGGTGATTAATGGGTACAAAAACATAGAAAGAATGAATAGATCAATATTTGGCAATACAACAGGGTGACTATAATCAATAATAATTTAATTCTACATTTTACAATAACTAAAAGGGTATAGTTGGATTATTTGTAACAAAGGATAAATGCTCCAGGTGATGGATATCTCATTTACCCTGATGTGATTATTATACATCATATGACTGTATCAACATATCCCATATCACATAAATATGTATAACTACTATGTACCCATAAAAACTAAAAAACTAAAATTGAAAAAAATTACATTCTAAAAATATTATATAAGGCTAATCTTTTTATTTAATTTCAAATGTATTCATTGTGTTCCTAATTATATCCTCAATATTTCCATGTGTTTAGTAAGTTTATTCATCCATCAATATAATTTTTTTCAGCATTATAAAAGTATGTAGAATAAAATGGCACATATACATCATGGAATACTATGCAGCCATAAAAAATGATGAGTTCATGTCCTTTGTAGGGACATGGATGAAGCTGGAAACCATCATTCTCAGCAAACTATCGCAAGGACAAAAAACCAAACATCGCATGTTCTCTCCCATAGGTGGGAATTGAACAATGAGAACACTTGGACACAGGAAGGGGGACATCACACACTGGGGCCTGTTGGACTCCTGCTCTTTTTTTGTTTCCATTGTCATGGAATATATTTTTTCATGTATTTGTTTTCAGTCTATTTGTGTCTATACAGGTGAAGTGTGTTTCTTGCAGGCAACGGATTATTGGTTCTTGTTTTTTTTATTCATTCAGCCTGTCTATGTCTTTTGATTGGAAAGTTTAGTCCATTTACATTCAATGTTATTACTGATATGTAAGGAATTACTCCTGCCATTTTTTTTTCTGGTTGTTTTGTCATCTTCTCTTCCTTCCTTCTTTCCTTTCTGTTTTCCTGTAGTGAAGGTGATTTTCTCTAGGGATATGATTTAGTTTTTTGCTGCTTATTTTTTGTGTTACGCTATATGATATTGGTCTGGGGTTACCATGAGGCTTGCAAGTACTATTTTATAACCCATTACTTTAACTGGTTAACAACTTGACACTCTTTGCCAAACCAAACTAACAAACAAGCAAAAAGCAAATGAAAGAAAACTCCATGCCTTAACTTCATCCACAAGCTTTTTAATTTTTTGTTGTTTCTGTGTATATCTTACTGCACTGTCTGTGTCTTGAGAAGTTTTTGTAGTTATTATTTTTGATTGGTTTATCATTTAGTCTTTCTACTTAGGATAATGTAGTTTGTACATCACAGTTACGGTGTTATAACATTTTGTGTTTTTCTGTGTGCTTACTATTACTGGTAAGTTTTGCACCTTCAGGTGATTATTTATTGCTCATTAATGTCAGTTTTTTGACAGAAGTACTCTCTTTAGCGTTTCTCATAGGACAGGTCTGATATTAATGAAATCCCTCAGCTTCTATTTGCCTGGGAAAGTCTTAATTTCTTCTTCATGTTTAAAGGATTTTTTTACAGGATATAATATTCCAGGGTAAAAGTTTTTTTTGTCCTTCAGCACTTTAAATATATCATGCCACTCTCTCCTGGTCAGTAAGGTCTCTACTAAAAAGTCTGTTGCCAGATATATTAGTGCTCCATTGAGTGTTATTTGTTTCTTTTCTCTTGCTGCTTTTAGAATCCTTTCTCTATCCTTGACTATTGGGAGTTTGGTTATTAAATGTTTTCAGGTAGTCTTCTTTGGGTTAAATGTGCTTGGCTTGGCATTCCATAATCCTGTTGTACTTGGATATTGATATACTTCTGTAGGTTTGAAAAGTTCTCTGTTATATTATCTCTTTGAATAAACTTTCTACCCCTATCTCTTTCTATAACCCCTGCTTAAGGCCAATGACTCTTAGATTTGTTCCTTTGATGCTATTTTCTAGATATGGTAGGTATGTTTCATTTTTTTTAATCATCTTTTCTTTTGTCTCCTCTGACTGTGTATTTTCAAATAGCTTATCTTCAAGCTCACTGAGTCTTTCTTCTACTTGATCCGTTGTTTTATTAAAGGACTGTGATGCACTTTTCAGTATGCCAATTACATTTTTCAGCTCCAGAATTTCAGCTTGATTCTTTTTCACTGTTTCAATTTCTTTGTTTAAATTATCTAATAGAATTCTGAATTCCTTCTCTGTGTTATCCTGAATTTCTTTAGATTTCCTCAACACAGCTATTTTGCATTCCCTTTCTGAACAGTCACATATCTCTGTTTTTCCAGGATCAGTCCCTGATGCTTTATTTAGTTCACTTGGTAAGGTCATGTTTTCCTGGGTGGTGTTGGTGCTAGTATATGTTTCTCAGCATCTGGGCATTGAAGAGTTAGATATTCATTATAGTCTTCACTGTCTAGGTTTATTTGTAGCTGTTTCTCTTGGGAAGGCTTTCAACATATTTGAAAGGACTTGGGTGTTGAGATCTAAGATGTATCTACTTGAGTGGCCTCTCCAAGCTCAGTAATATTGGGGTTCTTTCAGATTCACAGAGATACCACCTTGACAAAATCTTAGAGAATTCTCTGGATTACCAGGAAGAAACTCATGTTCTCTTCCCTTACTTTCTCCCAAACACACAGAGTCTCTATCTCTGTTTTGAGCCACCTGAAGCTAGGAATAGAGTGACACAATCACCCCTGTAGCCTCCTCCACAATGACTGTGCTCGGTCAGATCTGAAGTCAGCACATAGCTAGGTCTCACCTAAAGCCTGCCAAAACCACTCCCTGGCTACTTCCTATGTTCACTGAAGACCCTTGGACTCTACAATTAGCAAGTGCAAAGCCAGGCAGGCCTGTGTCCTTCCCTTCAGTGTGGCAAGGTACCCCAGGCCCCAGGTGGGTCCAGAGGTGTCTGGAAGTCAGGGAGTAGAGTCAAAAACCTTAGAAGTCTACATAGTGTTCTATTGTATTGTGGCTGAACTGGCACTCAAACCACAAGAAGAAGTACTTCCCACTCTTTCCACCCCTTTCCAAAGGCAGAGGAATCTCACTCTGTAGCCACCCCCTCGCCCGCCACCACTGCCCCAGGCCACAAAGCATACTGCTAGACAACTAGCCAATGTTCCATTAAGGACCAAGTTTTCTTAAGTAACCTGTTCTGAATGCTGCCTGGCCTAGAACTCACCCTTCAGGGCACGGGGTTCCCCTCTGGCCCAGGGCAGGCCCAGAAATGCTGTCCAAGAGTCAAATCCTGGAAGTGAGGACTCCAAGAGCCCACTTGGTGCTCTGCTCCTTTGTGACTGTGGTGGTACTGAAAGTGCAAGACAAAGTTCCCTTTACTTTCCCCTCTTCTTTTTTCAAACAGAAGGAGTTTTGCCCTGTAGCCACTACAGCCTGTAATGTGCTACATCCTACCAGAAGCCAGCAAGTCTCAGAGGCTCACTCAAAGCCCTCAACATAGTACCTAGGTATTGCTGCTGGTTGTTCATGCCCCAAGGACTCTTCGGTTACACCATAATGAATGCTGGCAGGACTAGGTCCTTTTCTTCAAGGCAGCAGTTTCACTTCTGGCCCAGGGTGTGTCTAGAAATGTCCTCTGAGAGCTAGGGCCTTGTACAGGGGCCTCATGACTGTGTTTGGTGCCTTATCCTGCTATGGCTACACTGGTAACCAAGATGCAAAACAAAGTCCTTCTCACTCTTTTCTTTCCTCTCCTCAAACAGAAGGAAGGGATAATGGCTCATGGCTCTTTTGGAGCCCTGAGCTGTGCTCCTGGGGTTAGGGAAGGGGTGATGCCACCACTCCCTTGGCTGCCCCAATTAGTGTCTCATCCCCCCACCTCCCCACACCCCCACCAGTCCATTGTCTCTGGGCCTGGTTCAGCATTAGTACTTGCCTAAGATTTGCAGTATTTATGGCCTAAACTGCCTTTCAAGTTTACTTGGAGACACAGAGTGCTATAGTTTTCAGTGGCAAGATTTGCAGGTGCTCAAATTCTGACCATTGGGATCCATGATGCTCCTCTGGCTAGGGCTGGTTTAAATGCTTCCTCTGTGGGTAGGCATCAGCTGAGTTTGGTCCAGTTTTCCTTTCTGCTCTAACAGGACGGTACTGCGTTTAATGCCTCACAATTGCTCTGCTCTCCCTGCCCTAGTGTCCAGATATGCTCTCCTTTCCATGCCATGCTGCCACTTCCAGGGGTGGAGGAGGGGTTGCACTGGTGATTCAGGGCTGTGTTTTCTATCTCTTCAGTGCATCTTTCAGGGATGTGAAGTGGAAACCAGGTATATAGTGCTCACCTAATTTTGGTTCTCATGAAGGTGTTTTTTCTGTGTGGATAGTTGCTAACTCAGTGTCCTTGCAGGGGGTGATGATCATTGGAGCCTTTTATTCTGCCATCTTGCTCCTCCTCAACTTGCATCTTCTTAAGCCATGCTGTCATTATGTGATTTTTATGTTTAATTTTAGTAACTTTTTAGTTTATGTTTGATTGCTTTTTTTCATTGACACCTGATAATTGTAGATATTTTGGAGGTACAAGGTGACATTTCAATATATATATACACATTGTATAATGACCAAATCATAGTAATTGGTATATCCAACACCTTAAACATTTATCATTTGTTTGTTATGAGGACATTCAAAATCCTCTCTTCTAGCTATTTGAAATATATAACGCATTATTGTTAGCTATAGTTACCCCACTGTGTAATAAAGTACCAGAACTTATTCCTACTAACTATAACATTGTACCTGTTGAGCAATATCTCTCCCTCTCCCTTTCCCCTCTATTCTCCCCAGTCTCTGGAAACTAATATTCTACTCTCAGCTTCTATGAGATCAATTCTCAAAAACATGGATGAGCCTAGAAAACATTATGCTTGACTGTCTGTTATTGTCTTATTTTAACTTTTCTTGGCTTTATTTATGTTTGTTAATTGATAAGTTTGGATATTTGGCCCTTGCAAATCTCATGTTGAAATGCCTCAATTTTGGAAGTGAGCCCTGGTGGGAGGTGTTTGGCTTCTGGTAGTGGGTCCCTCCTGTATAGCTTGGTGCCCTTCCCGAGGTAATGAGTGAGTTCTCACTTGATTAGTTCATGCAAGAGTTGGTTGTTTAAAAAATTCTGGCATTTCTCTTGCTCTGTCTCTCACCATGTGACATGCCCGCTCCACCCTTACCTCTCACCACAATTGTAAGATTTCTGGGGCCCTCACCAGAAGAATATTCTGGCACTATGCTTCTTATACAGTCTGCAGAACTGTGCACCAAAATAAAACTCTTTTCTTTATAAATTACCCAGCCTCAGGTATTTATTTAGCAATGCAAAATGGACTAACACATTCACATTTAAAGTTAATGTATTCTCTAAGTTTGTGAATTACAAAAATTCAGACCAACAAATTTCAGGACATCCATTATTTTGCACAGTTCAGTGGGTAGATGCAAATTTCATGAACAATTCATGGAAAGCTTGACATTTAGTTATTGATCTCTCAGCGTTTCTAAATATGTGTTTCTCATTGAGTGCAAGTAATGACATTTAAATTTTTTTTGGCTTGGGGTTGACTTACATTTTCTTTAGCAGAATTTTCCTATATTAATACTCTCTAAACTCCATTGCCCAGAACCATGAAGTTACTAACTCTTTTTTAGCAGAACATCTTTTCCACTTTCTCAGGACCTGGCACATGTTTGAGCTTTTCTTTGAACATCTGTAAGTAGAAAAATGTTCTACTTCACATTACTATGGACCTCTACTTTTACTTTATGCTCCAGTTCCATTGCACAACTCAGTAACAGGTGGTAATTTCATGGTTCATAAGGAACTTTGAATGGCTTTGGGTATTTTGTTTATAAAAATTGAAAATGTAAATCTCTTAGTTTCTGCAGTTACTGATATCATGTGACATGATAATTTAGAGTAAACTTCGTTTTTCTACCATTTTAATTTCGAAGGTCATAAGGAAGATTAAGAAGGGACATATGTTACCAAAGCAAGTGAATCACTTTTTTGGATCATCATCCACAGGGTCTATTAATTTGTAAAACCCTAGAGTCTAGAAACAAATCTTCTGTAGCTCTTTCTTAATGTTTACGTAACTTTGCTATTATCATCTGGAAAATGACCATAAGTAACTCTAAGACTTTATAGTTAGGTAAACAAAAGCAACAGAGGTTTTTAATACCAAGAACAGGCCAGTGTATTTAATTTAGGATCAACAGCACAACAGTAGTTGATGTGGATCAGTGGAGATATACAAGAATTAGTAGCTTTGAGAGTTAGCAGTGAGATTCCCAGGGTATCCTTTAGCTCTTCAAGGTCATTGCTGAAGGACCCTCGTGGCACCAATATTTAACTGGTTTCTTAAATTCAAAGTAACTTAACTCATTTTGCTTTATAATATCCTTGGATGTATCAGTAGTTGGAATTTTAAAAAATCATTTTCTTATAAAAAAGTTACTGAACATGAAATTTTGCCGATATTGCTACAGTTATAAAATAGTAGATGCATGCATATTTGAATTTTGCATGTCTAATTTCAACTCTCTAAAAATAACAACAGTCACACTTTCTTTCTACCTAAATCCAAAGAAAAGTTTTTCAAAACATAAGGAATAGAAACATAATAAAACCAACAAGGTTTATAGCCATAGGACTTAGCCAAAAACACTTAACACATAATAAACACTTAATAAGTTCCTACTGAATAAAAGAATAAATGATTCAGTGAGAGTCTTTGCGTAACCAAAGATTATGTAATGATAAAAGAAACACTAAACCAAATAAGACTGAAATACTATTGACAAAATGTTTAATAAATCATATATACACATAGAAATTTTTATGTTGGATTCTTACTTACATTTACGTATTCGGATTGCTCCATTAAGTTAGACTATGATACTTAGTTTATAAACAGATTATACCATCATAGCTATTTAAGAGAAGCCCTCCACAGGCTTATGTATAGTGGCACAATTTGTCTTCATTCTGATGGAGGGGGAGAAGGAAGATTTTCCCCTCCATCTGTTTCTAGAGAGCCTACTGCTGCATTCTGAAAAGCCAGAAAATGAAAATCAGACTAATTCTCAGTCTTCGGATTTCTTCTTTTCAGTATCTACACTCTCCCTTAGTGATCTCAGACAGTTTCAGAGTTTTAAATGTCATTTTAAAAATTGAAGATGCCTAAATATATTACTCCAGTCCAGACCTAACCCCTCATTTACAGAATAATTTGTCTAATTCCTATTCAGCATCATCGTTTAGATGTCTAACAAATATCTCAAAATTAACATGTCCAATCTGAACTAATATTTCCTCAAAACCTGCACTACTTCTTTCTTCCTTTTAAAACAAAAAAATTTTTTGGTAGAGAGGATCTCACTTTGTCACCCATGCTGGAATGGAGTGGCACAATCATACTTAACTGCAACTTCAAACTCCTGGGTTCAAGTGATCCTCCCATTTCAGCCCCCCAAGTGTCATTCATTTTCAAATGATGGCAAATTCATCATTTCTGACCAGGCCAAAAACATGAGTTTCTCCTTCCTTCCTTCCTTCCTTCCTTCCTTCCTTCCTCTCTTTCTTTCTCTCTCTCTTTCTTTCTTCCTTCCTTCCTTCCTTTCTTTTTCTTTCTTTCTTTCTTCTTTCTTTCTTTCTCTTTCTTTCTAGTTCTTTCTTTCTCATCCTCTTTCTTTCTTTTTTATTTATTTTTTTGATGTGTCTTTGTCTAGTTTCTATATCAGGGTAACACTGGCCTTGTAGAATGAGTTTAGAAGTATTCAGTCCTCCTCTATTTTGGGGAATAGTTTTGAGTAGCATTTGTATTAGTTGCTCTTTAAGTGGTAGAATTCAGCAGTAAAGCCATCAGGTCCTGGGCTTTTCTTTACTGGGTGACTATTATACATTCAATCTCATTACTTGTTATGGGTAGATCTATATTTTGGGTTTCATTCTGGTTCAATCTTGGAAGGTTGTAGGTATCTAGCAATTTCTCCATTTCTTCTTGATTTTCCAATTTGTTGGCATACAGTTGCTCATGATAGCAGCTAATGATCCTTTGAATTTCTGCAGTATCTGTTGTAATCATTTCTGATTTTATTTATTTGGATCTTGTCTCTTTTTACTTAGCCTCACTAAAGTTTTGTTAATATTGTTTGACTTTTCAAAAAAACAACTTTTTGTTTTGTTTGTATTTTGAATTTTTTGTTTCATTTATTTCTGCTCTGATCTTTATTACTCCTTTTCTTCTACCAATTTAGGGTTTGGTTTGCTCTTGCTTTCATAGCTCTTTAAGATGCATCATTATATTGTTTATTTGAAGTTTTTCCTCTTTTTCAATGTAGGCACCTATAAACTTCCCTCTTAGTACTGCCTTTCCTGTATCACATAGGTTTTGGTATGTTTTGTTTCCATTATCATTTGTTTCAAGAAGTTTCTCAATTTCCTTCTTAATTTCTTCATTGATCCACTGGTCATTCAGGAGCACAGTGTTTAATTTTTATGTATTTATATAGTTTCCAAAATTCCTCTTATTTATTTCTAATTTATTTTTTTGTGGTCAGAGAAGATGCTTGATATTATTTCAATGTTTTTTAGTGTTTTAAGAATTGTTTCGTGGCCTAACATATGGTCTATCCTTGAGAATTATCCACATGAGAAGGAAAAGAATGTTTATTCTGCAGCCCTTGGATGAAATATTTTGTAAATATCCATTAGATCTATTTGGTTTGTAATGCAGATTAAGTCTGATGTTTTGTGGTTGACTTTCTGTCTGGAAGATCATCCAGTGCTGAAAATGGGGTCTTGAAGTCTCCAACTATTATTGTATTGAACCTATCTTTCTCTTTAGTGCTAATAATACTTCCTTTTTATATCTGGGTGTTCCAGTGTTGGGTGCATATATGTTTCAAGTTGTTATATCCTCTTGTGGAATTGACCCCTTTTATCATTATATAGTGATCTTTATCTCTTCTTACAGTTTTGGTCTTGAAATCTATTTTGTCTGATATAAGTATAGCAACTACTGTCCTTCTTTGGTTTCATTGTCATGAAATATATTCTTCAATCCCTTTATTTTCAGTCTATATGTATCTTTACAGGTGAAGTGACTGGAGTCAAAATCTCAGAAGTCTTCCTGGTGGTCTATTGTTTTGCAGCTGAGCTGGCATACAAACCACTAGATGCAATACCTGCCACTCTTCTCTCCGCTTTCCAAAAGCAGTGGAACCTCAACCCATAGCCACTGCCACCCTGGCTGTGAGGAGCACTGCCAGACTACTGCCTATGTTCCTTTAAGGCCCAAGGTCTCTTAAGTCAGACTGTAGTGAATTCTGCCTGGCCTGAGACTCACCCTTCAGGGAAGTAGGCTCTCCTCTGGCCCAGGACAGGTCCAGAAATGTCTTCCAAGGGCCAAATCCTGGAATAGAAAACCCCAAGAGTCTGCTTTGTGTTCTACTCCACTGTGGCTGTGTTGCTACCTAAGATGCAAGACAAAGTCCCCTTTATTTTCCCTCTGCTTTTCTCAAGCAAAAGGAGTGTTGCTTCACAGCCACCACAGCTGGTAATGTGCCGAGTCTCACCTGAAGCTAGCAAGTCTCAGAGACTCACTAAGGCCCTTGATGTAGTACCTGAGTATTGCTGCTGGTTATTCATAGCCCAAGGGCTCTTCAGTTAGCAGACAATGAATGCTGCCAGGACTTGATCCTTTTCTTCAAGGCAGCAAGTCCCCTCTGACCCAGGGTGTGTCTAGAAATATCTGGGAGCTAGGGCGTGGAATGGCGACCTCATGACTGTGTTTGGTGCCCTATCCTACTGTGGTTGAGCTGATATCCAAGATGCAAGACAAGTCCTCCCCACTCTTCCCTCTTCTCTCCTCAAGCAGAAGGAAGGGGTCTCTTTTGGAGCCATGAGCTGTGCCACCATGGGTTAGGGGAGGGGTGATGCCAGCACTTCTTTTCCTGCCCCAACTGGTGTCTCAGTATGTCATGTCTCCCCCAGTCCACTGTCTCTGGTCCTACTTCAGCCCTAGAGCTCACCTAAGAGTTGCCATCCTTATGGTCTAGACTGCCTTTCCAGTTTATGTAGAGATTGAGAGCACTTTGGCCCTTGGTGGTCCAGGTTTGGACTGCTGATATCGGTGATTCCCCTCTGGCTAGCGCTGGTTTAAATGTTCCCTCTGTGTGTGGACATCAGCTGAGTTTGGTTTGGCTTTCCTTCCTGCTCTAACAGGATAGCACTGAGTTCAATGAGTCATAAATTGCTGTCTTCTCCTTCTGTCAGAACCCAGAGATGCTCTCCGCATGAGGCTGCTGCTGCTCAGGGTCATGATGGGAGATTCAAGACTGTGTTTTCTATCTCTTCAGTGTCTCTTTCAGTGATATGAAGTGAAAACCAGGTACTCTGAGAGTTCACCTGATTTTTGGTTCTTATGTAGGTGTTTTTTCTGTGTAGATAGTTGTTAGTTGTTAACTTGGTGTACTTGTGGTGGGGGGCGACAGGTGGAGCTTACCATTCCACCATCTTGCTCCACCTCTCTCCTATACTGAATTCTTGCTTGGAGTTTTCATTTTGTTTTTCTGATTTTTTATTATCTTAATTTTAAAAAAATGCATTAAAATTCATGCTTTTTAGCATCGTTTGATGAGTTTTGACAAACGATAAAGTTATATAGCTGCCAATGAAATAAAGATTTAGAATATTTTCGTCACCCCAAAAGTCCTGTGTGCCTTTTAAGTCAGCCCCTTTCATCACCCCTAGTCCTTGGCAACCATTGGTCTGGTTTTGTTCTCCATAGTTTTACCATTTCTAAAGTGACTCATAAATGGGTACATACAGATTGTGACTTTTTGTTTCTGACTTCACTTAGCATAAAACATTTTGAGAGTCATTTACATTGTTGCATGTTATCTGTAGCTCAGTTACTTTTATTTCTGAGTAACATTCTGCTGGATGTGTGGACTATGGTTTGTCTACCCAATTACAATTAAAAGATTGCCTGGATTTTGAGTAAAATTATCACCCTCATGAAAATGACTTTCCCTTATGTGTTCCTCTCCTTGATCATTCACCAACCTTTTGTTCTGCACACAGTTCTCTAGGATCTATCATATGCAGATATTGTTACCTTGTTGTCTCTTATTTGTTGTTCCCTACAAAAAGTGGACGTGAACCTAGGGTAAAGTTTAATATCTCACCTTAGACAATTAAACCAAAACATTAAAATAAACATTTTATATTTCAATATTTGATGGCACAATTACCATTGGCAATTATTCTACTTTATTCATTCAACCTATACTCTCTGTGTGGCTACTTATTTTCTGGAACTAACTTAAGTGGTAAGGAGAAATTGCTCACGAAGTACCTGAACTTTTAGAATTCACAGTGATGAAGAAGAAAACAAAATATAAATACTAAATAGACTAGGTGGGTTATGAAAGTTTAAACTCTAGAAGTAGGCTGAGGAAATAAAGTTTGAGTAGAAATAGGACTACATTTGGGAGAGGAAAATTCCAGGCAGAGAGAATAGCACACATCACAGTATCAAGAGGGAGCATTGTATGAATGAGTTTTAGAAGTTCAGAGAGCAAAGGTGATGGAGATATCACAAGAGATTTGAGATTCAAGTAAGGGATAGATTGTTTAGGGCCTGTGGACCAGAGGAATTCTTTTTTTTTTTTTTTTTTTTTGACAGATTTTCACTCTTGTCACCCAGGCTGGTGTGCAATGGCGAGATCTTGGCTCTCTGCAACCTCTACCTCCCAGGTTTGAGCGATTCTCCTGTCTCAGCCTCCTGAGTAGCTGGGATTACAGGTGCCTGACGCCATGCCCAGCTAATTTTTGTATTTTAATAGAGACGGGGTTTCACTATGTTGGCCAGCCTGGTCTCAAACTCCTGACTTCAGGTGATCCACCCGCCCCAGCCTCCCAAAGTGCTGGGATTATAGCCATCAGCCATCACACCTGGCCCAAGCTAAGGAATCCTACTACTATCCTAGAAGCATTTGGAAACCATTGATTAGTTTTATGTAAAAGAGTCTGGTTAATCAGATTGAAGTTACAAAAACTGGTTCTACCTTGATGCAGTTGGAAATACTTTTTTGTTGTACTCCAAGCTGAAGTGGAGGAAGCCAGAGAGGATAGAAGTAGACTAGACTCATGCAAATAGGTATTCATGAAGGTACTGCAATAGTTCCAGCAAGATAAAGGTAATTTGAACTAAAGTACAGGTAGGGTGGGATAGAGAGAAATGAATTGACACAACAACTATTTCAGAAGCAAGAGAACAGGACATTGAATCACGTTGGATTTGGTGCTATTGGAGGTGGGTGGGTGGAGAAAGAGGCATAAAGAATGACACCTGGGTTTCTGGCTTTTGTGGATGGTTTGGTCTTGGTATAATTTATAGAGATAGGAGTTTCTGATGGAAATTATTGAGTTCAGTTTCAGACCTGTTAAGTTTGAGAAGTTTGAAACACAAGGAGATTCAAGCATGCAGTTAGCTTTGTGGGTGTGAAATACAAAAGAGTGTTTTAGTAAGGCTGCTGACAGAACCCTGTGGTTCATCCGCATAGGTAGGGATTGAAGACGTGGCCAATGATTAGATTGGCAAAGGCAAGAATTCAGAGGAAAACAGGGAAAGTCTAGGATTAAGAATTGAGAATTGCAACATTAAATGGACAGGAAGGGGAAAATGAACAAGCAAGGGAGATACAAAAAGGACAGTCAGAAATATAGCCAAAAAACAGGGTTGTGTAAGGTTACAGAAAGTTGGAGAAGAGAATGCTTGAGGAAGGAGGGAACAGCCAACATAGCATACTCTCCCAAGAGGTTCCTAGTGGACTTTGGTGAGAGCAGTGCTCAGGAGATGATGGGAACAGAAGCCCTACAGAGTGGTTTGAAAAGCAAGTAGAAGCTGAAAAATATGGAGACAGAGTATACACGACCATTCAAAAATCATCGCTGTGAACGGACGGTGGCAGTGGTGAAAGAGAGAGAGAAAGAAAAGGTTGCGGCCAAGGACAAGCAGGGCCCAGTGAAGACTTTCTTTCCTTCAGTTGTAAAGTTATGAACATGGTTAAAAACCCAAAGGATGGAATCCATCAAAATAGCACAGAAAAGGCTGGAAGTAATGAGCTCCCGAAAATAGGTGGTAAAATTTTCTTTATATGGTCGTTGAGAGGGAGAGAGAGACCATTCCTTGTACTCAACAAGACAGAAATGAATTGAATATGGGTTGGAATTATGTTTACTGTCAAGGAAGATAAAAAAGTTGTCACCTCTGTTTCCTCTCTAAGGTAGAAGGTGAAGCCAAAACACTGAAAAGTTTTCCAGGGCAGAGGGTTGAAGCTTTGAGATGAGTAGAAAAGGCAGAAAGTGGTCACTGTAGAGTGAGATAGTGAGTTAACAGAGAATGGCCATAGGCTTCACATATGTTGATCCCTGATCAGATTTCACTCAAATCATCCTCTTGAGATACATTAAATGCTTACTCTTATAATTTTTCCACATTATCAAATTATTAACCAAAACAGGTGAAATCTCTACATATAACCCCCACTCCCAAACTGCTTCTCTTACAGATATTCACACTAAGCAAGTGTATCTAGAAATGTGTGACTTTCCTGTTTTGCCTTCTCTTTTTGTGTTTTGATGAGGAGGATGTTTTAGTTTTCCCTTGGGCACTTCATTTTCTCTAGAATTACTGTGCCTTCTTTAAATTTTTTCTTCTATGTCCCTCTGCTAAGACAGGTAATAACATCAATCTATCAGTGGCATCCCCTCATCTCTTCAGAGTATGGTCTTCTTTACCCCTTCTCTCACAGTTAAATTTGAATATATCATTAGCTTTGTAATTTCAGCATAAAATTGATTTGGTGTGATTGATTTGAAGTATGATTGTCAATGCAATGTTGTTATACCTGCTATAGTACTATAACTGCTGAGGTAAAACCCTTAGCAGTTAAGGCAGTGGATTTTCAAAATATGCGATTAATGTTTTCATAGTTTTTACATAGCACCTGAAATCACCATCACCAAATTTTTCATAATTAGATATTGGTAGCTGTTTTTAAGTGGCACATATGTAGGCACTATGTGTGACACTGAGTTGACTGTAAATGTTGCATTGCACCTTTAATTTGAGGGGAAGTAAAGAAGGAAGGGAAGGAAGCATCAGCAGATACCATTTCCACTTAGCAAACACTATGTCTTGCTTTAGCTATAAATTACACTCAGGTTCTATTCTTGCTTTTCATGCCAAGCTAAAGTGAATCACTCAGTGCAGTGATGCTAATACTTTAAATTATAGTTAGCCAAAAAACCTAGTTATGAAGAAAAGCTAAATTAGTAAATGATAGCAATGTCTGGAACATTCAGAAAAAATATTTTAGAAGTTCATTAGTCAAGGCATTTCATATAAATAAAATATGAGATAAAATCATATAACTTAAGGCTAATGCCTTTTATTAAAGTTTTAGAGCAATTAAATGAAATGCTAGCAACAAACAGAATCCTAGTATATGACTGAATGAAGGTATAATATCTAAAAACACGACAATCTGCATTTCTAATGTAGGGCTGTTTATCCTATAGCCTGTAATTTGTGTCCAGTGATATATATCTGCATATCTGCTCACACTTTCTATGTATGTTTCCTTATTTCTTTAAGTATATAATTTTGTGTTGTAAGACATATCTTGTAATGCAATATTCTTATTTGATTTTCTTTAAGACATGTAAGAGTCAAGTACAAGTAAGATAGGTCTCTTAATAGGAATCTTTTGCGGCGGGAGAGGGGAATATAATGGGAAAAGACTCTCCAAGTAAAAGCAAAAATGACCTTCTTTAGCGTATTTCCACTGTTTTTCAAGTGCAGCAAGAGTAATAAGTCTTGGCAGTTGGAACATGCCATTCACCTGAGGGCTGTCAATCGTTCTCATTTTGAAAGACACAAAACTTATGAATTGTCAACACATCATTTAGGTGAGAAACCAGTGCTCATCAAGAGAAAAAATTAAAACAAATGCTCAAATAAATAGAAAATCAAAATGCTTCCTGGTCATTTTCTTCCAAGAGCTTAATACAGATAATCTACAGTTCATATGCTATAAAAATTGTAACATGTGAGATATGGACAACAAACTGAATGGCTATTACTTTTCCAATGGAATAGAGTCTAGAGAACAATTGCTTGAATTTTTCTTTCTATTCCATATAAAGTAAATTATTTGTCATTGAGCATCCCCCATAAATACAATTATCTAATACTGAAACTGCTGACAGCCTTGTAGGCTATTTCAGTAGTGGAAGCCAGGACTAAACACACTCAACTACATTAGAGGTTGTCCCTGGAGGACAGAATTGAGCTTCATTGGCAAGGGCACCGTAAGAGTTCCATTTGACTCCTCATTAAACCTCTCACAGGGATTCTAGCTGCTTCTCTGTGTCTGCGCTTGCTTTTCTATAGAAGAGATAGATGTGAACCACGTAGGCAAAGATACATTTCTACATATTTAGGAAAAGATCGCTTTTCTTGGTAAAAACTAAGCCTCCTATAGATTTTAAAAAGACCTTCCAGTTTCATGATCATTAACCACCTTTTTATAATTTTCAAAGGAAGTAGAGAGCTTTATTTCAATTTGTGAGAACTTATTTTTCAATGCTTGTTTTATGGCATGTCAGAGATATTATTATTTTTCTGTGTTTATTTTTTCTCCAGGAAAAGTAGCATTAGGGGAAAACAGTTGGTGATAATGATCTCAGCCTTCTTTACCTAACAATGTGGTTGTCATAATGAAATCTGGACCAATATGTAGAAGCAATTGGTGAAACATAAATTACTATATGCACTGTATGTTGCCCCTGGCTGTTTTGTTGATTTGGAGTCTTGAAAATAGCATAATAAGATTTATCATACTTTGGAAGTATTGTATTGAAAAACCAGTCAATAGCTCAAAGAAACACAAAACATGCTCTATGAATTGAAAACCCCACACTGTGGATGACACAGCATTCACATTCTTTATGAGAATCTCTTCTAGGACACTGTTATGGTTTAAGTGCAATAAAAACAAATGAAAGTATTTTATCCAGCAATAGCAATGTAAAATACTTTTCTCTAGAGAGGAAATTTTCTGTGATTATAAAATAATACTTTCAGTCTTCAGCCCATCTAACCACAATGTTACTAATAAAATAACAACAATGCCAATTACTAATGCTTTACTACTTACTGTTTACTGTTATTGTTCCTCCAAAGTGGTCCACATAATATATATATATATATATATATATATACATATATATATATATGCACAAAGACAGAAAGAGCTGAACAAATTGTGATGTATGACTAAGAGAAAAACAGAAAGACGCAGCAGAATATGATTATTTAAAAGGGAGCCTCATTGTGAAAGTTCTTTTAGCATTTACAAGATTAATTTATGATCAGAACTGCTTTAAACGCCCTACGCACATCAGGCAAGGCTATATCCATGTATACACACAGACATATGCATACACACAAATGAATATCATCATACAGACCCATAATTCACAGACACATTTTAAAATTAAATGCTACTCCAAAGAGAAATTGTTGGCATCCTGTGAGTGTGATTGTTGCCCTTGGCCTATATATATCTTATGTTCTAGAGATTAGATCACTTTACAGCCACTTCTGAGGGCGAGTGGGAATAAAATGCTGCTTCAGGAGCGTCAAAATAAAAAGAAAACATATTAAACCAAAGTTCCTATAAGTGCAATCCCAAGGATTAAATGTTCAGATAGCCCGTAAGTCTAACCCAGAGGGAGGGAGGAGCAGTTAACATTTTCTCAAAAGAAAGAAAATGTCCAAACCAATGATGAGTGGACATGAGGGACCTGAAGAGAGCATGTGATGGGAATGTGAAAACAAAAGAAGCTTCTAAAAGAAGACACCAAGGATAATATTCTCACAAAAATTCAGACCATCATTCTATATTTTCATGCATATGAATTTTGGTACATATTTCATGCATATGAAATTTGGTACATATATACATATATGTACCATGCATATACATATGCGTACATATACATATACGTATGCATACACATATGTATCTATGTACACACATACACATATGTGTACACACATATGTACATGCACACACATATGTGTACACATATGTACATGCACACACATGTGTGTACACATATGTACATGTACACATATGTGTACATGTACACATGTGTATATATACATATTCACACTTATGTAAACATATTCAATCTAAAGCTTCCTTAAGACACATACAAACAACAACCAAATGATTAGTGTTTGGCCATTGCTCATGCAGCAAAAGCTGAGTAAACACAGCTCTGGATCCTTTTCTCAGGCCACCACTCCCTAGCTGTGTGACTGACAAAGTCTATGCCTGAACACCTACATTCATGACCAGGGTGGCCTTTCCTGTCTCCTGTTGCCCAAGCATGTCTCAGGTATAAATAAGTTCCAATACTGACAGGGCACAGCAAGGGTAATTTACATGACAATAAGAAATGATTTCTATCTGAACAGTGCATACCAGAGTTGATTTCGACAGACTTATCTTTAAAAAAATACACATAACAAAAAAGGAGACAAGTAGTAGATTGGGGACCCACAGCTTGAAAGTCGTTGCTTGTGATTCTAAAACATCCCAGTAAAATTATTCACAGATAATTGTTTAAAAATATAACTGTACATACCGTTGACACTTGGACAACACAGAGAATCACGTAGTTGAAAATCCACATATAACTTTGAACTCATCAAAACCTTAACTACTAATAGCCTACTCTTGACCGGAAACCTTACTGATAACATAATAAACAGTTGATTAACACACATTTTGTGTTGTATGTATTGTATACTGTATTCTTACAATAAAGTACGCTAGAGAACAGAAAATATTATTAAGAAAACCATAAAGAGGAGAAAATACATTTATATTCATTGAGTGGAAGTGAATTATCATAAAAGTCTTTAACGTCATCCTTTTCAGGCTGAGCAGGCAGAGGAGGAGGAAGAGGGTTTGGTCTTGCTGTCTCAAGGCTGGCAAAGGTGGAAGAAAATCTGCATATAACTGGACCCAACAGTTCAAACCCGTGTTGTTCAAGGGTCATACATGTAAAATACTGTGATTTTTCCCCCTTCTATATTCAGCTTCAGGTGACCCGACACACTTTGGTATCAAAAGAGAATCTGAAATGTACAAGAACTGCGGATTTCAAATGGAAAAGGTGCATAATTGTGCTATTTGTTCCTGGGTGAGTGTGGGACGGAGACGGTGAGAGTGTTGAAATGGGATGGAGATAATGGAAGCAGTGGGGAAGGAGAGAAAATACCCTTCCTATCACACACACTCACACACTCACACTACACACTATTTCTACAGTCACAACTACCCAACTGTTATTGATCCTTTATAACTGCAATTGAGTACAGATGTAGGAAGATTGAGAGGGAACTGGGATCTGGCGCCTGGATTGCTCAAGAGAGGTCAGGGAAACCCCTCAGAACTCCTGAGACCCAGAGATTGAGGGAGGGGTTGAGGCGGAGTCTGCAATGGGGGCTGTCCAGCAGTAGCAAGCAGCGGGCCGATCCTGGTGGAGGGTTGGGAGGCTGCTGTCATTTTATGGGTCGGCAGCCAGAGTGAGAGTGTCCCTGCTGCCAGAGGACTACGGCGGGCTGGGCGCGGGGTCCCCGCCTCTCGCTCACCACACAGACCCCGCGCCTCCTCTGGCAGCCGCGGTGGTGGCGGCGGCAGAGCCTCGCCCACTCCAATCCCCACCCTCTCCATCCTTAGTCATTAAAGAACAGCAGCGCCTGGCACGTTCTTGGAGGACCCCGGGCGCAGAGGAGGAAAGGGAGCAGGCGCAGGGGGACTGGAAAGGCAGCATGCGCTCGCCAGGAGCAACCTCGGCGCCCAGGGTCTGAGGCTGCAGCCCCAGTTCGCCATTGTGAGCCGCCGCCGGGGGAGTCCGCTAGCGCAGCCGTGCCCCCGAGTCCCCGTCCGCGCAGCGATGGGGCACCTGCCCACGGGGATACACGGCGCCCGCCGCCTCCTGCCTCTGCTCTGGCTCTTTGTGCTGTTCAAGGTAGGGGAGCTCCTCCACCCCTTTTTCCCAGCGGTCCGGGCGGCAGCCGCGCTCCGGCGCCCTCGCTCTGCCGTTGGGAGCGGCGCGCCCCAGGGCACGATGGCCCAGCCGCGGGAAGCGCCTGCCGTGCAGCCTGGGCGCACGCTTTGTTGTCCTCGCGTGTGCGTGTTCCTGGTGGTCTTGAGAGGTAGGGGGCGGGGGGAAGAATAAGGGAAGTTTGCTCCCTCCGGCTTTCGCCCTTTGTGCTCTTTTATCGCTGCTGAAATCCACATCAAAGGTGGGCTTGTTGGATCGTGCTTTCTCAGGCAAAATGAGGTCACTTTCTTTTCTGGTTTCCACTGCACCCCAACGCTGCTTAACCTTTCCGCCCTCCCTCGCACAGAATGCTTTGTCTTAATTTTCCTTACTGCTGGAATTATACACTGGAGAGTGGAGGGGGACTGAGCTCCCTGGACACAAATGGACTGCCAGGGCTACGTTAGGGCAGAATTTTCTTTGAATAAGGAGTGTCAGGTAGAGAGCTTGGTAAGGATTCCTCTCCCCAACTCCTATCAACATCTTTACAATTCCTTTTAAAAAGTCTCCAGACTTTCTCCACTATATTTACAGATGATATTACCCCTAGATTTAATGGTGGAAAAATATATAATAATAAACTTTTTCGTATCTTCTTTGGAATGTGCTACCCTGAGGTTTTACTTTGAGAAAAATGAAAAGCAAAGGAGTTGCTTTTGAAAAATCAGTTTGACAACTATACTGTACATAAATTTTTTTGAAGAAATGTCAGCTAGATGTTTTCTTGGACGGCGATGTGAAGTTCTGAAGTGATTGTCTATCACTCATGTCTTCAGTGGATCTACTTTAGTTCTGTTGTTAGTCTTTTCCTCTCTCCGCAAAGCAAACTCAAGAATGTCGACAGGTGACTTGGAGCTATCCTTTCAGGACCACAGTGATACCTTCCCTAGAAATGGATGCCAGGTTAATGGATCCAAAGGTTTTCTTATTATAGAGTCACTTCTTGCTTATATGCACCATTAATTATGAATGCCTAAAAAGAATATAATGGAACAGGACCAATGGATTAAGAACAGCATTACTTTTAAATACTCCATATTTTCATTTATCTTAATGAAAAATATAAAAAAAATTCAGGGAGAAACAGCAACAGAATGCCTAAGTAAGACCTTAAAATATATTTAATATGTTTTAACATTTTTTCTTAAATTATCAATAATCATTAATTTTAAAGTATGGTAAATAATAAGCTCAGTTATATGTTTTTACTGTAGGAGGTTGTTCTTTCATACACATCATAAATGCATTAGACTTATTAGGTTGTCTATTAGTCGTTTTCTAACTATTTATCAAACTGTCACAACTATTTTACCTATGCAATAATTGTCATGAACCAAAAATTAGAAACCAAGTCACTATGCATTTTACGAGCAACAGCTAAGAGTTATATGTATGACATCTGATCCAAACCTAACGTTTAGCACAACTGCAGGTTTTTGCGTGAGTTCTTCATAATGAGATAATTCCAGAAATAAGAGAATGACTTGGTTGGGAGTGGGGGTAAGGTTTTGCAATTAAAATAAAATAAATGTGGCCATTGTTTGACTTAAAACTCGATATTGGAATGAGAAAATGCAGTTAGTGATGGTGTAATGAAAATGTTAGTGATTGTCATAGAGGTCCAGCCTGCTTCACATAATAGGTATATTCCTGAACATTGCAGGTAAATGTAAATTATGGCAAACTGCTTCCATAGTAAATACATTGGCAAAGTTTGCCATTTAAATAATAATTATTGTAGTGGGACACATAATTTTGTAAGAAAAATCATTTTCCTTTATTTTATGTGAATGTAATATTTTTGTCACCTGAATATAAACTATATCAGAGGAAAGAAGAAAAAACTGTATATATTAAATACCTTCTATGTGCTGGTTTTTTAGGCATTTTACATACGTTATTTCATTTAATCCTATTTTGCTGCAGTTGACAAGAGTTGTTCAAAAAAAATGGTAAATTGGGCACACAGTGTAATATCTTACATTTAGAGGATAGTATATTACATGGTGCGTTGGGCACATGGTATAATCTCTTTATAATTTGGAGATATTTTTGAATTAAAGGTCCTGATTAAGTGCCAGTAAAACAGATCTACTCAAGCAGGTTGTGACTGGAGGATGAGAAAAAATTCATTATTAAATACCAAACTGCTAACTGTATCTCAATAATAAAATCCAAAATGTTCCACGTGTGCCGAGTCAGAAATGAAACATTCTCTCAACTCTCCCTTGCCAAAATAATTTCCATAGTTTTCACTATAGTTAATACATTTTTCACTACTCCATATGTGTATCCTTTATATAAGAGTGAAAATTCTGAAGGAAAATAAGACAGAGAAATTCAAGTATGAGGCTTAATTTACAGCTTTACATTTTCCACAACTCAAAAATAAGCAGCTGGATATCAGTGGTGGAAAAGTAGGAAAGTTTGAATGTGTATGAATGGCTATAATCAGTTCCATTGAGGGAGACTAAATGTGACTGGCCAAGAAGGTCTTTGTGCCATCGTTCCTTATCCATGGAGCAGTGATGAGCACATATAATCGGGCATCTCAGACTGTCTAAATCATTCACTGCACATTATGAAGCTAATATCTGCATAATTTATCTTGCCTAAACACAATGTTGGTTATGAAAATTTTTATTTTTATATCAATATTGATGGTGTATATAAAATAGAAGAAAAAATGGAACTCTGTTATTATATTGAAGGCTACTAATTTCAAAGTCTTCTATGGATGAATGCAAGTGAGGTATTTATCTGGCGAGCCTCGCTGTTGTGTGTCTTCCCATAATTCCCAGTGAAAGAAATGTAACTTCCTACACTTGTCCTATCTTTACTAAAGCCCTCCTAGAAAATGTCTTCCTGTATCAGTTTACTCAGTATAAGTACTTTGTCTACTAAGGTGCAAATCGTGGAATATGACATCATAGGAATTTGAAGTTGGCCTTCCCTGAAATGTTGCTTTTTAGTAGTCAGCTGGAATATATTCCTAAACTCAAGTGCTTGGCGTGTGTCCTTCTTTTTTAACCCCTTCTCTCTATTTCTTTCTATTTCTGCTTTTACCAGAGATATCATCAAAGAATATCAAATTTAAAAAGGGTCTTAATATTGTACTTTCTGAAACAGGTTTATATTTAATTCTATAATACATGAGTGTTATGATACTGGCCATTCTACTCTTATCCAGGGGAAATATCTGTTTTCCACGGTCTGTCTGCCTTTCCTTTCCTATGTCTCCCCTCGCAACCCCATACACACACACAAAGAAGTTTCACTTTTCGTGGTTGAGGTTTCATCCATAAATTGCACAGTGTTGGCAGGTGAACCATAATCCTTTCATTTTGCTGGAGCAGCTTAGATCCTTTCCATCACAATGAAGTTTGCTGCCCTTAACTCCCATGTCATCTGACTCCTTTAATAAATCATATTGCCAACCTTTTGGAGAAACCTTTTTACATGTGACATCCCCAGTAGGTTGGCAAAGGCTCCCTGGGCCATGCTTCTACAGATGATCGAGTAATAATCCTTCCCACTGTGAACATATGTTTCCTTTTGTTCTTTGTTTTGTGAGAGACTATCGTTGTGTGAAGGAATGAAAAATTCACATTACACCTCTGCCTCATTTTGGCCCAAAAGAAAATGCACATTTATGTGGATAACTGATTAAAAACAATATGAGTTGTACTTTATTTTAAAATGTAACACTATTTCTACTATCTAAATATCCAACTTAAAGGTATTTAAACGTATAAGCAGATTTACTCCTGAACCTTATAAATATAATTCTAACTTGAGGGGTTGTAAAAGAATGTTTGATGTCAGATACAGTTGATGCACTTAAGTAAAACATTGTAATTGGTAGCAGTGTGGCACAATAGAAGGCTTAACAACAATGACCACAAGTTTTCATTTTCCCCTAATTTAATGCCTCTCCGTACACAGTTTCAGTGATGTTGCATTTTCAGAAACATATCCCAGTGCAGTGATGAGCTTTACTGTAAAGCACTTAATGTTTTCATTTAATTACTCCAAATATGTTGTAAATATTTTTGAAATAAAGGAATGTCTACTGTAATATTTCTATCTTTCATGGTGCTAGTATGTGGTGTTAGGAATTTAATAGAAGGTTAATAAACAGATTTAAATTTTCTGCATTATATAAAAGCTCTGACTGAGAATTATGAAATATTGTAATATTGACTTGTGAACACATCTTTAAGGAAAATATAGGAAAATTATCATTATGGGAGTTAAATAATCATAACTACAATGCACTCATTACATTCAAATAGTAAAAATTTTACCAATCACTTATATTAGAATCTTATTAAAACCATAAATTAAAATATCAGTTATTTTTCCCAGAAATGTAATATTCTCAGTTGCTCATTTATTCATTAATGTTACCTCACCTCTGTTTAATGTTATTAATTAAAAAGTAGCAAATGACATACTAGGGGAAATTGATTTTTTTAACCTGTATGGGTGACCTACAATTTCAGCTAGTACCCAGATATACAGGTAATATTTTTGCCTCCTCTTCCACATCACCACTCCGCTATGACCACAACCAACCAGAACTGACCAAGATTTCTGTGTTCCTAGTAGAAATCCTCCTAATGTTTTGTCAGACATCACCCTTAAGAGATGAAGTATTTTCTACACCCTGGTCTTGGTTATCCCTATGGTAGTGTTTAATCCAAGGTCGTATAACCCAATTTCTTACAGAACTCTTCTATAGTCATCTTAAATACCCATTATATCAGCTCTTTTTGCTCAAATAAATATGTAAGTTTTTTTTGTGCGCTGGTGTCATTGATTTGAGGAACCCAAACAAGGTTAATGTGGCTCAAGTAAAGTGAGCAAGAGTGTGAATGGATTGGGATGAGTGTGAATGGGTTCCTTCTCTCCTGGTGCTGTTGACTCCAGCAGGTCCCATAGGGTTTCTATCAGCCAATAAGAGGTGGCTCACGCCTGTAATCCCAGCACTTTGGGAGCCTGAAGCAGGTGGATCACCTGAGGTCAGGAATTCGATACCAGCCTGGCAAACATGGTGAAACCCCGTCTCTACTAAAAATACAAAAAACAGCCAGGTGTGGTGGCAGGCACCTGTAATCCCAGTTACTCGGGAGGCTGAGGCAGGAGAATCGCTTGAACCCAGAAGGCGGAGGTTGCAGTGAGCAAAGATCACACCATTGCACTCCAGCCTGGGCGACAAGAGTGAAACTTGTCTCAAAAAAAAAAAAAAAGTATATGTGAATAACCTCCTTAATTAAATACCTCTCATGTAATCTGCTATCACCAATTACTCCTAATGTTTCCCTTTTCCAAGCTTGTTCTAGGTCTTCAGAACACCAATCCTTAGATTTTTTTTCCTCTGCACATTGTACCTTTGAATTTATTTCTATGAGTAAGATCATATCTTAGCCTTGTGCCAGAAAAGCGTTCGCAAGTCTTTCAGCATCTAATTCCCGAATGAAAGATTTCTTCTTTCCTTAGACATTCTAGTTACTTAAAGGCCAGCTCCTTTTTCTTCTGAATATTTTAAAACCACCAAACAAACAGAAGATGTTTGAAACAAGGTTGCGGGGATTTCCTGATAAAAGGTTTTTTTCTTTCCTTTTTTTCAGGAAATTGAGATGAAAGGGAGAAAAGTGATATATGCTTGGAAAAATATTTCAGAAACAGAGAATCAGAAATGGAAATAGGACTTCAAGCTTGAGAGCGGTATTGCAAATTATGAGTATGAATGGTAATTTCTGTAAGAAAATGAATATAGGGGAAATTAGAGAATGAAATGAAGAACATTTGATGAAAACAAATACACTGCAATTCTATTTATATGCAAATAAATGTATTTTCTTATCAAATACTCTTTATCTATTTGGTTTTTCACTCTTTATAAATAGGAATGCTGCACAGTTCATTTTTCTAACAAAACTATTTCTATCTTAATGAAAATTTAAACTAAATAAACCTATTTTTAAATGTGATTTTTGGTATATTTACTAGCAAATTAAAAGAATAGGAATGCAATTTATCTACAAGTAGTGGTGCAAGATCAGAATTATATTAATAGTAATCTATATGAGATTTAAATGATGAATGTTTCCCTTTTTTGTGCTATTTCATTTTACTGTTTTCAGATAACTGAGACTTTGTTTTATTTTCCTCTTTCTGCCTACTAAGTTTTTAATATCAGTGATTTATATAACGGGTGAGGAAAGGCGTCATATGACTCTACCATGCTCTCAATACTGTTCCTTCATTATTACCCGCCATTGACCAAATTAAGTGCAGAGGAATTTCTGACCCTGGTTCTCTCTACCTTTAACCCGTATCAGAGACCAATTATGAGCCTGCTGTGCTGATATGTGTCTTGTGATTCTCTCTTGGTTCCACGCATAGGAATTTGTGATTGGCATGTACAAACCAGATGTCAGAGAATTCAAAAGAATTTTCAGTGCCCTTTGTATCTTCGGTCCTATCTGAAGCCTGATTCCCACCTCCCTATACTTACTTTCTGAATCAATATTGTATTTTGATAAACTCTAGTATTCCTGCTTTTGGATCCTGGCATTAATTATAATTAACCACTCCTTGTCTTTTAGTTTCCTTGAAAGAGCATCCTATAAACATTTTTTGGCTGGCCAATCTTTCCCCAATGCCAAAATGGAAAGATTGAGAAGCTCCCTTTCTTCTTCAATACTGTCTTTTGTATTCCAGAATAAAGACTCACTGCCCAATTCCATTTAGTTAATCAAACATCCATTAAGCATCTAATATGTGCCAGGAATTTTACTAGATATTATAGGTACAGAAGTGGATAATACTCAGTTGAGTCCCTGGCAGTGGCATATTGGGAACATGGACACAGATGATGGTCATTAGAATATGGTGTTTTGTTTTACGGATGAAAATGTGGGCTGCTAGAGGAGAGACACTTAACTATTTAGTGGTTTGGGAAATTATTTATTTTAAGATGATTCCTGAGCTGAGTCCTGAAGCATAGGTACGAGTTAGGTTTAAATATATACACACAAAGGCAGAGAAAACTGCACGAGCAAAGGCCCAGTGTTGTGAAAAGCATGGCAGAGTTTAGGAAAATGCAGATATATATCAAAGGCAATGAAGCCACAGGAGCCAGATCAGGGAGACTTCTACATGCTGAGCCAGAAAGAAGGATCTCTGTATTCTCTAGGGGAAGAGGCCTTATCGAAGGGTTTAATCAAGGCATTAGTGAGATAAGAGTTGCATTTCAGATAGAGCGCTTTGCCTGCAAGAAAGGCTATCCCAAAGGTAGAGCCAGCCTGGAAGAATTAAACTAGTAGCAGGTTGTTGAAATTATCCAATTAAGAGACGACAAACACTGGCATTAGGGTGACAGACAGTCAAAGAGTGGCAATGTTGAAAAATAGCTACATTGGCAAGACTGATTAGATGTGGGAAATTGGAGAGAGCAAGATGTAGGGTAATTTCTTGGTAACCAACCCTCTTGCCTGGAAGAGTAGCGGTCTCAAGATAACATGTGTGCTGGACAGTCTACTCTCGAGATCAACTGTGCTGGATAGTCTGCTCTTGAGATCAACTCACCTCTCCACTGTGCCCAGTGCCAGGAAGTGTCCCTCTATGGACCATTTCTTCCTGTTCCCTTGCCCTTTGGTTCCTAGTGAGTTTGGCCAATAGAAGGCACTAGCCAAAGATTACTGCTAGAAGGAGGGAGAAATCAAATCATTTATTCTCCTAGCCTCCACCCTGGCCAGCCCCCATTAGGCAGTGGCTTCATTCTCTCTTCCAGTTCTATAGTCAGCCCCTCTTACAAGGCTGATGTTCTGGCCAAATTCCTGAAACAGTTCTCTGTCTTTATCCCTTGAGAGCAATAGCTTCTCCCTGCTTCTAGACCCTAAGTATGTTTTCTCCATGCTTAATACATTATTTCTGCTCCAAACCTTGATCGCTTTGGCTAGTCCATCCCTTCATTTCATTCTCTGGGATTTTCTTTTTGAGTGTCCTGCTGGGACCATGACTGATATAAGACATGGTAGGTTTGGTGGTAGACCTTTGAGTTTGAAGCAGTTGAAAACAAATAAATAAACAAAAACAGGTACTTGATATGAGTCTGAAGGGTAGAGGAGATGGAAGGCCTGGAGATGTGAATGGGATCCCCTAGCAGAGAGAAAGGGAGTGAAGGGCAGTGGGCCGGAAGGGGGTCTTGAGAGGCACCGATTGTTAATTTCAGGCAAATAAGGAATTTAAGAAGTTGAAGGCACAGCCAGAGAGGTACAGAAGGAAAGCAAAATCAAGGAAACCCAAGATCTAGGAAATTTCAAGTGGAGGACTTGGCAAACAGCATCTAATGCAACAGAGAGGCCCTATAAGCTAAGGTCTGGAAAATATCTTTATATTAGGAAATAGGTAGGCTATTGGACTCTCTGGAGACTGGGAGGTATAAATGCTTCCGGGAATTGAAGAATAAAAAAGCAGCCCCTTATCTGATAAGAGCATAGGTGCCAGGTGAGATCAGAGAGACCTGAAGTCAATATCAATTCTCCACTATGCTATTTACTGGCAGTAGGATGCTGGGAAAGTTATTTCACCTCTCTGGATTCCCTTTTGTTCATCTCTTATACATATGTCTTAGAATTATTGTCAGGAATAAATAAGAAAATGACCACAAAGTACTGGGAACAGTGCCTAGAATACAGTGAGCACTCAATTAATGTTATGTATAACAATAAACTAAAGAGAAAAATAGTAAAAATAGGCAAAGTGAAGTCAAAGAGGTAGGGCAATAAAAATGTGTACAGAGCAGCATTTCCCAAAATGTGCTCCACAGTACACTGGAGAGGCTGGCAATACTCTTGTATTGAATGTTATTAAAAATGAATACCTTTGTGGTGACATGAATTTGGGAAATTATTAGTTTAACTTTGTTTAAACTAGTATTAACTTGTTTTTGTGTGCCAGAATTTCTTAGAACTTTTAATATGTTAACACGTATTGTATCTTCCACAGGAGAAATATGATGTATAACATTTTCAAACTTGTTTGATTATAGTATCCTTTTTGTTTCTCTTTCTTTCTTTTTTTTTTTTTTTTTTTTGACAGAGTCTTGTTGCTCTGCCACCAAGGCTGGAATGCAGTGACATGATCTAGGCTCACTGCAACCTCTGCCTTCCAGGTTCAAGCAATTCTCCTGCCTCAGCCTCCCAAGTGGCTGCGATTACAGGCATGCACCAGCCTGCTCAGCTAATTTTTTGTATTTTTAGTAGAGACAGAATTTCACCATGTTGGCCAGGTTGGTCTTGAACTTCTGACCTCAGGAGAATAATGAATATGCTCTAAGAAACAATATTTATGCTTATATGATAGATGCTTTGTTTATCTTTCCTTTGTTTAAAAAATTATAAATGTAACCTTAAGGATAAAGAAAACATAGCAGCAAGATCAACTGTAATTTAAATCTCAGAATCAGGAGAATTTGCTTGGAAAGCAATCATCCCAACTTTCTTATAAAACACTGATGTTCAGGAAAATGCTTTTGGAGGAAAATACGTAGATATCTTCCTTACTTTATGGACTGTACTAATTCTGGCTTCAGTAATTGTACATGTAAAATGTTTCTTTGAGTTTTGAATCAAAAAATGAACCATACATTTTAACATCATTTTCCAATGTAATTATCTTAATATATAGCTTAACAGACCAATCAACTTTGTTCAGTATATATCATTGAATCATAAAGCCATATTTTTTCAAAGACCATCTAGTTCAAAATTTAAGCTGATGCTTAGATATTGTCTCTAATATCACTGCTAATTAATCATAAATGGTGACATTACCAACAGCTGTAAAGTAGCCATTCCACCTTCAGACAACAGTTTTGTTGTTTTGTTGATTTGGTTTGGTCTTGAGATTAACTACTTCTGGTTGTAGCATTCACATGTTACTTCCATCTCTGTTTGACTTTAGTAGAGCACTATATAGTAACTGCTCTTGCTCTCATGCATGTTATGAATAACTGCTTTGCCAACAGACCTGATGGCTTATAAAGATAAAATGTGAGAAGCTTGTCATCTCACTGTTCTGTCCTCATCCTCCATCACACAACTTTAAGCTATTTACACCAGCCTGAGTTTTCTGCCTATTGCCATTTTTTTCTTTTTTATAGCCCCAATAACAAATTGAGTAGAAAACAGTTTTTATTCTTCCCGAGGGTGTTCCACGATGAACCATGGTAAGGAGTTGGGAATGCTAGTGTGAGAAAAATGCATGGCACATAGTAAGCATTCTATACATGCAGATTTTATATTATTCCAATCTCTGCTCAAGAAACATTTTTATTCAGCACTTCTTTCTGAACAGCCTATCTAAAATCATCCCTATCACTCTAATATTTTACCACTCTTACCTAAGCTTCTTTTTCTTCAGAGAATGTATCATTCACTAAATGACATTACATTGCATATTTTATGATAACTTAGCTCCTCTATGGGAATATTTATAGGTTTCATGACAGCAAGGACTTTGTCCATTGTGTTCACTGTTGTATCCTCAGCTCCTGGAAGAGTGCCTGGCCTATGGTAATGTCCAGTGAACATTTGTTGAACGAGTGAATGAATGAGTGTTGAATAAATAAATGGAGTGAGGGAGGTCAAATGGAAGGTATGGGACAGACTCGAGACAGAGGAATAGCAGGATGCAGGTGTGCAAGCACAGGGAGTAGAGAAGCTGCACAGTGAGATGAGCTAGGAGGGAGGGTCTATCAGGCAGGCGCCACTGAGTCGGGCTGGGGAGGCAGTGGCACCAGGGTGGAGGATGACCTGGAGATGCCATTTTGCTCTGGTGGAGGGAATAGAGGTTTTATTACCACAGGTGAAAATGAGCTCATTTAGACATCAAGATAATGTTCCTGACCCTTTTTTTTCTCTTTATTTTATCAGGTTAGAGTAAACCACTGAGGACCAAATGATGGGTGCCCAAGTCATAAATAGGTTCCCTTGTGTAATGAAGCAAAAGCATAGCTTTTCTGATCATTTATTCTCCATCGTATTCATTGACTGTGCCTATAATTTACTTACTTATAAAAAGTAAGTTTTTAAAATGTAAAACTTTGTTTTTATCTTGGCTCTACGGTTTGAAAATGTCAAATAGAAACTTAATGTGTAAATCTTTTTTTCTCTCACCATGCACGTCATATAACCAGATTGTCTCTAGACCTCAAAAGGCATTTCTGGAAACTCACACAACTAACTGAAGCTCTGATGATAAATTATTGTTTTTCTTCAAAACTTAAAACTTTTATGATTTCCTTTACTTTTGGAAATTTTATTGTTTATTTTTTTAAATGCACATAGATACCTCACGGAAATTTTAAAAATGACTTTTTGAAAATGATTGTCTTTTCCTGGATAAAATTCCATTACGTAACTTCTTATAGAAACAACTGGTAATTTTTATACTCAGTTGAAATACTAGGTGATAAATATTTTATTATGCAACACAGACAGTGAGTTAAACATGCTGATTCATGAGTGCTACATAAAGTGTTAGTACATATAGACCAAAAACCTGAATTGTCCAGATTTTCAAGTGACTAACATACAAAATATATGCTTAAGACAACTGCTATTACTTAAATAATTCAGTATTTCTCTGGTAAGTTGAAAGGTATTACATAATCTTGTAATGCACTGATCTATATCCATAGTCTATTAACTGTACTGAAAAAGTACTGAAGTTTGGGTTAGCTGTAATTTTTATTCTACAACTTTAATTTTGTTTCTGTTTGTTGGCAAATCAATATATCATCCAAAGCCAAAAATAGAAGGAAAATTGTGATCAAATTATTTACACTCTCACATACATGACTGAAAGGAGTTTTTGCTCCTGCCTTTATAAATTTATGATCAGGAGACTCACTTCTGGAGTATAAAAATAGCATTAATAATTCTTTAATGAATTGTTTTCCTTAAAATTAATAATCTTCTTTACTCAATATCAAATCAAAATTTCTGGAAACATTTGAAAACACATTTACACAAGTCTCTTTCTGTCTCTGGAGTGGCTACACTAGAATTAAGCTAATTGTCACACATCATCCTGTCTCTGAGATAAGCCAGGAATTTCCAATTTTAGTCAAGTTGGTGATCCATAAAATAGATATCCTAGTAAAATTACTATGAGCTTTCTACTTACTTTGATATTGTGCTGATAACTAAAGTGTAATTATAAAAATTGAAGTGTTGTTACTGCCAAATACCACAAAGTATAAGCATCACACTTATAATAATACATATTGACACCATCACCTTAAGAAATATCTTCTCATTTGAATGTACTTAAAATTCTTAGATTTTTATCTAGGAAAAAAAATTGGCTTCTAAAGTTCGTGAATGTTAAGTTGATTAATAAGATAAATAGTAAAAGACCGAGGGAATGGTATATTGTCTCCATGTATTATTAAACATTGAGTCATGTGGTCATCTCTTAAAGGATTATAGAAAAAAAAGGTTTTTATGAAATGCATTGGTGTAATAGCCTTATTTACATATAAACATAGTGAGGAGATGTGCCCAAGTTTATTCTGCATTGCCATGGGGGAATTTCCTCTGCAATTTTCCCTAACTAAATTATACTTTTTAATTAGTCTTTTAGAACTGACTATAGGCCTTATTCAAAGTGGTTAGATACTTGAGATTTGTAATATGGAAATTGTGGTATTGACAAAGCTTTGCTAAAATAATCACAAGGACTTAGAACTAAATACTTTGGAATTCATTCTAAAAACTTAGTTTATGAGGTTTTGTTATTTTTTTTTAATTAGCGAAATTTGCTAAAACTGAGCCACCCTTATAATGTGTCTCAGATTGCTTCCTTGGATTTACATTTTATTTATTTGCAACAAATAAAATACAGTTGCATCTTTAAACCCTTTTTCCATCTCTATGCTATTACCTTGGTTCATTTCTACTGCTAGATTGATGTAACATCTTTCTTTTCTGAAGGATAGTTGAGAAACTAATGAGAATCTTTCCATTGAAATTCTTGCTGCTACACTGAGGCCTTCAATTAGCCTCTTTACTATATGGCTGCTTATGGTTTTGAAGTAAGGTATTCTTAATTTGATATCTTTAAGCCTGAATCAGGTGTGCATCATCATGCACGAGAATTCTGTAATAACATACAAAGAACTGGAAAACTGACAGATGTTCACAGCGGAAAATGTATAAAATACAACAGGCAGAAAAAGAATATCATCATTCCTAAACACTGCATTCCAAAATAGCTACCATCTGGAGACATATCTTTCCAAATCTTTTCCTGTATCTGTGCATTTGAGTGTGTATGTTAAAAAAAAAAAAGGTATAAAACTTCCCTACTATACATGCTTTTTTCACTTAAAGGTATTGTGATAATTTTTTTCAAGACCTGAACATTTTCACTCTTCTGCAATTTAGGACATTAACCCATATGTCAAGGTCAATTGCATGCAATTCCCAAGTGTATTTGCATTGTTAAAGACGTAGATGATCATAGATACAGATTGTAACCATGAAGTGGGGAAAAGGAATTTGTTGAGCAAAGAGATTGTTGTCTATGTATGTGCCCACCATTAGTGTAACTACTGAAGAATTACACACATAGCAAAACTTCAGAGGCTATATTGGCAGGCATTTATTTTCCATTTTTTCACAACTAAACACTGTGCATAAGGAACTTAAGAATAAAGGCATGCTGGTTAAAAAAAAAGATATAGGATTGAATTCTGGCTGTATTCTTTACTAGCTATGGCATTTGGCAGTGTACTGATCTCTTCATAGAAGACAAATCACAGTGGCTGCACAGATCACTATTCCTCCAGCAGCCCAGTCTGCCATCCCACCAGGTCAGCCTACGCCCAGCCTTGCTAATATCTTGCTAATCTTGGAGGAAAATTTCTTTTCCTCTTTGATCCACATAGTCTGAAGTTGGGATACCATTCTCCTACTTGACCTCACTGCTCTGGGCAGAATGAACAGCCAAGAGGTGAACACCTGACCTAAGCCCATGTGGGGACTGCACCTCGCTGACCACTGTCTTTGGAATTGGCATGTGATCTAAGCCAGAACAATCAGAACCTAGTCCTACAATTGTTTTCAAACTGGCAATGGCAGGGGAGGTGAAAGAATATTTTCCTTTCCAGTTGTGGAGCTAAGGCATGAGCTTGGACAGTGTCCTCAACCATAAAACTGACTCAAGAAGAAACGTTTTGTAGGAAGAAATATTTTATAGCAGAAAAGAAGCCAGCAGGAATAGTAGAGACTTCAGCAAGACTATCATTCATTGCAGGAAGATGATCTCATTCCTCAGACTCCAGTGAGTCACTCCACAGGCACTTAGAAAAATTACAAATTTACTAAAATTCAACTCCATCATAACCAAGCAGGCATAATAGTGATACTTGGGATCCTTATGTAAACTGAATCAGAGTGATTATGTAATTTATCATACCAACCGGAACACTTCCGAGAGTGAAGGGATCCTTATGCCAGGACAGAAGACGCAAATCAGCCTGTTCTGGGAAAACCGTGATGGATGGTTACCTCTTCCTGAAAACACAAACAAACACGTTTTGTGCAGTATGCAGTCACTAGTTCCTCGCCCATCTCACTCATCCATGAAAATCTCTGCTCTAAGATGAACTAACCATAGAAAAGGAATTGCAATTATCTTAAATCAAAAACTAAAACCTGTACACACATATTCCTAGAAACTTCCTACTAGCCCAGAACTGAGAATAACCAAAATGTCCTTCAACAAGTAAAAAGTTTAAAAACTGTGGTGCATCCATACCATATAATATTATTCAGCAATGAAAAGGAATGAACCATTGATACACATAGCCACTTAAATGAACTTCAGGAAAATAATGCTGAGTGGAAAAAGTCCATCTCAAAAGGTCTCATTCTGTATGATTCCATTATATAACATTATGATGAAGGAAAGTTTCATGGTTGCCAAAGACTAGGGATTAGGGGAATGGGGAATAGCTGCATGTGGCTAAAAGGGGCTAACATGAGGAAGCCTTGAAATAATGAAACAGTTATATATCTTGATTGTGGTGGTAATTACATAAAGTTATACATGTGATAAATTTGTAAGATCTGGACATACACTCACAAATGAGCACATATGTAACTGGTGAAATCTGTATATGCTCTATGAGATGTACTAATATCAATTTCACCTTTTGGATTTTTCTTGTTTTAATATGTAAGATATCAACATTGGGGGAGGCAGGATCAAAAGTACCTGGAACTTTCCTGTATATTTCCTTGCAACTTCGTATAAATCTGTAGTTATCTCCAGGAAAAATGTTTTTAAAAACTTTATTAGGTTTTTCAAAGCTTGCTTTGTTTTGTTTTTTGTATGTGTGTGTGGCACTCTGCTATGTATTTTAACAGTGGATAGATATAGTCTTTGTCCTACAGGGACTGTTTCAGAAAAACAATAACTACAATTGCAGGGAAAGTAAGTTATCGAAGCAAATTTGAAGCACCTAGGAACATACACAAAATACACAAAGACCTCAATAAAACACCATTAGCTGCAAACTCAAATTTATTATGAAGCACGTTGTATATTGGACTATATTCTTACCAGGTTTATCTAGAAAGTTCTTGAAAGGACCAATCATTAAGGCATTCCCCTTCATAATTCCCACAACATTGTTAAAGGCAACATTTTAATGACTCTTCAGAGAATCAGATAAAAAAGGAAATTACCACTGTAAGAGGTAAGGGCAAAATATTAATTGATAAAGTAATATTCTTCCATTCTTTTAGTAATTATTAAGTAGCATATCTGGAAATGGTATAAATAAGTCTGAACAAAATAGAAAGTATAAGATAAGCTTACAAGGTTTGAGTAAAACAGGAGCGGAGTAGAGGAAAAGAATGGATGAAGTATTAATGTGAAGATGAATACATGTTCAGATATTTCCACCAGTCAATCATCAAACATGTATTAAGGTAAACATGTAAGGAAGGCACTGTGTTCCTCATTTTAAGAGTACAAAACAAAGTTATTTTGCTAAGAAGTCTGTAATACAAGTGAAAATAACAAACATGTAAGAAGCTAAAGGGCAATATATGAGTTAATACTATAATAGAAGCTTTGAAGTATTAACGTATTAGTTTATAAATGAATGAGAAAGAGAACTGTATTGAAATAAATGTCCTTGCATTCAGATAAAGGAAAAAGCTCTTGGGCTGGAGGGAGCACTGATTTCATGAAGGAAGACAAAAATTTAATATAAGTCCAATAGAGTTTAAACAGTTAAGAGCAGGTTAAGGAAAACATTTCACATTGGAGAAAGAGAAGAACAGAAGTAGAAACACGAGAAAATGTAAGTTATGTTTAGGAGGCTTGAATAAAACAGTGGGGACAGATTCAGGTCCTGAGGAGGATGAGTAGTTGGAAATGAGGTTGAAAAGGTGGTTTTGCCCAGCCATGAACTTCTATTCATAATAATCTATTCAATAATGCTGCAAAGGGAAACATTAAAATGAGCTTTAGTTCAGCAGTGGTGTGCAGGAAAAAAATTATCATACCTCATTTTAGCTTTAATTGATTTTATAATTCCAAATTTGCTGTTAAATGCAAATGCTTAATTCTAAATACGTGTGCTCTGTCTTAATTAGATAAAATAATCCTCTGTTGCTTGGGTAGTTCAGTAAATTAGTCCCTAGACTTAAACTCCCCTGGATCATGTTGTTTATGCATTAATCGGTATGCACTCTTAGAGATAAATGAAAAATAAATGGATTTTTTCAGAGACAAGTTGTAACTGTCAGCATACTTTCAAATTTATATCCTCTGCATGTGACTAAAAATTTGCCATCGTTTACTGTAGTAATTACAATTCATATATATATGCTCCCATACTTGTAGAATTTCTTCTACATGTTTGTATTTTATTTAAAACTACATGTTGCTAGCCAAAGCTAAGTAGAGAATCTAAACCTCACCATTATGTACATAACCATGCCACCAACTCAACAATGTAGGTTCTATCTGCATTTGTATATAAGATATGTCCCAAAGGAACTAATCAATGTAGGTAACTGAAGCAGAAATTAAATGATTTAGTTCTTCCAAGCCTCACTGCCTTATTGATAATGATGGAGATGATACTGATGATCCCTACCATTGACTGAGTGACTGCTGTTTATTGGGGACATTCCTAGGAACTTTATGTACATTATCTCATCGAATCCTTATACACTCCTATATATTATAATCATTTCAGTAATGGGCAAACTGAGTTTCAGGGAGAAACTAAAGGAGTTAGGAGTGAAACCTTGGTCCATTTGACCACAGAACTCTACACACACTGTAACATACCATACTACTTTGTGTGAAAACTATGACACGGCTTGTATTTCCCCTTTATTGGTCTACCACTTCTTCCTCTTCCTCTTACTACGGAAATATCTCGAGACACAGGTGACTGAATCAGTCCTTGGTTGGGACTGCCTTTTGGACAGAAATGGGGTAGGGATCACTCCTGGAGACAGCTGATTCCTGCCCATCCAAAATCATTCTTGCGGTTTCTTTTTTCTGTCCGTCAATCTGTCAGGCACATGTTCCCAGAAAAAAGTCTGTATATCAGTGGATTCCTATATATTCGTAAACGTCAGGCTTATTCTTTTGTTTTTTATCTTCTTCAGTGTAATAGATTTGATGCTTCTGTACTCTGTAAGATAATTACACAGAGCTGAATGTAATGTTACGTGCTGATGGGGAGAACTGGTGTTTTAAATTCTTTTAAATCTGGAGCTTTTATGGTCAACGTTAGAAGCACCATGGCAGACTTATGCCCTGGCTTTAGAAGCCTGTATGAGATTTTGTGACTTGCTGGCTTTATGAGACTTTTACACCTCAGATTGGCCTTTCCCTCCAAGAAAGATACCACCAGACAACAACAATTTTAACACTAATGTCTTCCTTTTGATTACATTAGATTTGCAAATTAAACAGATTAATAGTAGTGTTCTGTGTTCCTCTCAGCTCTTCTGTTTAATACTCTTATCTGACAAAGTGTAAATAGAAGACATAATTAATTACTCATTACTTGCATGTCAAGTTGCATAAAAAATTACATCCCCAGGAGGCCTATTATTACATATCTGACTGTTCAGTGAAATTAGTTTTGCAAAGAAAAAGCATACCTTAAGGTAAGGGTTTTGTTTGTTTTTCTTTTCTTTTTATTTAATTTATTAGAGTATCTGCAAAAAATTGTGGAAGAACAACATTAACTCTTAATACACAATTAAAGAGATTAATTCATTTGCCCAAGGATATGTTATTTTTCCTTTTTTATTTTTTAGTTTGTCCATGAGATATTAAACTTTGCATTTGAAAGTTATAAGCTAATGATGCTTCTACAAAAGGAAGACCCCAGAATATGCCTATTGTCTCTTTAGTATATATCCCACAGAGAAAGTTATTAGTTAAGCAGGCTATGTCATACCCCCTCCTCTGTAAATTGTCTCAACCTTGAGCTGGGAAGTGTACTGCCATGACTGAAAAAAATAGAATAATTTTCCAGCCATTTCTTGTCTTATCTGTCTAGAGTTGATCTGAATGAAATGAGGTCTCTGCTTCAACTGGAGAGCTCAGCATTTCATATTTAGCTCTCAATCTGTTTCATGATAATTTTTGAAGGAACAGACTGCTTATGACAAAATGTGCTGTACTATTATTAAAGGCATACTGCCTTTATAGAGTTCCATCACTTGAAACAAAGTGCTGGCTGGGAAGAATTCTTGAATGTGCATATCTTCTGAGGTTTTTTAACAGCTATTAAATAAAATATAGTATGTGCCTCAGGTAAGAGAAAACCAAGTACCTGATTAAAAACAAAACAAAACAAAAAGGTCGTAGCATTGTCAATAGAGCAAAGCAGCATAAAGCAAAGATTACCTGCCTGCAATCACTTAGTCACTTCACCTCTCTGTAAAAATGACAATCATAATCACCTCTACCTCGCAGGATTACTGTGAGGTCTAAATGAGCTAATCTGTGAAAGCACTTTGTAAACTGTAAAGCACAATTTAAATACATATTATCTTATTAAAAATGTCTGCATCACCTGTTTCATTGACTCTGGGAGAGAGATGTTTTCTTTTCCACATTTATGTGTATTTGTGCATGTGTGTAGTGTGTTTCGTGGAAGCCTTTAATTAACACGGTAGTACTTTCTTTTTCTTTTTATAAACTAAAGTTTGCCATACCCAAGTGCACTTTCTGTCACCTGAAGTCACAGCTTAATTATGTGTCTGGAATGACTTAATATATAAAAGTCATAAAAATTTCTGTCTAATGGCAACTATTTTTATGTTAGCCCTGTCTTTTATATACTGACCAGATCATTCTCATTAAAAATTGTTGTTTATCTAATTTCATACCCATACCACCCAGCATTCTATTTGTACAGTGTTTTATGTCTATGATCACCAATCATCTTTCATATGTTATATTTGAGCATAATTTATTCTTTCTTTCTATGAACATTTATAGAGCATCAATTGTGTGCCAAATACTGTGCTAATCATTCAGTGTCTCCTTGGATTTCACTTATCTGTAGGTAAAAGTGATTACATATTTATAGTAATAACTCCAATTACAGTGCAGTTGGCTCAACCAGTACACACCCAATATCAGCCTTTTTCCTATGAAGAGCCCTCACAGGTGTTGCTCAGTGCCCAGTGGGGCTTTGCTGTGGAACCCTAGTTCTCTGCCCTTCCAGCCTCGAAGTTTTCCTGTTAGACATCTGCCCTGCTCGACCAGGTGCTACCACTGCCAATCCCAGCACCTTCCTTGATGTACCCAAAATCTTCCCATGCCTTGAAAACTAAGCCTTTCTTAGTATGTCAAGCTGTTGCTTTGGGGTTTTCTTTGTTAGTTTGGTTTTCCCATTGCAGTTTGTCAGCTGTGGGCCGATAGGTTTCTGGAATTTCAGTGTCACCAATTATTCAGGTATGTGTACCTATTCAGGTATGTGTACCAGAATAATTGTGTGTGAAGGTGTGTGAAGTCCATTTAGGCACAAGCTGGGATCTCCACTCCCGACCCCATCACATTAAAAATAGCAAAAATTACTTATCTAATTTTATCTTCCTCTCATTTGCCTTGTCCATCTTCTAGTTGAGTTGAATAAACTAGTGGACAGTGAAATAATCAAATGCAGGATAGCATACAGGAAGATGAAAAACATAAATATAATCTAATTTTTTAAAGCCTGTGTTAAATTTCTTCTGCTTGTAAACGTTTTGAAATCTTAATTGAATATGAAAATAGATACAAGGTAAAAAGTTTATTTTTGTTTGATACTGTGCTCCATGTATTTATTTCTAATTTCCACAGTGGATGGAATATTAGAAATTATTGAAAGTCCTAATTATCTCAAACATTTGCATTTTACGTTAAATGTCCTAAATAAGCAACCATTTAATATGAATTTAAAATTAAAATTTAAAGGCTGGACGCGGTGGTCCATGTCTATAATCTCAGCATTTTGGGAGGCCAAGGCGGGAGGATCACTTAAGTCCAGGAATTCCAGAATAGTTTGGGCAGTATGGCGAGACCCCTATCTCTACAAAAAATTTCAAAATTACCTGGGCATGGTGGCTCGCACCTGTAGTTCCAGCTACTTCAGAGGCTGAGATGGGAGAATCGCTTGAGCACAGGAAGTCGGGGTTGCAGTGAACATGATTGTGCCAGTGCACTCCAGACAAGATGAAACAGCAAGACCCTGTCTCAAAAATAAATATATATATATTTTTTGAGACAGAGTCTGGAGTCTCGCTCTGTCGCCCAGGCTGGAGTGCAGTGGCGCCATCTCCGCTTACTGGAAGCTCCGCCTCCCGGGTTCGCGCCATTCTCCTGCCTCAGACCAGAGGCGCCTGCCACCACGCCCAGCTAATTTTTTGTATTTTTTAGTAGAGACGGGGTTTCACTGTGTGAGCCAGGATGGTCTCGATCTCCTGACCTCGTGATCCGCCCGCCTCGGCCTCCCAAAGTGCTGGGATTACAGGCGTGAGCCACCGCGCCCGGCCATAAATAAACAATCTTTTTAAGAAAAGTTTCATTCTTTATAGAAACATATCCTACGTTGAACGAGAGTTTTAATGTGAGTCTACATAATCATTGTCAGGTTCTAACTAAAAAGAAGGCAAATATAAAAACCGGCTTTGTCACTTGAAGAACACAAGAAATAATAATGAGAACTATGCACCATTTCACAATTCTCACACTTGAACATTGTTAATGTTGAAGCCCCAGGATTATGGAAACACTGGAAATATGCCACACTGTGATCACATTCATTTTTAGAATTAATAGTAGGTATCATCCAAATGGTTCTAAAATACATTTTTTAAGTGTGAAATGTCTTTCACAAATATGGCCATGACTTTTCAGAGCACTCTTTTGCAAATAAATAATTCTGGATAGCCAAATTCTACTAGACCTCCCTATACAGAAATCTCATAAAACTCAGATAAATGCAAATAAGTCAATGAAAAGAATAGCTCTCTATCTTCCTCCTAACTCAGCCACTTAAGACTAATATTGCCTCTATTAAAGAGATGAAAGCAGATGTGGTATACATTATTGATATTGCTCCACATTGAAAGTTAAAACTTTTATATATGTTCTCTCAGATTATATAAAACTCATATAAAATTTACTTAATGAAGTTTTCAAAATAGTGTATGGGAAAAAGGGTAAGTTTGTGATTTCATGGCTGTTTTCATATGCTGATCTGAATTCAATGTCGTCTCTCTCTTTTCACAAACCATCTGGGAGATTGACAAGTTGCATCTCACCAGATGGCCTACCATACCAACCTCACACTTCCATGGCACCATCCCTCCATGATAAATCCTGAAATGCTTTAATACAATGTTCCTGCTCGGGAAGAACTCCACAGCTCATGCCTTACGAACCAGTTCATCGTCACCCACTTCATTTCCCAAGGTTGAAATGGGATATGATTTCCACTGGGTGCTAAATTATTCTATGGCTCAGAGGAATTAAGTGATCCCAGCTGAATACACCACCAAGCTCCTATCATCCTATCTTTCTACAATCTCTTTTCTTATTCTCTGTTTCCCTTACTACTCCCTGGCCTATTCTTTTATAACTTACACTTTACAGAGAGATTCCATTCTTTTTTCCTCTCCTTTTCCATATACATAAATCACTGGAATGTATACTTTAAAGTGTCAGAAAGCAATGACAGTTTTGAGCTGTGGTTCATGTCTTCCTGAACCTAGCATGCAGATAGTTGATACTATACAATACAAAACTGAATTGTCTGTGTCAATTATTTTATAGTATCACTACATATTTAAAAGATACTATAAAGACACATGCACACGTGTGTTTATTGTGGCACTGCTCACAACAGCAAAGACTTGGAACCAACCTAAATGCCCATCAATGATAGACTGGATGAAGAAAATGTGGCACATATGCACCATGGTATACTATGCAGCCATAAAAAAGGATGAATTCATGTCCTTTGCAGGGACATGGATGAAGCTGGAAACCATCATTCTCAACAAACTGACACAAGAACAGAAAACCAAACACCACATGTTTGCGTTCATAAGTGGGAGTGGAACAATGAGAACATATGGACACAAGGAGGGAAACATCACACACCGGGGCCTGTCGGGGGGTGGGGGGTTAGCATTAGGAGAAATACCTAATGTTGATGATTGGTTGATGGATGCAGCAAACCACCATGGCACGTTTATACCTATGTAACAAACCTGCATGTTCTGCACATGTATCCCAGAACTTAAAGTATAATAATAATAATAAAAGATACTGTCTGGGAAGAGATTCTTAAGACCACTCATTCTTCCTTTTGCCTTTACAAATGTCAGAGAGGCACTAAAGAACAAACTGTGAAGGAAAAAGACCTGAAAAAATATCTTTTTTCCCCTAGCTTACAGATCAAATCTGACCTCAATATCTTCCCCCACTCCCTCCCCTACTTTTCCCCTCTGAGCCTCTCTCATAAGTTTTATAAATTCTTCCAGTCATTTAGTGTTCAAGAAGAGAGTCCAAATCAGAAACTTTGCTTAATATGATAGGTCTCATTTCTCTGGTGCCTTGATCATCTTTCTTTAAATAGAGTGAATTTTAGCTTCCAAGTTATTTTTTCTTCTCTTTCTTGACTTTTAGACTTTACTGTGTCTGTATTCTCTGACAAACATATAAACTGCTTATATCTTCACCCTCATGTTTTGCATATCAAATCCAACTATCTGCTAAATTTTTCTTTTCATTTAGCAGTAACTGACTACCATAAATATACTATCACTGTAAGAACAAACCATGTCATAGAGAAGTTTGCCTCCAGGAACTTTATTTCAAATCTTTTTACTTAAGTTTTCAAAATGCTACTTTATATGTTATTTTATTTCTCCCATTGCATCCCCAGGTTGGGTCAGATGACAGTATACCTGCATCATCTTTATATGTGGATATCAGTTTCCATTTCCTATTCTCCCACATGCAGAGCTGCAAGAAGTTGTCTGCAGCTTGTTGGGCACATAAAGATCTTTATGGAACAGGCTCTGCACAATCCAACATAATATTGACCTCAGAGAAGTTTGGTGCTTTCCTTGGGTGTGACTTTGTCGACTAGAAGATTAGCCAGTGTTTCTCAAGAATACCGAATGGTCTATTTGGTGTAGATAAAAAGAGAAATTGTGATGATTAATGAAAGAGGAATTTTTGATACGGAAAGAATAAGATTAGTTCTGTCATGAGGATAGGGAGACCAACAGCTAACTCAGTTAGTTAAAGGATAATGGAATAGAGTAACATGAAAATCTGTCATCTTACTTCCCTGCTTAAAACATACAAATAGATTTTCATGGTTCTTCAGATAATGCCCACACTTCTTCAGGGGTTTAAAGTCTTTCATGATCTGATTTATTATCACTTTGTTAGTGTCATCTCTTGTCAATTCCTCACCTTTTTATGCTGTAATCTTTCTGAATTTTTCTCTGTTCCTCACACTTGATACTCATTCTCACCTTCCTCTAATCCTTTGCATATACCATTCTCTCTGCCTGGAAAATTCCTAACTCTACACTCTCCCCTTAACCCAACAAGTGGCTCCTCATCCTCCAGGTCTCAGCTAAGATGATACTCCATTCACAAATGCATTCCTGACCTCCTCTCCTTTAAAAATGGGAGGAGTACTCAGTTTTTTCCTCCTCCTCAGAAACCTTCCATACTCCATCCTTAATTGGCTATCTGGAAAAGTCCTGTTTATTTATCAAGACACAACTTAAAACAGTTTTCTATTCTTTGAAACCATCCCAGCCTCACTCAAGTGTAGTTGATTCTTTTCCTTCTTAATACATCACTATAACTTGAAGATATGTCTATTATTAATTAAATTACACTGCTATGACAAGATTTCCCTGTATATTTATATTCCCAACCAGGCAATAAATATGATCTCCTTAAAGAAAGAGACTGTCTTATATTCACTATTATCATTTTACCCCCAAATATACTCTTTCCTCACCTGCTTATCTTACAGATGTAATTAATTTTTAGTTACCTATCTGTTACTCTGTAAGCCTTCTAAGGGAGGGACCATGTTTAATTCACCACTCTTTACCTACCACGTTTCACAAACCTTGGCACATACAGACACTCAGATAGTTTTAGAATGAATGTATGAGCTTGTATTTGTATACAAAAGATAAATTTTTCTGCAAGTATTAACAAAAAAGGACTGAACCAGAGACTCTTAGTAGTTTTCTGTAGCCTTTACTAATGTTGATAATATATGATAAATTGGAGGTCATAGAAAATTCATCTGGTCTATTTAGTTACAATTCATTTGCATGGCCCCATGCAGGGCAGAGATCTAGAAAAAATAACACTTATGAAAAGTTATGACAAATAAATCAGATGAGAATACCAGATTATACAATTTACCTATGGCCCTAAACATAGTCTAATATACTTAAAAGACAGACATACTTAATATCATCTGCATACATTTTTTTTCAACAAGCATTATTTATAGATCATCTAAAATATGCTAGGCTCTGCTGATAGGAAAAATAATGCATCCCAAAAGATGACCATACCCTAACCCTAACCGTAACTGTGGAAGCTGTAAATGTGTTTTCTTATATGACAAAAGAGACTTTGCTGATCGGATTAAGATTAAGGACCTTACAACAGCAAGATTATTCTGGAATTTCTAGCTGGGCTCTCCAATCACCTAGTTCCTTAAAACTAGAAGAGGAAGGTAAAAGACTAGGTCAGGGAAACGGCCACAGAGAGACTCACCCTACCATTGCTGGCTTGGAAGATGCAGGAGAAAGGGCATAAGCCAAGGTATGCAGGCAGTGGAAGGTGATAAGCCAAGGTATGCAGGCAGTCTCTAGAATCTGGGAACAGTCCTCAGGTGACTACCAGCAAGGAAATGGCGACCTCAATCCTTGTAACAGGAAGAAACTAAATTCTGCCAACAACAGTGAAGGAGTTAAAAAAAAAAATTATAGGCCGGGCGCGGTGGCTGACGCCTGTAATCCCAGCACTTTGGGAGGCCGAGGCGGGCGGATCACGAGGTCAGGAGATCGAGACCATCCTGGCTAACACAGTGAAACCCCGTCTCTACTAAAAACACAGTGAAACCCCGTCTCTACTAAAAATACAAAAAAATTAACCGGGCGTGGTGGCGGGCGCCCGTAGTCCCAGATACTCGGGAGGCTGACGCAGGAGAATGACGTGAACCCCGGGGGGCGGAGCCTGCCGTGAGCCGAGCTCGCGCCACTGCATTCCACCCTGGGCGACAGCGAGACTCCGTCTCAAAAAAAAAAAAAAATTATAGAGCCCCTAGAAAGGAACACAACTCTTCTTCTGACACCTTGATTTTAGCCCAGTGAGACCCATGCCAGACTTCTGACCTATAGAATTGTAGGATAATACATCTGTTTCAAGTCATTATATTTGTATAAATTTGTTGGAGCAGCAGTAGAAAACTAATGCAGCACTGGGCTAAATGCTTGGGAGAGAACAATAAAGAGCTATTCTTAATTAATGTCTCTTTTTTATGGCATTTTTAAAGACCATAGAATAGTCTGACCTGCAAAACAGATTTATGGAACAAGTAATACCGATACAGTATAATAAAACTTATAGTAGATGTATATAAGTTTTATACTTCAAGAAATAGTGATGGAATTAAGGAAGGTGTTAAATCTATTTGGAGTGGGATCAGGGAAAATTTCAGAGAACAAACCATTTTAAGATGGGTCCTTAAGTAATAAATACTAGTTTTCCAATTGGCTAGATGGGGGTACGATTTAGTACCATGTTAAGCTAAGAAGGAGTGCAATTGGAGATGGATGAGTGATAGAAGAATGAGTGACATGAGGACTTGTTTGTCCCACAAAATGTATTTGGATGTATAATATGGAATAATTTGCATCTAGAAAGTTTGCTCCAGCTGCAAATGGGGAATGGAAGAGGGGCAACACTGTATGCAGAGACTACTACCATAGGCTGAGTAAGAAAGGATGAGGTCTCTGTTTTATAATAGCCCCCATTTATTGGAACTTGGCTATGTGTCAGCAACTATAACAACACTTTACATATATAATTCCATTTAGTCTCTGTTAGTTAGCTCTGCAAAGCAGATGCCATTCCATCTCACAAAGAAACCAAAGTTTACACAAATGTGCCCTTAAAAAAGAAATACCCCACAAAAAGCTAACAAAAGTAGGATTCAAACCCAGTTGTTAATCACATTAAAGCCTGTGCTTTAATTCACTCTACCATGGCAGGAACAGGGAATCAATATAAGAAGACAGAAAGAGAGAGATTTAATAGGTAAAATTAACTAAGCTTATTATTGATTACACGTAGGACAAGGGAAAGAGAGGAATTGTAGCTTACTGATAGTTTTTGGATTTGAGTTCTAGGGGAAAGGAGTTCCAGCTAAGATAGGGACCAAAGTAGAAGACACTTTCTGAGTCAGGAATAAAAGTTAAGCTTCGGATGAATTTAAGGTGTGTATTGGATAGCCAGGTAGAGATGCCCAGAAGCCAGTCTGGAATTTAGAATTGGGACATGGACTGAAGAGAAGGATTTGAAAATCATCTACCTGTAGGTAACTTTCATGGTCTGGAACCCTTCATATATAAATGTTGGAGAAATCTCCTGTTTCTAATGAATAGTGAAAGAATCTATCCTTATCTGTGCTCTGAAAGAAACTTTCATCTGAGACTCCCTGAAAAGATGGCTCAGCCTAACACCAACGCTGACTACCAGACTGGGGGTGCTGGCAAAATGGCAAACTGACAGTGCCAAGGGCTTTGTCTGTGTCCTGCTTGATGAGGTCAGAACCTTGTTCCCGTGGAAGACCTACTATGTCATACAGCTCTGCTGCATTAACAGCCAGTCTGAAAGTAAATACTTTGCTTTAGACACTGTTTTTAACTGCTTAATGAGCATACTGACTTCCCACCCTACCCCCCAATTAGCTGCATATCAATCAGTCAATTAGCAGATAGACAGCTCAGCCAAGGAACAGTGAAGGCTGGTGTTGCAACTGATTGTTAAATCTGTCTTGAATTTGCTATTGGAAAATGAGAGAAGTTTAGGGCAAATACTGCTCCCTGTACCCCTGACTGAAATCTTCTAGACAAAATAATTGCTATCAAATATTCTGATACAGGAATTCTTGAAACTGCCTGGTTACTTTACTAGAAAGGGAAGCAGCCACTAACTGCAAAAGACTACCTCTGTTGTACCAGATGCACAAGAAGAGATTTTCACCATTGCAGAGCTATTTATACACAGCCAACTTCTGTCCTCAGTTCACATATACACACAACTCCCATTGATATCAGTGGAAGCTGCGGACATGTGGCTGAGAACAGAATTTGGCCCACTGAGCTGCAAGGCTTGGCATTCTTTTGCTCACTATGACAACTTCAGAACTGGATCTCTTAGCACATGTGCTTTTAGAAGAAGAGTTCTTGATTTATTTTCTTTTTTTTCCCTCCCCTCTTTATCTTGGCCTTGAAAAACAAAATGGAAACTTGAGAAACTACTGGCAGCAATGGGTTTTTCTTGCATAGAATCAACTGTATGGCGGACTTGGAGAAACAGAGACCATACAAGTTTTTGGATTCAAAAACTTGACAAAATAGTTTTCTGTAAGTGTGCTGCCGTTCCCAGGATGCCGACTAACAGCTTGGCTTCACAGTCGTCCTTGAAATAAAAGCAAAAGATGCCATGAAACAACTTTTACACACGTAAAATTATTAAGTCCAATATTTAATTTACAGATGACATATTCCAGAGAATATTTGAAACCTGTCATTAATATGTACTTTTATTCTTCTTATAGGAATTGCTCTTTCTCTAGTTTAAGTGATTTTAGTGGGGCTGTCAGCAAGACTCCTGCCTCCCTGTAAGTGTACATGTCAGGCTAGGCAATCAGTGTATCCAGTCCTCTTGAAAACAAAAGGCCTATTAACCAAGGAGAGACAACCAGCATATGATATTTCAAAGATTATATGGAACAGGGAAACAGACTCTCCTTCCGAGGTCAGGAGATTAAAGGATACAAAGTCTTTTAGCTTTGGGGGCCAGTTTTGTACCACTTAGAGAAAAACTGCAGGTAATGAAGCCAACAGGGAGGAAAGTAAAGAAGGTAGAGGAGAAAACATTTTTATAATATTTAAATCCCTGGATCTAGCCATGCCTTACTGAATTTTCCCACTATGAACAAAAAATTAATCCCTTTATTCTTAAACTGGTTGGAGTTGAATCTCTAATAACTGGTAACCTATAGGGATTTAACAAAAAAACATTGCTCCTTCATTCACTCTAGAGATTTTCTCTGCCAAAATGTATTTTTTTATTGCGTGCAAACACTCAGATTTCACCATCTTTGTATATACTGAAACTTTCCTAAATAAATAACCTCAGGAAAAACATGTGATTTGCAATAACTGTGGATGCTCTTCACACCAAGAAGATAGGCAGGAAGATTATACTAGACAATGCAAACACATAATGTCTCCATGTCTCTGCTCTGTTGGGAAAGAGGAAGCCAGTGGAGGACCCTCTTTGTGGATGCACTTTGAGGAAGCACCTCATTATCTTGACTCTTGGCTGTTGCCCAGTGTGGTGCCCTGATGGAGTCTGCGCCCAGCATGTAGCTCTGGTAATGGATCCAGTGACAGGCAGACTGTGTTACAAGGTGCATTACACTTGACCAGCCATCATTACATCGGTTCTGCCCAAATTATTTGATTGACATTTTTAGAGAAAGTCAGGAACTGTTCATAATTGGTAGCCAGGAAGGCACTATTTTCAAATAAGTGAATACCAAGAATGAAAGTGTAAAGGAAGAGACTTAAAGAAATGGGAAGGTTTTCAGCCAGGCGTGGTGGCTCAAGCCTGTAACCCCAGTACTTTGGGAGGCCAAGGTGGGCGGATCACGAGGTCAGGAGATCTAGACCATCTTGGCTAACACGGTGAAACCCCATCTCTACTAAAAAATACAAAGAATTAGCCGGGTGTGGTGGCAGGCGCCTGTAGTCCCAGCTACTCAGGAGGCTGAGGCAGGAGAATGGTGTGAACTCGGGAGGCGAGCTTGCAGTGAGCCGGGATCGCACCACTGCACTCCAGCCTGGGCGACAGAGCAAGACTCTGTCTCAAAAAAAAAAAAAAAAAAAGAAAGAAAGAAAGAAATGGGAAAGTTCTAGGGAAATGGGTCTTCTGCCATTGTGAAATTTGGATTTCACAATTTAGGATGTGTGGGCCATCCTAAAATTAGGAGAATGTGATTCAGCCTTGATACACACGAATTGGAAGAATAGCTTACATAAACAGCCTTTAGTTACATCTATTTGGCATAGCAATGAATCTATGCAAAACCTTAACAGTTTATTGTACAGTACATTCCCATCAATTACCCAGAAAATACATGTCTTATATGTCAATATATCATGCAGTAGATTCCCATTAATCATCCGGAAAATATGTCTTAGGAATAAGTTATCTACTGCCTGAGGAATTTAATTTAATTGTTGAAGAAATTGCCTTCAGCAGGGACTGATTTCTTGCATCATTACCAGTGAGTGTTTCCTCACATGTAATAACTGATTTTCCAGACATTCACCTTATAACTCCCATTTATGTGCAGGTTACAATATCCATTAGACATAGAAGTCCCCCTTACCACACATGAAAACACATACACCCACCTACCCACTCATCTACCCCACCCTACCCACCACACACACGTAAGAGGACTTCAAAAAGTTCAAGGACAAATGGAATTAAAGATAAAAATTAAAAAGATGAACTTGTTTTTCAACATATCATCAAGTTCAAGACACTTATTATAAATTATGATACCAGCCATTTAGTCTGTCCCTAAAGAACTGAGGCTCCTAAGAATTTAACCATGTTGATGCAGTTTTTTTTTTTACATTATTAAGTGAGGAACAATGGATACCCTTTACAGATTTTTTTAACATTCAGAAACAAAAAGAAGTCAGAATGAGCCAAATCAGGACGATAAGTTGGATGTCTAACGAATTCCCACTGATATTCTCACAATATTGCCCTTGTTTGATGAGAGGCATGAGCAGAAGCATTGTTGTGGTGGAGAAGCATTGTCATGATGAAGCTTTCCTGGGCATTTTTCCTCAAAGGCTTTGGTTAACTCTCAAAACACTCATAATAGGCAGATGCTATTGTTCTTTGGCTATCTGGTATGTCAACAAGCAACATGCTCTGAGCATTCCAAAAAATTGTTGCCATGACCATTGCCTTTGACTAGTCCACTTTTGCTTTGATTGTACCATTTCCACCTCTTGGTAGCCATTACTTTGATTCTGCTTTGTTTTCAGGATCATACTAGTAAAGCCATGTTTCATCTCCGGTTACAATTCTTCAAAGGAATGCTTCAGGGTCTTCATCCCACTCGTTTCCATAAAAGCTATGCTCTTGTCTGCAGCTGATCTGGGCTCACTGGTTTTGGCATCCATCAAGTGGAAAGTTTGTTCAATTTTTTTCAGTCAGAGCTGTGTAAGCTGAACAAACTAAGATGTCTATGGTGTTGGCTATTGTTTGTGCTGTTAACTGTTGGTCCTCCTCAAATAGGGCACTAAATTTTTTTTTAAAAAAGGGCATTAACAAGGTTAAATTTTTCTACACAAATTGATGTAGATGGTCTGCCACAATGGGCTGCATCTTAAACATTGTCTCATTCCTTCTTAAAATGAGTCATCCATTTGTAAACTGATTTCTTTGTGGCATTGTCCCCATAAACTTTTTATAAAGCATCAGTGATTTCACCGTTCTTCCACTGAAGCTTCACCATAAATGTGATGTTTGTTCTTGCCTTAATTTTAGCAGAATTCATGTTGCTTTCACAGGGGGTCTTTTCAAATGGATGCCTTATCTTTCTTAGTGCTTCAAACTAGATTGTATTTATACACATTATAATAAGTTAGTAAGAGTTTATTTTGGTGCAAAAAGTTTTTGAAATCCATCTATAGTTTTCTCATAAATGCATTTTCCATGAACTTTTCAAAGACCTCTTTTCCATCATAAATCTAAAAAATGTTAAGATTTAAGTAGCTTCACTCATCTAAGAGAATCACTAAGCATTTATTTGACTGCTTGTTTTTCTTCTACTTTAAGGTGTGCATTTGTTTCTTACTGCATGTAATAAAAGGAGCCATATAAAAAAGGTTTGTTATATGGTATAATAAGCACCGTATATACATGGTCTTTCTGGATACTCACAACAGCCTTGTGAGACAAAGACAACCCCGTTTTACAAATGACAAAAACAAGGCTTAGGGCTATGAAATAACCAAGCAAATGAGTTTGATTCCAAAGCTCATTCTAATAACCACTAAGTAAATGTCAGTGCACTGTTGTATATTTTTACCGTATTTTATAAAAGGTCCCTAAAGACCCAAATCCTCTGTGCATTTAGTTACAAGCACCATTCTGCATTTCCCCCCAATACATTTTCCCCTGGTTTATACCTATCTTCTTTGTTCTATTATTTTTGAAATTTTGAGTAGTAAAGGAATTTGGGAGAGGGAGGATGAAGAGAGAGAGAAAGGAAGACAGAATCACACCGATTAAGATGAATTTAGAAAGTAAGACCACTACGGCTCACATTGGTGGCATTTCCCTATGTGTCTTTGCAATGCTCTTATCTGACACAGGTCTCTTAAAGGTTGGGTTGAATATCTGTTCCTCAGTTATTGCTCTTTTACTCCCCAAAATCTTCCCCTACAAAGGACTAAAAATAGTGATCAGAAATGACCTTTCCCTCCTTAGTCCCAGGTTTGTTTGGGATTTCATGTAATAAACTAGAGCATGGGTGTCCTCTTCCACTGATTGCCATGTTCATTTCATGGCCTTAGTCAGGTGCCTTGGCTGCAAATTTTCCCTCTCTACACTGAAAAACCCAGTTTTGCTGGGCAATTTTAGTTCCCACTATGAAGAAAACCCTTCCAGCATGTAAATGCAATGCTTGGTGAGGCCTTTCCTGAAAAGCAGTGTTGGCCTTCACACACAAGATGAGACATGTGGAGATTAACTTTAATATCTAATCTATTGCAGAGGTGAAACTAAATTCTATTTCTTTCTCCTCATCTGAAATGAAAAGGAAATGCTTGAAATTTTGCCCCCCAAAATAGAGCACTTTAATCAAACCATTTTAATGTGATATTCCTGTGTCTTCATTAAGTTTCCAGACAGTTTTAATGTTTATTGAACTAAATTGATAGGGTTAAACATCTTTGTAAGTATAAACTAAAGTTTTTATGGCTATTTCTATTATTGTGTAAAAGAAAAATAACAAAAAAGTATCTATTCGTTTGAGGAGGTAGCTGGTATTTGCTAGCAAAGGAGAACAGCCATATAATTAACTGTGTCAAAATGTTTTCTTTGTTCACAGTTAATCTAACTGCAGCTGCTAGGAGGCAGAATGCATAAATATGACTGTGTACTTTTAATTACAGAAAATGACAGGCGTAAGTTGTGACTGGAGTGTTGCCTGAGATTGTTGTGGGCAAAAATGTTGCTCAGAGACTCATTGAATTAATAAGTAGCCTTTTATTTTTTGGTGTCCAAATTGTATAGATGTTACTAGCAACTAAAATAAAATTAAATTTCAGAATTTTAATCAGCCAAAGAAAATTTAAATATAATCCTGCAACATATTTAGAGAAATCATGGCACATAATAACCATTTGATATTGAACATTATATACAATAATACTTCATACATGTGATTTTTGTCTTGGAGCAAGAAATGCTCTACATAAGTGAATTTTCTAGAGATACCTTTAAGAATTAAATTATTTCTCCCAATTTTCCTCTCCATTCTGTGCAAAGAAGTCACTCCCAATTCTGATTTTTTTCCCTAGATGCTCTAATAATAATGAAGACAAAATATCTCATATTTGCTGATTTTTCTGTTTTGATAACACATAGTAATGCCTATAAATGGAGGGGTGGGTAGCTCTGAGTCCTGGGGTTCATTCCCCTCTAGGTGTTGATACTTATGACATAGTATGAAAGAGAAATGGAGCAGCACTTCATTATTTGGGACATTGTTCTCTTCTTCTTCCCCTTTTCTCTTCTACCTTTAATGGCTGAATAGTATAGCAGAATGTTCATTGGGCTTTCCATCAAACATATTTTATATTCATTGTAACTCTGAGCAGAGAACTTAACCTTTCTGAAAATCAGTTCATTTCTTTATATGGATGAAATAGGATCATCAATGTTTAAATTTTAAATATAGTGATTGCTCAGAAATGTTATTCCTTTTCTTTTTATTTTTCTCCTCTATAACTATTTTTTAATCACCTTTTTATTATACATCTTTTCTCCTTTCTGTGCTATGGTAGACAGGTAGGGGGTGTGGTATTGGCTAGGGAGGCTTAAGGGGTCACGGTCAATGCTGTAGATAATTGCTGTTTTCAGCTGCCTTGTTGCCTTCATTCTATTGTCTATCCCTGCACGCAGCCACTGTGGGGGTGGCTGTCACCTTGGTGACAGCAGTTTTGTGCCATGCATGTGGTGTGAACACTGGCTTAGAGCAGGGTATAAACAGGTCCTGCTGCTTCAAGTAATTCGGTATAAGCAGACAGACTATTGCCTTTGTTCTCTTAGCAGCTCTGCTGCTGAAATACACTAATAATAGAACATGTTAGTTGAAATTATGCCTCTCCATCTCTAATTACTGCATGCCAAAGTATTCTGACTGCTACTGTCATTTCCCAGCAACTGATGGCTGCAGGTGATTGTTTCAGATTGTGCTCAAGGGACTTCTTCCACTCATTCTACTCATTCTCCCTTTGCCCCACTACGTCATGTGTTCAATAACTTGACTGATTCATTTCAGTATGCTGAATGGTTTGAATGAAATAGAAATGAACTTTAAGAAAATATTTTCAAATCAGCAGATGTTCATTGTGGGTTTTCTCTGTGTAAAGGAAAGTGGAACAGTCATAGAAATTGTTTAGTTATATCCAGAATCTACAATGAACTCAAACAAATTTACAAGAAAAAAACAAACAACCCCATCAAAAAGTGGGCAAAGGACATGAACAGACACTTCTCAAAAGAAGACATTTATGCAGCCAAAAAACACATGAAAAAATGCTCACCATCACTGGCCATCAGAGAAATGCAAATCAAAACCACAGTGAGATACCATCTCACACCACTTAGAATGGCAATCATTAAAAAGTCAGGAAACAACAGGTGCTGGAGAGGATGTGGAGAAATAGGAACACTTTTACACTGTTGGTGGGACTGTAAACTAGTTCAACCATTGTGGAAGTCAGTGTGGTGATTCCTCAGGGATCTAGAACTAGAAATACCATTTGACCCAGCCATCCCATTACTGGGTATATACCCAAAGGACTATAAATCATGCTGCTATAAAGACACATGCACACGTATGTTTATTGCGTCACTATTCACAATAGCAAAGACTTGGAACCAACCCAAATGTCCAACAATGATAGACTGGATTAAGAAAATGTGGCACATATACACCATGGAATACTATGCTGGCATAAAAAATGATGAGTTCATTTCCTTTGTAGGGACATGGATGAAATTGGAAATCATCATTCTCAGTAAACTATCGCAAGGACAAAAAACCAAACACTCTCATGTTCTCATAGGTGGGAATTGACCAATGAGAACACATGGACACAGGAAGGAGAACATCACACTCTGGGGCCTGTCATGGGGTGGGGGGAGGGGGGAGGGATAGCATTAGGAGATATACCTAATGCTAAATGACGAGTTAATGGGTGCAGCACACCAGCATGGCACATGTATACATATGTAACTAACCTGCACATTGTGCACATGTACCCTAAAACTTAAAGTATGATAATAATAATAAAAAAGATGATCTATGCATTCCTGAGCCTAATTTTCCGGATTTTGATGAAGACAACTATTCAATTCCATCCCTACTCCTACCTAACTCCCCCACGTCTCTATGCATTTCAGGCAGACCTTCAACCACGACCTGATATTCTTCCTGCTGCAGACAGCCAGCTCTGTTCAGTCAGGCTTTGGATCCTGGAGACTCTCTAATCTAGTTTCTAAGTTTTACAGATGAAGAAATTCTGTGTTACATGAAGTGTCCAAGATCTCACAGTAGCTTAAGCAAAGATAGAAGACAAACCCAGCATTCCCAACTGTTGATATTGTATGCTCTGTGCCTCACTTCATTGTATGTTTTACCTGTTATTTAATGTAACAGATGTTGCTGATAAAATGTGAACAGAAGTTGTCAGTGGCAGGTACAAATCCCAGGCCAACATCGAAAGTTTGTCACTGTCAGAACTTCTGTTCAGTTTTAGTTACATCTGCTAAGGATTCTAAGCACAGTGTACATGAACCTTCCAAAAGATCCTTGGCATTTTTACATCACTTTTGTTTCCTCCTGCTTTTTATATTTTATGGAATGAGTCCAAAATGATCAAGGCATGTACAGTTTACATAATTGTGCACTCAAACTTGAATTTTACATGCATCCAGAATTTGGTCTAATTCTGTAAAATAAAACCTCAGTTGGAACTGGGCTATGCTGAAAAGCAAGTTTGATATAAGTGACATTCAAGATCACCTTGTATTTTCCAGATGATCAGACCTGCTGTTTCTAAAAGAGTACCTCACTTTGTAGACCACTAAATGCAAATTGTATTTTAAACTATAGATTTGGGGGAGGAGGGGTAATTAAGAGTTATAGTAATATTGATTCTTACCCATGTATGAGTACAGATGATATCCCCATTTATTCAGACATTGTTTTATACCTTTCATTATTGTTTTATTGATTTTAATGCCCTTATTAGATTCATTTTCAGATATTATAAAGGTTTGTTTACTCTTGTGCATTGGTCTACTTTTCTTTCTCTTTCCTTTTTTTTTTTTTTTTTTTTGAGATGGAGTCTCACTCTGTCGGCAGGGCTGGAGTGCAGTGGCGTGATCTCCTGGGATCAAGTGATTCTCCTACCTTGGCCTCCCAAGTAGCTGGAACTACAGGCACCCACCACCACGCCTAGCTAATTTTATTTATTTATTTATTTAGTATTTTTAGTAGAGATGGAGTTTCACCATATTGGCCAGGCTGGTCTTGAACAAACTCTTGTGTGCGGATCAAGTGATCCACCTGCCTGGGCCTCCCAAAGTGCTGGAATTACAGGCAAGAGCCACCGCACCAGGCCATTGGATCTATTTTTCTGTCATGTTTTTCAAGTTTGTTTTTGTTGACTTACTAAAGAAAAATTGGTTTTTTAATGTTAATTATGTGTTCAGCATCTCTCTAGGACTTTCTTCTCAGTTCATGTAGTTTGTCTTTCTATCTTTCTAATCTTATCTTGAACAGCCCACTCAGCTTTGTTCCAACAACAGGGACCTTCAGATAGTTCCTAAAATTCCCCAAGCATTTTCCTCACCCAGAGCCTTTGCTTTTCCTATGTCTCAAGTGTTCTTCAGCCCAAGTGGTTAGCTCTATTTTCTTTATCTTTCAAGCCACCATTTAAAAATCAACTTATCGCAGAGATTATTCCTAATTATACCATCAAATGTGGGCCCTTCCCTCTATTGTGCTTTTCAAATTCCCCAGCATCACGTTTTTACCCTTCTTAAAATGTATCGCAAGCTGGAATTGTTTTACTTACTTGCATTTTTACATTAAAATATGAGTTTCATCAGGAAAGGAGCTTATCAGTGTGGCTCACTATTATCTTCTTAGCACCTAAAGCTGTGTCTGACAAATTGTAGGTGTTCAGAAAATATAAGAACACAAGAAGAGTGACCTGAGACTAATGATCTAACATCTCTGATTATAAGTAGAAAATACATTTTCAAAGCATATAGTGATACACTCTGTCTCCGCTGTAAAAGAATAAAAATAAAATATAATCATAATGAATATCCATGACAATAAAACATAGTGAAATTTTCTGGTCTAAGTCCTGTCCCCAAGTGCCATGCAGGAACAACAACAAAAAGCCAAGAATAATGCATAGGGACTCAGCACCCAAGTACGGTTTGAGCCACCTGAATTTAAACAGTCTGTGATTGATTTAGTATCTCTCTTTCTCTCTCTCTCTCTATATATATATGTGTGTGTGTATATATATACATATAGAGATACTAAATCAAATATACAAATTTTCTCTTATATTTATATGTGTTTAAACATATACCTATATGTTTATAAGTTAAAACACACACACTATGTGTGTGTATATGTGTGTATATATACGTGTGTATATATGTGTGTATATGTGTGTATATATACGTGTGTATATATGTGTGTGTATATATATACGTGTGTATATATGTGTGTGTATATATGTGTGTATATACACACATACACATGTGTATATACACACACATATATACACACATGTATATACACACACATATATACACACGTGTATATACACACACATATATACACACGTATATATACACACACATAGTGTGTGTGTGTTTTAACTTATAAACATATAGGTATATGTTTAAACATATACAAATATAAGAGAAAATTTGTATATATTGAAACATATACCAGTATAAGAGAAATTATGATAAATATTTAATAAATAGCTCAAGAATCACTTGCTGCAGAAATTCAGAACATGGGTCGGGCGTGGTGGCTCACGTCTGTAATCCCAGCACTTTGGGAGGCCAAGGCAGGCAGATCACGAGGTTAGGAGATCAAGACCAGCCTGGCCAGCATGGTGAAAACCCATCTTTACTAAAAATACAACAAAAATTAGCCTGGCGTAGTGGCTCATGCCTGTAATCTCAACTACTCGGGAAGCTGAGACAGGAGAATCGCTTGAACCTGGGAGGCGAAGGTTGCAGTGAGCCGAGATTTCACTACTGCACTCCAGCCTGGGCGACAGAGTGAGACTCAGTCTCAAAAAAAAAAAAAAAAAAAAGAAAGAAAAAGAAAAAACAAAGAAATTCAGAACATGTATCCAACACCTAGTGTATCAATAGAAGAATAGGGCTTATTTGACCAAGGGTCATTAACAGTGTTCTGTTAATGAACCTTGAATTGGCCACAGAAAACAATATCCTGATCTGTCAAATAAATGTTACCAAGTGCTTACTACATTCAGCAGTGCGTTTAGTTTGCGGAAGAGCAGAATGACTAAATGAATGAATGAATTTTAAAATTGAGTTAGTTATGTGGACGTTTGGCAAATGTACAAAAAGAATCAGCAAAGTTTTATTACAATGCAAATGTTATGCTGCATTTTAATTTCTATTTAGCCTCTAATATGCAACATTAAATCAAACTATTGTGTACAAGAACCTTAAAGTTCATTTAATGTGATTTTAATTCATGTTATAAATTAAATTATTTGCAATGGAAATGGAGAAATGTCTTATATCTTAGTTTAGACTTGTCAGCTTTCCAGGCTAATTTTGTGCACAGTAATACTAACTGTAGACAGACACTGTACATGAACTACAGTGTCCAAATCATAGATCGGACCTACAATAAATTTCTGTGTGGAGGAGAATAAATTCTCCTCCTTCTCTCCATTCTCATATCAAACTCCTCCGGTATTGCATTGCTGGTTAGCACAAACTAACCCATAAACAGCATTTAAGGGGATGTTGCCATTGCTGAAGCACATACTGCTATTGAATCCCATTCTTCAAGCTTCTCATGCATCACTGAAAGTCATTCAGGACTCTGGATTCACCAGGAACTATAAAAGCCACCAGCAACTACTGAGAAGGCAATGCAATTGAAGTGTAACTCTGGTTGGAAAATAAGTAGGGAATTGGGTGTTGAGTCCCTGCGTGTTATTCCTGGCCAAATACATCAGAGCTACATGTCAGGTTTTGTCCAAAAGTGTTGTATTTGCTTTGATTTTCAGAAGTTCAATATAATTCCATTATTACAAGTTCATCTATTTCTTAATGTTTTAAATACATTTTATCTAAGTATTGTTTTGTATTGGATTTACTCTGAATATGTCAGGTCTTTATAGAGAAAACAGTAAATAGGAAATATGATACAATATTTACAGAAAATATTCTCCAGTTAATGTATCTTATTATTATATGCTCTTCCTTATATGGTAGAGTTTATGAAGTTATTGAGTTCATTAGAAAGTGAATTAAGAACATGAAATAGGTCCAGTAAAATATGAACCCACACATCAAAAAAAAAGATCTAATCTCCAAGTGGCTTGAAGTGTAGTGTAAATCCAGTAAAGCTCCAAAATAAATAAAATAAAATAAAACGATATTATAGTATGCATATTCAAATGTATTAATAAAATTGTGTGAAACCTTTTTTTAAAGAAATGTAAATCTAAGTTAAGTGTTCTTGCTGTTACAGATTAATAGATCCACAACTTTCTAATTTCAAATTTGAAAAGCTAAACTTGTGCACCAAAATATTTTCAGCTGAAATATTTTTAAACATTATATTTTTTCTATTATTACTTGAGCTTTTTAAACTTAGTAATTCAAACTAATCTTGGAACACTTGCAAAATGTGATGGAAATGAAGAAGAAATAAGCTGTAAATTCAAGATGGCTGAAGTTTAATTTCTGTGCCGACCTTGGGTATGTCTAGGGAGGAAAATTGGCACTCTCTTAACAAAACAAACCAGAGCTTAGTTTCTACATAGAACAAGGTTTGAAATGAATATGGAATGAAGGTAAATATTTAGAAGATTAATTCTTTGAGCTTCCTCAATACCTTAGTTTTGCAAGACTTTGAAACCATCTTCTCCAGGGACAAAAGAAAGTAATTACCTCTCCTCCACATGACGTTTAATCATGCTCTATTTTTCGAAGAACAGCTGTGCAACACTGGCTGGGCTACAAATTAAACATACCTCCTTCAACTTGCTTAGATTTAAAAGATAATGAATATGTTGGGTGACAGAATCTGAATTCAAAAAGACTTTAATAGGCCAGAGCTATAAGCTGAAAACAAGATGAAAGTAATCAAGGATAAATGTAAGGTCCTATACTTGAGTCCAAGAAACCAAGTGAGTAAATACAGGGTGGGGAAGATAGGACTTAATGGCAACAGACTGAATTAAGCACCAGAGAATTTAGAAGCTATATTTGATAAGAAGCTAAATATGAGTTGGTGGTTTCATCTAACTAAAAAAAAAAATAGAATGTGGCACATGGTACATAAGTAAAAGCATTCATCATTGAAGACCTAACCTAGTTTGATACAACATAATATGAATTCGAGGGACTTACAGCTCTTTGCAAAAAAACGCTATCACTGTTATTTTAATATTTGTTCAAGCAGAGATCAAAGGATCTACGCTGACATAATCTTCCTTTTACTAGTTGTACTAAAACTCCAACAGTTTCTGTTATTATAGAATTTGTAAAAGCTTAGATACTAGCTGGCATCAGAATATTATGTATATTAAAAATTAGCATATATACCACACATGAATAAGTGAAACAAGATGTAGCTTAATGAAATTATGTTGTGGAACTATCCATTTAACTTATGTCACATTTGTTAAATCTAGATTACTTTCATAATTCTGACAAAGATTAACAACTGACCATTGTGTAATAGAGAAAGAAAATAGGACCTATGTAAAAATCACAGAGGGTCTAGGAATATGATGTATAAAATATTTTGAGGCTTCAGTCTAGGAATATGATGTACGAGACATTTTGAGGCTTCAGTTCAAAGCATAAAGAGTGAAACATGATACATTTACCAGAAAATAAACTAAACTTCTAAACACATGTAAAGGAGAGAGGTCATTATTATCTTTGTGAATATTCATTATTACAGAATTGGTAAATTTCCCAGGTTTTCTTGGCTTCTCTCTCTACAAATAAATCACTGTAGTAAAAACTCTCACAGGACTGTCAGGTGGGTTTTCTGGAAATATTTACTGTAATTGATTTTTGTGGTTTCCTAAATGCTGTAATCCAAAACCTCATTTATCAACTTTCTGTCTGCTTTATTGTAATTGCAGAGTTTTCTATTCCTATATCATGACAGGTCAGAGCAGCGCTGTGACAAGCAGCCTCTGTATTAGTAAAGATGTGCATTCCACACACCAGCCCAGCAATCCAGATTATTGACTGTAATTAAACTCACAGGGGAGTTAAACTTGTTTGACAAGAAAGGGGGTGGGATGATTTGCAGGATTTAAGTCATAGCAACAGTGACACATGCCTGCCCCAAAACTTTCTCTGAATTTTGCAGGGCCTGTACACATTTAGAAAAGATCAAATAATTTTGTTCTGCAAGAGAGTAGTACATATTTATAAAGCACTGAATCCCGGAATCACTGGTCCCATTAATTGAACAACACAAGCATGCTTCTTGAAGAAATTCATATACCAAATTTTGTTATTCTAATATCAGTTCATTACAGTCAGACTTCTGGCCTGGGTCCAGAAACAATGCCATTTTTAATGGGTTGATTGCTAAATCTCTTGCTTTCTTTAGTTTGACTCATTCTTTATCGTTTCTTCTTCTGATTTTGACTCATTTTTCTTTTCACAATTAGGCTTTGTCCCCCTTCTGCATCACTTCTCCAGCTTTGACCATGTTCTTCTAATTTTTGCCAAGAATGCGGAATCTAATTTTGATGACACTGATTTTGCTATGCTGGACATATCCCCTGACCATTCAGTGGAGGTCCTTAGGAACCCTACATTCTGGGTGTCTGGATCTCTTCCCACTTCTTCCACCTACCTTCCTGCCTCTTTCTCCCATATTTGGCCAGTCCACATGATCGTCCAATGTATGTAAGTGAGACTCAAACAAAAGCATAGAAAACTTTGTTTTCAAAAAGTAAAAACCATTCACTCTTTTGAATATTACTGTTTGAAATGTGTTTAGGTCCTTTGGGGGAATGGCTATATATGTTTATATATATATATATCTCCACAGTAGTAGCAAAGAAAATCAATAAAGGGTATATTTTATGACTCCCTTTTATTACAGGATAAGACCAAGAAACATTAGAATCATTTAAACCTACAACACAGAGATTGAAATACTTGTTTTATGTAGGCCCAGTCTCTATTGTCTGAATTTTTCATTAGCTATAGAAACTTTACTGGATATTGGATATGGATATAGATAATCCTCTCTGGATATATAAAACATCTTTTTATTTATCTGACATAATGTATTTAAAAACTAGTTCTTCTTTCTTCATTCTGTCTACAAGGAAAATCCTTTTCACTCCCCATTAGTTTTCTTGCAAGTTCATGCTTGTGATAAAAGAAAGGCAGAATCAGAGTCTAAAGATGGGTCAGTGAACACCCATCCCTGCACTAAAGGGCTATGAAGGGCAGTGCTTGCTGTTATTGGGTAGGCAATATAAAAAATATGTAAGGAATAATATTAATTCTGAATCCTGGCCCATTAGAGATTGGAGCAATCATTGCTAGCAAACATATTTTCTGCCTTCAAGTAATTTATAGCTAATTGACAGAGTGTAGAATATCACAATTAGGTACATCAGAAAAATGACTTTAGTAACTTGGCAGGACCAAAACCAGCCAGGTGCAATATAACACAAGATAATAATGAGTAGGTCATGCTCATCTTCAAAGCAGAAGTCACAGCTCCTAGGCGACAAATATCACAAAAAAACTTATTCATGTTTTTCTGTTTTGTTCCTTGTGATATTTCCATATGGTATCCCTGAAGATAAGTTGTATCTAATTAGAGTGTAGAAATACTTTCGGTTGCTAGTTGTTAGCCTAATCTTTACTATAGAAGCTGTTGTTTGTCTTTTTCTGAACTTTTACAATGACATTTAATACTTAAGTTACCAGTGGTATATGGTGCCCTAGCTGAGTGAGGGGGGGAAAATTGTAATGGCAGATTCTAAGTTAGGATTTTGATTCATAATGTTTAAACTTTGACACTTTTTAATAATGAATTCTAAATTTAAAGTTTTGATTGCTTGTTGAAAAGCATAGTTCAAACTTGCAAATTCCATTTTTCTTAATGCATACCAACATTTAGTAAAATACCTGTAGGAATTTCAATGAAGATTTTAGTTAGACAAAAGCTGTAAATAAATATTGTTAAAAAGAAATGGGTAGTATAGTTGAGATAATATCTAATCCATATTAATACTTATTTTTGAGTTTGAGGTGTACTTGTTTTTATTAATACTTAGAGAAAAAATAATTGTTTGTTGGCTGAAATGTTTCATCTTCACCTGTTGGAATGTGTGTTTGTGTGTAGGTTCTGTAAATAACTATGCAGTGACCAATAAACTGATGAAGGAGATGGTATAAACAAATAAATGTCAAATCTACATCAGGTATAAGACTACATGCTGAATTCAGGTAGTGTCATTTGACTATTTTAATTAATCAATTAACTATTTATTTCAAGTCAACCAAGGATTTTGCAATTAAAAAATACAGGTACTCAAGGGAAAAAAATGAAAGGTCACTCATTAGTAACAAAATTTAATGAAGGAGACAATAAAATAACTCTGGAACACAAACAAGATAAACACTATTGCAGTAAACAGAAGGAAGTTATGATCATTTATTAAAGTATAGTACAATGTCATCACAGCTACAGTTAATACATATTTTTGAGCATCTACTTTAGACAAAGCAATGTTCCAAGCTCCTGAAAGATGAAAATACATACAATCTTTAGTCTCATCCTTCAAAGTAAGAAAATTTATAGGCAAACGTTTCTGAAGCAAGAATCAAATAGCAGTGCAAGATAATAAGAAGCACTACAAAAAGGTACAAACAAATCCCCAGTCTAGGATGACTGAGGGAACCCTTACATAAAGGAAAGAGTTTAAAAATTGGCATGAGCCTGATGAATGGAAAAAAGAGGGAAGAAGATTTCAGAACAATGTGAGCAAAATTTCAGATGCAGCAAAATAGAATCTTGAGAAGAATAAATAAAGCAAATTAGCTAGTAGAGTCATGGACTTTAGCTAAGGCTAAAGTGGGACCACAGTGAGGGTAATATCTATTTTTTTCAGACTCCTAAATTAATATCTTCAACCTGAGCTTCCCATGGAACTCCAGATTCACATATACAACTGTATACTTATGTTCTCCACTTAAATGTCTAATAGATGTCTCAAATGTAACAGACCTGAAACTGGGCTTCTCAAATTCTCTTGCCAAGCCTGTTCTCCAGTAGTCTTCCCCATCTCAGTTGGTAACAACTCCACCCTCCCAGTTGATCAGGTCAAAAAGTGTGAATCATCTTTGACATCTCTCTTTCTGTCACACCCCACAATGCCCACCCCAAAGGAAATGAAGTGGACAGACTGCTCCATGGACCTGACGGGCTGTTGTTGGGATAACCACCATGCTCGTAACTTTCATCCTGCACCAAGCCTCACCTGGAGTGAAGGGAGTCATAGCTCTACTCTGCCCTGGGCAATAGTGCCTTCTCTTCATGCCTTTCTGGGTCTCAGAGTGACTAAAGAGGCCATAAAGACTGCTTACTTTACTCATTTAATCAATTCATGGATCAATCATCTAAACATTTCTCAATAAAACCGTTTAGTAGCTTCGCTTCCCATTCAGGGGAAATGTCACTACAATAAGCTGCAAAACTCGCCAGGGTCTGGACTCCTCCGTGTTCTCCTACTTAACACCTGGTTCACTCCATTCCTGCCAAGCCTTTAGCTGTTCCCCCAACATGCCAGGCTTGCTCTGGCCCATGGCTTTGCCCTGGCTCTTCCCTCTATCTGGCATTCCCATCCTCACCACCACCACACCATGCTCCATATTGTTTCCTTACCATATATGGCAATTGACGCAAATTCAATATTAGGAAGCCTTGTCTAGCCACTTTATATAAAGGTGTAATTAAACCATCTCCATATCACCTGCAGCAACTTCTAGCACCATTCCTGTATTTATTTTCCTTGTTAGCACTTTTGCCACTGAATCACTGCATAATTGATTGATTGATTGATTTTTATTGATTGTCTTCCTTTCTACAATGTAGGCAAGGGTTTTTTCCTGTTCCCAGAATGGCTACATCCACAGCAGTTAGAACATTCACAGTCCCAAGTAGAACTCAAAAAATGGAGTTGAATGAATGTTGCATTTGAAAGGAATGAATCCATGTTAAGAATATAGATAAATATGAAGTTTATTCATGAGCTCTGGATTTATCCTCTAGATAAATTTCTCCAAACTGTTTATTCTCTGCCCATCATATTTGTTTCTTTTAAAATATATCTCCTTAATTGTTATATTAGATTTCACATTGAGAATGTTATATCACATAATTCCTGTTTACGGCTGAAACTTTAATTGTTGGAAGTGCTTAAGTGGACCTGTTATATTTTTAAGATGACATAGAGGGTTGTCCCTTAGTTGAAAATAAAGGATGCTTGCTGCAGGGGCTGGAAAGCATAGAGATAACAACTTCTCATTCTATGAGCAACTCCCGTGGGGGCTGTGAAATCTTAGGGCAGAGAACCACTGAGGTGGCAAATCCTGCTCTCACTGAGGAAGCCTGTTAGATGGATGGTGCTTAGTTTGCCAATGTGCTGCTTCATTAATTCTCTAACCATCGTGAGGGTGTGAGGGAGACTGCTGAATGTTTTGAAAGGAGTTTTAATTGGACCTTCAGTCGATACAGTTTTCTAAAACTAAAATTTAAAAAAAACGTCCCCAGTGGATAGGGTCAGTGACACATAATCTGGAACAAGAAGGAACGATTTCTTTGAGTTAGTGTGTTTTAGGGAAACATACCCTATGATTAAAAGCAATTCTAAACTTAAAAGGTGAAGCAGGAAAGGAAAGCAGCCATTTTTTTCTCTTGACCTTAGGGTCTTCAACCAGTTTCTCATTCACCTGCTCTTACAGATGCATCAACAATCAAAGGTACAGAGCTCAGTCTGAACCTAGCAGGTAGGATGCGAAACCTTCTCAGTCATATCGTCATGGTTTGTTTAAGCTAAACAATCCATCCAATTTTACTTTCTTTGTAAGTCTGCCTAAATTCAAAATAATTGATGGGCCATTAATTCAAATATGCAATTGGAATTACTAGATTCTCAATTTGATACCTAACGTAAACTACAAGTTTGTCATTGCATTAACTCATGTCTCTTTCCTCATATGCTCAAGCTTTTTATGGAACTAAAAATGATTTTCAGCCTCTAAATTCTCCCTTCATATATATTGATTATATATCCTAGAATACGGAAAATTCTTAAAAATGAAAACTGAGGCATATCAATCAACAACAAAAAACGTATTTCTGGCTGGGCATGGTGGCTCATGCCTGTAATTCCAACACTTTGAGAGGCCAAGGAGGGTGGATCACCTGAGGTCAGGAGTGCAAGACCAGCCTAACCAACAAAGTGAAACCCCATCTCTACTACAAATACAAAACTTAGCCAGGCGTGGTGGCAGGCACCTGTAGTCCCAGCTACTCAGGAGGCTGAGACAGGAGAATTGCTTGAACCCGGGAAGTGGAGGTTGCAGTGAGACGAGATCGCCCCACTCCACTCCAGCCTGGGCAACAGAGCAAGACTCCATCTCAAAAAAAATTTTAAAAATGTGTTTCCTCCTCAAGGAAGTGTATGTTATCTCAATTATATGACACATATTTTAACAGAAGGTTTTTGAGTAAAATTCTTGCAGACAGTCTTTGTATGAACTCTAGATATTCACAGAAACTAGTACGTGCCTTTAGAATTTTTAAAGAAAAAATTATAATGCTTTCCTCCCTGTTGCTCTGCATTCTTAAAATCCCAGCCTCCTTTATGTCTGAATTAATCAGTGAAATATACCAAAAAAAGGTAGTAAATACAGCTGTTAATACCAATTTCACATCTGTCATAACCAATTCAGTGAAAACAAATCTGTAACCCCCAAATAAATTCCAAAGTGATTAAAGTCATAATTGCAAATTAAAACTGTAAAATAATTAAAAGGAACTATGTGTGAATATTAATTTAATTATAGCATATAGAAAACTTCTCAAAGCATAAGTCTAAAGGCATAGAATTTTAATCTCCTGTATGTCAAATTTCATTATAAATATCTAGGAAGGCTAAAACAATTCAGGCAAGGGGACGATGGTAATATATGTATGAGAGGTGTCATAATTTTTGTATTGTTGATATTCTTAATCCATAAAACATTTTTGCAAATCAATAGAGAAGAGGAATATTTCAATAAAAAAACACAAACAATTTGTTAAAAATCAAAAGCCTTGAAAATATGCATATATTTAATCTAATAATTCCACTAAGGAATCTAACCTGAAGAACTAATCAAAGATAATACAAAGCTTTTGTTAAAAGCAAATGCAATTGTACCTATGAAAAAAAGTTCATTGAAACACTACTTAGGATATCAAAAGACTAAAACAGCTTAAATTTCCAACAATCAGAGATTGTAAGTTATGGCATATTCATACTTTGCAAAGCAGAACAGTAACCCTGCATAAAATATCCAACAACATGGATAATGTACATAATGTATTGCTAAACAAAAAAAATGGATTATGTAATACTATAATGCAAGTTATAATCTGGATCTTCAGCAAACTATTCAGATCAGCTTTTTCTAGTTAGTGAGTTAATGATTTTCCAAGTTTTCCACAATAAGCAAGTATTGTATTTACAATTAGAAAAGATGATATCTTGTAAAACTTGTAGTACTTTATAACCAGCAAATATTCTTCTAATGTTAAATAAAGAACATAACCTCAAGCTCACTATTTTTTTTTTTTTTAGACCGAGTCTCGCTCTGTCGCCCAGGCTGGAGTGCAGTGGTGCAATCTCGGCTCATTGCAACCTCTGCTTCCTGGGTTCAAGCAATTCTCTGCTTCAGCCTCCTGAGTAACTGAGATTACAGGCACCCGCCACCACGCCAGGCTAATATTTTGTATTTTTAGTAGCAACGGGGTTTCACTATCTTGGCCAGGTTGGTCTTGAACTCCTGACCTCAGGTGATCCACCTGCCTCGGCCTCCCAAAATGCTGGGATTACAGGCATGAGCCACCACACCCAGCAAGCTCACATTGTTATTTTAAGCACTGATTACAATAAGATGATCAGCCCTACCCATTCACTAAGGCTGACATAATATTGTATGTGTGTGTGTGTTTGTGATTTTATTACGTGTATATACAATCTTTTTTATTTCTTATTAATATAATTAGGCTTTGTTCCCCACCCAAATCTCATCTTGAATTGTAATCCCCATAATCCCCATGTGTTAAGAGAGAGACCAGGTGGAGGTAATTGAATCATGGGGGTGGTTTCCCCCATGCTGTTCTGACAGTGAATGAGTTCTCATGAAATCTGATGGTTTTATAAGGGGCTCTTCCCCCTTCACTCGGCACTTCTCCTCCTGGCCGCCTTGTGAAGAAGGTGCCTTATTTCCACTTCACCTTCTGCTGTGATCGTAAGTTTCCTGAGGCCTCTCCAGTCATGCTGAACTGTGAGTCAACTAAACCTCTTTCCTATATAAATTGCCCAGTCTCAGGCAGTTATTTCTAGCAGTGTAAAACCAAACTAATACACTTATATTTTGCAAATTGAAATTGTCTTTGAAGGCAATTTTACTTTGCAAAATTCTTTAAATTGTGAACTTCTCTAAAAGAAAATGTGGGTCAAGAATTCTTATATGTGTCAAGCGTTTGTGGCATATTAGTGATTGTATATACCCCTAATGAATCATTTATATACCCTGAAAATATTTTCTGCCCTCTTAGCATGTAGGGGTGCAGTTCAAAACTTGAGATATTTGATTACCATGAATCTTGGTGCCTGAGGAGAATAAGCTAGAAAGAGCTTTCCTCTTTACTGTCTATAGCAGGAACCACTTATATGGTATCTCTCTCTAATTCCATAATTCCTTTCATCAAAAAGATCCCTAAAGTCCATTATGAAGCTAATTAGGAGACTCACTTATTTTCAAAACCCAGTCCCTCTTGTTTGCCCACAGCTAATATGTGGCAGCGAAAATGCAATTTGATAGTTTCTTGTTTCAGAAAGGAGTGAAAGAATAACTTCTCTAATTAAAACCACTATGATTTTGTGGGATTTTTTCTTTAAGTGGGAGGACAGTGTAATTACACAGATTGGAATGCAGCCAAAACAGTAAAGTAAAGTTAACTGCCTGCAAGTGAAATACCACGCAAGACATTGCCTATATTAGTAAATTGTTGTGGGTGGAGTGGAGGTACATGAGGATACACAGGACACTCTCTATTGGCCTGTGAATTGAATCTACCACTAAAAATAAGCTAAATAATTATTATTATGAAATGTGATAATCATACTCATTTTTCCCCTATAGTAGACTGAGAATAAATAGACTATCTTAGTCAGTGTCCATAATTTATGTAGGCAATGCTGCAGAGGATATTATTTTGTGCTGGATTTGGACTAAAACTGGTGTAGGCAGGTGGACCATCTATTTTTGTCAGTTGATTAATTGGAAGTTGGTTCTGAGTCAGTCAACGGCATGACTGTCACAAGGGCAAATTGGAGTGTAAGTTTATAGGACAGGCAGCAATTAGTGTTTCCAGATGTTTTACATGGAATCAAGTGAAAATACATGGAAAAATTAAAGTAGAAGTAATTACAGTACCGATGAGATGCTGTTACCATATTTAGAGCCATAACTAAAATGCTAGGTAAAGTGGTATAGGGGCTTTACAGAAACAAACATAAATATGAGATCACCAAGTTGATTGTAGGCTTTGCTGCTCTGTACCATTAATGCTAGCATGATGGTGACAGCAAATTGTCTTGTGAGCAGCATACTATAGGACAGGAAAACAAAGCAATTTGGGTGCTAAGATTGGCATCATAACTGAAGGCCCTGAGAACAAATCTTCGTCAGTTGTTTTATGGAGTTTCATACTGAAAGATTTTTTGAAGAAGCAGATCCTAGGTGTGGTGGAGATGGAGAGATTTCTTAAGTTTTCAGAAGTCTATATGAATCTATTATTAATTTCACCAGTACTTTTTCATCTTTCCTCCCCACCCACTCTGCTGTTTCTTGAATGTAAGATATCATCAAGCTATTCCAGTTTTTTATGGACGGAAGTGTTTAACTGGCAAAAGCTGAGGAAACAGGAAAGCTGAAGGAATATATTTTGAGTAGCATTTATTCAAAATATAATTATTAAACACCTACTATGTGCAAATCATTTTATATAACATAGAAATTGACAATGAACACTCAATAAATATTGACTTCATCCTTCTTGTTTACTAGCAAGGATACATTTTCTCAGATACAAAGATGGTAGAATATATAAGAACAAAGATTATCAAAAAATGTAATACAAAATTCTAAGACAGGAATTCATAACCTGTGTTCCAGAGGCTTGTTTGGGATTTGGGCCTATGACCTTATTTTAAAATGGGTCATTTTGTACTCACAAATGTATATTTTGCGTGGTATGGGTCTCTATCTTGGAGGTAAGTTCATCATATTTTTTCAAGACTCGGTCACCTCAAAAATTCAAAGAACAATTGGTTTAAGAAAAGGAATGAACATGCCTAATAAGTAGAGAGCATGATGATTAGTACAGACATTTGCTAACAACGGCTTTGAAAATGTTTAAACATAACATATTTATTACCTAGTTTTAGAATGGCACAGAAAAATTTCAAGGCAAGAGTAATATCCATAGGAAGCACTTAACTTCTCTAAAACGGAAACTGGGTCACTGAAATACTGGGAAGGAAAGAAGGAAGGTAAAAATAACAGTTAAGATTCAGTCAAGGGGCTTGAAACTTCTGAGACTTCAGAGTGAGGATTTCCATAAATCCACTTCTTCATGAAAACACTGAAAAAATTTTCAAATTAACTTTTTCAGAACTCTGAAAATTAGCCAAATACATGTAACAATTTGAGGAGTGTTTTATTTATTAAAAAAACTGCTGAACTTGAGTAAGAACAAGAAAGTTTATGGCTTTTTAACTTGACCTTAAACCCTTGCCCCTCTCCCCAGTTTTGAGTAGCCTTAAAAAACAACAGTCTTGGAGCACTGGAGGGGGCAGTCCAATTTTGGAACTCCTCAAATAGTAGCATCCCCAGAGTAGCACCACTATTTAATCTGTCTTGAAGCTCTCTGGAAAAGCTGTATTCACAGGGCATTGTCACTATTTGACCTGATTCAGAAACCAAAAGCCCTATCTGCAGGGCATTGTTGAAAGCAATTACAACAGCAATTGTTTAACATCACAGATGACACAGTACCAGTTGGGGTGAACAAGAGCCTGAACAAAAACATAAAAGGAAGACCTGCCAATGAGATATCCATAGAGGTCTTTGTAAAGCCCTGACATATTGTGAGGGATTTAGAAGCCACATGTATAAGTAGGGCTGTGTGCATGCTGAAGAAAGACCAAAGAGTGCCCCAGTCCCTCATCTCTGACTGATGTTGAGCCCCTGTACCAGGAGGAAGTGAAGGCAAAGGCAGAATTTAAAACTTCCTGAGCATTACTGAAGTTCCCCAACACACACAAAGCCTCTTGGCAAAGGGTTGACTTACTGGTTCACAGTATTCTAAAAAATATCTGAGCAATCACTAGCTGACCACTTAGCTAATCAGAGACTTCAGTTGTTGCCCAATAGAGTAAGTACAGACTTTACAGAATTAGCCCTAGAAAATCTCTAAACAACAAACAGCAACAATAACAAAAATCAACAACAAACCCTGGGGAAAACATCTGACTTTCAGATTTGCCACATTTTATGATTTGCAATGTCCAATTTTTAAGAGAAAAATTGTGGTGCATACACAGGGGAAAAGAAATTGTCAATAGAAAATCTGTTACCTGAGGGGACCCAGATTTTAGACTTACTAGACAGACTTTAATTAAGCTATTATAAATGTGTTTAAAGAACTAACAGGAATCCTTTTCAAAGAATTAAAGGACAGTATGACAATAATTCACCCAATAAAGATTATCAGTAAAGAAACAGAAATTAGGTCAGTTGCTGTGACTCACGCCTGTAATCCCAGCACTCTGGGAGGCCAAGGTGGGTGGATCACGAGGTCAGCAGTTTGAGACCAGCCTGGCCAAGATGGTGAAACCCCATCTTTACTAAAAATACAAAAATTAGCCAGGCACGGTGGTGGGTGCCTGTAATCCCAGCTACTTGGGAAGCTGAGGTAGGAGAATCACTTGAACCTGGGAGGCAGAGGTTGCAATGAGCTGAGATCATGCCACTGCATTCCAGCCTGGGCAACAGAGCAAGACTCTGTCCCCCACCAAAAAAAAAAAAAAAAAAAGGAAACAGAAATTATTTTAAAAACACAAACAGATATTCTGGAGCTTTAAAGCATAATAACTAAAACAGAATATTTGAGTTTACTCAACAGCATATTTGAGTTGGCAAAAGAAAGATCAAAAGAAAGAAAGGTTAGTGAACTTTAAGACAGGTCAACTGAGATTACCTAGTCAGAAGAATAGAAAGAAAAATGTATGAAGACAAATGAATACAGTCTCAGGGACCTGTGGGACACCATCAAGCATATCAACATACACATTATGTGAGCTCCAGAAATAGAAAATGGAGTGAACAGGGCAGAAAAAATATTTGAAGAAAATCATAGCCATAAACTCCCCAAATTTGATGAAACACATAAGATAAAGTCAAGGAGACCCACACCTAGTCAGACTGTCAAAAGACAAAGGAAAACTGTTGTAATCAACAAGAGAGAAAAAAGACTCATCCTGAAAAAAAATTTAATGAGATTAATGGCTGATTTCTCATCAGAAATCAGGGAGGCAAAAATACAGTGGAACTAACATTCAATATGTTGAAAGAACAATACTGTCAACCAAGAATTCTATATTCAGCAAAACTATCTTTCAAAAATGAAGGAGAGATTGAGATATTTTCAGGTAAACAGAAACTGAGAGAATTTGTTACTAGCAAATCTTCCCTGCAAGATTTACTAAAGGGAGATTTTCAAACTGAAATGAAAATACACTAGACAGTAGCTCAGATTCACGTGATGAAATACAGAGCCTCCAGAAAGATAAGTATACAGTAGTCTTAGTTCATTCAGAATGCTATAATAAAAATACCACAAACTGGGTGGCTTAAACAACAAGTATTTGTTTCTCACAGTTCTGGAGTCTGGGAATTCCAAGATCAAGGTGCCAACAGGTTCAGCATCTGGTAGGGTCCCACTTACTAGTTTATAGACAGCTATCTTCTTGCTGTGTCCTTACATGACAGAATGGGGTCAGAGAGTTGTCTAGGGTTCTTTTAAATAAAGGCATTAATACCATTAATGTGGGCTCCACTCTCATAACCTAATCACCTCCCAAAAGCCCCACACCCTAATTCTATCACATTGGGGGTATTTCAATATATAAATGTTAAGAAGACACAAACATTTAGTCCAGTGTAATAGGTAAATAGAAAAAGTTTAACTGTAATTTTATGTAACTCTTTTCTTCTTTCATATGATTTAAAAGACAGTTGCAGCAATTGTTAAACTGTGTTGATGGGTTTATAATGTACAAAGATGTAATTTCTATGAAAATAATAATACAAAGAGATGGGGAGAGAGTAGAGCTATACTGGAGTAAAGTCTCAGTATATTATTAACTTAGCGTTAATATGAACTAGATTATTTTAAATTAAGTTGTTAAGTATAGTTCCAGAGCAACCACTAAGAAAATAGCTAAAAAATTATAGTAAAAGAAACAACAAAATAATTAAAACGGTACACTAGAAAATATCTACTGAATACAAAAGAGAGTAGTTTTGGAAGCATATAGAAACAAAGACATAAAAACTGTAGAGAAGAGCTACTATAATGGCAAATGTAAATCCCACCTTAAACTCTCTAATAAAAAGGCAAATGATGTCAGAAAAGATTTTAAAAGTGATTCAACTCTACACTGTCTACAAGAGACACATTTTAGATTCAAAGAAATAAATAGGTTGAAAGTAGAAAAGATGAAAAATACACTATACAAACAGTAACCAAAATTAAAAACTGTGAGAATTAAAGGAAAAATATAAATAATTTAAAAATTATAGTTGGAGAATTCAGTATCTCACTATCAAAAATAGATAGAACACCTAAGCAAAAGGTCAACAAGGAACTAGAAGACTTGAGCAACACTACACCAACCAGCCTTAAACATCTATAAGATACTCCATTCAATGACAGCAGAATACACATTTTTCTCAGGTAGACACAGACTATTTTACAAGATAGACAATATGCTAAGTCATTAGACAAGCCTCAGTAAACTTAAAAGAATTTAAATCATACAAAATATGTTCTCTGACCACAAGAAAATAAAATCGGAAACCAATAACAGAGGGAAATTTGTGGAATTCACAAATATGTGAAAATTAAAAAACACACTTCTAAATAACCAATGGGTCAAAGGATAAATAACAAGTGAAATTTTAAAATACTTTGAAATGAATGAAAATGAGAATGTAACATACTAAAACTTACAAGATATAGCTAAAATAGTGCTTAGAGAGAAATTTACATCTGTGAATGTCTATTATTACAAAACAAAGATCTTAAAACAATAGCCTAATCTTCCACCTTAAGAACCTAGAAAAAGGAGAGCAAACTAAACCTAAAGCAAGCAAAAAGAAGGAAATTATTTCAAAAGTTAGAGTAAATGTAAATGAAATGGAGAATTAAAAAAACAGAGAAAAATCAAAGAAACCAAACTTGGTTTTTTTGAAAAGATCAACAAAATGTATAAACTGAAGCTAGACTGACCAAGAAATAGAGCATACTCAGATTACTGAAATCAGGAATGAAAAAGGAGACAGCCCTATTGTCCTTATAAAAGCAAGGATAAGAAAATACACTATTATAGTATATATTCTTAAAAGAAAATACACTATTATATTCTTATAAGAAAATACACTATTAACAACCCCATACCAACAAAGTGGATAACTTAGATGAAACCGATAAATTTCTAGAAAAACACAAAATACCGAAGGTAACTAAACAATAATGGAAACTGAATAGACCTATAGCAAGTAAAACAATTAAATTAGTAATTTAAGATATTCCAGTAATTAAAAATTTCCAGGCCCAATGGCTTTATGATGAATTCTACCAAACATTTATGGGAGAAATAAAACCAGTTCTACACACTTTACACACACACTTCTGAAAAATAGAAGCTAAGAGAACACTTTCTAAATCATTCCATGAAGCCAGTAATACCATAATACCAAAACCAAATAAAGATACTACAAGAGTAAGAAGCTACAGAAGGGGAGAAAATATGCACAAATCATATATCTGAGAAAGAATCTGTATCTTGAATATGTAAAAGACTTAATAACTCAGTAACAAAAAGACAACCGTAGACAATGGATTTTGATAGACATTTTTCGAAAGAAGATATAAATTATTAATAAGCAAATAAAAAGATACTCAAAAGCATTTGTCAGTGGAGAAATGCAAATCAAAATTACAATGAGATACAACTTTATACCCACTGGGGACAGCTATGATAAAGAAAAATAGACAATTAAAAGCCCTGGTAATAAAGTAGAGAATTTAGAACCCTCATACATTGCTGGTGAGAAGGTAAAATAGTATGGCCACTTCAGAAAATAGTCTGGCATTATCTCTATTCAAAAGAAATAAAATCATATGACCCACACAAAAATTGTACAGAATATTCACAGCATATTTTTCAAAATGGTCAAAATCGGGACCAATCAAAGATGAATGGAGAGGACCAGGTGCGCTGGCTCATGCCTGTAATCCCAGCACTTTGGAGGCAGAGATGAGTGGATCACCTTAGGTCAGGAGTTCAAGACCAGCCTTGCCAACATGGTGAAACCCCTGTCTCTACTAAAAATACAAAAAAAAAAAAAAAATTACCTGGGCATGGGGGCGCACACCTGTAATTCCAGCTGCTAGGGAAGCTGAAGCAGGAGAACGGCTTGAACACAGGAGGTGGAGATTGCAGTGAGCCCAGATCGTGCCATTGCACTCCAGCCTAGGTGACAGAGAAAAGCTCCATCTCAAAAAAAAAAAAAAAAAAAAAAGATGAATGGAGAGACAAATATGATTTGGTATATATAATGGAATATCATTTGGCAATAAAAAATGAATTACTGATGCATGCTCAACATGTATCAACCTTGAAAATACAATGTGTCAAGGATGCCAATCACAAAAGTACTTATGTTATATAATTCAATTTATATGAAATAGGCAAATTTATACAAACCAAAAATAAATTAATGGTTGCCTAGATCTGAGAGGCTGAAAGAAATGGGGGATGACTGGTAATGTAGGTAAGGTTTCTTTTTGGGGTGATGAAAATATTCTAAAATTAGGTTGTAGTGGTGGTTGCACAACCCAGGTAATATCCTAAAATCCACTTTAGTATGTCATTTAAAGTAATTGTGCACTTAAAATGAATAAATTTCATGTAATGTGGATTATATCTTAAAACAACTGGTTTTAATTTTTTTAAGCCAATGAAGAAATGAAGTGCTAGTTTTTATGTTTATTGCTTCCATGAGAATATTATCATCTAGAATAACATGTAATGTATTGAGTATCAAACTCCAGCATATCACCTAATAATCACTTGGCCTTAAACAAGTTACTTGAATGTTCTCAGATCCTGGAATTTTCACTTAAAAATGGAGGAAATAATACATCACAGGGGTTTTGAGAGAATGTATTAAGTAATGGCACACTTTAGATCCCTAATGAATATTAATTTCCTTCATTCCTTCCATCAGGGGCCATACACTCAAGAGAAAAATAATAGTCAGGGACAATTCTTAAATTACGAATAGGGAATTCAATAAATACAACAAACCAAAGATTATATATAAATTTTATGTTTTTGCCAATGGAGGGGAAAGATAACTAAATGAGGCAAGGAGAAGAAGAAAAGGTGGATAGGGAAACTGCACGAAAAGAGAGAGAGAAGTCAGATGAACAAGCACAATGAAATAGACTCAAAGAATAACAACTTATGTAATTTTAAAAGACATATTGGGCCAAATTAAATGGTATTTGGATCATTCTAATTAAAATTAAAACCAGGCTACATTTGCTTGTTCAGAAAAATTCATCTAAAGGTGGAATTTTGCTAGTGGCCCACAGGGCTTTATATCTCAATTTGGTTTGGAATCTGATGAGGTGATTAAGTAGAAAACCATAGAAACATAAATGTCACCAATAGAACTAAGCAAATACGTAACCTCTACTGCACTATCAAATTTTTTCTTGCACTAAAAATTTAAAGCTTTTTTATTGACTTTTCATTGTATTAATTGTATGCTAAAGAAACTTAGACCAAAATATACTTTCATTTGAATGAGTTTCAATCACTGGTCTTAGAAAGAACATTCAATAATATTTGATAGGATTTTACCGCTGTGAATGGATTTTTTAAAGAAGGAGACATACTATATAGAATAGCAGTATAAAAGAATATAATCACTGAAAGACTAATTTGTAGTTTTGAAGACATAGCATAATAAAGTTCTTACAATATAATAACCTAGTACATCATAGGCTGATACCATACTAGACAGTACATCGCAGGCTGAATACTGTTCTTTCATGAGATTTATCTTTGAAAATAAAAGTCATCTAGTTTCTACAATTAATTAATCGTGTATCCTTACAGTTTATATTAGCTAAATATTCTCAGAATACAATTTTTAAGATTCTTGTTTTATCTACATCGCAAAGTTTATTCTTCAGTTTTTGCATTTTCAGTTGCATTAATATTATTTGAATGTGGGATAGATAGGATATGTTTTAAATTCTTGCTATTAAGCATTGATATTGGGGCTTAATAATGGTTTCTCTCAATGTCCTACTCAGAGCAATTTAAGTCACATAATCCCGACCAGAAGCGTATCTCCATGGTTGTTTTCTATATCCCTAGTACAGCAGTGATAAAGCCATGAATGCTGAATGTGCCGTGTTTTTTCAGCCAACAATGGGCAAATGACATTTCTAAAGCTATGTATCAGTTCCTACTTCTCATCATTAATCCCCTGTCCCTTCCAAACCTCAACTGTTGCTTTAAAAAAAATTAAGAAGACAACAATAATCTCTTAATGACACCCTGCAGCAGCTTTATGGTGGAAAGGGAAAGGGGTCATGTTTACTGGCACATATTTTCTTTGAGTGTTTTCTCCCTTTCGCAGCTCCCATGGAAAATTTGCTAACATATGTACTTGCTTTTGTTAATGGCAATAGTAGATTTAATGTGTTTAATTCCCTGCTCCCTTTTCTTCCTCTAAGTGGAAAAGACCTCTCAAGCAGTGTTTATGTTTCACCTTCAAAGTTTTAGCTGGAAAAATGTTTTTCCGTATTTAATGAAAGTTTGGTGACTTTCTAAATTTAAGCAATTTTTAAACTCTGAGTTTAAAATTCCCCCATCTCTAAAATAGAGATATACCTAACAATAATAGCCTTTTGTGGAAGATTATCTGAGCAAAATAAATTAGAAACATCTAACAATATTTCTTATTATTTTTATAATCTTCATTCTGAGCCCAGATTCTCTAGCAAACAGAGACCAAGATAAAAGCTTATTGGCCATTATTTTATTCAAGAGTATAATTTCAGGGAAGTAGGAGGAAGGAAAAAGAGAGATGGCATCCAAAAAGTGAGAAATATATATATATATATATTTATATTTATATATATGGGATTGCAAAGCCTGACGCATCTTGGTACCAAGCAAACTGCAGACATTTTTGACAATCTTAAGCTAAAGCCTAGATGAATCACTGCATCTCAGGGCAATCCATTTGGGGAAATAAACAGAAGGATTGATCTGCTAGTTCCCATCTCCTTAAGTTCAAAGATTCACCTCGAGGGACATTAACTTCCCCACACTTCCAGGTGGCAAGTGCCTGGATTCTGAGATCCCTGGAATCTGACATCTCAATACCAACAGGGAGGCCCTGGAACAGGAGGGAAGAATTTCAAAGCACAGGCTGTGGAGACAGAATTTCTGTCAGAATTGTCCATCTCGACTTCTCAGAGCCCATGCTGGTCACACCGCAGTAACAGGGCCCTCCAAGACAGGTGAGGCTGAAAGAATGGGGCAGGCACAGAGAATTATCTGATTCACTCTCCTTTAAAACAAAAGGCAATATATTCATTTGTCAAGTGACAGGAAGTCTTTTGAATCAATGTATTCTTGTTCTGTTTGGGAGTTAAAGGCAGTATAAAGAAGCTTGATTATAATCACTTACAAAAACCTATGAAAACCAGATTTTTTAAGATGTTGCAACTAAGTACAACTTCTGGCTTTTATTATAAGTCTTTTTAGAATTGTATTTTTAATTGACAAATAATTGTACATATTTATGGGGTACAGCGTTATGGTTTGATACACATATACATTGTAGAATAGTCAAATCAGGCTATTTAATGCATTCATCACTGCACACACTTATCATTTCTTTGTGGTGAGAACATTAAAATTCACTCTTTTAGCAATTTTAAAATATACAATACAATATTATTAACAATAATCACCACACTGTGCAATAGATCAGCAGATCTTATTCCTCCTGCCTAACTGAAGCTTCGTGTTCTTTGACCAACATCTCCCCTTTCCTTGTCCACTCCAACCATATCCCACAGCACCTGGGAACCACTACTCTGCTCTACTTCTGAGTTTGACTTCTTTTTGATTCCACATGTAAGTGTGATCACATAGTAATTGTTTATCTGTACCTGGCTTACTTCACTAAAAATAAAGTCCTCCATATCTATCCATGTTGTCACAAATGGCAGAACTTTCTTCTTTTTTAAGACCAAATAGTATTCCATTGCATATATATACCATGTTTTAAAAAATCTATTTGTCTATTGATGGATGCACTCTGTTCCCCTTTCTTGGCTATCATGACTAATGCTGCAGGGAACATGGGAATTTTACAGCGTTGGCTTTTTTATCAACATAAATGACTTAATGTTGATGATAAAAAACAATGCTGTAAAATATTTGAAGAGGTTGATTCTAAGCCAAATATGAGAACCAGGGCTTATGATACAGCCTCGGGACATCTTGAGAACATGTGCCCAAGGTGATTGGGTTACACCTTAATTTTAAACATGTTAGGGGCACAGAAGCTACAGGCAAAGACATAAATCAACATATGCAAAACATGCATTGTTTTGGCCTAGAAAAGTGGGACATCTCAAAGCAAGAGCTTCCAGGTCATAGGTGGATTCAAAGATTTTCCGAGTGGCAATTAGTTCAAAGAGTTAAGGTTTGCTGGTAAATATCTCTTATTAGATCTTAAAAGGTGTCAGACTCTCTGGAAAAGACCTAATAAGGGAAAGAGATGCTCTATAGAATGTAAATTTCCCCTACAAGAGATGGCTTTGCAAAATCACTTCAAAATACGTCAAAGAAATCTATTTTGGGGTAAAATACTTTGATTTCCTTCAGAGTCTGCTGTCATGTGATGCTATGCCAAAGTCAGGGTAGAATTGGGCATCTTATTTCCACACAGAGTCTGTTTTTCAGTCTTATGATCTCTATTTTAATATTAATGCTAGTCAGTTGTCCCTAAACACAAAAGATAGGAGAGTATAATAAGGCATGTAAGACTTCCCTTCCAGTCATGGCCTGAACTAGATTTTAAGTTTTCTTTGGGATCCTCTTGGCCAAGGGGGAGGAGGTCCATTCAGTTGGTTGGGGGCCAGGGAGCTAGAATTTTATTTTTGATTTACAATGCTGATTTCAATTCCTTTGAATATGTACCTAGTAGTGGGATTGCTGGATTATTATAAATTTTTATGTGTATTACAATTTTGTTAATTAGGTCACTGTCTTAGTTAGTTTGAACTGCCATAACAAAATACCATAGACTGGGTGGCTTAAACAACAGAAATGTGTTTTCTCATAGTTCTGGAGGATGGAAAAGCTAAGATCGAGGTTCTGGCTGATTTGATTGCTAGCCAGAGCTCTCATCCTAGCTGGTAGTCAGCCACCTTCTCTCTGAATTCTCACATGGCAGAGATAGAGACTTCTCTCTCTCTTCCTTTTCTTATAAGGCCACCAATTTTATCAAATTAGGAACCCTCCACTTTATAACCCTTTTGACTTTAATTATCTCCTTAAAGTCCTGTCTCCAAATGCCGTTACATTGGGGGTTAGGGCTTCAACATATGAATTTGAGAGGAACACAATTTAGTCCACAGCATTTGCATATCACAGAAAACAAATCCATAGAAATGTTAATACAATAAAGAATTTGAGTGGTTTAAAACCTTTTTATTTTTGTGAATGCTACAATTAAAATATTTCTGCGTGCAAAAAATTGTGAGTTTTTCTTGTATAGAGTAAAATTTTCTGATCTTAAAAGCAAGACCTATGACAAGTAGAAAATATTAATGAACGCTGAAAGCATTATATCCTTGTCATTTTCAGATAAGAAAACTGTAGTTAGTGATGCTTTTCAAAATTGTTACATTTGTGAACCAGCAAATGTATGCACACAGGATTATCTGAGCCTAAACATAGTGTCATAACCTTAAATTGAATAAGTTAGATTAAATTATTTTTACCAGAAAATTTATGGCTGATTTCCATACAATAATCCATTTAGTCAATTCAACAATTTACAGGGCTGAAAATATTTATTGTAACTTGAAATTCATTTTATTTCAAGCAATTAAATCACCCAGAATCCTCCAGATACAAAGTGTGTTAAATGTAACCTTTAAAATGAATGAATGAGCTGAAGACAATAAGGGAAGTCCAGGGAGCAGAGGAAAAGGCAAGAGCAGGGTACCAAGGAGAAGTATAACGTTGATGCTTCCTCACAACTTGAGGGCAACTACGGATTCAGACACCTGGAGTTTGATGCCAGCACAAAGCAGGAAATCGGACTGGAGATCAAGTCATACACAGCTGGGACCCAGAAAGGTATACACTTGGCCTTGGAGAGGAAGGAGGTTAGGAGAGAGTGACTTACAAGAAAACATGACCTGCAGTGATAAAGAGTATAGAAGGATAGATGCAGCCGGGCATGTTGGCTCACACCTGTAATCCCAGCACTTTGGGAGGCCAAGGTGGGCAGATCTGAGGTCAGGAGATCGAGACCATCCTGGCTAACATGGTGAAACCCCATCTCTACTAAAAATACAAAAAGTAGTCAGCCATGGTGGCATGTGCCTGTTGTCCCAGCTACTCAGGAGGCTGAGGCAGGTGAATCCCTTGAACCTGGGAGGTGGAGGTTGCAGTGAGCAGAGATCGCACTACTGCACTCCAGCCTGGGTGACAGAGCAAGACTCCATCTCAAAAAAAAAAAAAAAAAAAAAAGAAGAAGAAGAAGGACAGATGCTAGATAGATAGATAGATGATAGATAGATTAAAAAAGAGATATAGAGATAAAGGTATATTTCTCAGCCTTGGTTCTGGGTGGAGGTTTAAAAATAATATTTCCTTGAGATTTTGTAAATGTAAACTAAGTCATATTTAGGGTTATGGAGCCAGAAATCACACTAACAGTAGAGTTCACAAAGCTGCAGAGAATATTTTGTTTGTGATGAATCTAGATCTTTCTAGCACCCAAAGAGATATATCCCCCACTCAAGTCATCCAGAACTCACAAATATGAACTCAAGCTCAAAGACACACAAAAAAATAAGGAAACAAGCCTCAAAGTGCTGGAGTCTACAGAAACAACAAGGAACATAACCAGTTGCATGAGATTTCAGATATTTGCCTTATCAGATGCATAATTAAAATAAGAATAAATGAATAGATGTTGTATTTAAATAAAGAAGAAATAAAGAGGCTACCAAAACTGATCACTCATATTTGAAAAAGAACAAAAAATAACTTCTACTTCTGAGAAATTTTAATGAATAATATTAAATGGAGCAGTTAACCAGTAGAATACAACTGACAAAAAGATTATGAAATAAATATAAACAAATATGCATATACATATACATATATCTGATAACCTGAAGTATATTTATTGATATATATATTACCTTATATGTATGCATGTGTGTATCATGTTGAACTATATGAAATTGCCATGTTGTATGGCAAAAACAGTCACATATAGGCAATTTCATATGGTTAAGCCTATATATGCATATTGGATTGAAGATGCACTGTATAATATAGGTTTTCCATATAAAGGTGAAAAAATATTCTTTTGCTCTAAGAATTCTCAGAGTTCTGTCCCACAGCAGATAGCCTACATGAGAGTAATTTTTTTATCAGAATTGTGGAATTCACACACAGGTCATATGCTTAGTTCTGCTCATGATAATGATGCTCAATAGTTAATTGGCTTTGTCAGGCACTCGTCTATATCTTCCCACCTTCCTCTCCAACAGTCAAGTTTCTAGACCCAAGGCTCTTGTTTCTCCAAAACTGCTTGCAGAAATAGCTATGCCTTCTTTGCCATTTATTTTAGGTCACCACTTATTAGTGACATCTGATATTAGATTCTTGTGAGATGAAGATTGGAGACTGGCTTAAGTATCTGTCAGGAAGCTTCTCTATTTTCAGATTATATTGCATACAAAAACCTTGCAAGCCAAATCTGTTTCAGAATTAAAATAACATGAGCAACCTCAAGAAAAATTATTCCATGTGTGCACACGTATCAAGAAAAACACTGCTTCCATCATGCCACCCCACTTCATTGCTTGCAGGGATCATTGAAATTCATTTACTCAGTGATCAGAATCTCCTGAACCCTGCCTCCAGACCTCATTTCCAAACATACACCCTAACCTCCAAAACAAATTTGGTCTTTAGCCTTGTCCAATAAAAATAGTTATTGTTAAAAGTCCAAACTCTTTAACATGCTATTTTTTAAAAGCCCGGGGTTGGGGAGGGGGGTGGGTAAGGGATCTCCTTACTCCACAGAACTTCTAATTTCCCAGACAATCAGTTGTTCAAGAACACAATGCCATTCCTCATGCTTTCTTTGCCTATAAGCTGTTCTCACCCACTTGGTGAAATCTACTTCCCCCTTCATAGGTCAACCCCTCAGTGAAGTCCTCCTTGATGTCTTCAGCAGCATTTAATGGTTTTTCCTCTATGTCCCCTTAGTACTTTCTTCATATCTCTACTTGTCTCTCCCACTAGACTGTAAATTCACTTTTGTCAGGACCATGCCATCTGAGTACCCCAGTGTCTAAAACATAACCTGGTACTATATATTTCTGCTGAATAAATGAATTAAAAAACAAATGAGTGCAAGTTATTTAAATCAGAGGAATCATGATAGAAACATTAATATTTTAATATGTAACAGACCACAAGAATGTTAAAAGAGTGGTCTTCAAACTCAAAAGTGTATCTTCCCAATGACACCAGCCTTAGAAGAACAGTTTCTGTGTTACTATTGTCATGCTGGAATTCAAAGGGTTTTTCTTGGTTCTTATAGAGACTAGAGCAGTACATCTCCAAGGCTAATTATTCTTCTGATCTCATGGTTTGATTTATGTGAATTGTGACACCCTATAAGGAAAGTAAAAAGAGATCCACCTAGTTATAAACAATGCTCATTATAGAACAACCTCCAGCCGAGCCAATGCAGAAGGCCTCAGGGAATACTAAAAAAAAGATAGTGGATTTTTTTTCCTTGCAAGCACAAAATATTTTTTAACCATAAAAAGCAATGTGCAGGTTTGTCATCCTGGTGAAAGGATGATTAATTTCCATCGTGTTAGAATATAACATACGGATTACCCTAGAAAGTTTTAAATTTTACCAAAAAAAAATCAAGGAAAAAATGTAAATTGCAGAATGATTATTGCATATAAATTTTATATACTTCTTTTAGATAATATAGAAGAGATAGCCACTCACCCACCCTGAGTTTTACTGTACAATTCTGTTTTTTTAATTGAAACTGCACTGAAGCTTTTTTCTTCCCGTGTTTTAAACTGTGCTGAAATTATAAGATTTGAAAAGCCTTTGTTAATAGCTAGAGAGTCCTGCCATTACCGAATGCCAAGAGAATAATGAAACACCTAAAATGATAAGGCACTAGTGTCTGAGCAGAATAGACCTTTAATTGGAAAAAGTTCATGCATTAATATTCAACATTAAGTGGTGATTAATAGATACACCATGTGGGTATTTTTTATTTTAGGAGGATAGATAACAGCATGTCCAATTTTAATGTAAATCTAGTGACAATTTCAGTGTGTTATTCTAAAATGCTCTATCTGATTAGTTTCAGAGGCGTAAAAAGAAAATCTTTTCTAGTGAGCACATCCTCCGTAAGTGTTAACAGCAAAGCTCCTTAAAATAATTTTGTTCTCTGAAATTGTTGCCATAGCTAGCTGGAAGAGTTTCATGTTTAATAACCACATGTGATATCTGGTTTTTTTTAAATGAAATCCGCATAAAGTGTTCATTTTTTCTCCATTCTAGAAAAAAAAAATCTACTCTTATTGACCTCTTTCCTTACTCTCACTGACTGATCAAGGAAAAAGGTTTTATTTTCTCTGTCTTTTTATCTATTTTGATGGTATTTTTTTTTCCAACGTGATTGTGCCAGTGCACTCCAGACTGGATGACAGAGCAAGACCCTGTCTCGAAAATAAATAAAGAATTTTTTTTTTTTTTTTTGAGACAGAGTCTCACTCTGTCACCCAGGCTGGAGTGCAGTGGCGCGATCTCGGCTCACTGCAAGCTCTGCCTCCCAGGTTCACGCCATTCTCCTGCCTCAGCCTCCCGAGTAGCTGGGACTACAGGCGCCCGCCACCATGCCTGGCTAATTTTGTTTTTGTATTTTTAGTAGAGACGGGGTTTCACTGTGTTAGCCAGGATGGTCTCGATCTCCTTACCTCATGATCCGCCCGTCTCAGGCTCCCAAAATGCTGGGATTACAGGCGAGAGACACCACACCTGGCCTCTCCAGGGAATCTTTAAATAGCCAGGTAATAAGAATTCTCAGAGTGAATAGTACACTGAATGTGAAAGTGAAGAATGACATCCAGGATAACTTTTCTCTCTTTGTATTCAGGGGGCTCAGTCTATTAATAAAGAGATTTTGTCTAACCATGTTCCCCACATATTGCTGTCAATAGAGTAAATTGCTGTTATCCATTTAATGTGATAAGCTCATTATTTCTCACAGCTTCATCTATCACCCAATCCCATCCTTTCACCTTAAATCTAGACTTCTAATGCCAAACACCTTCTGGATAGAATTTGTGTTTAACTCCACATCTGAGGTTAAATTTTAATCTACCCAACGAATGTAGGTTTCCTTCCAACATTGCCTGTTTCTTATTAACACAATCAGTTAGTTACCCTGGCTCAAGAAATTGAGAAGAAAATTGGACTTATTTGATCCTTCACTTCATGTTTCTAGAGTCTCCAAATGAAAGTTTCCTTAAAAAACTTTTTCAAGCCTTGTTTTAATCTAGATCCCACACCAAAGCAGAACAAGAGACCAAGTCTTATATAAAGTTAGTTTATTTGAGAATATAATTATAGAGAACATACATGAGAGGCAGCAGTTTTGACCAGGGAAGGAGAAAAAAAAATTCAAATCATGCTATTGATGAGCTTCCCCAAGAGCAAGTGTTGCTCAATCTCACAGGATTTTCTGGGGAGCCTTATGAAATAAGTTTGAGAACTAATAGCTTAGGGACAACAGGGGAAAGCATTTATCCATTGGTCCCCATCCCCATTACTTAAGGTTGGAATTTAAGTAATGCACTTCTGCTTGTGCATGAATGAAGGCCAAATGTGGTCCCATGGTGTATTAGTCTGTTTTCATGCTGCTGATAAAGACATACCAGAGACTGGATAATTTATAAGGAAAAAGAAATTTAATAAACTCACAATTCTGTGTGGCCGGGGAGGCTTCACAATCATGGAGGAAGGTGAAAGGCACATCTCAAATGGCGGCAGAGAAGAGAAGACAGCTTGTGCAGGGAAAGTCCCCTTTATAAAACCATCAGATCTCATGAGGCTTATTCACTATCACGAGAATAGCATGGGAAAGACCTGCCACCTCCCAGTGGGTCCCTCCCACAACACGCGGGAATTATGGGAGCTACAATTCAAGATAAGATTTGGGTGGAGACACAGCCAAACCATATCACATGGGTATCCCACACCATGGTACCAGAGAAGTCTCGTGGCAGAAAATAAGAATTATATGGTCTAGGCCCAAAGTGAGATACCATAAGGCTGGACTGGGGCAAAGCTAATTGAAACATTTATTGGAACTTATTAGCACAGCAGTGGCTGGGTAAGAGATGGTCTGAGAGGATAAGAAATGGCCAATATACCCTGTCTTAGTCTGCTCAGGCTACTATAACAAAATGCCATAGACTGAGTGATTTAAACAACAGCAATTTATTTCTCACAAGCATGAAGTCTGGGAAGTCCAAGGTCAAGGTGCCAGACCATTCAGTTCCTGGTAAGGGTCCTTTTGCTGGTTTTCAGACAGCTGTCTTCTTGCTATATACTCACATGGTGGGATAAAATGAGAGTAAGCTATCCAGTCTCTTCTTATGAGGACACTAATTCCATCAACGAAAACCCTACCCTTATGACCTTATCTAAAGTACCTTCTAAAGGCCCCAGTTCCAATACCATTACATTGGGGGCTAGAGTTCAACAAGGAACTGTGGGAGGATGTAAACATTCAGTCTATAACACAGCCCATCCCTTGCACCATTCAGATCCAAAATGCCTTTTATAAAGTGCAAGCAATCATAGAGTTCCCCTTCAAGTTCATTTAAGTCACAATCTCTGAAAAGGTTTAGTACCAGTTATTATTGGAACAAATTCCAGTCTTCACTATTGCAGCCAATTTCAAGGTCATAATTCATATTTATAATCTCCCTTCTTTACTGTTTATTCTATTCATTTCCCTCACCATTTGTAACACTTTGGCTGGCCTAGGGTTCTTTGCTAGTTGGACCCAGACTTTTACACTTGAGAGATCCCAGCTCTTAGTTGAGCTGCATTTGTTATATTTGTCCACTCACATTTTCCCTAGACCTGGAAACACAGATATTCACCCCTCATGAACACTGCGATTCCACACACACTCCTTCATGTCCCCATTGCATCTCACCAATCCTAGCACTTCGTAGAAATTAGGGTCAGTCCCTCTCTTAGAATAGTCATTACTCACCTTGGCTACCGCAATGGCATGGGCAGCCTAAAGTGACCAAGTGGTAGCTGTAGTTTCAACTTAAAGTGAGACAGAGTAAAGGTTCCACTTTGTCTTCTGGTCAAAACAATCTCTTTCTAGAAATTAACACCATGAATCCTGCAAAACCTGTTTGTGGGGATGGGGAGCACAGATTTCACAAGTGGGTCACTGGGAATGATAGTGAGATGAGCCAATTCTACTTTTGCCCCTTGGTTCTGGGACCAATGTATTTTAGCTACTCCAGACAGCACCATATAACAGCCATCGACTGAGTGCATGTATCACATCCAAGAGAACAGCAACCCAACCCATAAGGTATTATACCCAAGTTTTTGTCTTCACTGGGGCCTCTAGTAACCATTCAATTATTCTGGTTCTAAATGATGAGATATAGACAGACAAGTGGGCTGTGTGTTTATATGCCCATTCTTCAGTCTTCTGTATCATAAAACTAGTCTCCTAGACTGAGAAAATTTAGTGTAAGAAACCATACAAATATATGTATCAGATGTCTTATAAGCCCTAGGACAATAATGATATTAGCAGTGACCCCAGAGGAAGAAAAGGCAAATCCGTATGAGAAGGTGTCAATTCATGAGAGGATTAATTTCTGCTCCTCCAGGGAAACTGAGTCTAATATAATCAACCTGCCACCAACTGGCTATAGCCATATTCTTGAAGAATGGTGTTACAATGAGGGCTTAGCATCATTTTGTGTGCTGGCTAGTTGGCAGTAGTTAGATAAGCTTTAAAGAAGGGGAGCCCAGGCCAGGCATGGTGGCTCATCCCTATAATCCCAGCACTTTGGGAGGCCAAGATGGGTGGATGATTTGAGATGAAGAGTTCGAGACCAGACTGACCAATATGGTGAAACTCCATCTCTACTAAAAATACAAAAATTAGCCGGGCATAGTGGCGCACACCTGTAATCCCAGCTACTTGGGAGGCTGAGGTGGGAGAATTGCTTGAACCTCGGAGGCGGAGGTTTCCATGTGCTAAGATGGAGCCACTGCACTCCAGCTTGGGTGACAGAGTGAGACCCTGTCTCAAAAAAAAAAAAAAAAAAAAAAGAAGAAAAAAGAAGGGGAGCCCTGCTGTAGAACCTGCATAGATATCTCCCTATTATTGTAGTCACTCTGTTCATGGCCCCATCCTGCTAGCACTGGGGTTGTTAAAGGAAGAGGCTTGCTGACATCCACAGGACAAATCTTATGTATCTGGTTAATGAGTGCCTCTTGTGAGGTAGATGCTCCCTGATGGGCATTAAAATGAGACACAAATGAACACTTTGTGGTCACTTTCATAGATCCAATTGCATGTATCTTTCTATGATTTTGTTGTTTATTTCTAATTGTCTTTCTTTGGAGTCTTAACCAACTAGCCAAACCATTAACTGCCCAGAAGCCCAAAACTCAGATCATGTTTTCTTGCATGCAGAGCGAACTCCCTATTGTTATCTTTGAAGTTCTGCCTTCCACATGTTTTCTTGGAGCCATCCTTGGATGAACCTATAGTGTAATGATTAACCAGTAAAACTAACATGAAAAAAAAAATCACACCAACATGTCTATGAATCAGGCTCAAATTTCTGATTCCTTTGTCATTTAGTCACAGGGAAGCAAATGATGCCATAGCTATGAGTGGTGGGTAAGAGACTGGTACCTCACAGATACCTTAGGAGTTTTCCCACCTGTTTGTATAATTTACTACATCTTCTGGAACTTCTCAGGCCCAATATTGAATAGCACATTCATAATGGATCATTGCTCTTCCTGCTCAACTTTATGACATAGTAGATTCGATAATATCCAGCTCAGTCCCATAGTCAATTTGTGTTCCAAGATTGTGCATGCAGCCTCTACCAGAATTCAGTATCATGTCAGGTCAGGAATTATTTTTCAAATGTTCCATAATTCTCTGTTATAGAATGAATGGCCTTGCTCTAGTACACTAGGATTTTTTTTTTTTTTTTCTGAGAGTCTTCTGTTTAAGTTTGTCTTCTGCAACATACAGGCAACTTGCCAGGACATCTAAAATCCTACCCAGTTCTTCCTAATCATGTCAAATTACCATTTATGTCACTGTCTTAGTCAGCTTTCTGTTGCTATGACTGAATACCTGGGACTGGGTTATATATGAAGAAAAGAAATCTATTTCTTACAATTTTAGAAGCTAGGAAGTCCAATATCAAGAGATCCCATCTTGTGAAGGCCTTCTTGCAGGTGAAGGGGGACTCTGCAGAGCCCAGAGGCTATGCAGGGCATCACATGGCAAGGAGGCTTAAGAAAGAGGGCCTATCTGGCTTTTTATAACAGATCCGCTCTTGTGACAACCAACCAACTCCTGTGATAACCCAATGATCTATTAATTCATTAATATATTAAGCCATGAATGGACTAATACATTCATGAGGCCAGAGCCCTGATGACCCAATCATCTCTTAAAAGCCCCACCTCCCAATACTGTTACATTGGAGATTATGTTTCAATATGAGTTTCAGAGGGCACAAACACTCAAACCACAGCCAACATAGTGAGCCAACAGGATGTGTTTCAGAATATTAAAATGATGAAAGTCCCAAAGACTGTTTAGTGACAGAAAGCAGGAGATTTAACATAGCTCTGAGATAAAGCAATAAATGTATATTATTCTTCATCTGTGTAAGAGTAATCTGCTTTATTTCTCTTACTGAGAGGGACTGAGGGATCACATCCACCAAACCAGTAGTGCCAAGCAGCGGCATACCAAGTGCCAGAGGCTGAGTTGATCCATTCTTGAAAAGATACTACCTTCAACTTGTAATTTGTATAATCATTTAGTTACTTTTTAGAGTTCATTGTCATATGCCCCGATCTATTGGTTTTATTCATAGGCTGAACAAGAATTAATTAGTGTTATGAGGGGACTAATAACTTATGCAAGTCTTAAGTATTTAATAGCTGTGTTAACCTCTGAAATTCCTTTTGCCATGCAGTACGATTTCTGATTACCATCTTTGCTGAAATGGGACAAGGTGGGGATGCAGATTAAGGAGATTTTACTTGGCCTTTCCAAATATAATGGCTGCTGCTTCATAATCAGGTAGTCAGTGTAAGGTTCTTCCGTCTATAGAGTATATTTATCCAAATTATATATTTAGGTACCTAGGGAATTAACTACAGGGCTTGTCTAGTTTCTGTAAGATTTATTTGAGATAGACTTCAACCCAAACTCTACTTATCAACTGAAGACAACACAGGAATGAAAGAAATCCCACCTAACAGAACAGATGAGAACTCTAGTAACACTACTATTTAAAAAGGCGGCAAAGAAAAACACTCAGCAAAAGGGACAGAGGAAGAGAGATCAGAACAGAGAATGAATGAGAGTAATATGCAACAAACCTAGGAAAGAAAATATTTTAAAGAGAAAGAAGTGCTCACCAATGTGAAATACCACTGAGTATCACAATGGGATAAAGAATGAAATGAGGCAAATAGTTGTGGAAAACAGGAAGACATTATTTTCCTTTGCTAGAGCAGTTGAAGCAGAAGAGCAGGAGCAGATGTAGGATCACGGCAGGGTGAGAAGTGTCTGGAAACTGAGGAAATGTAGGCAATCGAGTTTAAATATTTCAGTAATTTGGCCCTTGGAAAGAGGAAGGGTGAGGGGATGATGGCTTGAAGAGGAGGAAGAAACAAAGCAAGGTTTTTGTGGTTGTTCCTGCTGCTGTTGTTTAGGATTGGGATGGTATTAATATGTCTTAATCAGATCACAAACATAAGTCAAAATATAAGAGAGTTCACAGAGATTCTTCTTTATCCCAAAAGTCTCCATTCTTCTAATTAGAAGAATGTTAATGATAAAAAAAAAATCTTCCTATAGTCTCTTTCTTGTATTAGAATCATTGGTCTCTTATATTGGCTGTTTTCATGTCCTATATCTTAATTTTATTTTCTTATTGCTGGTGGCTTAATGTAGTAAATTTTGCAAAACTATTAAATTCTAGACTACAGCATGAGAGAAGAAAGGAATAGTCACAATTACCTGGCCTAAATTGAAGCTGTTCAAATTTGAATTATTATTGCTTTTGAGGAGACAGCAGCCTATTTCAGTTTATTGTTCCTTAATATATGACAGCACTGGACAATTAAAGATCACACACACACACACACACACACACACACACTGATGATGGAAACTCTTGTATTGCAAAATGGGATATTCTGGTGTGCCAGAAAAGATTGATTAAGCAATGAACCTCAGACAAAGTGTATGGTTGTTTCCAAATAATCAGGCCTTTGGGATTATTAAGGTTATAAATGAAAGTAGGTGTCTAATTTCTGATGAATGCATTTACCACTGTGAACACAGATCACCAGTGTGCACAAGCATACATCTGTGTGTGTAGTACACTGTTTTTAGAAGATCCCATATTCTATAGAAGTTAATTTCCTTTATTGCTTTTTATTCATAGAGTGACTCTGAATGTGTTCTCATAGAAATAAATCTGAATATATGTGATGTGTGTTGTGAAGATGTGTGTGAATTCATACAGAAATACGTAGGTTCAGGTATAAATGAACATATTTGGGCATATATATTTGTGTTTGCATGTGAAAATTAAGGTTTAGTGACAAGTGCTGAACTCAATTGTGTTGCACTTGTGTCTTTAAATATAATAAAACATTTTCTTTTAAATGTTGGAAAATAATTATTAGGCATGTATCATTAACTGATAAAAACATAAATTTCTTAAGAAATGCTATAGCCTTAAAAGTTACTAAATTACAAAAAAAATTAAATTGGAGTTATTGAAAAAAAATTGCTCTAACTCAGCCCTCTTTTATAGTAAAGTATTAACTATAAAACATGTGAATCCAAAATATTATTCTTAAATTGATGTGATATTAATGTATGTTTAGGAAAAATCAAAAGGGAATTCTTCATTGAACAAGGAATCTAGTAACAGCACTTCATAGAGCCACATCAGGCACCTACAGGCTCATTCTCTATTAAGTTTTTCATCTAACATAGGCTCGCTCTTCAACACTGTATGGACTTTTATGATTCTATAGAGGAAGAAAATAAAATGGAAGTCAAGGAAGCATTTTTATTAGGCCATTTACTCCTCTTAATATAGTCTTTCCCTTTGAGCATTTACAATAAAAATGGACTTAATCTTTTGCCTTCCCATGGGAAGTCTAACAAAAAATGGAATTGTAGAAAGACCACATATATCAAAGTATTTTTAGAAACTGCTCTTTCAGGAAGTGGCTAAGTTCTATGGCTGATATAATTAAGTCAATCTCAGGGAGCTTCACCATTTTTTGACACCCAGAAGCTTAGCTTTAGCATGAGTTGGAATTTTTTTTCTTTTCTTATAATGCGCCACTAAATTCTAAGACCATTAGATAATTGTCCTCAATAGAAAGTTCCTGTAATACATTGAAATCATATAATATTTTAGCCACTGGCATATCATAAAAATTTATAACCCAAAGACTACATTTATTTCTAATTATATTTGCTTTCCTTAGCCACCAAGATCTAAGTAACAGATAATATTTATATTTCTAACAACTGTGTTTTATTTATGCAAGCGAAGAACAGAAATAAGCTTTCATTAAGAAACAACTATGTGCCTGCCACTGTGAAATATGCTTTCACATATATTTCTGACTCCTTGCAATAACCCTAAAAGATTAATATCATTAACTCATTTTATAGACAATACAACCGAGAAGTTAGATTCAGATCCAGATCTTTCTGATTGAAAAGCCCCTACTTTGGACTGACAGAGAGAATGAAGACTTACTTCAGTTTGATTGTCTTGAATGGGCTTCAGTTATTCACTGTTCTCCAAGCCAGCCACACTTGCCTGAAATTGGATTTCACAGGTTCATTTTACCTCCAACTGAGAATATGGACATCCACAACCCTCAGTGCTGGCCCGTGGAAGTCTCAATGACCCACAAGGCATAGGGTTTGTGGCTTTGGTCCTGGTTCATGTATCCATCAACCAACCATTATTGAGCACCTAGTATTTTAGGGGCTAGGAAGAAAACAGAAAAAGTTTCAGCCTTTGTGGATCTTACATTCTATCAGTTCTATGTGTTTAGGTGTAGGGAGATATAGATAAATGCATAAATAAGTCTCTGAATACTCTTTGACCAACATCACCAAAACCATACCTGCTTAAGGACTTAAATCTTTTTAAGGTAGGCCTTATGGAAGTTGGGGATATGCATTATTATAGCAATGGATTACCATCTGCCTTGACCCATCTACAAACCACCCCAGTTTGTAGTTACCCTGAATAATTTAAGAGTCAAAGGAATAAACCCCAAGTCAAAACCAGTGTCCCCAAAACAGGGGCATGAGGCGAGGCAAGGGTTAATTGTTGCTCCCAACACAGTGCTGCTCCCATCTTTAATGTGAAGATAAATATGAGAGCGAAAAGGAGAAATCTAAAGTGGTCGTGATGGGTCTGATTTAAGTGAATGGGAGCCACTTCAAATGCTAACAACATCATTAGGAGCACATAAATAGGCTGCTCATTGTGTCGGTAAAAGCGGTTGTTCACAGCAGCACAATATTGTTTGAATGTTCGAAACAATCTCTTAATATAACTCCCCACCAATTTTTGTTTTGGTTTAGTGTTTTTAAATCATAGTTCTTTGGCACCCTGAAGAAAGTCTTGTTCCCATGTGCATTTTTACTTTCTCTCGTTATGTTTTGTCTTTGACCTTCTGAGCGCAGTGGAGAAAACAGACGTGTTCCAATTCCAGGGCTACTATTTATATGCTAGCTATAGCTATACTTTTTCCAAAAAAAAAAAAAACAACTCTCCGAATCTTGGCTTTTAGGAAGTTCATTTTTACTATATGAACAATAACGCCTACCACAGAGTGTTTTGAGAATCAAATGAAACTTAACTTGCCTAAATGCCTAAGTAGGCATCTGGTAAATTTAGCTAAATCCCTGGAATATCTGTTCGGTTTCAACACCATATGAATGTAATATTTTACAGAAACTCTTTTTTTTTTTATTTTGCGCCTGATTCAAGTAGATCTTCAATGAATATTTATGAATTAAATATTTTCAACATAATGCACATAATGAAAGTAACTATGTACAACTTGATGGTTGTCATATTTGGGGCATATCAAATCATTGTACCATGAGTGTATTAATTCAGGATCAAAACCCAGTTTTCTTAGTACTTTTTCTCTTTAGAGTGCGGCTCAACACTAGAAGAGCTCTTTAAACATCAGAGCTGCTCCACAATGGAATGAATTGGATAGTTAGGGGTAAACTCCACATTTCTGCACATATTAACAAAAAGGCTGAATGAACACCTATCAAGAAGGTGGTCGGACAGGATTTCCAAATTAGTTGAAATTGGCCCCAAATGACTTCCAAGTTGTCCCCTCTCAATGATCTCATAATACTAAATACATAGTGTTTCATTTAGATGCAAGTAAGAAAAAAGAAGCTTTGATTTCCTATTGCATATTTCACAGGGGTACTTTGAGCACTACTCCATTCCAAATTCCCTTTATAGAAAATAATAATCCCTCACAATAAAATTCCCTGCCAAGGCACTATTCTGAGCTTTTTACATATATTAACATATGTAGTTCTCACAAAAACCCTAAGAGGTATGTACTGGTGGTATTGCTCTGTCACACATAAAGAAAGTGAGGCACAGAAAAGCTAAATTACTTGCCCCAGGTAAAGTAAAAAAGTAATTGTTGGAGCTAGGAGTTGAATCCAGGCAGTCCAGCTCTGAAGCCCACTAGCATGCAGTACCAAGGGCCTCACATAATAAAATCTGGCTTCTCATAGATCCAGACTTTGTCCCACTAATCTAGAAGCACTTTGAAGGCAGGGGCCATTTCTGTTTTCATTTACTACTGCACCTACAGTACCTGACATATAATCGTTAATTAATGAATAATTTTGTTTCATGTATAAAGATTATCACTTATTTTTCATATCTTGTGTCATAGAAAAACATATTGCTTAGCTTTCATACCAAGGTATTATTTACTATTTAGAGGTAAGAAGTGTTTCAGAAATATTTGTACTGCATTCAGAATCAAAAGACCTTTGGCCCGGCACAGTGGCTCTCACCTGTAATCCCAGCACTTTGGGAGGCTGAGACAGGTGGATCACTTGAGGTCAGGGGTTCGAGACCAACCTGGCCAACATGGTGAAACCTCATCTCTACTAAAAATACAAAAATTAGACGGGCGTGTTGGCGCATACCTGTAATCCCAGTTACTCAGGAGGCTGAGGCAGGAGAATCGCTTGAACCCAGGAGGTGGAGGTTGCAGTGAGCCCAGATTGCACTAGTGCACTCCAGCCTGGGTGACAGAGCAAGACTCTTGTCTCAAAAAAAAAAAAAAAAAAAGAGCCAGGTTCGAGGGTTCAAGCGATTCTCCTGCCTCAGCCTCCTGAGTAGCTGGGATTACAGACATGCGCCACCACGCCCAGCTAGTTTTGTATTTTTAGTAGAGACAGGGTTTCACCATGTTGGCCATGGCTATTCTTGAACTCCTGACCTCAGGTGATCCACCCGCCTTGGCCTCCCAACGTGCTGAGATTACAGGTGTGAGCCACTGTGCCAATGTGCCCCATTTTCTTAGGCTAAAGCCTGAAGTCCTAAACAAGACCTACAAAACCCTGTGTGATGAAACCCCCAGCAGCCTCACCTGCTGCACCTTGTACCGCTGTGCCTATTGTTCCCTGCCTTTAGTCAATCTCACCGTCATTTCTTCTTCATGCCTGTGTCATTCCCATGTCAGTGGCTCTGCATGCCATTCCGTTGGCCTAGAACATGCTCTCCTTTCCCCACTGCCATCCTTACCTAGTTCATTCCTACTCCACAAAAGCTACTCTCTGACAAAGACACAGTCTCCAACTCCTCCAACTGAGGCACCTTGCATCATGACAGGCTTTCATCATATTCTATACATTTCCATTGTGCAAAGTACCAATATTTTAATTAGCTTATTCAGTTTCTTATTCATTTGTTCAACAGATTCTTGTAAATGAGCACCTATTTTACACTGGGTACTTTTCTAGTCACAAAATATAGCCATGAACAAAATATACCAAAACTCCTACCTTCATGTATCTTCCATTCTAGTGAGTAACACTAAGTATCCTCACTAAAATATAAGTTACATATAGTCTGTGACTATTTCTGTCTTATTCACTGATGCATCCCCTAGCACCTAGCACGAATTGTTGCTTATGGTATATTTCAGCAAAAATAGCTTGGGTAATGATAGGGAAACAAAGAATCTTAACATTTTAGTGGCTTAAAGCAATGAAGTGTTTTCGCTTTTTTGTTTTGTAAGTCATTCTATATGCCCATCAGGTTGACTGGGAATGCTTCCTATATGCCCATCAGGTTGACTGGGAATGCTTCCTATCTTGCCACAGTCATTCAGAAACATGGGCCAGTGGTACAGACATTATCTCAAATATTGCCAGTCATGACAGAAGAGAGAGAAAACTATTCAGAGATTTAACCAGTAGTTAAATGACTCCCCAGGGTTTTAGCCAGAAGTTAAATACTCCAGCTTAGACATGTGCAAGACACTTCCACTTACGAATCACTGCTAAAAACTAGTCATCTCCCCATATGCAACTATAAGTGACTGCAAGGAAAAGCCATATTTTAATTGACAGCTGTACTACTGGCTATCTCAGATGGAAAACAAGAAATATTTGAGGAAAAGAAGACTGAATAACAATGAACAGTAGTTGTGATATAGATAAAAGCCCTACCTCTTTGTCTAAAATATACCTGTTCATAGGATGTGCATAGCATGGATAGATTAGGCTAATGATAACATAAGTTTGCATTCTTTCAGCTTACAAAGTCTACTGATAGTTTGATTAAACACAACCAAGAATGACAAATTTGCTATCCACAACATATGGAGTAGACATCCTACAGACAAATAACTGAGAATTCACAGTATATTAAAAATTGTTTATTCATATGAACTACACCATATTTCATAGGTCAATTTCATTAGACTGGCTCACATGGCTGGTCTGGCTTAGACACAGTCTACAGAGTTGATTAAAAAGTAAGATTGATTGCACATCTTGTTCTTCTTGCTGACTATAATTTTGTATTTTGCCTGAACATTCAATTTTCTATGTTTAATTAAAAATTAATTAAAATTTGTTAGAGTATAAATTGCATCTCATCATTTCATTGAATCCTAACTATAGGTCATGCCTCTTAAACGCAGAAATGGTCTAACATTTTATTTCAATATGAAGTAGAAGAATTGTCAGGATTATTTTGGTGCCCAGATGGGGATTTGGTATTCGTTTAACTAAATTCTGCTTTAATGTAGGGCATGAAAGGAGGCTTTGGGACTTAATTTAGAAGGTTTAGCAAGAGTGATAAGAAAACCCAATAGGAAGCCGGGCACAGTGGCTCATGCCTGTAATCCCAGCACTTTGGGAGGCTGAGGCAGGCGGATCATGAGGCCAGGAGATCGAGACCATCTTGGTCAACATGGTGAAACCTCATCTCTATTAAAAATACAAAAATTAGCTGGGCATGGTGGTGTGTGCCTGTAGTCCCAGCTACTGGGGAGGTTGAGGCAGGAGAATCCCTTGAACCTGGGAGGCAGAGATTGCAGTGAGCAGAGATCATGCCACTGTACTCCAGGCTGGAGACAGAGCAAGACTCCATTTCAAGAAAAAAAAAAAAGAAAACCCAATAGGAATTCCTCCTCAAGGTATAAGATTTTTGTAAAATCTGTTTGCTTCTGCCTAGTGGAATCCTCAACTACAAAATTCTGATGATTATAAGACCTTCTGAAGGAACAATCCACAATACTATGTCTTAGATCAGTGCTTCCCATCTGGGGTCCATGGACATACACTCAGGAGCCTAAGAATTCTCTATGTAAATTGTTAAACGTTATGTTTCTATTTGATAACAATATATATTGTTCAAATTTTATAAATTCTACATAATCAGGGTGACAAATGACAAATGTTGTCATTTGCCTTTATGTTTGTTATTTCACTGACACCAAGCAGTACTATAATGCTTTAGTTATTCTAACTATTTAATATAGTAGAGAATAATAAGAGAATAGTGGACTCAAACCAAGTATCATATAAATGATAAGCTAAGTAAAGGATAGTTTTAAAATAAGAAGATTAACGTCAACATAACTACATAAAACTAAAAAGAACCTGTACTGTCACAGTCAGTACAAAAATACACCCACCAAATGCACTGTAGAGTCAGCAAAGATCATCTGCCATGTTAAGGCAATGCTGACAATTTAAATCTTGAGCTTTTTAGTTTTATTTGATTGGTAAATTGTGTTATATTCCATATGTACCATAAACATTTGATTTCTTATTCATCTGAGAGTTTATATCTGATTTGACTTCACTAAGAATAAAATTCAAACCCCTTACTATGATATATAAGTCCCTGAATGGCGTGGTCTCTTCCTATCTGGCTTGTTGCCACCTTGCCACACTACCCTTTGACATCACACTCCAGCTTCATCGGCATTTCTGGCAGTTCTTTTTCTACTGGTGTGTCTTCTGCCTGGACAACTCTTCAGACTCTCAATAAAAATACTTCTTGGCCAGGTGCGATGGCTCACACCTGTAATTCCAACACTTTGGGAGGCCGAGGCGGATGGATCACCTGAGGTCAGGAGTTCGAGACCAGCCTGGCCAACATGGTGAAACTCCGTCTCTAGTAAAAATACAAAAATTAGCCGGGCGTGGTGGCACACACCTGTAGTCCCAGATACTCTGGAGGCTGAGTCAGGAGAATGGCGTGAACCCGGCAGGCGGAGGTTGCAGTGAGCCAAGATGGCGCCACTGCACTCCAGCCTGGGTGAGAGAGCGAGACTCCGTCTCAAAAACATACAAACAAAAAATACTTCTCATTTCTCCAATTTCAGCTTAATTATCCCCTGTTTGGTGTGGCCCTACTTGGCTTCCCTATTTAAAGGGAAGTCCATTTACTGCCCTACAATCACTTCTTACCAGTGTCCCTTGTTCATTTCCTTCATGGTACTTAGCTCAATTTATAATTTTTTATTTTGTTTACCTGATTATTGCTTGACTCCCCACCTAATCACCGAACATAGAATAGACACACACACACACACCAGAATGTGAGTTTCATGAGTACAGAGATCCCATGGTCTTATTATTTATTTTATACCAATTCCTTAAAAGAGTGTTTAGGGCCAGGCACTGTGGCTCACACCTGTAATTCCAGCACTTTGGGAGGCCAAGGCGGGCAGATCAGAGGTCAGGAGATCGAGACCATCCTGGCTAACACGGTGAAACCCCGTCTCTACTAAAAATACAAAAAAATAGCCGGGCGTGGTGGCGGGTGCCTGTAGTCCCAGCTACTCAGGAGGCTGAGGCAGGAGAATGCCTGGGAGATGGAGCTTGCAGTGAGCCGAGATCTCGCCACTGCACTCTAGCCTGGGCAACAAAGCAAGACCCCATCTCAAAAAAAAAAAAAAAAAAAAAAAAGAGTGTTTGGTTGTTTGGTACATAAAATAAATAGTATTTGACTAAATAACAAAATCCATCTCTCACTATGTCCAGAACTATATTTCTTAAAGTCTTTGCTAATTTTTATGAGAGGAAAATGGCATGTTATTATTTTAATTTGCCTCTGTGATTACTCATGGCATTGGACATTTAAATATGTTTATTGGCTATACATAATTTGTCAGGCAATTTCACATACTGTACTTTGCCTAGTTTTCTGTTGGGAATTTTTTTATTTATTTGTGTTATTTGTATAATCAGAGGAATAATATTATAATCAACTTGTGTATTAAAAATGTCTCCACTTTGCTCTTTGGCTTTCAATATGTTGTGATTTCTTTGGGTACCCAATGCTCTCCTTTTACGGCATGAAGGCTGTTCAGTGTTTTTCCAGTGGAAGTTATTAATCATACTTCATCAGTGAATAATCTGAGACTAAGAGAAAAAAAACCTTACAAATGACTCATGTTTGGTAGAATCTGTCTAACTCTAAAATGCATATTCTTTTCACTCTATGTGTCAACTGACTTCCATACAGTTGGAGAAGCACCTTATCTCAACATTTGGCAACAGATAGTTGTCTTAGTCAATTTGAGCTTCTATTCCAAAAATACCATAGACTAAGTGGCAGAAATTGGTTTCTCACAGTTTTAGAGGCTGGAAAGTCCAAGATCAAGGTGCTGGCCAGTTTGGTTCTTGGTGAGGGCTGTCTTCCTGATTTGAAGATGGATGCCTCCTTGCTGTGTCTCACATGTGCAGAGAGAGATCATCTCTCTCATGTCTCTTCTTATAAAGGTGCTAATCCCATGCATGAGGGTTTCACCTTCATTTCCTAATTACCTTCCAAAAGCTCCACCTCCAAATATCATCACATGGGGGATTAAGGCTTCAACATATGAATTTGGGGTGACATAAACATTTAGTCCATAGCAGATAGTTAAGTAAATCTATATTTCTATGCATATGTTTAAGGGAGGAAATAAGTTTCATTGCTTTATTGTCATATTCACATGAATATGTCATGAATATCATCTAACAAAAGGGATCCAGGGATCCTGAGTTTTAGAAAGCCTATCTTGATGGTTTCTAATGGAAATTGCTTATTTGCCTGCATTAAGTTTGTGCCAGCCAACTGAAACTTTTATGTTTCTGAGCTTTGGACCAAACTTTTATCATTTCAGTGTGGTGACAGTGTATCTCATATTAATCAGAAACTCTAATTGATCAGAAACTCTAATTGATATGAGTTCTAATCAGAACTCATAGTTCCATATGCCTTTGGTTAATACAAATGGGAAAAGGCATTATTTTCTAATTACCTATTAGGTAGACAAAAATATTTTCTAACCTAGAATCCATGAGGGGAGAAGATAACAATATTACTCTTTGCACAAAAAATTTTAAGTCATTATCTAGGACCATCTTTATTCCCATCTGACTGTACAAAGTATTGGCCGTTAAGAGAATGAAGGACTTTAAAATGACTGTTTATCATTTTTAATTTATTAGAAGTCAGTTAATTATTACATACTGAACCACAAGCTTATTTAATACTAGAAGATGAGTTAATAATAAACTGCTCCATTTCATCGAGAGTGATGGACCAATACAGTTACCAATGAAGCAGAACCAAGGGAGAAAGACATGAGGTACAGTGACAAAGAAGTGGGAGAGAGTTGTAATACAATATTTTCAATTGTGGAATCAAGTGCACATTTAAATATTTTTGTGCTATTGCTAAAGGAAATGCTATTTTTGATTAAGTTATTAAAGTCATTAAATTTAATTTTTTATTCTTTAACTAAATTATTTTATATTAATCTGTGGTTTGGTCAAGTTGTCTTTGGCCTACCATCCCACAAGAAGTCAGTGACAATGTTGGGACCAGAATTCAGGAGTCATCAGAGTCCATTGTTGTATTCTTATAACCATACTTCACTATCTCAGAGGATGATTTGATTTGTAATTACCACAATTACACATGCAATCTATCTTCTGCTGGCCACTTCTGTGTATGCGGCCATTGCACAGGGATATTGTTAAAATAAATTGCATAACACATGTAGGGATACATGCAGAGATAAATGATTTCTGTAAGCCCAGAAAAGATATAAAGAGCCATGAAACTTTAAATGAAATTCGTGTTTCTGGAGCAGCCAAATCAATCATGATCCCCAGCAAGAACATGCTTTGATCAGCATCAATTTTTCTTACAGTCTTACATACAATAGTCATCTTGAAATACTGTCATTTAAAAAATTAATTTCCATAGTGATTTTTATCCTTGTTTTGGTGTTATAGCCCCTTTATTTATTCAATTTCTGATTAGGCTGATTATATGCATTTTTTTCTCTAATGGACCTCCTTAGTTGAACAGGCAATAATGCCATAATATGCGATTAAATACAATTATGACTTTCTTCTCAAGGGCTTGAAATAGTCACAGTAAAAAATAAATGCTATAAATGCAAAGTGCCCTGGTAGAATTGTGCTTATAGAGGGAAACAGCACAAAATGTCAGATAAATGATGAGGCTCAGAAAGGATCCTTATAACATTTTGTTAACTTTCTGTCAGTTTTCATTTTACATAACAAGATAAACTAAAAAACAACAATACGAGAACAATTTTGGGTCAATACGAAGTGAAACAGAAGAACATTTTGTCTTTCCAGATTGGTTTATCTCATCACTAAAGTAGCATAGACTTAGCGATTAAATAGTATAATGCTGATGAAAATAGGAGCTAAAACAAAGACATGGAAGTAGTCCATGGTTTGGTACATAAAGTGTGTTTCTGTCATTTGTTCTTTGCAATATTTAATTCAGTCACAATCTCAGTGATTTCCTTGAGCTTTTGGATCACAGAAATGAGAATGCTGCTGTTCCTCCACTGCAGGGCTCTGGACCCCTCGTTGTTTACCTGAAGATAAGCTTCATCTCTCAGTTAATGGCAAAATTATATTCTGACCTCCAATCTAGTGCTTTTGTTAACTCAGCATTATTTAGAAAAGTCTAAGGACAAGTGTCAGTCTGGACCCTGGTGTGGCTGCTATGTGAAATTCAGTTTATCTGAAGGCTCATTGAAATTCATTTTGTGCATAAACAAAAAACTACCAGGTTCCCCCCACCCCCAATTCATTTGATCACCAGATCTGAAAGTATTGAATAAATCCGTAAAACCTAGTGCAGTGTCTAATTCTGAAGACACTTCAAAATATTAGTCTTGGGGCAATTCTGGGTACTGTGAGAGAAACAGAAAAATCAGAAGATGTATTTCTTCCTTCAGGTACTTTACCATCTACTTGGAGTGCCAAAGCAGCAGAACAACTAGAGAATAAAAGCTATGTGTGTATTGTGTAACCAGCTTATGTACTATATAACCCACAACCAACATCCAACCTGCAATTACAGCTAGGGTTTCTAACTTTTCTCTAAAATAACCCAAAACATTTTTACTCCTCTTCTTCTTCATTATTCTGAAAATTGAGCAATATAAAATTTTTAAAAAGAAGGGGAAAATGAAAACTAGAAAGGAAAAGCATACAGATGACTATTTCTTCAAATTTTTCTCTGATCTTTGTGTGAGAGACTTGAAACGAATTGTTTATTTATCAAGCTCATTCACTTTACCTTCCTAGCAATTTCAAAGTTGACTGCTCCTACAAGATGAGGAAATTAAATGATGAGAGAGAAGTAGGCACTGATGGGATGGGATGAGGGATTTGATGATAAGGACTGATTTGATCTCCTTAAAATCCTAGACTCTAGCCCAAGATTATTGTCTTAAGTATTCTCTTCTGTTATCATCCAATTCAGTCTCTAGGATTGAGATACTATTGTTCTAAGAAAGAATGTATATTTTATATCTACTATATGAATCTTTCCCTCCTTCAGATATGCCTGGATGCTTCTCTGTGGGGGTGGGTGATTTTTAAAGATGTTAGTCATTATTGGTCTCTACTAGAATCACCTGTTCTTTTTTTTTATTATGCCACATTGGAAAAAGAAAGATAAATTCAGTCATTTTTCCTTTATACTCTATGGAAGGCTGCATTATCAAGTATCTCTCCCCAAATAAGATCAATCATATCCTGTTTTGATAAACTGGCCATAGTGTTACTTTACCTTCTTTCTTTATGTCGTGTTGAGAAAGTTTTTTAACCTCAAGGGAAGTCAAAGTTTTTGTTTTCGTTGTTGTTGTTGTTGTTGTTTGAGACAGAGTCTCACTTTGTCGCCCAGGCTGGTGTGCAGTGGCATGATCTCCCTCACTGCAAACTCCGCCTCCTGGGTTCAAGTCATCCTTCTGCTTCAGCCTCCTGAGTAGCTGGGACTACAGGCGCCCACCACCACGCTTGGCTAATTTTTGTATTTTTAGTAGAGACAGGGTTTCACCATGTTGGCCAGGCTGGTCTTGAACTCCTGACCTCAAGTGATCTGCCCGCCTTGCCCTCCCAAAGTGCTGGGATTACAGGCGTGAGCCACCGTGCCCTGCCAGAAGTCAAAGTTTCTGTGTCAATGTTTTCACAAACATTATCTCTGAGGTGTGGAAATATGTCTTATTTCCCATTTTAAAAGTGATATATAACACCGTTAGCTTCTCTTAGCCTCGGTATCTTTAACCGTAAAATGAAGTATAGATATAAACATTTGTCCAATCTCTCCAACTAGATTATAAACCTCAAGAGATAATGAATAATAAATAATGCCACTTTGTATCTCTAGTACTTAACAGAGTGCCTACTGACTAGTAGATGCTCAATAAAAGTTGAGAATAATTATATTTCCATTTCTTCACTTTCTTGAATAAGGTGGATTTCTGTATTATCCTATAATTATTATGTTTAAAATAATATATTATTTTATAGTAATAACTAAGTCAGATGATCTAAGTTAAAACTTTCATCGGAATCTAAGAAGAGAAGAATTTGATGGAAGTCAGCCAACAAATATTATGCTGCGTCAAAACAGTGTAGCTGTCTCTCACTGTGCCAATTTATTTTACCCAAGGTGTTGCAACTTTGAGATACCTGACAAAAAAAGAGGCTCAAAGGTATTGCCAGTCTACATAGACCATCATATGTTGGTCCCGTCTGCTGAGAAACGTGGGTTTATGTGGAAGTTTTTCCTGACACTTAGAAAACAGCATAAGCCAAGATAAAATTTGCTTTCATTTGTCAATGCAACATCAATTCTTCTACAAGCAGTAGACTGGAGTTTTAAAGTAGTGACAACCCACAGGACGTATTCTTCCATCGTCTTATATATAACAAGCTGTTTCTCTCCCTGTCTATTAGGCTATTCTTACATTGCTATAAAGAAATGCCTGATACTGGATAATTCATAAAGAAAAGAACTTTAATGGGTTCCTGGTTCTGTAGATTGTACAGGAAGTAGGGCACTGTCATCTGCTTCTGGGGAGGCCTTGGGAAGCTTTTACAATCATGGTAGAAGGGGAAGCAGAAGCTTACATGTCACTTGGCGAGAGCAGGTGCAAGTGAGTGCAAGGAGAAGGTGCTACACACTTTTAAATGACCAGATCTCACAAGAACTCACTCACTATCTCAAGGACAGTACCAAGGGGGAGGGTGCTAAACCCTTCATGAGAAATCTACCCCCATGACCCAATCACCTCGCACCAGGCGCTATCTCCAGCATTGGGGATTACATTTCAATATGAGTGGGGATATATGATTTGGATGGGAACACAGATGCAAACTATGTCACCGTGTTACCCTCCCAGTAGGGACCTCTAGATTTAACAACCTTAGGGCAAGGGAGTAGGAGAGCCTCATGGTAATGATTCCTGCCTGATTAAGGTATAACAAAGAGTTATTAGTTAAAGAAAAATGAAAAAAAGAGAGACAGACAAACAGAAAGCAGGAATAAAAAGTTTTATAAATGCAAGAAAAAATGTTTGCATGAAATGACACAAGAAGTATCAAATGAATAAACACAATTTATGAAACGTGCATGTCATAGTTAATTTTATATGTCAACTTGACTTGGCCATGGATGCTCAGATACCTGATTAAATATTGTTTCTAGGAGTGCCTGTGAGGATGTTTCCAGGAGAGATAAGTATTGGAATTGATGGACCAAGTAAAGCAGGTGGCATACTCCAATATGGATGGGCATGATTCAATCCATTGAGGGCTCGAATAGAGCAAAAAGACAGAAGAATGCTGGGTTCACCTGCTCTCTGCTGGACTACTTGGGTTGGGACATCTATCTTCTTCTGCCTTTGATGCTTCTGGTTCTCAGGCCTTGAGATTTAGCCTGGAATCTACACCATTGACCCTCTAGCTTTCAGGCCTTTAAACTTCACTTGACCTTCCTGCATGTCCAGATTGCAGACAGCAGATTCTGGGATTTCTTAGCCTCCATAATCATGTGAGCCAATATGTGATAATAAATTTCTTTAAAAATATGGATTAGTAAAATTTGCATCCTAATGAAAATGTAAGCATTGTGACAGAGAATGCTTTAGTCAGTCTCAAATCCTAAATTTGAGATTGAAATTTAAGATAGCTTAGGATGAGGAAACCACAGTGTCCTTATTGAAGGAGTGACTTACTGACTTCTACATCCAATACAGCTCCTTATATTTGACAATAAAATTGAAACAATAATAGTTTAAATCTTGGCACATAGAAATTATATGTCCCTGACCTACTAATTTTCTGTAATCAGGATGCTAGACAATTAACTTCCTAAAGAAAACACATGGACAATTATGCAATGTTTTTGATAATGAAGCAATGTTAGCTCACTAAATGAAGTAAAATCTGAGGAAGCTATGAGAAGTATGAAGTTGATTATTATGAAAAAGAAGTTTGAGCTGTATCTTAAAGATAATGAATGCTCCTTAGGTCAGTCAGTAAGTTTTAAAATTACTTAACTGAAAAAATTAAGAGAATGTTTGATAATTTAACATGTATCTTTACTTCCAGAGTAAATTAATTATCCAGATTTTTATCCCACTGCTCTCTAAATTGTTCTATTCAGGCAACTATATATGGTCAAAGTTGTATTTGCCTGTTTTTCTCCATGTTTGCTTCCATTGTCTACACAAAAAACTTAGGCTATTATTTTATGTGAAAATAAAAAATAGGGAGTTACATGCAGTTCTTTTTCCGCTGACCAAAGAAAGTTTTCTTCAGAAAGAGCAGTCCCATTTTTTACTTATTTAAAGAATCCACATTCTTTGTTCTTCCTGGACATATGCCTTTTGCTTAGAATGGGAACAGAAAAGGTGAGACTGCCTCTAGAGAAGCTGAAAGCAAAGTAGTGGGTCTGTAAGATCTCAACATAATCAACAGTAGCTGTGTATTCGTAGCTGTGATACAGAATGCTGTCATACGTCTCACTACCACTCCAAAGCTTTACCATGCTGCTTAGCACATTGAAGCTTCATCTCAGATCTTGCCGGACTTATTTGATATTTAAGATGGAGAGTCTAAAGGACAAAACTAAATACTTCCATGATGTTTAAATTGGGCGACAGAAATACAACCTACTTAGAAAGTGGTGTCATGTTATTCCATTTTTCAAGAGTTTAATCCTCACATTGGTTATTTGCTACGAAGACTCAAGGCATCATTTCACTTGACTTAGCCTAGCCCTATCACAGTGATGGCAAAATAAGTTATATTAGCCCAGCAGCATGCATCAGACAGTCTGAAAACATTCTAAATGATTACCACTGAATAAGAGAAAAGAGAGCCATCAAGCCTCATTGAGAGAGGCATGTCCAGTCATCTACCAAGATCATTTACCACCCTGTTCATTGTTTTACTCAGCAGACACCCTCACGCAGCTCTCTTCAGACCCTGTGTCAGCGAAATTACAAAATGTCCTTGGGATCATTCACACGCAGTTGAAACTATGAATCTTTAATCTGGAAATGCCAAATTTTCTGGGAAGAAAAGCATTTGAAAAAATGCCTTACAATGTCATTATTTCCTGCCCTAAGGGCTACTCCTCCTTTTGAAAACCAATTTTTAGAAATTAGACATTTTTCAATACTTTGTAAGTCCTTAAACCAATGTACGATGTCAGCTGCAATATTTTATGTGTTTCAAGACAAATAAAATTCTTTTTTATTAACAGTTATATGTCTGGCCCTTAAAATGCTGTAAAATAAAATGCTTCACTGTGTGAAAGGCTATCATGGGGTCATTGGATAAGTTACCAAACATATTTTTCCTGTTTTTAGGACATTTTAAGTTTAGCTTTTGCTGCTGTTGAAATAAAGAAAACCCTTAATTAACATTTCTGCAACTTCTCATTTTTTTGTCATCCTCTGTATAACTAGTTGAGTCATTACATGAGGGTAACTCTAATAAACAAATCTAGTAATTGTTCTGGATAACATTTTATTTTGTATCTTCTTATAAATGAATATTTGATGATCTTTACATTCTGCAGAAAGATTTACACTTTCAAATGCTAGCCATTAATTAGTGAAAGCAGTACAACATTTTATAAAACACATTTAGTATTTATTTTTTAAAACATTCCAGTGTATAGAGGCTTTTTGTTGTTGTTGTTTTGTTTTTGTTTTTGTTTTTGTTTTTTGAGATGGACTCTCACTCTGTCTCCAAGGCTGGAGTGCAGTGACGCAATCTCGTCTCACTACAAACTTCACCTCCCGGGTTCAAGTTATTCTCCTGCCTCAGCCTCCCAAGTAGACAGGATTACAGGCATGCACACCATGCCCAGCTAATTTTTGTATTTTTAGTAGAGATGGGGTTTCCCCATGTTGGCCAGGCTGGTCTCGACCTCCTGACCTGAGGTGATCCACCCGCCTCAGCCTCCCAAAGTGTTGGGATCACAGGCGTGAGCCACCATGCCCGGCCTTGTTTTTGTTTTTTTGAGACAGGGTCTCGCTCTGTCACCCAGGCTGGAATGCAGTGGCACCATCTTGGCTCACTGCAACCTCTGCCCCCCAGGTTCAAGCAATTCTTGTGCCTCAGCCTCCCAAGCAGCTGGGACTACAGGCGCCTGCCACCACGCCCAGCTAATTTTTTTGTGTGTATTTTTTATAGATATGGGGTTTCACCATGTTGCTCAGGCTGGTCTCAAACTCCTGGCCTCAAATGAACCCACCCACCTGGGTTTCTCAAAGCGCTGGGATTATAGGCTTGAACCTGGCCTGATTAAAGATTCTTGATACAATTAATGATTGGGTGTGATTTATGTAGTGAATGATTATATGCTTTAAATAAGAATACATTCATAGATTTTTAAATCACACTTTAAGATCAAAAAAAGATTTTAAGATATTTTAAAAGATGGAGGCCAGGCACGGTGGCTCACTCCTGTAATCCCAGCACTTCAGGTGGCCAAGGTAGGTGGACCATTTGAAGTCAGGAGCTCAAGACCAGCCTAGCAAAGATGATAAAACCCTGTCTCTACTAAAAATACGAAAATTAGCCAGGCATGGTAGCGCACACCTGTAGTCCCAGCTACTTGGGAGACTGAGGCAGGAGAATTACTTGAGCCTGAGAGGCGGAGGTTGCAGCGAGCCAAGATCGTGCTACGGCGCTCCAGCCTGGGCAACAGACCAAGACTCTATCTCAATAAAAACAAATAAATAAATAAATAAAAATAAAAGATTGAGACTTTTTTAAGGGGTGAAAATATTTCATTTGAGCAAAGCATTCCTCAGCTAAAAAAAACAAGTTTTAAAATTTCTGATTTAGGAACCAGTAATATATTGAAAACTGAAGTTTAAGTGTCAATATGCTAAATAAATATTTCCATTTCCCTAAGTACAAATCATAAATTGCGAAGTAACTAGAAAGGAAACTATTGATCTTCAGCTTATCTGCCTTTGTGCAGATATTTATCCGGTTCAATATTTGACTAACTTGTCTAACCGTAAGAACCTTGTTAAAATACTGATACCCAGAAGTAATTTAACATGTCACGACATACGTTTAGAAAGGTCTCCTGTTTGCGTTAGAGGAGTGTTCTTCAACTTTGAATCACATATGAACAACGTTCATAACATTTAAGGGGTCTTGTTAAAATGCAGATTTCGATTTATGTATTACAAGTTTCTGGGTGATACTAACACTGCTGTTCTGCAGACCACATCTTGAGTAGCAAAGCATTCCAGAAGCATTCAAGATCCCAGAACAGGACACCTCATCTAGCAGGTCCTCCACAAATGTTTATTAGTCAATCAGAATCTAGCTAGGTGCAGTGGCACTAAACGTCTTTTTTTCTTTTCTCCTTTTTTCTCCCTTGCCCTAGCTTAAAGCTGTGCATAGAAGTTATTTTATTTTATCCTGGTAAATTGAGCACTTCTGTTTGTTTTATAGAGGTGTGCCCTTTCTGTTGAGTATCTTTCTAAGAGCCATTATGGTGTGACTCATCTTTCTGACAGTATTTATTTTAAATTTTAATTTATTCAGCTGCTTCAATCACATTCATAAGTTATCTTTTAGAATACCTTCTCTCCTTCACACTTACCTTGGCCAGAAACCTGATCATCTGAATACTTGTAAGAGAACCAAGAAAGTATAGACTAATTGTTTATTTTAAAAAGCACAATGAAGGAAGAAATGGATGTGATTTTTTTCTTGGAAACGGGAATTTAATCACCTAATAGAGTCTCTTAGAAAAGTACCATTCCCAAATCTGTTCTTGATTTTGAATACTAAATTGCTCTAAATCCACCTAATGGTTGTTTAAACCTATGACACCATGGAGAATGTGAGAACAATACCGTCTATGAACCTCTTCAAGAATAAGCTCAAAAATGAACTCCACCAATTGATGTGGAAAGTATTTCATGCATGGGACGTTCTAACCAGGGAAATGGGAAAGAGCTGGCATAGCAAAGGTGGAGGGGCTAAGGAAGAACACTGAGAGATGGGACAGAGATGGCTTGCCAATTCACGCGTCACATGAGAACACCAAAAGATTTTGGAAAATCCATAAATAACCTAAATTCTCTTTTTTCCTGGCCCGTCCAGCTACCTCCCCCCCAAAAAAAGAAGCCCTAAACAGCCTCTTTGCTATGTCTCAGCTAATCAGCTTATCAGCAGCTCACATAAGAAAAGGTAAATAATATTCGCTATTTCAAATTGTTCCTCTCTCCACTTTTCCTTACATAAATCAGGGATTTGTTAGGTGAAATGAATTTTTTTTTTTTTTTTGAGATGGAGTCTCGCTCTGTCGCCCAGGCTGGAGTGCAGTGGTGCAGTCTTGGCTCACTGCAAGCTCCGCCTCCCAGGTTCACGCCATTCTCCTGCCTCAGCCTCCCGAGTAGCTGGGACTACAGGCACCTGCCACCACACCCGGCTAATTTTTTGTATTTTTAGTAGAGACGGGGTTTCACTCATGTTAGCCAGGATGGTCTCGATCTCCCGACCTTGTGATCCGCCCACCCTGGCCTCCCAAAGTGCTGGGATTACAGGCGTGAGCCACTGTGCCCGGCCTATGTGAAATGAATTTATTACACACTCCATTGATTGTATAAGTAAAATAGCCTGGTAAAAATTAGCTGCATGTCTTTTTATCATTCTTTGAAAAACGAGAAGTGTTTAGTTTGAAGTATCTAAGTAATGACAACCAGCCTGAACTATTAAAAGGATGTCAGGAAGAAGAGAGCAAACATGTCCTTTTTGCTACAGAATGCCAAAATTATAATCAACAGGTAACAATCGCAAGGATAAACCTTGTTTGCCTAACAAGATAAAGGACTTTCTTAAAATCAGAATTCCAATAAAGTCTCTCATTTAAATTCAGGGGTTAGATAACTTAGAATGGGACAAATAGCACTTATATTTTAATCTCTAATTTATTTGTCTGTCTGCACCACTTGAGGCCAGGAACTATTTCTTATTCATTCTTGCCTCTTCTGCACCTAGGAGAGTGTCTAGCTCATATTCATTAAATAAATTTTGTTGAGCAGTACTGAAAGGCACAGATTTAAGACTTTGGAACCTTTCCCAATACTATGCCCTTGTCGTGTTGAATGAACGAATGAATCATGAGTTTCAAGCCTAATGTTTCCCACATGTCATGATTAATGGTCAAACTAAATCTTGGTTCCTCTTTCTCTCTCTCTCTCTCTTTCTTTTTTTTTTTTGAGACAGAGTCTCGCTCTGTCGCCCAGGCTGGAGTGCAGTGGCACAATCTCGGCTCACTGCAAGGTCTGACTCCTGGGTTCACACCATTCTCCTGCCTCAGCCTCCCGAGTAGCTGGGACTACAGGCGCCCACCACCATGCCTGGCTAATTTTTTATATTTTTAGTAGAGACGGGGTTTCACCATGTTAGCCAGGATGGTCTCGATCTCCTGACCTCATGATCTGCCTGCCTCGGCCTCCCAAAGTGCTGGGATTACAGGCATGAGCCACCGCGCCCAGCCGGTTCCTCTCTCTTAATTCAGTTTCCCAGGGTCTTTACTGACAGCCCTCTGTTAAGAACTGAGCAGTTTCTTGTATCCTATCAGTGGTTTTGCCACTTCCTTCTTTTTTTTTTTTTTTCCCCACCAACATGCTCCTCTCTTTCTCTAAGTGAAGTTGTGCAGTTTTTTTTCTCTAAGCTATAAACAACTACACTTGGGATCCCAGGCCTTCCCTTCATTACCCTTATGAATATGCCTTTGTGTCAGTGGTTGGCCAGAGACAAATAGTAATAATAGAAAATCAATATACTGTATGGGGAGAAGTGGAAAAGTGCCTGGATATAAGTTTTACATTAAGGTTCGGTCTATACACAATCATATTGATTAGATGTAATTGATAGATTATCTTAGTATTATTCACATGACATTATTTGTGCCTTCCTGAGAGGATTCTACCCTCCCATGATTCGTGGAACTATCTAAACAACTTCCTAGGAATGATCCTCTCCTTTACTCCTACACAGTCCAACTACATGCAAAGGTGCCCGGCACATGGTTAAAAAACAATACTACCTGTGCAAATACAGACGCTACTCAGCTTATAATGGACATACAGCCTGATAAACCCATCATAAGTCAAAAAATACATTTAATACCCTGATAAGCCCATCATAAAGTCACAAAAGCATAAGTAGAACCATTGTAAGTCAGGAACCGTCTGTATAAGGTATCAAGACAAATAAAAGTGAATACCACACATACTACTTGTGAACTTTTAATAACTCTGAACACAAACAGCTTGAAAACAATAATTGGATAGATGGTCTTTAATTCATGTCTTTATGAAAATAGCAAAAGAGTATATTGAGAATGATTGAATCAAATTTAACAAAACCTTGCTTCTCAGTGTGACTCCTCGACCATCAGCATTGAAATCACCTAGAAGCTTACTAGAAATGTAGAAACTGGGGCCCACCCCAGACTTACTAAATCAGAATCTGCATTTTTAACAAGGTCCCCAAGAAAATCAGTACACGCATTATGTTTAAGAAGCTACTCTAATGAGTACGCATTAAGTATTGATCACACTCCAGTTCCTTCTTAGAAAAGAACTGACGGCACGGCTTAACCAGTGTGACTAAAGGAATGATCTCAGTGTTGGTCTGTCCTAAATTTTCCTTTGTGTCTACCCTGAACTGAGATTCGCCAGGGCCTTTAATACTAGGATTTAGTCTTCCTTTATGCATGCACTCAAATTAGAGCCTTTGTCATCTGAGTCTTTACAGATGATATCTCTCAACAGTGCTGGGAGTGTGGCCTAAAGCAATGTAATACTAAGTGAAGTCAGAAAACTGGCTACCCATCTGCAAATTGTTTGTTACTTGTCTGTCATAATATAGCAACTTTGGTAGAATATGCATGATGACATAAGAAGCTTGTGCCAAAATGTAAATCACCTACATCACTAGGCACACTCTTAATTTCAGCTGCTATTTTTTTCTTAGTAAAACTTTTTCAATGAAGGAAGTAGCATGTTGATTTCTACTCAAGCATAGCTTGTTACCTCCTTGTGGACAAGAACTTTGAATAGCACAGGCAAAGTGATTAAATGCAGAAGGCTGCTCTACTTGCTGCAGTGTGAATGTGGTTAATCACAACAGGCCCTACATATTAGAGCACAAATTAATTATGGCTATAGATTAACTGCTTTGTTAACTCCATAATTTCTCTGGGGTTCACAGCTAGATTCCCAGTACCTGGCACAGAGATGGCCTTCAGTGTCTGTTGAGTGAATGAAGTGCCTAGCTCAACTCTCATTGTTTACCTGTTGTTGTAGTTGTTTCTTCTGGCTTGGATTTCTAAAGCTCCTGAGGTATAGATACTGTTGATTTTACCTAAAGAGGCTTCAGCAGAAGAGAACAATCACACAAGAACTAGAAAAGACAAGGAAGGTTTTATGAGGAAAATGAACATTAATCTAGAATTTGAAGGAAAAATGGGACCCACATCAGCATCATAGAGAAAAGGGGATTCCTGGCAAGGAGAACATGGAATTTTGTGGAATGCACAGAATGTAGGAGGTAGGAATACATATGGCATTTCAAGGAATGAGTGTGCCATACGTCAGCCAAAGGCTGAGGCAATGGAGTACTGGGAGGAAGTGTTAAGAATTATGGATGGACCAGATTCTTACTTTAACATCTTTTTTTTCCCCTAAGCCTAATGTGCTTCCAAACTTGCCTCTTTTATTAAATGATATTCATAACAAAAGCAATACTAAAGTCCTTCCTTGCCTGTTTCCTCTACACACATAAAAATTAAACATTTAAATAAAAGTAGAAAAATTGTGACACTTTTTTAAAGCTTCAAGAGTAAGATTTCACATACAGATGACACATTTTCTACAATGTAAAATTTAGAGCATTACTAACGCATATTAAATGCTAGATCAGTCTTTCAAGTTACAGTACACAGAAGATAAAAATAGGTGCGATTTGGAAAGAACAAAGGTGAACTCGAAGCATACAGTGAATAGGCACAAATCAGCTACAAATTTTAGCAGATATTCATGCGCTTATTGAAATAAGCCACCTTTTCCTGCATTTGTGCCGACAAGTCCATTTATCCTTTTTAAGATGCTCCAGTAACGATAGGAGCATTTTGGGGGCGGGGGAGGGGGGCTAATTGATGTGATCTAATTTTTCAGACTCAGGAGTTTTGGAGAAAGGTCAGTGTAACAGAAAAGCTGCCCATTAGAAATAACATCTATAAACTGTCAGAAAAGAGTGCAAGCCAGAAGATGAAGCAATTCAGATTGCTTCCCTTCTTTTCCAAGGTTCTTGGGAAAAAAATTTCATTACGCATAAGAAGTATAGCTAAATACTTAACTGAAGTTAAAACAAAATCATGTTTTCTAACAGTTCAGGTGAATTTCAAGCCATCCAGGCCACAAGATAATGATGTCCTCCAAGTCTGACCTACAGGGAACTTTTCTTCTAATTAATAAACAGACTACAGCAAGAAAATTAATTTATGCACCGCATTTACTTGTTGATGCCCTTCGAGAGCATAACATTTCAGTAGGCACTGTGTACACGAGATACAGCAGAAGAATACGTCAAAGCTAGTTCTTTGGTGTTTTTTTTTTCCCAGAGAAAATAGAGGTAATCCAACATTAGACAGAATTTGTCGAGATTACTAGATGTACATTCAAAACATCCATTCAACAAACCAATTGAATTAGTTGCATATAAGAGTGTCCCCTCTGGGCCGGGTGCAGTGGCTCACGCCTGTAATCCCAGCACTTTGGGAGGCTGAGGTGGGTGGATCACGAGGTCAGGAGATCGAGACAATCGTGGCTGACACGGTGAAACCCCGTCTCTACTAAAAATACAAAAAATTAGCTGGGCGCGGTGGCGGGCGCCCATAGTCCCAGCTACTCGGGAGGCTGAGGCAGGAGAACGGTGTGAAACCGGGAGGCGGAGCTTGCAGTGAGCGGAGATCGCACCACTGCACTCTAGCCTGGGCGAAAGAGCGAGACTCCGACTCAGAAAAAAAAAAAAAAAAAAAAAAAGAGTGTCCCCTCTGAATTGTACTCTTCAGGATTCCCTGGGTGCCTTTTTAAAATTTAAGTCTGCTACTGCCTCTTTCATAACTTATGGGGCAGAGCCCTAATTCCTTAGCATGTCATGAGAACTTCCAAATCCAGGTTCTGCCTGCTTATTCAATCTGGTTCCACTCTCATGCCAGCCACTTCATACCTAATCCTCCACCATTGCTACCGCCAGTGTCTGAATGCATCTCACCTGCGTGCATTTTACCAAGATTCTCCCACTGCCTGGAATGAGACCACACCTTTTTCACCCTGAAACACAGCCATTCCAATTGTGGAAACTCAACTCAGGCACCTGTTCCTTCCCGTCTTACCACATTTCCTGACCAACTCATGCCACCATTGAATGGCCCCTTAAGCTTAAGTCCTCTTATTTTTGCAGTGATTAGACGAAATACTATATGTAAATTATTTAGCACCATGTCTGACAGTAGTAAATAACTATCATTATATCACATGTTATTATAACTACACTGGAGAGACAATATAACATGGTGGCTAAATGAGTAAAACTTGACATCATACTGCCTATCTTTCAGTACTTATTGTTCTGTGAATTTGTCAAGTTAATGGGCCCTCCCTTCTGGGTCAGTTTTCTTACCTGCAAAATGGGTACAATAATAGTTTCTACCTCACGGGGCGTTTGTAAGAGTTGAATGAGTTAGCACAGAAAAAGCACTTAGTGTCTACCACATACTAAGTATGCAATAAATGTTAACTGTGCTGCTGCTGATGATGTACTTTTTAAACACTTTAATAAAAAATTTCAAATATATGCAAAATTAGAGACAGTGGTATGCATATACTGAACACCCAGCTTTAGCAATTATCAAATTTTGCCATTATTGTTTATTTATCTATTTCTCTTTGGTCTATTTTTCATTAATGTAGTATTTTAAAGCAAATTCCAGACATTATCATCAGTTTCCCTTTAAATGCTTCTCTAAACAATGATGACTTTCTACATAGAACCACAGTTCCTTTTACATCCCTATCTTGCAAATACGTCTAAATAGGATATTTCATTTAACTTACTTATTTTCCTATCTTTCCTTCTGGGCTGTAAATCCTTGAAACCAGTGGTTGTGATATTTAATTCATTTAAGCTGTAATTCACTGGCTAGAACACGGTAGTAGTGCAATAAATGTACTTTTTAAAGAGAGAGAGGGAAGTAAAAAAGAGAGAAGGGAGAGAGTTAAGGAGAGAGGGAATAGGAAGGGCTCACATAACAAAATAAGACATTAAACAAATGTTGACCTTAGAATAGGCATAGTACAACTAGTGCCTGAATAAGCAGTAAGTACCAAATGCTGTGATCCTAGAGAGGTGTCTCAGAAACCTATGCATAGCCAAGTTTAATTTGCCAGCAGGTTTTTACTTCATTGACTGGTCAGGTAGAGAAGAAGAAAGCAAAAATAAAAGAGTGTATTATTCTGTATCACAATGGTATCAGATTGTTTATTTTGGAGTCTGTGTCTATTTCTCATTTCCAATAATTTATGATATCATTTACCATTATTAAAGGAACCTTATTTTTAAAGCCCTGTGACACCTAGTGTGAAGCAGAAGAGTTTGCAAAGTTTAAACATCATATTGTTAAATTCTGGAGTGGCTTTAACTAGCTGTGTGATCTTGGGCAAGTTACTTGCTTTCTCTGCTTCAGTTCTTCATTTTTAAAGTGTGACAGGATTAGCACCTATCTCATAGGCATGACATGCTTAGAACAATACCTGATACATGAAAAGAATTTTTAAAATTTTATTTATTATCTAGTTATAAGAGAACAATGAAATAAAACAAATATGAAGCTCGCCCATTTAAAGAAAAAAAAAAGAATGATTTCATTGAAGATACTTCCTCTGCCATGGAATTGCTAAATGAAACTTTGCAGCAATTCCAAAATAACTTGCCCCAGGGAGTAGGATTGGATTTTGCTAAACTGAGGATTTAAGATTTACAATTTTTTGACTGTAATTCATTCTTACCTCTGCCAAATGTGATTGCAAAGGGAAAGAAGACATCATAATTGTACGAAAGGGTTTTAACCAGGTTTTCTTGTTTTTTGTTTGTTTGTTTTTACTAATTGTTTCAGGGCATTTGAGGCAATTGTAAGAGCTTACACATGGTAACCACTACATAAATATTAAAATGATGGCTTGGTACAAAAATGACTTTATGATTAATAAAATCACAAAAACTTGGAAAAAGAGTTATAAAAATTCTCCATAATTGAGTGCCAACTTTGGGCCTAATGTTTTATATAGTAGGTAGAACCCAATAACTGCCAATTATTTGGCAGTTTTGATGTTAGAAAAGGCCACGGGATAAAGTTCGGACAAAATACATTTTTTCTATTCCTCCAGATAGTAGGGTTCTCATTTTTCACAGAGGAAATTAGGGTTTAGATAGATAGGGGACTTGTATAAACCACATGCTACAAAGCGACCATGTAGAAACGTGAGCCCAGGTTTTCAGGCTCATCTTATTAGTGGCTAATTCCAATGTCCTTTGCATATTTAGGAAATGTTTGCTATAATAAAGAAGCTGGGCAATAAGATATTAAATATTTTGAAAAGGGTAAATATTTAGTGATTTATCAAAGGAAGCACAAAGCACTGAGTACTTTAGCAGAAGAAATGGATTAAAGATGTGAGACCCATGTCACATAAACCAAAGACCATTTCTCCTCCAGATAATAATGAGATTGTCACATCTATCAATTTCTATGTATGTATTCCATTGTACATCCTCTCTCCCTAAATTTTAAAAAGTTATGATCATGTTGATATGCAAAGGGAATTTATGTGTTTGTTTAACTTTTTGAGGAGAAAGTGAGAAAGAGAAAATATTTTACATTCCAGGAGAGAAGCACTTTAGAGAAATTGAAGCAAAAACTGGGAAGAAGTCAGGGCCAACTGGTGGAAAGTCCCCCAGGATGCAAGAGAGGAGCACTGAGCCCTGACCTACTTCTCACTAATTGCTGCAAACCTCCCATAAATTCCTTGCCCTTCCTGGTCTTCAGATTCCTCTTCTATAAAACAAGATGGCTGGGGAAAGACTCTCTGAGGTTTCTTGGAGTTTTTACAATTTACCGATCTTGTGAAATTAGACCATTAATTATCTTTTAAATGTATGTTTTACAAAGTGTTAAGATGGAAGAAATAAACTGGTAAAATATAAGATGGTTTGTAATCATAAATATTTTCCATATTTAATTATAGTTTATTTCTCATAGAAGTGTAAATTGAGGTGGGTTACAGTGTTAAAACAATATTAGACCAGTTTGAAAAAAAAAAGCTAGAAAGTTCTATGCACTTACATATTTTGTGATAATCAGATATTAGTCACCATTCTTTATATAAACCCAATGTTACTAATTACTTAAGCTTTAAGATGAATGCCAACATTTTGATTTATTCACATCCATAACATAATTTGGAGAACCTAGAAATTTTTTTGTTTTTACATTTGTGCAATGACATTTCAGGTTTGGTTTTAGACTTCCTTCTTTTCTTTCAACATGATGCTGAGAAACACAAGTAATAGGATAATCACAGGTTCATTCCTAGCCATCGCTTTTGCCTGTCAATATCCTAATTACTTCCCTACTCCACTTAGATGACTCAGAGTCCATGCCATGAATACTGATGATGAGAGATGATGCAATGGGGAGAACTTATTGTAGCTCCATCCTGTCCTTTAACTTTCATTGTTTCTCCAGCCAAGAATTTAAGGGCACAAGTTAGAGGAGAGTCTGGTCATCAAAATAAAATTCGTTAGCCTTTTAAAATATGTCAGGCTAATAGGACAAGCAGCCTGCAAGGAGAAGCATCCCTGACTTTGCTGGACAGCATTTCCAATTATCAGCATCTTCTGGCATTTTAAGTTATAACTGAATATTCTCAAATAAATGTTGCAAGAATATGAAGTGTAGCATAAGTATTATCTTTTCAGTGAAATCTATTCTTATTTATTTACATAGAGTGTATTCTATTTTAAATTATATATTTATGGACATAAAATTCACATATTTGACAAGTTTTTTGAAGAGGCTTTTCCACTGGAGTAAAAAGATGGAAATTTTTAAACAGCATTTGATTGGTATTCCATTTTCCTTTAATATTTGAAAATGTTATGTTGATCATATTTTAGGTAGGAATGGATCTATTAACTACCATGGAATCAATTTGTAGTTATCCATGAAAATAAAACAGGAAGAATTTTTAAATAAATATTCACTCTTTATTTACAAAGATTTATTAAGTCTCTGCTATGTGCCAGTCCTAGAGAAATAAACTAGTGATGGCCTGGATCGTTTAGGAGCTTACAATGTTTTGGGAGACATGCACATAGAATGATTAAACGAATCAGGAGATGGTGAGTTCCACAGCTGATGTATACACAAACAAATAATGGGTGCATGAAAGAGGGTCACCTTATCTCTTCTGATAAGGTTATGAAGGTATCCCAGAAGAAAAACATCTGAGCTGAGTCTTAAAAATGCAAGAGAATATTCCCAGATGAAGAAAGGGGAGCAGGCCATCTCAAGCAGAGGAGACATCAGTTGATTTTCAGCAAGTATGTAGAGTGTTTAAGGACTGATTGACAGGTCAACGTGGCCCAAGTGAAAATGGTGAAAGTTAGTTGGACCCAACTGTGCAGGTCGTGAAGTCAGATTGTGAGGATGGCTCCCATCTCATCTGGGAGAAAGAGATGGCTTCCTCAGGCATCAAGTGCTTTCTTCTTAAAGCTGCAGTTATTTCACCGCTATTTAAATTTGTGTTTTCCCGATGGTCAGAGACTACAGTCAGACTGCCTCTTGGATTTCAGTGATCTTTGATTTACCTGTTTACACCTTTCACATATTTGTTGTTGTTTGCATTTTGACTTGTAGAAGCTCTTTACAAACATGAGTAGTCATCCTTTGTCATTTTTGTTGTGCTCATACTCCCACGGTACTTTGCTAGTTTTGTTATTTTGTCTATGATTTTACCCCATACACAAGGTTTATTTTATAAGTTTAGCTAACAAATACTTATTATGTACCAAGTTTTATTCTAATGTTTTTTTACAAATGTTAACACATTTAATCTTCATAACAATCCTATGGGGAAGGTATTAACATGCCTATGTTACAGGTAAGAAAACTGAGCTACATCTTGAAGGTCACATAACTTCCCAAGGCCTTACTGTGGTAGGTGTGAGGCCAGGGAATGCTACAAAGCCCTGCTTTGAGCCTCCACTAAGCTGCTTTCTTTCAAATTTGTCTTCTGTTCCTTTATGATACCTGTATTTTATATCTTATTAAACAAGGCCTTGCCCAGCTCAGATTATAAAATAACCTCCTAGACATTCTTATAATTTTATACTTCTGTGACTTTTGGGTTTAGAACTTTAATCAATCTGCAATGTATTCTTGTGCATGATTTGAGTTAGAAACCTTCTCAAATGTTACATTATTTATTGCAGTAACCACTGTTTCTCTCATTTATTTGAAATGATAAATTATTGCAAAATAGATTCATGCATTTTTTGTAACTTTTTTATTATATTTCACTGTTCAATTTGTTCATTCCTTCACTAATACCATACATTGCTCTAATTACTGTTACTTTTTAGCATTGAAATTGATGTTTAAGTGTTCCCTTTTTAAAATATACTTGTCACTGTTCTCATTTATTTATAAATTCCTCCAAATAAATATATACAATTAGTGTCTTACATTTTATAAAGTTGGTTTGTTTTGGTGGAGTAGATTAAATATTGACTTGGGATGCAATATACTTATAAAATTAATTTGAAGAAAACTGATATTGTCAAAATAATTAACTTTTTCATACTAGAATATAGGGTGTCTTTTCATTTATTAAGGTCTTTCTTGTATTTCACTACATTTTTAGTTTTTTTCTTAAGTCTTACACAATGTTTGGTAAGCTTATTTCTAAGTATTTTATCATTGTTTTCCACTTTTAATGAGATTTCAAATTCCATTAAAATTTTTAATTGGATCCTGCTGATATACAGAAAAACTATTAATGTTTGCATGTCTTTCATGTATATAATTGCTATATTAAATTATCTTATTAATTCTAGTAGTTTTTCAATTAGTTATCTTGGAATTTTTCTTAGTCATATCCGTGAAAATTGTTAGCTTTATCTCTTCTTTTGCAATGTTTACACTTTTTAATTATATTGTCTCATTGTGGATATGTACTTATAATGAAAACTATTCGTGATAATATTCTTAATTTTCTAGTTCCTGGTTTTAATTGAAATTCTTTGTATATTTCACCAGTTAGATTGTTCTTACACAGTAGTTTGATTTTTATTCCTAGACTAGTTATTCCATTCTCACATTTAAATGACACTTTCGCTGCTTTAGGTTCTCAATCTTTTGTCTCAGAACTTTCTAGCATCTTGTGTTTCAGGGAAGGCTGAGGCCAATCTGAGAGTTATTCCATTGTGCTACCTTCCTTGGTTTTAAAAATTATCTTCATTCTTGAAATTCAAAGATTTTACCCAAATTTCACCTAAATGTGTATAGATTTGGAGTTAAGTTTTCCAGAGAAAATACCAGACACTCAGTTAAATTAAAGTTCAGATAAATAACAAATAAAAACTATTTCCCAGCTGTATGCATTTTTATTTGCTCAATCTGATAATCCTAATGGGGTATTGACTGTTAATATATTATTATCATTATTAATTATTTTTGTTACTGTTTGGCAGTCAAAGGGATATTTTAAAATAAAGTCCTTTTTCAGATCAGACCAATATTTTTCAATTACTTCTTTGACACAGCGTAGCAGGTCAGAAAACTGGTTCTTAAAACCATTGTGTATATTGGATGTGGTCTTACATTTAACTCCCGGACAAGCTGTTTATAATTTGGTAGTATGTCTTAGGCTCTTAGATGCTCACATGCTAGAATAAGACAAAAAGAATTAGGCCATTCCTTTTTCTCTTTATTCCCTGTTCTTTCTATCTGGAAAAACAGATATTGGAAATTCTTCATCTATTCCCTATGTCTCATAACTTTTCTATTAAATGTATATATTTTTGTCTTTTATGCCTCATGTTTTGGGAGTTTATCTTCACCCACATTAATTTTAATATGTATGCCTGATGAATTTATTAAAAATTTCTACTTTTAATGAGATTGCAAATTCCAATAAAATTTCTAATTGTATCTTGCTGATATATAGAAAAACTATTAATGTTTGCATGTCTGTCTTGTATATAATTGCTATATTAAATTATTTTATTAATTCTAGTGGTTTTTTAATTAGTTTTCTTGGGAATTTTTCTTAGTCATATCTATGAAAACTGATAATTTTATCTCTTCTTTTGCAAAGTTTATACATTTTAATTATATTGTCTCATTATGGATATGTACTTATAAAACAATTTGTGATAATATTCTTAATTTTAAATTAAGAATCTTTTTAATATCTTAACCTTACATGTATAAATTTATTAGGTCTGATAATTTTATTATTAGACCTTCACTAAAATGTTAAAGTTTAGCTATCATGGTTTTAATTTCAAAATTTTTTTTCTTGATCTTAGGTTATTTCTTTTTCATAGCAATTTGTTCTTGCTTTATGACTTTTGAGTTTTTTTCTGTTTTAGCATTATCATGGTTTCCTCTAAGACTGATCAACTTTCTCCTTTTACATAAGCATATTTGTTGATTTTCCTCAAATATCTGGTGAAACTTGATTTCCATTCTTATGTTATTAATATTTATAAATGAAGTATCGGTTTATCAATGTAGGTAACTACAGTGGTTTTAACAATTGTTATGAAAGGCTGGTTTTGCAGCAGGCTTCTTCCCTGACTAGGAGAGAGAAATGTGTGGGTCTGGTTTTCCTTTTCTTGTTATGCAAGCAGGAAGAACCAGAAAAGCAGGGGCACTCTCATGATTGCAAAAGCAAGTGCTCATCTGGGTGGTACTTTTAAGTGCTTTGGCAAAGGATGAGGTAAAATTCAAAGACAACAGCATCACTGTTTTCAGAACTTCATTCAGAGCCATTACGACAAATAATTTGGTTGCAAGGGTGTTTGATACCTGAAATAACATAAGGATTCTTAGCACTCTCGTTGTCTGTTCACAATTGTCTGCAAAAAGCAAGGCAAAGCATAGAGGTCATGCATGGTGTTATTTTTCATTTGTGGGAGGAGAATACATGTTCTTATTTTGATATTAAAATTAGGAAAGACTAGTGGTCAAAATTGAAAGTATAGAGCTTTACTGTGACATAATTCAGTTTCTTATAAGGGGATCATATATAAGAGTACCCCAAAGTACTTTGTATTGTGCTTGCAACTTTTCTGTAAGTTAAAATTATTTAATAAAAAAGGATTTTTTTATAATCAAGAAATCTAAAGATGGAAAATTATGATTAGATTTAGGTTTAACTTAAAGTGACAGAAAACACAAAATATTACTGTTTCAAATAAGATAGAATTTATATCTTGCCTACATAATGTAAGCGGTCATCCAAGCCTGGAATGGTGCTCCTTGGTGTCAGGAACTTGAGTTCATTCTGTCTTGCAGCCTCTCCATGCAGGAATTCCATGTTCAGGGTCATCCCGTGGTCTAAGACAAATGCTGGAATTTCAGCATTTCCATTCACATTCCAGCCAGCAGGAAGGAGAAGATGATTGCCAAAAAAGTGCACTCCTTTCCTCTAGGAACACTTTCTAAAAGTTTTACTTTCTTCCTGCATCCCAGTGTCTAGGAACTGGTCACATAACCATATCTAGCTACAAGGAAAACTAATAAATACAAAAGCTGCTAATTACTTCTCAGCATTCCTGTACCTACTAAAAATCATAATTATTGTAGAAATTGGATATTGAAGACAACGAAGAAAACAATGAAGAGTATTTGCCACACCGTTTGAACAGGGCAGTGTTTGTAGAATCTCTTGAAGCTCATCCATTCCAAAGACATCCGTGAGTGCTTACCATGCACGAAGCACTGTGCTGGGGCTTGAGATAGAAATGTTGAGAACAACACACTTGGTCTCTGTGCTAATGGAGTTTTAGGCTAATGGGAAAAGTGGGGATTCAAAACATAAGGAAACATATTTGAATATTAATAAAAGCTAAGAGACTGTTAAGAGGGAAATTATCACATGTTCTGAGAATGTGTCACGGAAGGACTTTGCCAAGCCAGGGCAGGATGATGATGATCTAAGAAGGCTTTCCTGAGGGCATGATACATGTGTTCAAATCCACAGGATGAATGGGAATATGCAAAGGAGAGGCTAGAGTAGGAATATCAAAGAAGGCAGCATATGCACAAATGTCACAGGGAAAAGAATAATAATCCAGTTAAGAAACTGAAAGTTCTTTATGGCTGGAGTACAGCAAACAAGGAGGAAAACAGGAGAAAATGAGACTAGAAAGGTTCTCAAGGTTAAAATAATGTAGAATCAAATGCAGGCCACATACAGTTATTTGTGTCATTAAAGGGTTAGAGGCAGAGAGCAACATGACCTGTTTTATACATTGAAAAATGTTCTGAATGCAATGTAGAAAACAACTGGATGAGTGTAAGAGGAGACTATGCTAGGAGTTCAGGCAAGGTGGGAGAGAGAGCAATGTGGACAGAATCAAGAGATATTCAAGAGATTAAAAACAATAGAACCTGATGATAATTTAGATACGAAAGAGTGAAGGTAAGAGAGGAGTTGAAGGTGATTCCCACATTTCCAGATTGTACAAATGGATGGGTGGTGGACCATTTATTTTCTGAAACAGAGAAATATCAACTACCAATTAGAGGAAAGATGTTGATTTTTGGTTTGATTTAAGAGCCTTGAGTTTGCGGTGCCTTTCTGACGTTCAAGTAGGCATTTCAGATAGGAAGTTAAACATGCAAATCTGGAACACCGAGAAAATAGCAAGCCTAGAGATACAGATTTGAGAGGTTTTTGCACATAGGTAGTTGGTAACTAAATCACAGTTTCAGAGAGGAGTCCCTACAGAGATAGCAGGCAGAGAGATGAGAAAAAACAAGAATCTGGGACTTGAATCTAAAAGGCAGGCAGAAGAAGGGTGGCAGAAGGCAGCAATGGAGACTGAGGAGGGTGGGTGAGAAGGTAGGGATCTGTTGGGAGTTTGTACTATGATAGAAGCCGAGGGATTCTAAAGCACTAAACAGGCAAATTCCTCCTTGACTTGACTTGACTTCCTTCCTTAAGTCAAGGAAGAGGAGGGCTGAAAGAAAAAATTGAGAGTACAGAAGGGTTCTGAAATGTTACTGCAAAGATAAGATGTGACAAGTATCTCTTAAAGATGGTGGTAGTCATGATGGTGGTGGCTGTGTCTGTGTATCTTTGTTATGCATCAATATTTGAACCACTTGGGGAGATGTCCGTCAAAGAATACAAAATTTCAGTTTGGCAGGAGGAATAAGTTCAAGAGATCTATTGTACATCATGGATGCTTAGTAACAATATATTATACACTTGAAAAATTTCTAAGAGTAGATCCTAAGTGTTCCCACCACACACACAAAAAGTGTGTGAGGTAATGCAATGTTAATTAGCTTGATTTAACCATTCCACAATATACACATATATCAAAAAATTATGTTGTACGGTATAAATATATACAATTTTGTCAATTAAAAGTAAATGAATGAATGAATGAATTAAAATATTTGGAGCACTCTGAAGCTGAATTCAGAAATAATGCTAAAGAAGACTTGACTTTGTTAAAGACAGAATTTTTATAGAATATATGGAAATAGTAATTATTGCTTAAAAACTGTATTCAATATTTTGATATTGACCTCAATAAAAAAATGTGTAATCAATTTTTGAACTTCTAGTCACTCAGGGGACAGAATGGTTACCATTTGTTGTCCTAAAGCAAGGGTAGCATAGGGGCTTGTCCCAGGAACAATCAGTTGGTCTTCAACCAAAAAAGTGGATATTTCCATCAGGGACATTTGCCTGGACACCACCATGTTAGATTCTAAAAATCAAACATGTGTCCCACCCTAACTTTGCCTTTAGTCCCTGAAAGAATGGACGTAGGTTTGAGAGAGGAGAACAGTGAGGGTCATCCCTCTTCATCTCAGGAGCAATTAACTAGTTATTTTGCTCACTTTGGGAAGAATTTGCCTTCAAAAATTATACCTTTTGGAAAACTATACCATATAATTATTTATCTTCCTTCAAAATATGAATTATTTGATCTTTTTCTCACTTCAACTTTTCAAAAATTTCACATAAGGAGCCCTATTCAATTATCTCCTTCTGTAATTAAAACATTTTAGTAGGTGTGCAACCAAATTGCCAAACTAAGACAGATCTTGTTATTTTAAAAGAACATTATAATTTCAATTATTCTAATAATTGTTATTATTCGATAGAGCAAATTATGAATGCAATTTTCAAAGCAAATGAAAACATAAGAAATTCATGATTTTTCTATACTGCTACAAATTTGGATAACTTCAAAGTGATTATCTTACATTTGGCTTTTACTTTGGAAAATATTAATATTAGAAAAACTGCAAAATTTTGGAATCTAGATTAAAGAACGATAGATTATGATGATAACTGTTTATGATTCTTATTTTATTATTTCTTTTTTGAACCTGCTTTTCCAATCTAGATAAGCATGTCTAGTCTCATACCATATTCATACTGCATATTATAACATGGTGTTAATAATCTTAAGTAATATTCCATGGCCAATCAACCTTTTTTGGACACTAATACTCATTATGAGACTGAGCTTAACAGCTGTTTTTTGTTTTTGTTTTTGCTTTTTTAGCATTTAAGTTTAGGGGTATGTGTGCAGGTTGGTTATATAAATACACTCATGTCATGGGGGTTTATTGTACAGATTATTTCATCATCCAGGTATTATAATCCTAGTACCCATTTGTTATTTTTCCTGATCCTCTTCCTCCTCTCACCCACCACCCTGATGTAGGGCCCAGTGTCCATTGTTCCCCTCTATGTGTCCATGTGTTCTCATAATTTAGCCCCCACTTGTAAGTGAGAACATGCAGTATTTGGTTTTCCATTCCTGCAATAGTTTGCTAAGGATAATGGCCTCCAGCTCCATGCATGTCCCTGCAAAGGACATGATTGCATTATTTTTTACTGCTGCATAGTATTCTATGATGTATATATAACGCATTTTCTTTATCCAGTCTACTGCTGATGGGCATTTAGGTTGATTGTATGTCTTTGCTACTGTCAATAGTGCTGCAATGAATATATATGTGCATGTGTCTTCATGATAGAACAATTTATATTCCTTTGGGTATATACCCAGTAATGGGATTGTGGAGTCAAGTGGTAGTTCTATTTTCAGCTGTTTTAGGAATTGCCACAGTGTCTTCCACAATGATTGAATTAATTTACACCCCCACCATCAATGTATAAGTATTCCCTTTTCTCCGCAACCTTGCCAGTATCTGTTATTTTGTGACTTTTGAATCATAGCCTTCTGACTGGTGTGAGACGGCATCTCATTGTGGTTTTGATTTGCATTTCTCTAATAATCAGTGATGCTGAGCTTTTTTCATATGCTTGTTGGCCTAATGCATGTCTTCTATAGAAAAGTGTTTGCTCATGTTCTTTGCCCAGTTTTTAATGTGGTTGTTTATTTTTTGCTTGTAAATTTAAGTTCCTTATAGGTGCTGGATATTAGATCTTTGTCAGATACACAGTTTGCAAAATTTTCCTCCCATTCTGTAGGTTGTCAGTTTACTCTGTTGATAGTTTTCATTTGTTTGTTTTTGTTGTTGTTGTTGTTGTTATTGTTTTTGCTGTGCAGACACTCTTTAGTTTAATTAGATCCCAATTGTTAATTTTTGCTTTTGTCACAATTATTTTTGATGTCTTCACCATGAAATCTTTGCCTATTCCAATATCCAGGATGGTACTGCCTAGGTTGTCTTTCAGGGTTTTTACAGTTTGGGGCTTTTTTTTTTTTTTTTTTTCTGAGGTGGAGTCTCACTCTGTCGCCCAGGCTGGAGTGCAGTGGTGCCGATCTCAGCTCACTGCAACCTCTGCCTCCTGGGTTCAAACAATTCTCCTGCCTCAGCCTCCTGAGTAGCTGGAACTACAAGTGTGTGCCACCATGCTCGGCTAACTTTTTGTATTTGTATTTTTTTAGTAGAGACAGGGTTTCACCGTGTTAGCCAGGATGGTCTTGATCTCCTGACCTCATGATCCGCCCGCCTTGGCCTCCCAAAGTGCTGGGATTACAGGCGACAGCCACCATGCCCAGCCAGTTTTAGGCTTTACATTTAAGTCTTTAATCCATCTTGAGTTGATTTTTGTACACAGTGAAGGAAAGGGTCCAGTTTCAATCTTCTGCATATGGCTAGCCAGTTATTCCAACACCATTTATTGAATAGGGAGTCTTTTCCTCATTGCTTGTTTTTGTCAGCTTTGTTGAAGATCAGATGGATGTAGGTGTGTGATGTTATTTCTGGGCTCTCTATTCTGTTCCTTTGGTTTACATATCTGTTTTTGTACCAATACCATGCTGCTTTGGTTATTGTAGCCTGCAGTATAGTTTGAAATTGGGTAGCGTGATGCCTCCAGCTTTGTTCTTTTTGCTTAGGATTGCCTTGGCTATTCAGACTCTTTTTTTATTCTATATGAATTTTAAAATAGTTTTTTTCTAGTTCTGTGAAAAATGCCGTTGGTAGTTAGCAGCTTGTTTTTGTTTGTTCATTTGTTTTTGAAACAGAATGTTGGTCTGTGCCTTAAGTTTGAAAATCCTCCAAAATTTTCTGTCCTTTCACTGAATATGTGGTCTCTTGGTCACAATGCAGCACTGAATTCCCTGTTAATATGCATATCTTGGGTTCTTTTTATTCAGTACACACAGAGGTTGTTCCCTTGAAAATGAGTAGTCCAGTAAAATGCCCTTTGCAGAGTTATATCCCATATTTCTAGAAATAAATTCTACCAAATATTAGCACTACTGAATAACACTTTTAACAATGTTTAAACTTGCCTTTTTAGTTGAAAGCAAACATAAACTCAGCTGTAATATCTTAAGTTCAAATGCACTAATTTTCAATTTCATATCAAATTTCAAAATACTTTTAGGTTTCTATTCAACACTTTGGTTTTCATACACAAGCCACAGAGTATACTAAAACTCATTTGGGTGGCATGTTTCTCATATAAGTAAAGGTAAAGACTAAGGACAAGTAAGTTCTTTATTTTCTACCAGGGTGAATGGTAAAGTAGTAAAGATCAGTATTTCCTGGAAAAGGGGAAAATTGCTTTCAGCAGGAGTTTACAAATCCACTTGGCCATTAAACATTTTTCACAGATGACATCAAAAGTGTTATTCACATAAATGCATGGGAATTTTTTTCCAATGTATGTAGGTGTTATTATGTTAAATAAAACACAGACCCACTTAAACATCATTTAATTTATGGTAGGCTTTTCAACAAGCTGGCCAGATTTGGTTGATGTTTCTCAAAAACTACTAAAATTTCAATAAAGTGAATGTCTGTGAAGTGCTTTGAAATTTAAAAGAGCTGTTGAATGTGTGCAAAGATTTAGCTATAGGGATGTTCAATGAATCACTGATTATCACAAAGAAAATGTGGAACAACCTAAATATGCAATAATAGGAGTTTGATTAAATACATTATACTATATCCATAATAATTTTGCCCTTTTGGTTGCAAGAATCACAGATACAGTCAGACAATTTCAGAATAATAGGTGCTTTTGCAAAGAAGCATTAGCATCTCTGCTGCAGGGCGTAGTCCTAACTCCTACCCTTCTCCTCTCAAGGTGGTTTATTGGTATAATTTTTAAAGACACCAGTGCCCCCTGTTTTTCCCTAACTTAGCAGAGAAGATCTGACAAACCTATTCAGTCACTATCATGTATGAAGCATCTCTCATATTCATAAAGTGTGGGCAAGAGGCTGGTATAGGGTAATAGACTTTCCCAACTATAATAGGATAAGAGTGATTGTAGCTATCAAAAATATGACAGATCTTTCAAAAGTATGTGAAATTATTAATTTAATGATGACCCGTAAGTCATGATTTTATACTATTTGGCATAGCTTCACAAAACACAATTTTCATATGTATTGAAAACTAAAGCAAAGGAAAAGTATAAAAATTTTTGTGTAACTGAACTGACATGATATCAGTCATAAAATCTCTGCTTGACAATCTCATCTGTCATTCTTTCAAAAATAACTTATTTATTAATGTCAACAGTGATGCTGCTTTGCACTGTATTGAATATAAATCTGTTGTTCTTTTGGCATTTGGGCTAAGGTTGGCTAAATTATCTTAGTAAATAAATTAGCAAAGCACCTTTTTTTTTTTCTTTTTGGCAATCTCTCTCTATAATTCCTCTTTACCTGTATCAGTTTTTCTCTTTTCCTCATATTTCTCAAATATATATCACCATTGGTTCTTCTTTCTCTTGATTGAGAATTTCTGAGAAATGTTGGTCCATAGTAACCAGTATTCCAAGGTTAGATGAAATAACCAGGACTTAGTGAGAAATGATTGTTCAGTACCATGGATAGCAGAACACTTATTTCCCCAAATACTAACACATACTCCTCCAAATTTTAGCTGCACCATTGAAAACATTTCTTTCAACATGTCTTTGGCTCAGGCTATTATTTTCAGGCCAAGAAGTTCTAGTCAGACTAGCCAGGCTGGCTATACTTTTTAAACTATCTGTGGCAAAGGATCAAGATTTTTCCCACCACTCGATCTACCGTGTACCAATATGTTCATCATGGAAACTGAACAACCTGCTCCTGAATGACTACTGGATACATAACGAAATGAAGGCAGAAATAAAGATGTTCTTTGAAACCAACAAGAACAAAGACACAACATACCAGAATCTTTGGGACACATTCAAAGCAGTGTGTAGAGGGAAATTTATAGCACTACATGCCCACAAGAGAAAGCAGGAAAGATCTAAAACTGACACCCTAACATCACAATTAAAAGAACTAGAGAAGCAAGAGCAAACACATTCAAAAGCTAGCAGAAGGCAAGAAATAACTAAGATCAGAGCATAACTGAAGGAAATAGAGACACAGAAAAACCTCCAAAAAATAAATTTATAAAAAGTTAAAGCAAACACACAAAATACAAGTAGTAATTTCTTTTTTATTATTACATAAAAAACAAACATAATATAGTCTGCCAAAATTGCTGTGACAGTTTTAAACAGCCCTGTGATGGCATCCAGTTGATAAAAGTGAGTAGAGCCCCAGTATGTGAGAGAGGCAGAGAGTTTCCCTCTGTGACTTACCTTTCCACTGGAGATCCAAGCAACCCAGGCCAAGAGAGAGCACTTTGCTTCTCCTAATCCCTGGAGTTAGCTTAGGGAGAGTCTTGGAGAAACTGTGAAGGAAAGACACCAGGAAAAGTGGCAGAAGTTTTCTCAGACCCTGGATGAGAGTAGGATGCCATTTTAAATCTGGGTGCATACAAAGTCAGCCATGCTTTGGTGCCCTAGCACCATGGCTACAGAGGCACTTTAGTCTTGTGCCAGAGATTGAAGCATCTTATCTGGAGTGGGGTGGGGGCCTCCACAGCCAGAACTGTAAAAAAGTGTCTCAGCAGTAGTCTCTGGAATTGTGCTCTCTCCCATCACAGGCAGGAGGAGAGCTGCTACAGTTGCGGTTTCTTCTGAGCAGCAAGACTTGCAGCCAGGGCCAGCTTGGCAATCTGGAACTGATCTGTGTGTGCCATTGCTGAGTGCCCCATCCTCCTCCCCTGAGATCGTGGTGCAACAGAGCCCTCCCTGCTCCATTCCTAGGCAGAAATCTGGGTATTTGGAACACCTGCTTGCCTGGACCGGTGGTCTGAGCCACACCACCCTTCCTTGATGTATATGGTGGTACAGAGAGGGTCTCTGTGCTCCATGCCCAAGCAGATTTCTAGGCATTCAGAGCGCTCATTCACCTGGTTCAGCAGCCTGAGCCACCTACCCTCCTTGTGCAAAGACTGGTACAGAGGGACCCTCTCTGCTACATGCCCAGGAAGATCTCCAGGCATTCAGAGCGCCTGCTTGCTTAGTTCAGCAGCCAGAGTCACCCCACCCCTCATGTGCAGAGATCTTTGTGCAGCGGGGCTCTCTCTGCTCCACACCCAAGAAGATCTCTAGACTTTTGGGGCATTGCTCACCAGGACCACCAAGACTGTCCAAAGATCTTGGTGCAAGGAATCCCTCTCTGTTCACACTCAGGCAGATCACCAGACATTCTGAGCATACAGTCATCTGGTTCAGCAGCCTGAGCTGCCCCACCATTTATGGACATAGATCATGGTATAGTAAGACCCTTTCTGCTCCATGCTCAGGCAAATCTCCAGGCATTTAGAATACCTGCTTGCCTGGTGTGGCAACCTGGGTTGCACAACCCCTTCTGTTCGTAGATATTGGTGCAGGAAGGCCCTCTCTGCTCCACACCCAGGAAGATCTGCAGGCATCTGAAGCACCCACTCTCCTGGATTAGGAACCTGGAACACAGAACTTGGAGCAAAGGTGGTTTCCTGACTCCACATTTAGACACACTTCTGGGTGCCTGGTAGCCACCCACTGGATTCTCACTTGATACTGGTGCTTGTGCTTGCATCAGGGGACCTCCAGGCAGACCTGCCCAACTGGTCCCACCCTTTATGGCTCCTACCCCCACAGTGCTGAGCAGGGACCTCAGACCAATGTGTATTCTATGAATCAACCCATTGCCTGGGCAACAGAGAACTTCCACTTCTAAATACAGATACCAGCCACTTTGACCACAGCTGGCTGTTATCTACAGGCTTGTAGGACAAACTTCACAGCCCAATATAAAACCTGTTGAAAGAAGTGCATACTGCTATAGAAGAAAAACTGAAAGACCCTCCTCAGCATTCTTCACAGTCACACCCCATAAAGCACGTAAGGGAAAGAGAATAATAGTAATGACATTATAAGGAAAGAAAGATAAAGGAAAAGTCCTACCTGTATGAAAAAAAATACAAAAATTAGAAGTGCCAGTGTCTCCAGGTGAGAAGCAACCAGCACAAGAATTCTAGCACCATGAAAAAACCTGAATGTAGTGAAACCACCAAAAGATTGAGCTACCTCTCCAGCAATGGTCCCTAGCCAAAATGGAAACTCAGAAATAATAAATAAAAATTCAAAGCGTGGATTGCAAGGAAGCTCATTCAGATCCAAGACAAGGTTGAAAATCAACAAAAGGAAATTTCTAAAGCAACCCAGGAAATGAACAAAAAGATAAACATCTTAAAAAGAAATCAATCAGAGCTTCTGGAATTGAAAAACTCACGTAAAGAATTCCAAAATACAAATGAAATCTTTATCAATAGACTGAACCAAGCAGAAGAAAGAATTTCAGAGATTGAAGAGTGGTCTTTTGAACTAACCCAATATGGCAAAAATAAATATGAAGAATTTTAAAAATGAGCAGTCCTCATGAAATATGGGATTATGTAAGAGGACTAAATGTATGAATTATTGGCATTCCTGAGAGAGAAGGAAAAAAACAAACAACCTGGAAAATATAGTTGAAAGAATAATTCAAGTAACATGCCTAATCTAGCTAGGAAGATAGATGTCCAGATACAAGACATTCAGAGAATACCTGTGAGATACTATGCAAAACAAATATCAAGCCATGTAGACTACAAACCATGTAGTCACCAGATTGAGCAAGGTCAACGCTAAAGAAAAAATCTTAAAGACTGCTAGAGGTTTTCCTTAGGCAAAGATCTTAAGATCTTTCCTTAGGTAAAGATCTTAAAGATCTGCTAGAGGACAGATCATGTACAAAGAGAACCCCATCAGGCTAATAGAGGACTTATCACCAGAAACCTTACAAGCCAGGAGAGACTGGGGGCCTATTTTCAGCATTCTTAAAGAAAAGAAATTCCAACCAAGAATTCTATATCTCAACAAAGGTTTATAAGTGAAAGATAAATAAAATATTTTCCAGACAAACAAGTCCTAGGGGAATTCATTACCACTAGACCAGCCTTAAGAGAGATCCTTAAGGGAGTTCTAAACATGGAAATGAAAGAACGATACCTGTAACCGCAAAAACACACTTAAGTACATAGCCTGCAGACCATATAAAGCAACTACACAATAGAAACTACAAAGCAACCAGCTAACAACCTCATGGTAGGATCAAAGCCTCACTTATCAATATTAACCTTAAATTTTAATGGTCTCAATGCACGACCTAAAAGACACAGAGCTGCAAGGTTGATAAAAATACAAGACTCACTTCTTATCCAAGAAAACACCAAATAGCAGATGACGCTGGTGGAGCGAGGGGGCCCGGAGGACTCGGGGGCCCTGGGATGGGGAACCACAGTGGCTTTCGTGGAGGTTTTGGCAGTGGCATCTGGGCTGTGGTCACAGCCATGGACAGAGCTGGGGCTGAGGCCACGGAGCTCACTGAGGCAAGGCCGAGGATGAGTGGATGCCCGTCACCGAGCTGGACCTCCTAGTCAAGGACATGAAGATCAAGTCCCTGGAGGAGATCTACCTCTTCTCCCTGCCCATCAAAGAATCAGATATCATTGACTTTTTCTTGGGGGCCTCTCTCAAGAACAAGGATTTGAAGATTATGATGGTGCAGAAGCAGACCCACGTCGGCCAGCACACCAAGTTCAAGGTGTTTGTTGCCATTGGGGACTACAATGGCCACATCGGTCTGGGTGTTAAGTGCTCCAAGGAGGTGGCCACTGCCATCTGCGGGGCCATCATCCTGGCCAAGCTCTCCATTGTCCCTGTGTGCAGAGGCTACAGGGGTAACAAGATCTGCAAGCCCCACACTGTCCCTTGCAAGGTGACAGACCGCTGCAGCTCTGTGCTGGTGCACCTCATCCCTGAGTCCAGGAACATTGGCATCATCTCAGCCCCTGTGCCCAAGAAGCTGCTCATGATGGCTGGTATCAATGACTGCTACACCTTAGCCAGGGGCTGCACTGCCACCCTGGGCAACTTTTCCAAGGCCACCTTTGATGCCATCTCTAAGACCTACAGCTACCTGACCCCCAACCTCCGGAAGGAGACTGTATTCACCATGTCTCCCTATCAGGAATTCACTGAGCACTTCTTCAAGACCCACACCAGAGTCTCCATGCAGAGGACTGAGGCTCCAGCTGTGGCTACAACATAGGATTTTTATACAAGAAAAATAAAGTGAATTAAGCCTGAAAAAAAAATACAAGGCTCATCAGTCTGCTGTGTTCATGAAACCCATCTTACGTGTAAAGACACCCACAGGCTCAAAGTACAGGGTTGGAGAAAGATCTACCATGCAAACAGAGAAGAAATAAAAGCAGCGGTCACAGCCCAGGTGCTGTGGCTCACACCTCTAATCCCAGCACTTTGGGAGGCCAAGGCAGGCAGATCACTTGAGCCCAAGATTTCAAAACAAGCCTGGACAACATAGGAAGGCCCCATCCTTTAAATAATAAACAAAAAAGCAGGGGTCACTATTCTTCTATCTGATAAAACATACTTTAAGCCAACAACAGTAAAAAAAAGACAAAGAAGGCCATTACGTAATGATAAAGGGTTCAATTCAACAAGAAGTCTTGACTCTCATAAATATGTATGCATCAACTTTGGAGCAACCAGATTTATAAGCCTGCTAAAAGACTTAGACAGCCACACAATAATGGTAGGGGTCTTCAACCCCCAACTGACAGCAGTAGACAGGTCATGAAGGCAGCAAACTAACAAAGAAACTCTGAACTTAAACTCAACACTTGACCAACTAGACCTAATGAAGGTCTAGAAAACACTCAACCCACAAACCACAGAGTATGCATTCTTCTTATCTGCACATGGAACATACTCCAAGATTGACCACATGCTCTACCATAAAGTAAGTCTCAATGAAATAAATATCAAATCAACCATACTCTCAAACCACAATAGAATAAAAATAGAAATCAATACCAAGAAAATCTCTTAAAACTACACAATTACATGGAAAGTAAATAATTTGATCCTGAATGACTTTTGGGTAAACAATGAAATCAAGGCAGAAATTTAAAAATTATTTGAAATAAATGAAAACAGAGACACAACATACCAAAATCTCTGGGATTCAGCAAAAGCAGTATTAAGAGGAAAGTTTATAGTGCTAAATGCTTACCTCAAAGAGTTAGAAAGATCTCAAATTAACGATCTAATATCACATCTAGAGGAACTAGAAAAACAAGAACAAACTAACCCCAAAGTTCTCAGAAGAAAAGAAAGAACTAAAATTAGGGCAGATATTGAGAATCAAATTGAGACCCAAAAATTCATACAAAGTATCAACAAAACTAAAAGTTGGTTCTTTGAAAGGATAAACAAGATCAATACACTAGATTAACAAAGAAAAGAAGAGAGAAGATCCAAATAAGCACAATCAGAAATGACAAAGAATGACATTACAACTGATCCCACCAAAATACAGAAAATCCTTGGAGACCATTATGAACCTCTCTACACACAAAAACTAGAAAATCTAGAGGAAATGATAAATTCTGGGAAACACACAATTTCCCATGATTAAATCAAGAAGAAATTGAAACATTGAACAGACCAACATCAAGTTCTGAAATTGAATCAGTAATAAAATAAAAACTACCAACCAATAAAAGCCCCAGACAAGAGGGATTTACAGCCAAATTCTACCAGATGTACAAAAAGCTGGTACCAATTTTACTGCACCTATTTCAAAAAATCAAGAAGGGAGTCCCTTCTAACACATTCTACAAAGCCAGCATCAGGCCAATACCAAAACCTGGCAAAGACACAATGAAAAAAAGAAAATTGCAGGCCAACATTCCTGATGAACATAGATGCAAAAATGTTCAACAAAATGCTAGCATACTGAATTCAGAAACACATCAAAAAGCTAATTCACCATGATCAAGTAGACTTCATTCCTGGAATGCAAGGCTGATTCAATGTACACAAATCAATAAATGTGACTCACCACATAAAGAATTAAAAACAAAAACAATATGATTATCTCAGACACAGGGAAAGCTTTTGATAAAATCCAACAATTTTTTGTGATAAAAACCCTCAAGAAACTAGGCATCAAAGGAACATACTTCAAAATAATAAAAGCAATCTATGACAAACCCACAGTCAGCATCATACTGAATGGGCAAAAATTGGAATCATTCCCCTTGAGAAATGGAACAAAACAAGGATGCCCACTCTCACCACTCCTATTCAACATAGTACTGGAATTGGTAGCCAGAGCAATCAGGCAACAGAAAGAAATAAAAGGCAACCAAATAGGAAAAGAAGTCAAACTATCTCTCTTCATGGACAATATGATTCTATACATTGACAACCCTAAAGACTCCACCAAAAGCCTCTTGGAACTGATAAATGACTTCAGCGAAGTTTCAGGATACAAAATCAATGTACAAAAATTAGTAGCAGTTTTATACACCAATAGCATTCAAGCTGAGGGCCAAAACAAAAATGCAATCCGATTTACAATAGCCACACACACAAAAAAATACCTGGAAGTACATCTAAACAAAAGAAGAACTACAAAACACTGCAAAAAGAAATCAGATGACACACACAAATGAAAAAACATTCCATGCTCATAGATTAGAAGAATCAATATCATTAAATTGGCCATGCTGCCCAAAGCAATCTACACTTTTAATACTACTCCTATCAAGCTACCAACATCATTTTTCACAGAGCTAGAAAAAAAACTATTCTAAAATTTATACAGACCAAAAAAGAGCCCAAATAGTCTAAGCAATCCTAAAAAGAAAGAACAAAGCCAGAGGCATCACATTACACAACTTCAAACTACACTATATGCTACAGTACCAAAACAGCATGGTACTCTTACGAAAAGAGACACGTAGACCAATGGAACAGAATAGAGAACCCATAAATAAAGCCTATGCCATCTGATGTGTAGAACACCTAAAGCCATCTGATCTTTGACAAAGTTGACAAAAATAAGCAACAGGGAAATAATTGCCTATTCAGCAATAAATAGGACTGGGATAGCTTTCCAGCCATATGCAGAAGAATGAAACTGGATCCCATATACTACAATTAACTGTATACAAAAATTAACTGAAAATTGATTAAAAATTTAAACATAAGACTTCAAACTATAAGAATTCTAGAAGAAAACCTAGGAAACACCAATCTGGACATCGGCCTGGGGAAAGTATTGATGACTAAATTCTCAAAAGCAATTTTAACAAAAACAAAAAATGACAAGTGGACCTAATTAAACTAAAGAGCTTCTGCACACCGAAAGAAACTATCAACAGAGTAAACAGACAACCTAAAGACAGGGAGAAAATGTTCACAAACTGCACCTGACAAAGGTCTAATATCTAGAATTCACATGAAACTTAAACAATTGAACAAGCAAAAAACAAATAATCCCATTAAAAATAGGCAAAATACATGAACAGACACGCCTCAAAAGAAGACACACAAGAAACATGAAAAGATGCTCATCATCACTAATCATCAGAGAAACGCAAAACAAAACCACAATGAGATAGCATCTCACACCAGTCAGAACGGCTGTGACTAAAACATCAGTAAACAACAGATGTTGGCGAGGCTGTGGAGAAAAGGGAATGTTCCTACACTGTTGGTGGGAATGTAAATCAGCTCTGCCAATACAGAAAGTAGTTTTGAGATTTCTCAAAGAAGTTAAAACAGAAGTGTCATTTGACCATGCAGTCTCATTAATGAGTATATATCAAAAAAAAAAAAAATTCTACCAAAAAGACACATGTACTCACATGTTCATCACAGCACTATTTGTGATAACAACATCAAGGAATCAACCTAGGGGCCTATCAGCAGTGGAATGGATAAAGAAAATATGGCACATATAGACTATGGAATACTATGCAGCCATAGAAGAGAACAAAATTATGTCCTTTTCTGCAACATGGATGCAGCTGAAGGCCATTATCCTAAGCAAATTAACACAGGAACAGAAAACCAAGTCCTGACCATTCTCACTTATAAGTGGCAGATAAACATCCAGTACTCACGGACATAAAGATGGCAACAACAGACAATGGGGACTACTCAAGGGGAGAGGGAGAGGGTGGGGCAAGGTTTGAAAAACTAACTGTTGGCTACTGTGATTAATACCTAGGTAATGGGATCATTTGTATCCCAAACCTCAGCATCACACAATATATCCAGATAACAAACCTGTGTATGTACCCCCAAATCAAAACTAAAAATTGAAAAAGAAAAAAAAAGTTTTAAAGGCAAATCCTCCATTGATATACTTACTTTGTTACATATAACGCCATAGACAATTTATTCCCCTCCCCCGCCCAAATTTGTTTGCCGAAACGTAATCCCCAATGTGACAATATTTGAAGGTAAAGCCTTCAGGAGGTTATTTGTTCCCTTATAAAGGAGGCCCCAGAGAGATCCTCCTCCCCTCCCACCATGTGATGACACAGCAAAATGATGACCATCTATAAACCATCATGCACCAAATCTAATAGTGCCTTGATCTTTGACTTCCCAGCTCCCAGAGCTGTGAAAGATAAATTTCTGTTGTTTATAAGCTATCTAGTCCATGTTTTTTTTATAGCTGGCTGAACAAACTATAATAGATGACTTATAAGTAGTTTTCACACTGGCCTTATTCCACAGACCAGTCTTTGAATAGTAATGACTAAAAAAATTAGGACTTTTTGTCTCTCAATGGGTTCTATAATTAGCAACCACAATAATGTTTCAAGTACCCAAAAAATGTCATATAATGCAATCACTTAAAATGAATATAAGCAAAGAATATTTACTGATGTGCTGAGTTTCTTCCATACATTAATGGGAAAAAGCATATTAGAAAACAGTATGATCCCACTTTTATTAAAGAACAAGAGCAGGTTTAAAGAGTCAGAAAGTATAATAGTGGTTACTTCTGGGTAATGGACTTATAAGGATTTTTTTTCCTTTGTTGTTTATGTTTCATTAGCTATATATGCTAATTTTGTACAGTGGTCATATATTTCTTTTATCTAAATATTAGGACTCATTGAAATGGATTACTATTTTAAAATTGATTATTCATTCAATATTTTTATATTTCAATCTAGGGTCTGTTACTGAGTCCCTAAGTGCTTTTATAAATGGCTGGATAGGCACCTCTGTAAATAAAGTACGTAGCCTTAGAGGCTGAAACAATGTAAGTGCACAGGAAACATTTATTGTAAGAAAATGAAAGGAGTGAAGTTCTTTGGTTCTTATTTTTAAAGCATTATGTGTCAAAAATGTATTTGGTTGAGTGTCATCAATTTCATGTGGCCTAACCTAATGTTAAGTGGAGTTACAGCTAAGTAAAATGTTCTGTCCCGCTTTGAGTTAACAATCAATCATGTGCTTACACTAAATGGTGGATAATCATTACTTTTATTTATTTTATAAAAATGTAGTTTGGTATCTCCATTTAGAAAAAAAATTACTTCATTAAAATGAATCAACTTAAATTGACATGGGCTTGTTACTCTAAATTTCTACTTGATTTCCTTATTGTAAATTATCTTCAATAAATTAATCCTTATCTCCCTAGGCCAGGTCTTTGACATGTCTGGAACAAAACTCAGCCAAATATTAAAATGGGAGGACAGAAACAGTTCAACTGAAACATATTAGCAAAATCTAAGTTGGATGAATTTATGCTTTTTAGGATGCAGAGCACTCATGAAATTGACATTTGTAAAGCAGCATTTGTAGCATATTGATTAAAAATATTCAATATATGGATTTTTTAAACAGTGAACCACTCATTACTCTAATGCCTCATTAATATGGTGTCAATCTATTCAGAACAATGCATAATAGCAGTGCACTTTCTCAGCATGTTATTCTATTGTTCAATTTGAAAAACAACAACAACAACAAATAATCTCAAGCCTTTTCCTTAAATGTTGGGGGTTTGTTTTTCAAATTATATGGGTTTTGTGGTACTAGAAGTTCAAATTTTACTAATGTAAACTACATTTCTCTAACTAAAGAATCATGGTCAATGTAGAGAAAATTATTATTATAGAAGAAATTGAATCAGAAAAACACCTTTCAAAACCTCCTAATTCCCTGCCCTGTCCACAAAAGAGATGGAAGGCAAGGAGGTCACCACAAGACACTCAGAGCAGCATTTGCTGCAGCAACTAAAATAATGGGAGACTCATTCCGTTCTTCCTTATTTACCTGGAAATATAAGTAGGAAAAGATATTTTATTTTATAATTAAAATATTTTATTCTAATATTTGCTAGGGACAGGAAGATAGAATAGGGAGGAAGGCAAATATATGATGCCCGATGGATTCTTTGGAATAAAATTCCATAGGGAATGTTCCTAGTATTAGGAAAAATCATTTTTAACATATAGTAAGCAAGTTACTTGGGATGTCATAAGTAGGATAGAAGTCATATGAAAGTTATAATAGAAGTCCTTTTTTCTTAGGGTAAATAAATATAAGTAGGAAAAGATATTAATTTTTTTATTTATTAAAATATTTTATTTATATAAAATAAAAGTAGGAAAAGATACCCTCAAAATTCATCTCACTGTGCCAGCAGGGAGCCGTTGAGGAAAAGTCTATTTTCAGTAGGGAAGCTTGGAAAGAGCTGGCCAAGTTGCAATTCTCTCAAGAAAGTAACACCTGCAGAGAGCACACATTACTCATATTTGGGATACTCATGACACATCATCTAGCCCCCTCCTCCCTGCATGTTAGCACACGGTGAGCACACCCACTTTCCAGTGACTTCTTGGTGTTTTGCTTACAGAAGCCTACATTCAGCATATGAATCATCTAGCCCTCCGCAAGAGGCTGCCTGGAAAGAATAAGGTTTTAGAGAACCAGCCCTATGGATTGATCATTGGTTCTGACCACACAACTATTATGACAAGTGAAATAGAATAACAACAAACGGCTATGATTTTTGTCTTTGTGGATGGATTTCATGGGGGGGAGGGCAGCAGTAGAAAGTATAAATGACATGAAAGAAAGAATATTAAGCTCCAAAATTGTGCTTAAGTAAATCTGGAATAAAAAACTGCAGCAGGTTCTTATTGCTCAATTCCAGCCCATTTGCAGAGAATAAAAAGGCAAAGCAATGTGGGTGAAAAGCAAGGAATTTGCCACCTTAGCTTTGAATACTATTTCATTTATGAGTTTAACTGTTTCCCCACCAGCCTTCACTAATTTCACTTGATCTCCATCAAGAAAGATGGAGAAGGTTTTGATGAGCAAGGCAGCACTGACAAAATTAGATGTAGGATTAAAAAAGAAAACCAATCCACAATGTAATGAATTACTAAATTTAAAGACAACTAGTGAATTCCTGGGCAAGCATGATGGATGCATTCAAACATAGATTCTTGAATTTGCCACAATCCTATGCCCCATAGCTATGACTTTTCACCAAAAAGCAAATTTTTAAGAGCCAAATTTGCCATCGATGTGAGTGGGTTGCATCTTATAGTCTTTGAACAAAAAGGACAATTATAGGTACATTGAGTTCCTGGTTCCTTGGAAACTAATGGTTTCATTCTCTGCAGATTGATCACGTCAAATTCATCAGGTTCATTTCCAAAAATAAAAATCCCCTGTATGAGGGAAATTGTGGATTTCATGTCAGTCTTCTCAGGAAATATTTATTTTATTTCAAACTATAATTCCAGTTGATCTGCCTAGCAGAAACAAGTGAAATTGCTTCTGTTATCATTGAGATAGAGTGATTTCCATTTTCAAATATTCCAAATGGCATTTACTTGTGGTAACTGTAATAATAGAGTAATACATTTACAGCAATGTGATAGCAATATAGAACTACTCTGAAACACATGCTGTATATCTCATTTCTTTAGCCTATAAGATATCAAAATGCCAAACATTACATACATATGTAATTCTCCTACTTACCACATTCCAGGTAACTTGCTTACACTGTATGTTAAAAATGATTTTTTCCTAATACTAGGAACTTTCCCTATGGAATCTTATTCAAAAGAATCCACCTGGCATTATATATTTGCCTTCTTCTCTATTCTATCTTCCTGTTCCTAGTAAAAAAAAAAAAAAAAAAAAAGCACCGATTGAGAAGGAAGTGTGGTAAGGAACAGAAAATAGCATCATCTGTCTTCACTTACAGAAAGGCCTTGCACTGTAAGTATTCATCAGACATTTGTTGGATGTTTTCCATAATCACCTCATACCTGTGAGGATGGCTATTATCAAAATGTCAAGAGAAAACAAGTGTGCACAAGGTTGTGGAGAAAAGAGAAACCTTGCACACTGTTGATGGGAGTGTAAATTGCTAGAGCCATAGGGAAAAACAGAATGGAGGCCTCTCAAAAAATTAAAAATAAAACTACCATATAATCCAGCAATCTTTTATCTGGGTATATACCCAAAGGAAATGAAATAAGCAACTCCAAGGGACGTCAGCTTTCCATGTTCATTGCAGCACTATTCACAATAGCCAAGACATAAAAACAATCTAAGTTTCTGTTGATTGAAAAATTGATTAAAATAATTAGGGTACTATGTATATATACAATGGAACATTATTCATCCTTAAATAACAACATGGATGAACCTGGAGAACAAGACATTATGCTAAGTGAAATAAGCCAGACACAGAAGGACAAATACTATATGGACTTACTTGTATGTGGAATCTGAAAAAAAAGGTGAATACATATAGAATATTGATAAAAGAAAAAGTTAGGCAGAATTAAATTTAAAGTTTAATTGAGCAACAAACGATTCGCAAATAGGGCATCCCCCAGAATCACAGCAGATTCACAGAGACTCCAGCACAGCCACGTAGTGAAAGAAGATTTACAGACAAAAAAAAAAAAAGGAAATGACATACAGAAATCAGCAGTAAGGTACAGAAACAACTAGAATGGTTACAGCTTGGCATTTGCCTTATTTGAACAGTTTGAACACTTAGCAGTCTATGAGTGGCTGAAGTATGGCCACTGGGATTGGCCAAGACTCAGTTATTGTTACAGGTGCATACTCCTAAGCTTGGTTTTCAGTTTTGTCTGACTTTTAAGCTAGGTTACAGTTCATCCACATGGACTCATATATAGAAGTATGGAGTCCTTCTCAGACCATATTTAGTTTGCTTTAACAGTATAATGGTGCATACCATGGACAGGGAAGAGGAGGAAATGAAGAGACATAGGTCAAAGGGAGCAAACTTGTGGTTATATAGGATGAACAGACCAAGAGATCTACTGTACAGTAGGAGGACTATCATTAATAACATTGTATTGCAATACTGAAAATTTACTGAGAGTAGATGCTCTTACTATAGAAATAAAAATATGGAAAGTGATGGATATGTTAAATTGCTTACCTATAGTAATCATTTCATTATGGCTATGTATAGCAAAACCTCATGTTATACACCTTACATTTATACAATGAAAATAGTATTGTACCAGTGTTAATTTCTTAGTTTGGCAAATGCACCATGGTAATCTAAGATGTTACAGTAGGGCAAATTGAGTAAAGAATGTACAGGAACTCTCTGTACTATCTTTGCTACTCTTCTGTAAGTCTAAAATTATCCTAAAATAAAATGGTTCTGCCCCTAACAAACTTTTGTCATCATTTTCACTGCCCCAGAGGATCAGACTAAGTTACCTCCAAGGCTCCTTTTAATTTTAAATTGACAATTTATGATTCAAGTAAGGATCACTTCCTGTGTGAAACATTATTTTATTTATCCAGCTAAATACAATATTGCTTTTTCAGTTCCCTTCTCTTTTTCTTGTCATGCTCTCTATGTTATACATCTATGTTCATGTCTTATGGCTCCTATTATATTTGCTAGTTCTCTAAGCGATGCTGCATTTTTAACTTGATATTTCCTACAGCCCTATGGCAGTGGCCTGCATTCAGGAAATTCCCTCTAAAATTGAATGAATTACAAAAGCAATATTCCTGCCAATGAAAAGGTTTTGTACTATGAGGAATTTACCAGTTTTTCCTCTCCTGAATATTAAAGACCCTCTGCCAGAAGTAGCTTAAGGAAACGACTCTTTCCCATTCTCTATTCAGATCCTCTCCACTTTTGGTTTCTAGCCCTTCATCCTGTGTTGGCCAAAATGATTTGACTACTTTATAGAAAGCTGTCGTTTTACCAAGAACACAATTTTTAAGCCTTTCCATCCATAAATGTTTCATTTAATTCTTAAAGTTTAGGCCAGGCATGGTGGCTCATGCCTGTAATCCCAGCACGTTGGGAGGCCAAGGCAGGCAGATTGTCTGGGCTCAGGATTTCAAGACCTGCTAGGGCAACATGGTGAAACTCTGTCTCTACAAAAAGTACAAAAATTAGCTGGGTGTGTCGTGTGTGCCAATATTCCCAGCAACTTGGGAGGCTGGGGTGGGAGGATTGCTTGAGCCTGAGAGGTTAAGGCCATAGTGAGCCATGATCGCACTACTGCACTCTAGCCTGGGTAACAGAGTTACATGCTGTCTCAAAAAAAATTTTTTTTTAAATAAAAAAACTACCAAGCCAGCACTACAAGAACTGCTAAAAGGAGCTCTAAATCTTGAAACAAATCCTCAAAATACATCAAAACAGAACCCCCTCAAAGCATAAGTCTCACAGGACCTATAAAACAACAATAAAGAAAAAAAAGGTATTCAGGCAACAAATAGCACAATGAATAGAATGGTACCTCCCATCTCAATACTAACATTGAATGTAAACAGCCTAAATGCTCCACTTAAAAGATACAGAATGGCAGAATGGATAAGAATTCACCAACCAAGTATCTGCTGCCTTCAAGAGACTCACCTAACACATAAGGACTCACATAAACTTAAGGTAAAGGGATGGAAAAAGACATTCCATGCAAATGGACACAAAAAGCAAGCAGGAGTAGCTATTCTTATATAAGACAAAGCAAACTTTAAAGCAACAATGTTAAAAAAAATAAAGAGAAACATTATATAATGATAAAAGGCCTTGTTCCACAGGAAAGTATCACAATCCTATATACATATATATATATATGCACCTAACACTGGAGCTCCCAAATTTATAAAACAATTGCTACTAGACCTAAGAAATGAGATAGACAGCAGCATAATAATGGTGGGAGACTTCAATATTCCACTGACAGCACTAGACAGGTCATTAAGACAGAACGTCAACAAAGAAACAATGGATTTAAACTATACCCTGGAACAAATGGACTTAACAAATATTTACAGAACATTCTCCCCATCAACCACAGAATATGCATTCTACTCATCAGCACATGGAACATTCTCCAAGATAGACCAGATGATAGGCCACAAAACAAGTCTCAATAAATTTAAGAAAATTGAAATTATATCAAGCACTCTCTCAGACCACAATGGAATAAAATTGGAAATCAACTCCAAAAGGAACTTTCAAAACCATGCAAATACATAGAAATTAAATAACCTGCTCCTGAATGATCATTGGGTCAACAATGAAATCAAGACAAAATTAAACAATTATTTGAACTGAACAATAATAGTGACACAACCTATGAAAACCTCTGGGGTACAGCAAAGGCTGTGCTGAGAGAAAACTTCATAGCCTTGAATGCCTACATCAAAGAGTCTGAAAGAGCACAAATAGACAATCTAAGGTCACACCTCAAGGAACTAGAGAAACAAGAACAAACCAAACTCAAACCTAGCAGAAGAAAGGAAATAACTAAGATAAGAGTAGAACTGAATGAAGTTGAAACAAAAAAGCATGCAAAAGATAAATGAAACAAAAAACTGGTTCTTTGAAAGGATAAATAAAACTGATAGACCATTAGTGAGATTAACCAAGAAAAGAAGAGAGAAGATCCAAATAAGCTCAATTAGAAACGAAAAAGGAGATATTACAACTGACACCACAGAAATACAAAAGGTCATTCAAAGTTACTATGAACACCTTTATGTGCATAAATTAGAAAACCTGGAGGAGATGGATAAATTCCTGGAAATATACAACCCTCCTAGCTTAAAGCAGGAAGAATTAGAAACCCTGAACAGGCCAATAACGAGCAGTGAGATTGAAATGGTACAAAAAAAAATTGCCAACAACAAAAGTCCAGGACTAGACGGATTCACAGGTGAATTCTATCAGTCTTTCAAAGAAGAATTGGTACCAATCCTGTTGACACTATTCCACAAAATAGAGAAAGAGGAAATCCTCCCTAAATCATTCTATGAAGCCAGCATCACCCTAATACCAAAACGGGGAAAGGACGTGACAGAAAACAAGAAAACTACAGACCAGTATCCCTGATGAATATAGATGCAAAAAGTCCTTAACAAAATACTAGCTAACTGAATACAACAGTATATCAAAAAGATAATTCACCATGATCAAATGGGTTTCATTCCAGAGAAGCAGGGATGGTTTAACATATACAAGTCAATAAATGTTTTACACTACATAAACTGAATTAGAAACAAAAAAAAATCTTAAAAGTCTAGGCTTTCTGCCTTTACTACACAGAGTTGATCAACTTCATCTGCTACTTTTTCTAGCTCTAAATCTGATTCACAATCATTACAACCCAGGAAACATAATAGGTGCAACACTCTTTTCTGACTCTTTAATAGATTGTTTCCATTTGGAAAAAAATCTCATTTATTTGTTGGATATGGAAGCTGTTTCATAAATTTTCCAGATCTGAGTGAGAAAAAGAATATTTAAGTGAAGATTACCCATAAAATTTTGAAACACACATCCCTTTTTTTTTCTTGGTAGAAGAATAAGATTTCAAATTTTATTTTCAAAAACCCATCATAGAAAATAATTTTTGTTTTCTGTATGCCTAGCAAGGAGAAAATCTAGATCCAGATTTAGAAAATCTGGACCGGCTAATTTTTGTATTTGTAGTAGAGATGGCATTTCACCACGTTGGCCAGGCTGGTCTCAAACTCCTGACCTCAGGTGATCCACTATCCTCAGCCTTCCAAAATTCTGGGATGACAGGTATGAGCCACCACACCTACAGCATGGGTGACAGAGTGAGATTCAGTCTCAAAAAAAAGAAAAGAAAAGAAAATCTGGACCATAGTCTGACATACTTCCTAATTGCCCGGAGAATTTATGAATTTATATTGAGTCTTAACAGTGAGGCCTTAGACAGTGATTCAGTTTCCTCAGTGCTAGTAATCAAATTCTATTGCTTGTGACAAACACAGAAGATAACTTTAGCAGATAATATAACATAGCAGATAACTAAGTGAACAAATACACTTTTCTATAGCAAGCATAATCTAGCAAATACTACCTTGTTTTTTATTGTGTAAGAACACTTAACATGAGATCTACCCTCTTAAAAAGTTAAGTGTATATTTGTTTTGTTAACTATAGGCACAATATTAAACAGCAGACCTCAAGAACTTATGATCTTGCATAACTGAAACTTTATAGCCTTTAAAATAGGAACTCTTCATTTTCTCTTCCCCCCAGCCTCTGGTAACCACAATTCTGCTCTCTGCTTCTGTGTTTGACTGTTTTAGATACCTCAGATAAGGGGAATCATGCAATATTTGTCCTTCTATGACTGGCTTATTTCACTTAGCAAAATATCTTCAAGTTTCATTCATGTAGTTGCATATCGTAGGACTTCCTCCTTTTAAGGCTGAATAATAACCCATTATATGCATATACCACATTTTCTTCATTTATTCATCCATCAGTGGACATTTCATTGTTTCCATATCTTGGCTATTGTGAATAACAGCTGCAGTGAACAAGAGAGTGCAAATATTTCTTCAAGATCCTGATTTCAATAATTTTGGATAAATACCTAGAAATAAGATTGCTGGATCACATGCTATTTCTATTTTTAATTGTGTAGGTACCTCCACATAGTTTTCATAGATGCAGCACCATTTTTCATTCCCAACAACAGGGTAAAAAGGTTCCAATTTCTCCACATCCCCACCAAACTATTATCTTTTGTGCCATCCCAACAGTTGTGCAATGATAAGTCACTGTGGACTTGATTTGCATTTCCCTGATTGTAAGTGATGTTGAGCATTTTTCCATAAGGTTTTTTGGCCACGTGTATGTCTTCTTTAGAAAAAAATGTCTATTTAAGGACTTTCCCATTTTTTAATCTGGTTATTTCTATACTTTTGCTAATTAAGTTGAAAGAGTTCCTTATATATTTTGGTTATTAACCCCTTATGAGATACATGGTTTGCAAATATTCTCTTCCATTACATAGATCGTCTTCTCACTATAATAATCATTTCCTTTGCTGTGCAGAAACTTTATAGTTTGATATAGTCTGTTGTCTATATAGTCTGTTGTCTATGTTTCCTTGTGTTGCCTATGTTTTTGGTGTCATATCCAACAAATCACTACCACAACCAGTGTCATGAAGCTTTTCTCCTATACATTCTTCTAGGAGTTTTACAATTTCATGTCTCGTGTTTAAGTCTTCAATACATTTTGAAATAATTTTTATGTAGGGAAAGATAAGGGTCCAATTTCATTGTTTTGCATGCAGATGCCCAGTTATCTCAACACCATTGGTTGAAGAGACTCTCATTTTCCCATTGTGTGTAGTCTTGGCATCCACATCTAGGATCAATAAAACATATATGCTCGTGTTAACTTCTATGCTGTCTATTCTCTTCCATCGGTCTATATGTCTCTATGCTAGTTGAATTTTGATTACTGTAACTTTGTAATATATTTTGAAATCAGGAAGTGTGATGCCTCCAGCTTTGTTCTTTTTCAAGATTGCTTTGGCTATTCAGAATCCTATGTGGTTCCATATTAATTTTAGAATTATTTTATTTTTCTATATCAGCCTACCTTCAGATATCAACACTTCCTTCTGTCAGATAATATTTGCACATCCTGTTCTCTGTAGCCTGGAATGCTCTCCTCCTCTCTTTTCACTGCCACCATTATACCACTTATACCTGCTTAACTGCTATCCATCAGATCTCTGCTGAAAAGTAATTCCTTAGAATGTTTTTCAGTAACACTGTTCACCTCCCCACTGCCCCTTCCCCCCCACACACACAATACCTGAAATCTCTGCCTACCTAAGGCAGGTTTTTCCTGAGTTTTTTCTCAATGGTATAACATTTGGGACTTTGATAGGAAGTATGATAAATTTGCAGATTGCACAATAAGAAGTAAGGACATTTGAACAATATTAAGTCTTCCGGTCCATGGTCCATGTACACAGGACACCTTTCCAATTGTTTGTGTCTTTTTCTTTCATTAATGTTTTGTGGTTTTTAGTACAAGTCATTTACCACTATAATTATGTTTATTCCTAAGTATTTTATTCTTTTTAATGTTATTGTAAATGGGACTGTTGCTTAATTTCCTTTTCAGATATTAAAAATGATTCATTATTAATATTTAGAAATGCAGCTGATTTTGTATGTTGATTTTGTATCCTGTGACTTTGCTGAACTCATTTGTTACTTCTAACAGTGTTTTTTGGTGGAAACTTCAGGGTTTTCTATATATCAGGTAATGTCATCTGCAAACGGGGACAATTTGACGTCCTCTTTTTCAGTTTGAATGCCTTGTGTTTCTTTTTCTTGCCTAATTGCTCTGGCTAGGACTTCCAGAGGAGAAGTACCTAATGTAGATGACAGGTTGATGGGTGCAGCAAACCACCATGGTACGTGTATACCTATGTAACAAACTTGCACGTTCTGCACATGTATCCCAGAACTTAAAACATAATTTAAAAAGAAGGGTGGTAAAAGTGGGCATCTTTGTCTTGTTCTGGATTTTAGAGAAAAAACTTTCCATTTTCAGCATTGAGTATAATGTTAACTTTGAGCATTTCATGTATGTCCTTTAGTATATTGAGTTAGTTTCCTTCTATTCCCAACTTGTTTAGAATTTTTATCATAAAAGGGTATTGAATTTTATCAAATTTCTTTTCTACATTTATTGAGATGATTGTGTGGTTTTTACCCTTTATTCTATTAACATGGTATATCACATTAGTTGATTTTCATATGTTGAATCATCCTTGCATCCCAGGGATAAATCTCACTTGGTCATGGTGTCTGATCCTTTTAATATGCTGTTGTATTTGGTTGGCTAGTATTTTGTTGAGGATTTTTGCATCTATGTTTATCAGGGTTATTGGCCTGTAGTTTGCTTTTCTTACAGTGTCTTTGTTTGGCATTGGTATCAGAGCCAAGGTATTTTACTTGGTATTTTAATATTTGGCCTAATAAGATGAGTTTGGAAGTATTCTGCTTCCTAGATTCTTTGGAAGAAATTGAGAACATCTTTAAATGTTTGGTAGGAGTCACCATTTGACTTTTCTTTGTTGAAAAGTATTTGATCACTGATTCAATGTCCTTACTAGTTATAGGTCTTTTCAGATTTTCTATTGCTCAGTAATTCAGTCTTGGTAGGTTGTATGTTCCTAAAAATACAGCCATGTCTTCTAGGTTATCCAATGTACTGGTATATAATTGTTCATAGTAGCCTCATGATTCTTTTTATTTCTATGGTATCAATTACAATGTCTCTGCTTCTGTTTTCATTTATTTGTATTCTCTCTTTTTTCCACAGTTATACTATTGGGGAAAGTTATACTAATATCTTGTTAATCTTATCTTTTAAACAAACCAATTCTTTTATTAAATTTTAAATTATTTTTCTATTATATATTTCATTTGGTTCTGTTCTAATCTTTATTATTTTCTTCCTTCTGCTAATTTTGGGCTTAATGTATTCTTTTTCTGGTTCTTTGGGGTGTAAAATTAGGTTGTTTACTTAAGATGACCTTTTTCCTATGCGGATGCTTCCTTCCATTTCTCCTGCCCTTGGACATCAGACTCCAGGTTCTTCAGCCTTCGGACTCTTGGACTTGCATCAGTGCTTTGCTCGGGGCTCTTGGGCCTTTGGCCACAGACTGAAGGCTGCACTGTCGGCTTCCCTGCCTTTAAGGCTTTTAGCCTCTGACTGAGCCAATACTGGCTTCTTTTCTCCCCAGCTCACAGACAGCCTATTGTGGGTATTTGCCTTTTGATCATGTGAGACAATTCTCCCTAATAAACTCCCTTTCATATATTCATGTATCCTATTAGTTCTGTTCCTCTGGAGAACCATGAATAATACAGCACATAACTGGAACTTGAGGTTTTTAAAATCCATTTAGCTATTTCTAAGTCTTCATGGAGAGTTTAATCCATTTACCTTTAAAGTAATCATTGCTAAGGAAGGATTTACTATTGCCTTGTTGTTAATTGTTTTCTGTCTGACCTGCAATTCTTTTATCTCTGGTTATCTTCCTTTGTATTTTTTAAAATTTTTTATATTGATATTTTATATTGAAATTTTATATTGATATTTTATGTAGGTATTATCTTTGTGGTTACCAAAGGTTTACATAACACAACTTTTATTATGTTATCTATTTTAAGCTGATAACAACTTATTTTCAATCACATACAAAAATCCCTGCCCCCACATACTTTGTTATATTATTGATGTCACAATTCACATGTTTTTATATTATGTATCTTTTAAAATATTTTTATAGGTGTGGTTATGTCAGTACTTTTCTGGCTTTTAACTTTTATCCTGAAAGTAAAAGTAATTTACACAGCACCATTACAGTATTACAGTGTTCTGTTTTGTCTATATATTTATCTTCACCAGAAATTTTTGTACTTCCCTTTCCTTTTGTTCTGTCATTTCACATCATTTTGTTTCAACTTAAAGAACTCCCTTAAGCATTTCTTGTAAAGCAGTTCCGGTAGTGGTGAATTTCCTCAGCTTGTGTTTCTTTGGGAAAGTCATTATCTCTCCTTCATTTTTGAATGATGGTGTTGGCCATATATAGTGTTCTTAGTTGACAGATTTTTTTTCTTTCAGCACTTTTAATATATCATCCTGCTCTCTAGTGACATGCAAGGTTTCTGCTGAGAAATCTGCTGACAGCCTTATGCAGATTCCCTGTATGTGATAAGTCATTTTTTTCTTGTTGCTTTCAAAATTCTATTTATCTTTGGTTTTTGACAATTTGATTATAATGCATCTCAGTGTGGATGTCTTTGGATTTATCTTATTTGGAGCTCTTAGGCTTCCTTTTTTCCTCCAGATTTGGGTAATTTCCAACCATTATTTCTTTGAATAAGCTTTCTTTCCACTTCTGTCTCTCTTCTTGTGAAATTCCCATAATGCATATATAGGCCACTTGATGGTGCCCTATAAGTCCCTTAAGTGAGCTTTTATCACTCTTTTTCATTTTTTTCTTTTTGTTCCTCTAACTGAATAATTTCTAATGTTGTGTCTCCAAGTTTGCTGATCCTTTCTTCTGCTTGATCTAGTCTGCTGTTGAATCCCTCTAGTGAATTTTTTTAGTTATTGTATTCTTCAGCTCATTGATTTCTGAGCTGGTTTCTTGGTAGTCTTTTTTAATGTTTTCTATTTCTTTGTTGAAATTCTCACTTTGTTCATGCATGTTCTATTGACCTCATTGAGCATCTTTCTGATGGTTATTTTGAATTTTCCATCAGAGACATAATATATCTCCATTGCATTAAGTTTGATTTCTGGAGATTAATCTTGTACTTTGTTTTGGACATATTTACCTGGTTGTTTTTCCCTTGGTTCTTCATTTTAGTATATCTGGATGTTATACAAAACAGCTACCTCTTCCAGCCTTCATGGACTGGCCTCAAACAAAAGAAGACCTTCACCTATCAGCCTGACCAGAGATTCTGGGGGCTTCTCAAATCTGTATGCTAGGCAAAACCATCAGCTATGTTCTTAGTAGCTCCCAGATGTCTAGAATATGCTGGGACTCATCTGCATTCTAAGACAAGTGAGACAGAAGCCAGTTCCTCAGGCAATCCCTGGAAAAATTGAAACGTTAAATATGTGATCCAACTCTTTTCTTCCTCAGGAAGTAGATGAGATCTGTCGTTTTTCTCCCACTTGCTCTGTGCTGAGCAAGACCCTCCCAGGTCTGTGATGGGGGCCGGCATGCTAGTTCAAACAGCCATCTTTATTTTTAGTAGCTCCAGGTGTCTGGAAAATTGCTGAGTCTCATTTGCACTCTGAGACAGGTGAGACAGAAGTCAGATCCTTGGGCAACCCCCAGGAAAATCAGAATGTTGAACACATAATGTAGTTCTTTCCTTCCCTCTCCGGAGAGAAGCTGGGAACTGGGGGTTTCCTCCCAAGCATATAGCAATACACTGAGGGTGGGGATTATGGTTAGAGGATGTCTCAAAGTTTCCTATCAGCTTCAGTGTGGTTGGTTTTTTGTTCACTTCAGATCCAAGAGCTTCTAAACTGGCTTCTGAATTTATTGCAAAAGGAGTTGACCTGTGTATTGGTTGTTGAATCACTGGGTTTATGATGGGAACGAAGATCCAAGTCTTCCTATTCTGCCATCTTGCTGATGTTACTGTCCTCTAATTCTTGAATGCCTTCTATGTAACAGAGAATTTTCATGCACACTATCTCATTTACTTTTCTTAAAATTCTGAACACCAAGTTGACAAAAACTAAATCGTAAAGTATAAGATTTAGTAAAAATGTAGGCTCAAAATTTTTAATCACAAAGCTGGTAAGAGGATTTGAACTCAGGTACCCAAAGCAGAGTGTAGTGCTCCTCTACCCAGGGTGTCAAGGAGATGTGTCAATGTGTAGCACATGGTTTATGTTCCTTGGGTTTATTTAAAGCCTCTGAGCCTCATGTGTGTGTTGCTGTAGTAGTGGAAACCACTATCTTGCTAAGAAGGCTTCACATTGGATGGACAGCAAATTACCTTTTCCATTCATTCACCTATTTTCATGCTGAAAATACTTCTCAATATTTTTGAGTCAATAAACAAGAATGACTTGTTAAGGCTAGGCTTACCCTAGATGGCTCAGGATCTTGCTGGTGGAACTATTTATGCCTGCAAACTATGAAATAAAACTTTTGAAAACTAAGGCCTTGCTACCAGCATGTGTCTTGTGGATCAGCAGCATTAGCACCACATAGAAGCTTATTAGAAATGTGGAATTGCAGGCCGTATCCCAGACCTCCTGATTTCATATGCCTTTTTGTTTGAAAAAGCCCTACTCTAAAGCACAATATACATTTTGATGCTTTTCTCATGATGTAATAATTTTCTAGTATGTTTGTGACTAAATGCAGTCAAGAAAGCCCTCAATTTCTTATTTTTCTATGTTCCCTTATTTTAAAATAATAAATAATGAAGAGAGTCTTCATTGCCTGTTAGAAAACAATCACTTATTTACAACAATAGCTTTACAAGTCCAGCAATTCATCTAAATGCCCAATTTGCCCTGTAGCTCTACAGCATGCCCACAGAGCCAACCTAGGTAAGCTATATTCTTTATGGGAAAAAAAGAGAAAAATAAGTTGATTTGGTAAGTTTTTGAAGTTGAAACATTGTAATGGAAATATCACTGGACTGGGTTCAATAAGACCTACGTTTAAGTAAGAATTTTCCTTGAACCATCAAGATATTCTTGGACAGGACTCTTTCCTTTTCTGGGTCTTGGGTTTCCTCATGTATATTAAGAAGTTGGCATAACCTGTGCTCCAAGGTCTTTTCCCACGCAGAACATTTGCTAATTTTTCTTTAATAGATCTCTCCTTGTTCCCCTTGTAAACCAAAAATAAAATTCTCAGGCCCCAACCATCTAAATGGACTTCCTCTTCATCCAGGGCACTCTTAAATTTTAACTTGAGACACCAGTTCTTGTCATGACAGGAAGCTGGAGGTCAGACATGCCTCACTCTACCTCTCTGGCATTAATATGAATACAGACTTTAAGCCTGATAAGAAACATTTTACAGCCCATTCTCTCTGAAGCCTACTAACTGAAGGTTTCCTCTGCAAATAAGAACTTTGGTCTCCACAATTCTTTATCTTAACCCAGACATTTCTTTCTATTGATCCCAGATCTTTACATAAACTCAACCAATTGTCAAGCAGAAAATTTTCAAATCTACCTGTAAGCTGGAAGCACAAGCTCCAAGTTGCCCTGCCATTTTGGACCAAACCAATGTATTTCTTAAATGTATTTGATTGAAGCCTCATGTCTCCCTAAAATGTATAAACCAAGGTGAACCACAACCACCTTGGACATATGTGCTCAGTGTCTGCCAAGGGCTGCGTCACAGGCCATGGTCACTCATTTGGCTCAGAATAAATCTCTTTGAATATTTTACAGAGTGTGACTCTTTTTGTCAACATCTTCATCTCCTCCCCCACTGCTATTTCCTAGTCCAAGTCCTTCATTTATTGCTATAGCTTTTTTTTTTTTTTTTTTTTTTGACAGAATCTCGCTCTGTCGCCAGGCTGGAGTACAGTGGTGCAATCTCGGCTCACTGCAACCTCCGCCTCCTGGGTTCAAGCAATTCTCCTGCCTCAGCCTCCTGAGTAGCTGAGACTACAGGTGTGCGCCACCACATCTGGCTAATTTTTGTATTTTTAGCAGAGATGGGGTTTCACCGTGTTGGCCATGATGGTCTCGACCTCCTGACCTCGTGATCCGCCCGCCTCAGCCTCCCAAAGTGCTGGGTTTACAGGCGTGAGCAACCATGCCTGGCCTGCTACAGCATTTTAACTAGTCTCCTGATTCCTGCTTTCTTGGTTTCCTGCTTCCTCAGTTCAACTAGTATTCCTTTGTTCCCAAAAGAAAAGCTGACCATGTTCATCTCATGCCTGGAACACTTTAACAGCCCCAAGGCTGTTTCTGTTGCTTGAAGGTGCTATGCTCATCTTCTGTCCCTAACCACACTGCTACTTTCCATCCCCTCTTGCCTGAAATATACCACACACACCAGCCTCTTTACTTAGCTTAATGTTGCTCATCTTTTTTCTTTTGAGACGGCATTTCACCCTTGTTGCCCAGGCTGGAATGCAATGGTGCAATCTTGGCTCACTGCAACCTCCACCTCCTGGGTTCAAGTGGTTCTCCTGCCTCAGTGTCCCAAGTAGCTGGAATTACAGGCATGCTTCACCATGCCCGACTAATTTTGTATTTTTTCAGTAGAGACCGGGTTTCACCACGTTGGCCAGGCTGGTCTCAAACTCCTGACCTCAAGTGACCCACCCGCCTCGGCCTCCCAAAGTGCTGGGATTGTAGGTGTGAGCCACCACACCTGCCCTTGCTCATCTTTTAAGTGTCATCTTCACCGTCACTGGTAAAATACTCTTGCTGCCATGGTGCTCTGTGCTTTTAGTCATAATATTTGTTGCTTCTTACTGTTATTGCTTATTTGTAACTTATCTCTGTGAGGGCTGAGACCAGTGTTCCGTGCTCACAATCATGTTCTTGTAGATAATACCAAGTAAGCACTAAAAATAATTGCTTGAATTGCCTATATGAATTCTTGTCTTCTACTTCCATTGTTGATTAAATAATAATAAGCTCTAAATATTGCTTTAAGGAATAGGCATAATTCACTCAAGACATGTAGAGAAATTCCTGGCATATATTATTCACTTAATGTATGCTAGCTATTACAATTGTTATTATTCTTTTCTCTCTTTAATTACAGCAGTCAGTATGGGCTTAATTATAATTACCTGATAACTAAAAATTTCTTTCTTACTTTGAAGCTAAATGGAATACTTAAAAATGTAGATGCATTAATCAATTAAACAAATGCATCAGGTTAATAGTATTTCTTATTCCAATGAAACAAAGAATCATATTGTTATATACTATATATATAACTCATCATATTATTATAAATTATGCACCAATATATTTGCAAAATAATGCATTGAATTATTATTAAATTCTTCTGCAAATGGTGTGTGATTTGTTTTCTCAAAGCTTAACTTAATGGGAAAGGCTTGAGAGAAATTGTCATTGTAAAGAAAATAAATCCTGGATACTTATGACCTAAAAGGAAATCTGGCATGTATCTCTTAATATTCTTAGAAATTACTCAAAGGTTCAGCTTTTATTAATTCATAACTCTTCAAAGTTATGAATCAATAGATCCTAAACTCCAATCTCCCATCCAATATTTGAATCTCTGTGGCACCATCTTAGCCCGGTGAATGAACAGCCACTGCATGGAAAGGGAGAAGATTAAAGCTCTATTAGTTCCCATAGCAACATATGATTTATTAAAGTTTTATCTATGATTTTTTTAAGAATGCATTCTCTGCAAATCAGAAACAAATTATAACATAGTCATAGAAGAAAAAATGAAGATGGATGGTGGATAAGGAAACAATTGAGATATTTATATTAGTTTCCTTCTTTGTCAGGCATTAAATAATTATACAGGTAGGAGTTATAACCAGAAAAGATGCAAAATATCAGTCTTATTCTATCACCATTATATCATTCAATATTACTCTTATTCCCAATTTACAAGCTTTCTTCATTGTCTCCTAGCTATTCTTTGTTGATATTCTTTCTCTCCATCTGATTCCTCCTTCCTCCCTTTTTACTTTCATGCTTCTCTTCCTACTAGCTCTCTTTGTTTGTCCAGGTATTCTTTCATTTCTATAATACAATAATATGGTTTTACCTTAATAACCCAGAAACTGAACTATAATAATAAAAATAAATACTCTGACACAGGAGGGGTAGGCTGGACAGCCACAGTGAGAATATGTGGTTAAAGGCTCAAAACATGTAGGCTGGTTATGTGGATGGATAGATAAATTTAATTTTACAGATATTTCTCAAGTTCCAAACAGTAAAGTACTATGCTGTATACTGTGATAGATGATAGGTGAGGTCTCATTTTCTGTACTTCAATGGCTAAAATCTCCCAGAAATTTTATATACAGAACTAACTAAACATAGCACAAAGGAGATGGTAAGAAACAATGCAAAGAGAGGAAGAAGTGAGAAAAAAGAGGCACAGCAGAAGAGAGAAGGGGAATCTTATGCAGGGAGGAGGAAATAGAAATAAAGTAGTTAACAAATGGAAAATTAACATGGACTACAAGAAAGGCATGTTTCAGAACTTCAAGCACATTAACATTGGTTTTTTCAAATCATGTGGATCTAACACACAGCCACTGGTGAAAATGCTGCGTGCTATGACTTTATTCAGTTTTTTTGTTTTGTTTTGGGTTTTTTTTTGGAGACTGAGTCTCACTCTGTCACCCAGGCTGGTGTGCAGTGACACAATCTCGGCTCACTGCAAGCTCCACCTCCTGGGTTCAAGGGATTCTCCTGCCTCAGCCTCCTAAGTAGCTGGGATTACAGGCACATGCCACCACGCCCAGCTAATTTTGTTTTTTTTTTTGTATTTTTAATAGAGGGGGGTTTCACCATCTTGGCCAGGCAGGTCTCCTGACCTCAAGTGATCTGCCCACCTTGGCCTCCCAAAGTGCTGGGATTACAGGTATGAGCCACCGTGCCCAGCTGACTTTATTTAGTCTTTATTATAAATTGAATAAAACCTTTGTAAATAGAGATATTTTGTTTGTTGTAACCTGTGTGGATTATTGTAAATTAGCATGATATACTTGTTTCAGACCACCAATAACAGCCATCTTATGAACAGAGGCTTTCAAATAATAGGCAAATGTGTGAAAAGAGACTTAAACATTTCTGTAAAGAATTCTATGAAAATTTTCAACATTGTCATTAGAACTTGTACCATTAAAATTTTCTAATAATAAAAATCATTTTTAAAAATTATTTTAATGATGCTAAATTTCTATTTTTCACTTTTTGAAATACATATGGTAGCAAGCAATAAGAAAATATTTAATGATGACATGCCAATTAACAAGTTCAATATGTCAAGTAAAAGTAATAATGTTTCCTTAACACCAAATAGCACAGCATGATTTATATAAATGCCCATCCTTCCAAAGAATGGAATCCTTTCACTTGGTGCAATAAGTTGAATACTGTCTTTTTACAGCTGTTCTCAAAGACAAAGATATTTTTGAGCTTCATTTATAAAACATAAATATCATATTGTTGTTCCAGCCTTCTTGTAATTCAAAATAGCATCAGTGCTGGCTGAACATATTACTCATGCATTGGAAAGTTAGAAATGGTGACAATTTGAAGTTAACATTGTGAAATGAAGATGAACGTGCAAAATGTTCTAGCTATATTCTGTTTTATGTGAATAACCTGAACATATTTCTTCTTTATATATTGGTTTAAGAAGATGTTATAAATACCTAACTTGGGGACAGAAGAATTTTAGTAAAGGAGAAGAGACATTTAAAATTACTTCTACGTCTTACTCTAAGAACAATCTGCCAATTAGTAGAGTTGTATGTTTCCAGGTACACAGCCATGTGTCCTAAGATTCAGACAGAAGGTTGTGAGTTTACAGGAAGAAAGAAATCGATTCTTTCTGGGGTATCCTAAAGGCTTCTCACAGAAAGTGGCACTTGAATAGTGTCAGATATTTGAAGCAGGGACAGGATATTTCAACAAGAAGGAATGCATAAATAGGACATAGACAGGGAAGCAGCCGGGGCATATGGAGACTGGGGAGTTTGGCTATTTAATGGGGTTCATGGAGGTTGTGACAGAGAAGTAGTGTCAGATAAGATGGATGGTAAATAGGGGACTAATTGTGGAAGGTTTTGAGTGCTAAGCTAAGTAATTCAGTTTTTATTTGGTAATGAATAAGAAACCCCATGGTTTTTTTTCCCCCAAGTTTTAAAATGCTGAATACACACATGATCAGAGCTGGCTATTTATTGGATACTTAGAATGCACCCAGCTATGTTAGGTGGTTTATAAATATTATCCAATATGATCATCACAAAAGTATGGTTGAAAGAAGTATTAACCCCATTTTTCAGATGAGAGAACTGAGTCTCAGGCTATATAATTTGCCTGTGTACAACAATCTAACAAGCTGATTTTTTTAATCAAAATCTTTTTGTTCATTACTCTACATAATCCTGTTGTTTTCATAATTCTATTGTTTTAACAAAATCCTGTTCCACTATAATCCTGTTATGCTTCATAATCTAGTATTTTGAAGAAGATAAAAATAGAAAAGATTGAGAATATGTCAGAGACTATTTTAATAGCGCAAGAAGTAATCATTCTGATTCAGTTATGTTTGTCACTAGTTCAAGTAACGGCAAATCTGAGTTACCATGGTTTCTGAAAAAATGCACATTGAAAAATTGTATGATGGTTATTTTAGATTTTTAGCATGATGTTGAGGTTTCCTATGCAAGGGAAATTTTAAATTTGTTTTTTGCCTGTTGGATTTCTTATGTTATTCAGAAAGTTTTGCAATGCCTATAATGGGAACTTTCCTAGTAATATGCATTAAATGTAATTTCCACCTTTTTAGACCATCAAAATTAAGCACATAGTGTGTGTAACATCTAAACTATGGCAAGCACCTTAATTACATTTTTCCTCTTAATCTCACAACAACCTTGTGATGTTGGTGTCCTTCTCCCATTTTATAGATGAAGAACCTAAGGCTGAGAGAAATTCTGTCTGTATACGATGCAACCAACGTTCATATTCAGCCCTATTTGTCTTTAAATCACTACTGTTTCCACTACAGCCAACTGCCCTGTAACTCCTCATGTAATAAAAACGACTGATCTTAAAGTGATAATTCATATTTCATGATTGAAAAAGAATAAGGAATCATCCGTGGCACAAACCTGAAATGCAGGGAGTGTAGAATCTATGTTAATACATAGGCTTTGGGATCAAAGGAATGTGAGATTAACGCTCATATCCACCATCTTAAAGCTGTGTGGCCTTGGATGTATTACTTAATCTTTCAGAGGCTCGACTGCTAATCTGAAAAGTGCAAATAGTAATATCTACTTCAGGGAGTTGTTAAGAGGATTAAGTGAAATAATGCCTAAAAAGTACTTAACACAAAGTAGGCTCTCAATAAAAGTAAGCTCTAGGTGCATAGCACACTATGCTATTTCCTTGATTCTCATAGCTTCATCTCTGAGTCAATCACTTCCAAATATTAGGTCCAAACCTCTCTTCTGAATTCTGGATCCGTGTATCCCATCACCTACTTGGCATCTGCACTTGGATGCCCACAGTCATCTCATACTTTATATATATCAAACTGAACTAATGATATATGTCACCCTCCTTCCTTCCCTGCTAGTATGTGCTCTCCTGCTTTTATGGTAGTGAGGTAGGGGTGAGTGTGTGTGTGTGTGTGTGTGTATGTGTGTGTGTACAAAATCAACACTGTAACCAGCCCACAACTAATCCATTCTTAAGTCACTCAGTGCTAAGGGATATGCCTTCTAAATTCCCCCCAATACCACCCTAGTCCTAGTGGCCATCATTTCTCTCCTAACTAATGCAGTCATATCCACTGCTGCCTATACTCACCAACCAGTTAGCCATACTCTAACCAGAGGGACCTTCCTGCCCCTTGAGTTTTAAGATTGGCTTAAAGTCTTATTCCACTTTGATGGAAATCCAAATCCCCCTTGGAGTTTTTGTTAATTTGGTGTAAACATTCATTCTTATAAATTCTTCTTCCCTCAGGAGCCAACTTCCACAAATACTGCTTCTGTGCCCTAACACCTCCAGGTGAAACCCAGCCCTTTCTACAAGTTCCATGGATGATCCACTCATACAAAGCATTTGTGAACGTTGGGACTCAGGGTGACGGAGAACTATTTGCTATTCAGAATGTGAACTCCCCAATGGTGCATTAGATATTTCCAGTCTTGAATGTCCTCTGCCCTCCTCACCATCTGGATGTTTCCATTGGCAGATTGCCCCTTCTTCATCCCAGCATCATATCATCTTGGGGGCTCTCATCTTATACCCTTTTTTTATTCCAGATTTCTTTATTCTTTATTCTTTATTCAAATCCGTTGTAATTTGAATCCCAGTTTGGATGTCTGGTTTTTGTTTGCTTGCCTAGGTTCCTCAATTCACCCCATCAGTATTTCCTTCTATCCCAAGTGGTTAGTTACCAAGTATTTTTCCAATAAAACTTTCCACCCCCAATAGGAATTCTGGAGCCAGCAAGTAACATCATAAAGTTTTTGCTTCTATTACAGAAGGTAAATCAGATCATCCCACACCCCTGCTGAATAACCCATAAGTGTCTTCCCATCGCCTTTAGCATAAAGCCTCTAACTTTTTTAGAAGGGTCTACAAAGTTTCCCATGATGCCACCTCTACTGGCCATTCAAATGTTATTTTGGTTTCTCATCCACATTGTGCTTTCTCCAGCACCCAGGCCTTCACATTCACTGTCCTTAGGTCCTGTTCTTTCTCTCCAACTAATCATCAGGTCAACTCTTACCAGCCCATAGGTCTCTGCCTAACTAGCACTTACTCTAGGCTGCAGCCACCTGCTAGGAGCTCCTTGATCATCAAATATTTCTTAACAATGCTTTTTCCACTTGCAATTATCTAGTTATTTAAAATAATGTATTTCCTCTCTCTCCACAGACTCAAAACACCACTAGAACAGAAACCAGATTTCTTAACTGTCATATTCTCAGCAAGAAGCATACAGCAGGCACTCAATTGTTAAAAACTATCTGAAGTAAACATTGAGTCAAGCATCTGTGTAAAGGATTGCCCTAAATCTCCCTTAACTTCTGGGCTTTAATTTATTCTGCCTATATAGGGATCAGTCTTTCAGAAGACCCAGAAAACCTTAGTGAAGGTGGAGGGCTTATTAAACTATTTGCTTTAAAGTTCTGACAATTTTGTTGTTGCTGATATTAACAACCCAACAAGAAGGGGAGTTAAAGGGCAGTGCTTACAAAAGGTCACAATATACTGCCTAAATATGCTGTGAGCTTCGTAAGTAGGCTGCACTCTTGTTAGCTATCATCAGGATTTAATTAACTGGTGTCACAGCTGAATTGACATTTCATGCCTGTGGGGAAATTTGACTGAACTCATCCATTCCGAAATAAATGATTAGCACCACCATCTTTCACATTATCTTTCAATAAGTGGGACAGCTACATTTTCACAACTTGCTGGGGAAAAACCATTTTCAAACTCTAAATACCAGTAAGCATGGAAAAGAAGGATGGAAAATAATAAAGTCAGGCAAAATGATATTTGTGGGTGCTTCATTTTATGAAAATAAAACTTGTTTCAGAGGCAGAATGAACCTGTTAGGAACCCCTGTTTTTCATAACAAATTATGCCAGAAGAATGTTGCATAGTTTTGGAATTTGCCTGATCACTGAACTGTTGAGAACAAATGTATTTTATGGGTTCCTGGGTTGTGGGCCGACCCCCTACCCAGTCAGACACCAGCCAAGCACAGCTTCCAGGTCTTTAAACTTCTCAGCACAGTAGGCCCTAAAACTGTTCCCATGGTAACCTTCCATCAAACAGGCGAGCTGTAAAACAGGTGAGCTCAGGCTGTCATTTGCAGACAAAACAAGAAAAAGAAATACTGACTGCTCTTGTTCGTGATGCCACAAAGAGAAGTAATACTGATTACTGAATAAATAGACTGAAAGTCAGAATAGCTGTTGAACTAAATAGGAATCATGGCGTTAGTGTCCTGACAAAAAAAAAAAAAAAAAAATACAGCTTCTAAAATGTGTATGTCTCAAAGAAAATCAATGAGAAAACAGATCACAAATTTTGTAGAAACATTAGTTACTGTTTTTGGAGGATCTCCTAAATATCGGATCCTTGGATGGAAAATTTGCATGTATGGTTTCATTTGTCCCTACCCCCTAAAAAACTGTCATAATAAGCTTTTAGTATTTCCATGATTTACCTTAAATAACTGAGGTTCAAAGAATAAAAGTGAGAGACTGTCACTTAAGTGGGATTTGAACCCAGATCTCTGTGTCTCCAAAATTTCTGTTTTTTTCATGATGCTACACTTTTTGAGGATTTATCAGGCATATTCTAGAAGAAGTCAGTCACAGTTTGTGCTGAGGGAATTTGCCACCAATTAAGTACAGATATGAAAGGTAGCATTTGGGAAATCATCTTGGCTCCAGGATCTTACAGTCTGGGGACTGTAGTACAATAGAGTCACAAAATCTGTAGTTATAAGAATTGCCTTGAGTACTAGCTCCTCCACAATATAATAGGGTAGCCTTGAGAAATCCATTTAATTCTTTGAACCTCAGTTTCTTCTTCTGTGAATTGAGACAGTAACTTAACGGAATGTTCTGAGGATCAAAGGAGAAAATATATTTGAAAGTGCTTTCTAAAATATAAAATTTGGTATATGACTATTATTATTACCCTACATATCACATAAAATCTTGGCACTTCTTTTTGGCAGAACAATTTCTTTTCACTTAAAACTGGCAGGTTGAATTCTTTCCTCAAGTGTGTTTTGTTTAATCTCCAAAATTAGGAGCTGTGCAGAGCTTCCAGCCTGAGTTCATTTTAGAAGTCAGGAAATAATTGCTGCATTATTATATATATTGAACTGTCATTTTACACATGCACACATGGCAACTTGATGAGAAAATATCATTTGTACTTATTTTAAATTAATGCTTAATTGGTGACAGACTTTAGCTATCACCTACACTCTGGTTGGGCCAAGAAAATAGAGTATGATCTAGAAACTGAAGGACAAAAGATGAGTAATGGTCAAGGAAATGGCAGTGCAAGGAATTCAAGGGCTATAACCTGGCAGCCTACAGGCTGGGGCAGACCTGCCAATGTATTTTCTTTGGCTAGCAGGGGTTTATTTTGTTGTAATTGTGCTTTTTAATGATGTTCTTAAACAGTGCATGTACCCTCCAGTCTGCTAACATTCCATCATTTGTATCCTCTTACACCTGGCTGCCTCTCACATGTATATTACCTGCCTGACAGTAATTGGGAGATGGGAGTCCCTTTACCAAACAACAGGCAAAAGAGATGAGTTTTCTTCATTTTGAAACCATAAAGAATGTATCTATTGGGAAGCTGAGGTGGGCAGATTGCTTGAGCCCAGGAGTTTGAGACCAGCATGGGCAACATGGTGAAACCCTGTCTCTACAAAAAATACAAAAAAATAAGCAGATTTGGTGTCGCATGCCTGTGGTCCCAGATACTTGGGAGGCTGAGGTGGGAGGATCACTTGAGCCTGGGGAGTGGAGATTGCAGTAAGCCGAGATCCGGCCACTGCACTCCAGCCTGCATCTGATCATTTAACACAGGAAAGACTGAGCATGCAATAGGCTCAGGCACCAAATCCCACAGGAGTAGAGAACTGGCATACTCTATCTGAAAGGATACATTTAGGATACATATTAAAAAGTCTAGTAATCCACAGCCCATTGTAAATATTCTAATTCAACAAGCATTTAAGAACCTGCCATATGATCTTCAGGAAAGTTTCTGGCACAGAGTAAGTATGATGTAAGTAGATGCTCTTTGTTATGTCATCATCATCATCTTTATTATCATCATTGCTATTATTATTGGTCAGACACAATTCTAGGAAGGGCAAAGGCTCCTAACTCCTGTCTTCCTCTTTGCTCCCAAATAGAGGGTATCCCCAGTGTTCTGCTCAGTTTCTGATGCATGCTTGTTGCCCAAAATATATCTGAGGAATGGCTGCATAAATAATGGAAGACTAGAGAGAGGCCATCTCTGGCCTTTGAGATCAACAGCCAAAATCTGCTCTGACAATTTCTGAGAGTTGTGAATAATTCTAGCCAGGTGTCAGAAGGAACCTGGCGAGTGTAGCCCCGGGACTCTGATTTTCCTGAAGAAACTGAAAAGAAAGAATACCCAGGTGGAAAAGGTACCCTGGTAGCTGGACAGGATGTTTAGTGGATGCATTATGCAATGTCTGCAGAGAATCATGGCCATAAGTGCTATGTAAGCACCAAACATCATTAATATTACTATTTAAAAGAACTGAGCAGCCTATTCCTTCCTAGGTGGTAACCTGAGCACAGCAGAATTTTAATAAGTCTGATCATTTATTGGGTTGCCAGCTGGAGCACTGACCATGCTCTGGATGTACGTCACACAGTCTGATTTGGTGCAATCAACACTGGCTCTGACTCAGCATCTTACCTGCCTGAACTATTGCAACACCCTCCTTACTGCCTATTGGCCTTACATCATCCCAGTCAGCCTGTTATTCTGCATACTCCTAATTATATAAGTCTTGCTAAACTGTAATGGAATCATATCACTTTTCTGCATTACAAGAGTTCATGATTTCCTTTGGCCTAAAAAATATCCAAACTCCTTAGCAAGGCGTGTCTTGGTCTTGGGTCACCAGCACTCTATTCTGATCATCCTCCGTTGATCTAAACACTCTAGAGGTCTCTGGATGCTCTTCCCGCTTAACAAGTGCCTTTTCTGAACCAGATTCCCCTGGCAAACTCACGAGCATCTTTCATACATCACTTGCTCCCTGAAGCCTTCCCTCACACCCATCTGCAGGAGCAGAATTGAGGGCTTTCTTGTCTACATGTCCGTGGCACTGAACAGTTCTCTTGTATTGGCCAGGATATTTGGATGCAAATCTTGGAAGTCTAGATCAAACAAATTAAAGAATATGTTGGGCTTTATTCACTCGTGTCACCAAACTGCACAGTGGCTGAGCCTTTGGATGAGTGTGACCAGGACCTCAGACCAAATCAGGGAGTCTACCACTAGCAACTATCTTCATGGGGCAGAAATTACAAACACTTCAGCTCTGCATTCATACATACTGAAAGCCAGAAAGGAACAAGAGCTCCTTCCCATGAATTCTAGTTATAAAACTTCAGAGGAACCACTCTGGATGGCCTGGCTTAGTCCACATGAGCATCACAGGAAGGGGACCAGGTGCCATGATTCCCCTAGACTGCTTCAAGGTGCCTGCTCAGACCCAGTGACAGGGTAACATGATCAGCAACCCTTGTCAGGCCCTCATTAGATTTAGAGTGGGAAAGAAGCAGTGTCCCATAAGAAGGTGCAAGCTCAGATAGAATTTCAGACAGGCAGAAGAGTAGGTGTCATCTGGACTGTCATTCAAATTCGATAACTAATAACACTTCAGATCCTAACTGTGTCTGTGAGTTTGCCTCTCACTACAGAGTGAGCTCCTAGAGTTCCAGTACCCATCTTACTCATGTGCCTCTGCTCACACCTAGCATGATGCCTGTTGCCCGGTTGCCACTTAGCTCATGCTTGTGTGTTATTGAATTAACAAATGGATAGCTCTCCAGGGCCCTGTGAACAAAACATCCGGTGAACGTAATTACCGAATTCTGTAGTGTTTGGAAGTTAGTTAAACAAATGTTTATAAAACCGCTATAATTTAAAAGACATTGAGTGGCTCATGCCTGTAATCCCAGCACTTTGAGAGTCTGAGGCGCACAGACCACCTGAGGTCAGGAGTTTGAGACCAGCCTGGCCAACATGGTGAAACCCCATCTCTACTAAAAAGTACAAAAATTAGCCAGGCGTTGTGGTGGGCACCTGTAATCCCAGCTACTCGGGAGGCTGAGGCAGCAGAATTGCTTGAACCCAGGAGACAGAGGTTGCAGTGAGCCAACACGGTGCCACTGTGCTCCAGCCTGGGCAACAGAGTGAGAGACTCCATCTCAAAAAAAAAAAAAAAAAAAAAAGCATCAAGTGACTCAAAACTAAAATATAACACAATAACCTTTGAAATACAACTAGTATTTATTGAGTTCATAGTGTTAGCATTTTTACGAAAGACATTTTATGCTCACAAAAATTCCATGAGTTTTAGCAATTAGCCCTATTTTATAAATTAAGAAGATGAAGTTAAGAGATGCTTGGACTTCCCCTAGTTCTCACAGGTAAAAGGCTACAGAGGCGGAAGAGAAACCCAGGACTTCTGATCTCAAGGCTATTGCTTTGCTCTTAAGCAAGTTATTTAACCTGTCTGGGTAAAATGGAGATAATAACTCTTGTTTCTAAGGATTGCTGTGAGGAGTAAAAGAAAAAACATATATAAACAAATGAGCACATAGCCTGGCCCAGATGAGGGCATTAATGGACAATAGTGCTAAATTTTCAGTGATGGTGGGAGCTTTCCTTCAATTCTGACTAGAACATATCTCTGACCCGTTTTTGTCCTTGCCCCGCAGCCCAGGAACTCGTCCTGTGTTATTCTCCTCTTTAGTGCCACCCACTCTGTCTCCAGTAGCTTCTCTCCCCGAAGACTGCTTCCAGAACAGGTCACAGGCTCCTGGGCTCCCCTTCTTGCTGAAGCCAAGTGCCCAGACCCCTTTTGCTGCCTCGGTTAGCTGGCCCCACTGGTTATGGAAAGATAAGTACCAAGAGGCATAAGGATATATGGATCCTAGACCTTGTCCTGACATCAATTTGCTGTGTGACATTTGTACCGCTGTTCTCTCAAGCGTAAAATGAGAATGCTGGACCAGAGAAATCACTACATTAAATTTGTTATGTAAAGGAAATCTCAGTAAAAATATTTTTCCTGCAGAGTCAAGCAATATTATTACTTCATCTCAAAAAAAGTTTTACATATTTTTTTACATTAACCAAATAAATCAGCATTGGACTTGCCTACATTTATCAGATCAGTTTCTATTACTTTTAACTGTTCCTTCCTGCTCTACTTCTCAGCAGGGATTACATGCCTGCAGCGTACACTCAGAATTTTCTCCTGAACATAGATTCCAGGAAAAGCTAAGGTAAAGAAGACAGAGTAGAAAGCAAGAGCACAGATGACACTTCTTTTAGGCGCACTGCCTAGATCGCACTTGGCCTGCTGTCTTCCTCTCATTAGTCGCACCAACTGAATCTGATTAGCCCACTCTGATTTATTTTTGGCAACCTGGAAGTGCATGGGCCAATGCTTATTTTCATGGCTGATACAATCATCCCCAAAGCTGTCGTTAGCATTTGGAAGATTAGTCCCTTTCTCTGGATGATTTTATTGCCTATGAAGCATCACGACACACATTAGACATGTATTTCTTAAACACTTTACAAAATTGAGTCTATTTACTCTTCTTCTTATTATCACAACCACCTTCTGTTATTGGCTGCTAAAACATAGAGAAAGAATTCTTCATAATTACATATTTGATGCTTATGAACTTATTGTTTTCTGAGTTAGTGAATCATCTGCTATAATCAACAAGAACTAAAAGCCAGATTTCAATGCTACTGGTTACTCAGTGCCTGATTTGTCTACATTTTGCTTAACAGACTTTCCCATTATGCACCAAACAGTACTATCTAGGTGAAAAGTGAATAATAAGGAAATATAAATAAATATTTTCTCCTAAAAATGCAACTTTCAGATATGAAGCACAATATGTATATGATTTCTATTTATATTTGTGGACAGTAAGATTTATTAGTAAGGATCATTATTTTTAGGTCTTTGAGATACAAAAATTCTGAGATTCCGAATAAGTCCTAAAGTACGTTTAGTATAAAAAATGTATCATGAAAAATGAAACACACTTTGGCAAATTTTCCAATAGGTTAAAAGTAAAAGGATTTTCCATCAGCTCTCGGTGAATTTGAAAGCATATTTATAACCAGGATTCCCCATTCACTAAGCATTTAATGAATAAACAGCCACTGACCACCAGCAAACTTGCAGCTCTGGAGGCAGGACTGTGTTTTGGATCCCCAGTACTTAGCAGGCTGTGTGGTTCTTAGTAGATTCTTAATTTGTATCGACTAGATGAGAATATCAATTAGTAACTTCTATCATGGGTATGATTACTCTTTCTTTTCCTCGTACCCAAGTCTCCTCTATCCAATGAGGACATCTCAGCTGTTCCAGATCCCCTCTTGTAAAGTCTGTCTACAGAGGATTGTAAGGAAAGCAAAAAGATAGAAGAGAAGAAAAGATAAAATTTGCAGAGAGAGAAGTTTAAAGAGAGAAGGGCGCTATGATAGGGGAAAAATGAGAAGTTTAAGAAGTATTGCTGGAGACCTCGGGTGCTCTAGTTGATTGGGGTCTAATTTGTTGTTGCTGTGGTGGTGGTGGTGGTGCCAGAATTTAAGAAGTATTTCAATGCTGATGAATTTTCCTTAAGAGGAAGGGAAGATGATGAGGCAGGAGATGTTGAGGCCAACCGACATATTACTTGTGTTCCCTGCTTGATCCCGGCAATGCATTCACCGTGAGATGAAGGAGGGCTCTTTGTTTTGCTTAGGAAGGCTAGAGGGAGGGCTCTTTGCTTTCCTTAAAAAATGCATTGTTCATGTCCTTCGCCCACTTTTTGATGGGGTTGTTTGTTTTTTTCTTGTAAATTTGTTTGAGTTCATTGTAGATTCTGGATATTAGCCCTTTGTCAGATGAGTAGGTTGCGAAAATTTTCTCCCATGTTGTAGGTTGCCTGTTCACTCTGATGGTAGTTTCTTTTGCTGTGCAGAAGCTCTTTAGTTTAATTAGATCCCATTTGTCAATTTTGGCTTTTGTTGCCATTGCTTTTGGTGTTTTGGACATGAAGTCCTTGCCCACGCCTATGTCCTGAATGGTAATGCCTAGGTTTTCTTCTAGGGTTTTTATGGTTTTAGGTCTCAGTTCTCAAAAGAAGACATTTATGCAGCCAAAAAACACATGAAAAAATGCTCATCATCACTGGCCATCAGAGAAATGCAAATCAAAAGCACTATGAGATATCATCTCACACCAGTTAGAATGGCAATCATTAAAAAGTCAGGAAACAACAGGTGCTGGAGAGGATGTGGAGAAATAGGAACACTTTTACACTGTTGGTGGGACTGTAAACTAGTTCAACCATTGTGGAAGTCAGTGTGGCGATTCCTCAGGGATCTAGAACTAGAAATACCATTTGACCCAGCCATCCCATTACTGGGTATATACCCAAAGGACTATAAATCATGCTGCTATAAAGACACATGCACACGTATGTTTATTGCAGCATTATTCACAATAGCAAAGACTTGGAACCAACCCAAATGTCCAACAATGATAGACTGGATTAAGAAAATGTGGCACATATACACCATGGAATACTATGCAGCCATAAAAAATGATGAGTTCATGTCCTTTGTAGGGACATGGATGAAATTGGAAACCATCATTCTCAGTAAACTATCGCAAGAACAAAAAACCAAACACCGCATATTCTCACACATAGGTGGGAATTGAACAATGAGATCACATGGACACAGGAAGGGGAATATCACACTCTGGGGACTGTGGTGGGGAGGGGGGAGGGGGGAGGGATAGCATTGGGAGATATACCTAATGCTAGATGATGAGTTAGTGGGCGCAGCGCACCAGCATGGCACATGTATACATATGTAACTAACCTGCACAATGTGCACATGTACCCTAAAACTTAAAGTATAATTAAAAAAAAATGCATTGTATTCCCCACACTAAAGTAAGCTGATGATGGTAGAGGAAGAATTAGTGCCCCTAGTAAAGACAGGATCCAACCCCACTGGGTTAGCTGTAGCAGCAAGGGTATGGGGGCATTAAGGAGGAGCAGGAGTTAGCCTTCAGAGCGTGAGTCGGGACAAAGTGGCAAGAACAGGAGCACCCTTGGGCAAAGCAGCCCACCAGGACAGGGGCTGATGACTTCACTAGACAGTCAAGTGCTCCCGCTGCACTTTGGGTCTGTCCATCATAAGCACACATTGTGCTGATATCCTCCATGGCACCATCAGAGGGATGAGAGGGCATCCCATCTACCTTTGAGGCCTGGAACCTCTGGGTGCATGGGTATCTCTTGCACAGCTGTGACCCACCACCACACTATACACTCATCAACAAATGTTCCTCACCTGGCACATTGCCCAGGGCTTGCTCTTGGACTGCTGGCACTGCCCTGCTCCACCAAGCAGGGGACAACCATGACTCAGCTGCTCTGTGTTTCTGATGGCCAAGAAAATTGTTCCCTACATTCTCAATTCATTTTTCACACCCACTATTGATTCGACACCCCCTTGGGACACTGACAAAGCAAAGTTGGAGGGTATGGGTACAAGAGCAGACTGCACATAGGGCCATGAACCATTAACAATGCAATACTTCTAGATTTGGTGCAGGAGGCTAGAATGTCTGTGATCACCAGCCAATAGGTTTTAACAGAAAGTATAGTAAGGGAAAAGAGATCAAGCATCTATGATAGCAACCTAGACCTTTCTAGTCATATTAAGGATACTGACAATTGCTTCAATTACTAATAGAAGTCTATTAACTTCAAATCCTAGCTTATGAAATGCTGTGGTTGAAAAATGTCAACTCTCTTTAAAAATATTCTACAGATGAATGAGCCTGGCTTAGTCAGGTCTTAATGTGCATTAGTGTTAATCCCAATTTATGTTATACAGGTAACAATCTAAGATCAATTTTTCTTTTTAAGGATTACAAACCTTTGCGCATGTGTGTTTAATTTGGGTATGGGGAAGGGAGAAGAAGCAGTTAGAGAGTTCTGTTTACCCTATTGGCAGAAAAGGGCCAACAGGCACAGGTCACAACCACAGGCAAAAGGAGGTTAGAGTAGCCTATTATTAAATTAATTTTTTTTTTCTTTGAGACAGAGTCTCTCTCTGTCGCCCAGGCTGGAGTGCAGTGGCGCGATATCGGCTCACTGCAAGCTCCACCTCCCAGGTTCACCCCATTCTCCTGCCTCAGCTTCCCGAGTAGCTGGGACTACAGGTGCCCGCCACCACGCCCGGGTAATTTTTTGTATTTTTAGTAGAGACAGGGTTTCACTGTGTTAGCCAGGATGGTCTCAATCTCCTGATCTCGTGATCCGCCCGCCTCGGCCTCCCAAAGTGGTGGGATTACAGGCGTGAGCCACCAGGCCCGGCCATTAAATTTAATTTTTTAAAATACATACTCTTCTCATCTTCACTCTTCACCTTCACCTTCACCGCACTGAATGTGCGGAAAGACTCCAGGGAGGAACAGAAGATCCCCAACCCCTCTATTCTAGGGATTTCATATGTAAAGCCTGAGACGGTGAGGATGAAGAATAAAAAATTGTTTATGAAGGGGAAGAAGGCATCTGTTGCTACCTTAACCGTCAGATACTATCATCCCCAGCCCCTTTTTGCTTCCTTAGAAAGAGCCCCTGGGAATCAATTTGACTATAGAACAAGCCCTTCCTCTAGAGGGGCACTCAAACCCCAACATGGAATTGGAAGCTCTGGGGTTAACTGAGGAAGAAGGGGAGAATTGATAGCACCTCAGCCAGCAGGGGAGGGGGTCTGCCCTTCATTAATCTGTAATCAGCCAGCTGGACAGACGGCAGCCTGTGTTTCAATTGCTCCCATGTGAACAATGACTTTTTCCTTTTATGTGTTCTGCTCCCCACTATTTCATAGAGAGCCTCCCTCACCTCCACTGGAGACACTAGGTTTCTTGATCTTTTCTTCAAAGAGAAGGGAGGGGAGAGGAGGTTGTAGGTGGGGCAAAGCCCATCTCATCTCTTCATCTAAGTCAGAGCATTTGCTCTCCTAAAAGGAACCTAGAAGGGAAGTTCTCCAAGTTCTTGCTCAGATAGGAGCAGATTTCTCTCCCCCAGCACAGGTACAAGACAGTAGCAGAATACACTGGTCTTGATGAGTGATGCCATCAGTACTGAGTAGCAGAGAGGAAGATTTCAGGAGGCAGGGAGGTAGGGCACATCTGGCGCTGGTCTCACCCTGATGCAGAAGCCTAGCCCTGCACTGTTCTCCTCTTCAGATGAGTATGAGGATCACCACAGTCCTGTTCACTGTAGCTGAATGTGCGGAAAGACCAGGCACCCATGAGCCAAGGGGTCTTCCCTCAGTCTTGGTGTGCAGGCGGCACACTACTTGAGCCCTAGATATTTTTAAATTCCTTTCGGTTGTGTGGGCTGCATTCTTTAGGACATTGGCTAGGACTAAATGACTGAGGATGAAACCAAATATGCCTATATTGCAAGGATTCTCTTGATTTTTTTTAAAAAAGGCCTTTGAATAACACAGAACTATGTTCAGTTCTAGAATTACTTGTTTTGTTGTTTCTATTTCTCTGGTGAGAATTTTTACCCTTTCATTCATTATGAGCATACTTTTAGTTTATTAAGTATAGTAATAATACCTGATTTAAAGTACTTGGCTACATCCAAAACCTGGATTTTCTCTTGAAAATTAGTCACATTTTCTTGGATATTTGTATATTGACTAATTTTGGACTATTTCTTGAATATTGTGAGTATTATGTTATAAAGGCTGTAATATTTATGTTTCAGGATTAAACTAATATTTTTGTCTTAGCAAGAAATTCACTTGGTTGGATGGAACCTACACATGCTTTCTCGTGGGTGGCAGCTTGAACCTTAGGACAATTCTTTTAGCTTTGGCTGGGCTACCTGCAGCCTGACCTCCCCATGCATGGCTCAGGAATCAGCCTGAGGTTTGGACAGACTTTAGGACCCCCTCCTTTTCAGGATTACCTACTCACTTTCCATTAGCAGTGGTTGCCAAGATTCTCTCATCTTTTGCCTCAGGCCAGAAAGACTGAGATTTTGTCAGAGTTTCAGCTATCTCACACTGACTGAAGCATCTGCCCTCTGGCTATAAGCTGATGTAGAAGATGGATGGATGGATGGATGGATGGATGGATGGATGGATGGATGCATGGATGGACGGACGGACGGACAGACACACACACAGACAGAGAGACAGACAGATAGATAGATAGACATAAAAATAACTCATTCTGTGCCAATTCTGTCAAGTGTCAACTGCCCTCCAAAATCTCTCTGCTTTGTTCATGATTCAGTCTTTAGTCAGTTGTTTATTTGGTAATTTGTCCAGAGTATATGGTTATTTGCTGGAGAAACAGTCAGAGAGGAACTTGCATGGCCATAACTGAAGCAGAACTTGCAGAAGCATAATTCAAAAGAAAGAAAAGAGTAATGGATAAGGGAAGGAGCTAGTATTTGTTAAGCTCCATGTATAGGCAGCACATTAAATACCTTTTCTGTTCTTTTTCTGTTTTCTTGTGTTTTATCCTTCTTGCCCAAACAATGAAATGCTCTTATGAACTTTATGCTAGCCTCACAATTCCACGTGGACCACTGGCAATATAGCATGGTTCATATTTTGTGTTTGATCCCAGAAGTACATTGCTCAATGTTAGAAACCTGCCCATGTGTCTGGAATAACTGCCTTGATACATTCTCCTAGAATTTTCCTAGGAGGCCACAGCCTCACTCCCTCGTATTTTTTCAAAACATGTAATTTCACCACATAGCTGAAACCAAGAACTTCCCTAGAACTTAAGTGTCAAAATGACTTTCATTCATTAATTGACTCCTTCACAAGATGTTTATTTTGTTTATTACATGACATAGTCCAATAAAGGGATGTTTTAAAAGTTCATTCTCAATGCCTATCTCATATTACAGAAATCTGCCTAGGATCAACCACATGAAAAGCACTTAGCATATGCCAGGTACTGATCCTAGAGCTGGAAGTGCAGCTGGAAATAACATGCAGTTCCCGACCTTAGAGTACTTATGGTCTAGTATGATAAGAATATTAGGAACACAATTTAGTCTATTCAATGTTAAGACAGAATTAAATTTGTTTATGCCAGACATTCTTTATAAGTACTAGGGCCTGTAAAAACTGGATTTCTGAAAAATAAAATAACAAGAAAAAGTCAGTACATTTTTCAGTCTATAAAACCTCTTGGAGAGTAGTGATGTGTATTGTGTGCTTTGGTTGCTGAAAATATGTGAGAAACAAAAATCAATAAGTTAAACTGTTGGTGGAAATGTAAATTAGTTCAGCCATTATGGAAAACAGTATGGAGGTTCCTCAAAAACCTAAAAATAGAACTACCATATGATCCAGCAATCCCACGACTGGGTATCTATCCAAAGGAAAGGAAATCAGTATGTTGACGATTTCTCTGCACTCCCATGTCTATTGCAGTACTCTTCACAGGAGGCAAGATACAGAATCAACTTAAGTGTCCAGCAGAGGGTGAATGGATAAAGAAAATATGGTGTGTGTGTGTGTGTGTGTGTGTATATATATATATGTGTGTGTGTGGAATATCATTCAGCCTTAAAATAAAAAGGTAATTCTGTCATTTGCAACCACATAGATGAACCTGAAGGACATTATATCAAGTGAAATAACCCAAGCACTAGAAGATAAATACCACGTTTTTACTCACAATGCTAAAAAAAACTTGCAAGTTGCTCTAGCAGATGTCGTTACTAGAGCCAAGGAAGGGAGAGAGAGGGGGACAGCCAAAGGCTTGTTAAGGGATGCAAAAGTATACCTAGCCAGGAGGAATACGTTCTAATGCTCTATAGTACTATAGGGGGACTATATTGACACTTTATCGTGTATTTTCAAATAACTAGAAGAGTGGATTTTGAATGTTCCCAACACAAAGAAATGATAAATGTTTGATGTGGTTGATATGTTAATCACCCTGATTTGCTCATTACACAATGTATATATGTATCAAAATATCACAGGTACCCCATAAAGATGTAAAGTTGTTATGTGTCAATTAAAAATAAGAATAATAAAACCAAAATCAATAAATTGAGTAATTTGTTAGAGGCAAATGCCCATATATCGTCAATTTAATCAGCCATTCCTTCACTGATGTAACAGAAACTTAACAGTCATGTGTTATGTGTTATATGACAGACTCAGTGTTAGGACAGTAAGTTAAGAGATGAAGACAAATGAACATGTGGAACAATAATGAGACTGATTTTTTGTACTGGTGACCATGGGCAAGTGACTTAATCTTTCTGAGCCTCAGTTTCCTCAGCTACAAAGTGAGATTAAAAGTAACGATACGTATCTCATGAGGTTATTTTCAACATTAAATGAGATGTTTTTATATATGGAGCGCCTGGCATAGTGCCTGGATCCCTGTAGATTCTTAACAAGTTTCAGCAATTTTTCCACCCTGCTATTATAGAAAAGAAATTTGAGGCTCAGTGCAGTGAATAACTTACTCACCCGGGACACTACATACCTAGAAGATAAATTAAACCCAAGCACATGGTACAAAGTACATGAGTCTTGTTTGAGACCAGAAAGAAAGATTAATTCTGCCTATGGAGTCTGAGACAGAATCAGGGAGGAATATTTAAACCAATTCCATGGATGACTTTTCAGGTATTGTCCATAAATACATATTTGGAGACTTGGAGCAAAGTTTTTAAAAAGTCCATCAACCGCTGATCCCCTAGACACCAGCAGATCCTCCATCTGGTCTCTTCCTCACTAGCATAGCTTCCTTCATCTTTAAGAGATTATGCTGGTTAATCTTTAATGACAAGGATCAACACCAGTTTCTCAATCCTGACCTTTTTATAATTTTCAGAGCTAGCAGATGAGAGGAAATAGACGAAATAACTGCCTTGATATATTCTGCTAGCATCACTCCCTCTAAAGTAAAAAGAGTACTTCTTTAAACCATGTAACTTTGCCAGCACAGTTGAAACCAAGAACTTCTCTAGAACTTGAGTGTCAAAATGACTCATTCATTATTTACTCCTCCACAGGATGTTTATTTTGTTTATTACATGACACTGTCCACAAACTGGAAGCAGATTTTCAGTGGAAAAAAATCCTCAAAGTAAAACCCTGAGAAGATTATTAATCCTAAGAAGGATAATCTCTTTCTGATTTTCTTTGTGTAACTAAAATACCTATGTAACTCTATTTTAAGAAATAAGGCTTACCATAAACATAACTAATGTTTATGATACACAACAATATGTAAAAATTATCTTAGCATAACTTTATTGCCAATTATCTGAATATAACCTCCATCTCTTTTTATTCTGTTTCATTCAACAGAATGCTACAGCTTTCCATGTAACTGTCCAAGATGATAATAACATCGTTGTCTCATTAGAAGCTTCAGACGTCATCAGTCCAGCATCTGTGTATGTTGTGAAGATAACTGGTGAATCCAAAAATTATTTCTTCGAATTTGAGGAATTCAACAGCACTTTGCCTCCTCCTGTTATTTTCAAGGCCAGTTATCATGGCCTTTATTATATAATCACTCTGGTAGTGGTAAATGGAAATGTGGTGACCAAGCCATCCAGATCAATCACTGTGTTAACAAGTAAGCATCATGTGTAATATTGTCCCGTTTCTTCTTATTGTTCCCCTGTTTCTTCCCGTAGGGCTCGAATTGACAGACTCCACCCAGAATGGCAAAATCACTTGCCTTAATGCCAAGTGACGTAGATTCAAAGTTATGAGCTATATTAAGAATACAGCTGAAGTTTGATGTTTACTCTTTACCTTGTGATAACAAAAATATTTTTAAACCCAAAAAAGTAAACCTCAATGATGTAGTATATTTTGAGACTGAGTAACAATTTCAAATTCATGATTGGACCATGTAATTTTCTGCTATGTTGCTTAATAATGTCATCATAACTTGTTTATTTTTTTCCAGAGCATGTATTCTCATATTAAGCAATTCAGTTTGGGGACAATGAACTGATACTCCTATTTAACCTGCTCAAATTCAGGTATAGGTCTTTGGCTGAGAGAGAGAAAAAGATATATTTATTTATCAATTGTTATTCCCCACCTCATCTTCAAAATAGCTTTGCCTTCTACTTCTTAAGAAAAAATGCCAAGAAAAAAAATTACTGGCATTTTAACCTTCATTAGTCCATGTCATAAAGAGTTAAGGCTGACATTGGGAAATTTTTAGGAATACTTTTAACTCCATGTGATTTTTTTTCACTTTACTCACTGACTTTAATATCTAATCTCAAATTAAGATGTGACTCTACTGTCTATGTTGACATGTGGAAGAAAAACTGATATCTGTAAGACAGTAGAGTTTATCACTAGCACAATATAATGGCTCAGCAAAGTCCCTTTTGCTTGTGTTCTTTAGTGTAAGTTTTGCAACAGCTGCAATTTGTTAAATGCCATCTATGTGTGATTGTTCTGGTGATAAATACGTGGAAAGACAGTGATATTATCTGTTGGGATAAAAGGAAGCAGAAACTACAAGAAGCAAAAACTCAGAACCAAGCTAGAGGACATATTTTTAACACATCTCTCAAAAATTAATTAAAGTCTCCATTGGCACAATCCCAGGATCAGTAGTGAGTCCTAAAAATTAGGAATGGCATAGACCCAAGACCTTCAAAGTTTATAGACATAATGAACAGATCTACTAGTTGAATTAAAGGGAGAACTTACCTGGTAAAATACTGTCTTAAACAAGCTCTAGAAAAAGATGAATTGCAAGTCAGATTTAGGCAGCAGATATAGGCACATAACGCCTACAATACAAACTCCTTAATATCAAAAGCTCTGTCTTACTTATCTTCATAATTTCATAAACACCTAGCCCAAGCCTTATGCTTGCTTAATAGATGATCCATAAATATTAGTACAATTTAGTTGAGCAAGTAATAGGAGAGACCCGGGGGGAAAAATTAAGGCACAAAGAAAAATAGATTTAGGACTGTAATGACGGTCGCTGATCCAACATTTATGAGCATGCACTCAGCCATTCCTCATCAGTTGCAGCTGAATGATTCAGCCCTTTAGCTAACTGTTCATGAAGAAATTTGATAGGTAAGCAATGCTAAAAAATTTCTAGAATATCACTTAGCATTTGCAATGAGTTCCATTCAAAATATATTCTATTTTCCTTTGTGATGTTTTTCTTTGACCTGTAGGGCTTACAAGTGTGTTGAATATCCAAAAATTTGGAAATTTTGCAGACATCTTTTTTCACTGATTCCTTGAGGAAGTGTTGTTGTGATCAGAGAACATATTTTATATGATTTCTTTTACTTGAAAATTGTTGAGATTTGTTTTATGGGTCCAAATATGGTCTTTCTTGCTGTGTATTCTGTGAGCACTTCCAGGGTGAAGTTTCAATAAGTACCGACCAGGTCACGTTGATTGTTCAAGTCTTCTATGTCCTTACTGATTTTCTGTCTATTTGTTCTAATAATGACTGATAGAGGAATCTGAAAGTCTCCACTTGTAACTGTAAATTTGTCTATTTCTCCTTTCACTTATTTTGGTTTATGCTTTACATATTTTGAAGCTCTGTTGTTATTAGGTGCAAAAGCTTTCAAGATTGCTATGTCTTCTTGATAAACTGACCCTTTTGACTATATGTAATGTCCCTCTATATTCCAAGCAATATGCCTTGTGTTAATTTCCCTTTTGCCTGATATTAAAATAGCCATAGTTTTCTTTTTTAAGTGTTTGTGTGGCATACCTAATCCACCCTTTTGCTTTCAGCCTACTTCTGTCTTTACGTGTAAAAGGGTTTCCTGCAGACAGCATAGAGTTGAGTCTTGCTTTTTTTTTCCAATCTAAAAATCTTTGTCTTTTAACTGGAGTATTTAGGACAGCACTATCCAATAAAAAGAGAATGTTAACCTTATATGTAATAGTAGATTTTCTGGTAGACACATTAAAATGCTTTTTAAAAAGGTGAAATTAATTTTAATATCATGGTTTACTTAATCCATTATATTCAAAATATTATTTCAACATATAATCAATATACATATTTACACATTTTTTACTTTCATACATAAATTTAAATAGAAATAAAGTTGCACTAGCCTAATTTTAATCGCTCAATAGCCATATGTAGCTAGTTGCTACCAATTTAAATAGTGCAGGTTTAGACAATATATATGTAATTATTAATATTTATTATTATAATATAATACAATTATTTCTATGGTTGAATTTGAATTTACCATATTGTTAGGCTGTCAGGTAGAACAGGGAGTGAGTCGATCTAGTCAATAGTTGAGCTGGGTTTAAGGTATTAGACACCTTTCGTTCATCACAGATTTCCAGTTCTTCCCATGATAGGCTGCCAGGAGTGGTAGTGGGTATTTCTCAGTGTTTCAGTTTCACCCTCAGTATGCAGCAAGCCCTGAACACCGGCACCACAGAAGAGCTCCCCCAGCAATAGACTGCTGTTGCTTTTCACTCATTGCTAACTTTTTGGTGGGGACAGAGGATGTTCTTCGTTCTCGTGGTCCAGCCTCAGGCTTAGGCAGACCCTGTGATGTTAGATGGGACATTCTTGACATTTTTACCCCTCAAACTACACCGACACTGAAATTCTACATTAAATCCATGGGTCAGAGAGATTCCTGCCTCTTCTCCAGTGGTAGCAGAACCACTGATACTCTACTTTGTATTAGTGCAGGACTCTGGTCCCAAAAGAGTTTCTGCTCCTCTCCCAGGAACAGGCGTCTTTTGTTTCTATTCATCCTTCAAAAGAAGGGATATTTTCCTGAGAACTAGAAAGGAAAGATTTTTCTGCCCCTCCACAATACATTAAGGCTTCTCCTTTGTATTCAGGAAAGGTCCAGGGAAGTAAGTTTTCTTGCTGTCCTCTTAGTGGTTTCAATTATCATCTGCACACCTGTCACCCCCATACCCCCATCCCCAGCCCCCCAGAGGGAGGCTCTCTCTAGTCCCCTATCCTGCCTCTGGTAGTCCTCATGAGCATGGGGTAGAGGCCCAAGGGGAAAGCTAGAGAGAGACAGTAGACTCTGTTTGTGTCTGTGTCTCCCAGTTAGTCTAGACCAGTGGTGACCTAGAACTTTGGGATGATGGAAATGTTCTATGTCCATATTGTCCAACATAGTAGTCACTAATTTTTAATTTTAATTAGTTTTAGTTCATTTAAAATTTGATTTAAATAGCTCTATGTAGCTAATAGCTACCATATTGGACAGAGCAATTCTTTGCATCCATTTAGACCATACTCAGCCTTTATGAATCCATTAAACTCGGAGCTGCTTTCTTCTTATCTGCTTCGATGTTGTATCCTCTTCCTGCTGTGCTTTGCCAAAGGTGAAATAGTGTGTCGCCTCTCTCCAGAGGGGCTGGTCACTCCTTCGAATTCACATCACTTGGTTCACTTGCTACCTCACCTCTCCTGTAACCTCAAGAATAGTTATGATTTCGTGAATTATGTGGCTTTTCCTTGTTGAGGTGGAGAAGAAGTGATGTTGTCCTGGGGCTTTCTACATCTTAAGGGGAAGAGAAAACACGTATTGATTTCCAAAGAGTAAAATTAATTCATGATGGTCTATTAAATATTATCTTGTACCTCATTTTTAAAGGTTCAATTACATTATCCCAAATTTGAGGGGCAATAATAGGTTGGGAATATCAGAAGTGGGAATTAGTGCACAAATATTTCTGTGACATTAGGCATGAGCTGGCATTTGGTGACATTTGGGTTTCAGCTTCCACCTTCATAAAAGAGGGAATTGAAGTACATGATGACTAAGATAAATTTTGAGCTCTGAAACTAACATTATCTGTCAGTTAATGATGTGTTTTTGCCATCTTTATTTTTCTAACTGAAAGCTTTTTAAACAAGTTTGGAAAACATTTGTAGTATCTGCTCACAGAGTTGACATATTTCTCCTGAGAATAAAAGAGTACCTTTATAGCAGTCATTTATTGTGTGTTAGATGCTTGTCTTGATGAAATAAGCAATGACAAAGCAATTGGCCCCAGGGCAGTCCTTTGATATTTCACTATAGTTGTTCTGAGTCTGTCACTCTTAGAGAAAGCTGAAAAACATGGCAAAGAATAAATTTGGCACAGCAGAGTCATTTGGCCAGTTCAAAAGAATTTCACAACCCTTAGGCTGTGACATGTCATTAATATTTAATTGATTGAGAACCTTCAGTATATTGCCTGCCCTTCAGAGGGAAGGGGTAGTTTCTCAGCACGTAAAAGGATGCCTGGAATCAGTTCCTTGGAAATTGAGGAAATGTCACATACACACAGCTGTGTCATGTGTCAGTGAAGTTCTACAGATAGTGGCTGTACACATTAAAGAATACACATAGAGACACTCTACAAATATAATATTCTATACAGTCCTATTCTAAATAAAAATAATTCATGAATTTTTATTTTAGTTATCAGGTACATTCTCTGTGCCATGTCCTAGGTACCAAAGAAATAAAGATAGATAAAAATACTCATAATCAAAGATGTTATACTATAGTGGAAGAGACAAATAAAAACCATTACAAATAATATGATAACTGCTATTGTAACCAGAAAGGGGTCACAATCCAGACCCCCAAGAGGGTGCTTGGATCTCACGCAAGAAAGAATTCAGGGCGAGTGCACACCGCAAAGCAAAAGCAAGTTCATTAAGAAAGTAAAGGAATGAAAGAATGGCTACTCCATAAGCAGAGCAGCCCAAGGACTGCTGGTTGCCCATTTTTATGTTTATCTATTGATTACATCCTTAACAAGGGGGTGGATTATTCATGAGTTTTCCAAAAAGGGTGGACAGTTCCCGGAACTGAGGGTTTATGCCCCTTTTAGACCATATAGAGTAACTTCCTGACATTGCCATGGCATTTGTAAACTGTCATGGCACTGGTGGGTGTCTCTTAGCATGCTAATGTATTATAATTAGTGTATAGTGAGCCAGTGAGGACAACCAGAGGTCAGTCTCATAGCCATCTTGGTTTTGGTGGGGTTTGGCCAGCTTCTTTACTGAAGCCTGTTTTATCACCAAGGTCCACCCCAGTAGGTCTCAGCCTTATTTTACCCAGTCCCTATTCATGATGGGGTTGCCCTGTTCAAATGCCTCTGACACTGTGAAAGAATTATGTGAAAGAGACTGCCTTGCCTTCCTAGGGAGCACTGGGAAGGCAGCACAGAAGAAACAATCATTGAAAAATAAAGGAAAATTTGCCACAAGAATGAAGAAAGGAAAGTGTTACAGAGTCAAATGGAATCGTATATGCAAATAATGGAGGCATACATAGCATGGCACACTTGATGACTGCAGAAAGTTAAGATGGCAAGTGTTAGCTGTTCCAGAAAATAACAAGAAAGGTGGCTAGAAATGTTGAAGAACTTTAAGTACCTTGCAGAGGAATTTAGACTTTAACCTATAAGTGATGAGGGAGAAATTACATAATAGGATTTGAATGGAGAAAGCTCTCTCTTGTAGCAAAGCTGCAAGCCAAGAGATCCTGAATCCTGCATTGGAATAGAAAAATTATCAAGCAAGTATTTGGGGTAGTAGTTCAATCATATGTATAGCCTTAGGCAGATGATTACTTTCTCTAAATCTTAGTTTTCAAATCTACAATTCATTCTAGGGGTTAGCAAACTTTTTCTATGAAGGCTTAGATAATAAGTGTGTTATGCTTTGAGGGCCATACAGACTATATTGCAACTACACAACTCTGCCGTTGTAAACAACAGCAGCCACACACAATACATAAACAAATGATAATGGCTATATTATAATTAAACTTTATAGACACCAAAATTTTATTTTTTTATACAATTTTCACGTGCCATGAAATACTATTCTTTTGTTTAGGCACAACATCTAAAAATGTAAAAGCCTTTCTTAGCTCAAAAGTCAAACAAAAACAGGTGGCAGGGCAGATTTGGCCTTGTGGACTGTAGTTTGCTCACTTGATCTGTCGTATCATTATAATATGTAATATTGGGATAATTAGAGTGCCTACTTGGTGGGGGCATTATAAAATAATATAAAGTAAGCGCCTTAACAAAGCATGCAGTATAGGATCAATCAAGATAAGAAGTATCAATGGCATTAAATAGAAAGTTACTCAAGGTGTCAGAAGTGAAGGAGATTGAGACAGATTGGGCAGGGAAATATCAGTGAGAAGGAGGTGACTGGTTTAGGACAAAGATTCTGACTAAAGTGAGAATATCAAGTACCGTACAGACATTGAAATTTTGAGCAGAAATGAATAAGAATATTAAGGTGAGAATGGAGGCAGGGAGAATAATTTAGAAAGTTGTTGAAATGTTCGAGGAAAGAAATGATGAGAACTTGAACTAAGGTACTGGATGTGATGGTCACCACCTCACTTGGACTGTGGGCAGCTGGTGTTGCCAGACCTACCTCGCTGGCCTGCTTTGATGTAGCTGAGATGCCAGGTCAGGTCTCAAATGATCATCTATGCACCAAACAGCAGCTCTGGCCTCAGTCCAGTCTCTTTTCCCTGTGCCTGCCATCAGAAGTGAGGGTCTAATCCCAGATCCTCTCCCTCAAGAGAACTGTGCCAGAAGAGACACATTCTTCAGCTGGTCACATCAGAGGTTACTGAACATGAACACAATTGCTTCTTTAGTTTGTATTCTTTAGTCCAGCTAAACAGAGCAATCTCAGAAAGAAGCAACTCAGCAGTTAGCATTTAATAAGTAATACATAGCTACTTTTGTTTTCTTTAAACAATATGTGCTCCACATTTGTTTGTATTTCTTGTCTCTTCTCCGAGATAGTCACATCCAGAACTTTCAAAACTTTCCTATTCATGATCTCTCTTGAATGATTCAAAGATAATTAAGGGGCATAAAATATTGTTCAATTTGAACATGAGTTTTCATTATATGAGACACCTAATGAGGGAAAAAATGATCACACTAAATGTCATTTTTTATTAAAGAAAAAACTAGGAACTTATGCTAGGATTTCTTGTCAAAATATGCAGTCCATTCTTCTTGTCATCCACTTTTTGCTCCTACCACAAAGCAAAAAGAAAAGCAGAAGCACATTTCCAGACACAAAGCCACAATAGTTCTCTAAGAACCAGAAACAAGATAAAAACTCAAAGCAGGGAAATGGGCTGAAGTAATGGGCCCTCTGTGCTCTGGGTCTGGAAAAGACACTATTGAGTCTGGGCCCCAATATAGTCAGAAGGACTGAAATGCTCCACGCTAGACAGGGCACAGAGCCAGCCTCTCTGCTTACAGCAAAGATTCTTCCTGTTTGACAAACAAACAAACAAACAAACAAACAAAAACATACATAAAGACCTGAGGATGCAGGAGACACATATTCATCTTACTACCGAGGTCCAAGGCTAGTTACTCTCTGACTCAGTGAATGAATCTATAGTGATAACCACTATATCATCCACAATATTAAGAATGGCAAAATAATGTCATATGTCTTGCTGTAGACTGGGTGCTTTGGTGGGCTGAGAGGATGCAATGGCTTAATTATTTTTAAAAGCAAGGCATAATAAGAGAGAAATGGGGAGATGAAAAAGCATCAAATGAGCCCAGAGCCTGTGTCTCAAAACACATGAAGAACTTATGCTAAAAAAGATAGATATCAAAACAACGATAACAGTTCAGATTATATTTTAAATAGCAATTTAACAAAAATTTAATTATGTTTATAATGTTCAAGGACATAAATGTAAGAACCACCTCCAGTTTTTGAAACCAGGGAATTAGTGGGAAAAAAAATTGGCAGAAATAGTGCAGTGCTGTGCCTACAGTTCCACCTAATCAGGAGGCTGAGGCAGGAGGATCCCTTGATTCCAGGAGTTCAAATCAAGGCTGGACAACATGATGTGACCCTATCTCAAAAAAAATTTGCAGAAATAAAATAAAAACATATAGAATAAACATGAATAAATTAAAATTTTTATAAATGAAAACATAATTATTTAAATTAATTTAAAATTTAATGCATCAAACTAGGTAAAATTAATTTGATTGATTAAATTTAAAGTTTACTAATTGAAAAGCTTCAGTAGATAGGACAAATTCTATACTGATAAAAGTTATAAAGAGCTAGTAAATTGGAAGATAATACCATGCAATTTGCCTCATAATATAGCACAGTGAGGCAATTCACAGGCATGGAAGTGGGAGAGGCTCTAGCTAAGAAGGCTTAAGAATTCATGAAAAAGAAGGAGGGAATGGTGGGCACAATATTTGGAGAGATGATTATGAGAATTTCCAAGACTTGAAAAATGACATGAATTCACAGACTGACAGAGCATTCCAACTAAGTACCTAATAGAGTAATTCAAAACTAAAACTACGCCTAAATATATAATGCTATATTATTGTTATTATATATCATCAGATTACTAAGGCTGAATGAAAATAGATAAATAAGCTTGAAAGGTACAAGAGAAAAAAAGCGAAGTATCTACAAAGGAATGACTATTCTACTGACAGAAGTCTTCCCTTCTGCAATAACTGGTGAAAGAAAACAAAAAAACAACATCTTCAAAGTACTGAGGAAAATACCTGTCTACCTAGAATTTTATACCCAGATACATCAAGAATAAACCACATTAAGAATAAAGATAAAATAAAGAAATCTTCTAATATACAAACCCTAGAGAACTTAACACCTATAGCTCTGAGTTAAAGAACTGTTAATAGATAGATTTCAGCAAGAAAAAAGGTGAATCTAGAGGAAAGTCCAGGACACAATTTTAAAAAATGACAATGGGAATATGGTATATGACAAAGATTGTGTTACAAATTAGCAGGAGAAGATGGAAAAAGAACCCCAAAACAGGCAAAAGAATTTAACAATTCTAAGAAAAGGAAAGCTGATTGACCAAAAAACATAAGAAAAAATCATTAATCTCCATGAGCAGGAAATTAAAACAAAGAGATAACATTTCACACACCTCAGAGTGGCAAAAATTAAAAAGACTGATATCAGCGAAAGTTGGAAAATGATATGGAGAAAGAGGAACTATCATACACTGCTAATAGATATGTAAATTGCCCTAATCTATTTCTAATCTAATTAGAAAACTTTCTGAGGCTAGACTATCTGACACAGATGATGTGTAGACCCTTCTATTCAGGATTTTCAACCTAAGGCGACATGCCGCAAACATTTATTGCAGCATTATTTGTAAGAGTGAATGATTAAAAGCAATTACTCTACTAAAAGAATAACAGGTATATTGTGTAGGTTATATAGTTGCAAAACGGACACTAAAATAAAATTTTTAGACGTTCTTGTATCAAGAGTGATAAATCTTAAAACAATGTTAGGCAATAAAAACAAGCTGCAGGATAGTTATGATAATTTACATAATAATTTAAAACATGAAACAATGTTGGATGCTTACAAATATATAAGTTTAAAAAACATGCATGAGAAGATAAATACCAGATTCAGAGTAATAATTTACTTCTGGTCATGGTGGGAAAAGAATGGGGTTTGGGTAAGTTACAGGGGGGAATTTCAAATATATTTTCTAATACTTTATTTATTTGAAAAATTAAAACATCTGTGGACAAGAAAGTAATGAACAAAGATATTAAGTGATTCACCTTGTCCAACAACTCCATTTCTCTGTCCAGTCCAGGCTGGTCATAAGAAAAAAAGGGAAGTACAATGGAGTGACTGACAGGGCAAGGACTATCAGCTTAGATTAGGATTTAACCTTGTCATCACTGAAATACCTGTTAGTAACTATAGCTCTAGTTCATACCACACCACTTAATTTCTAAAAAGAAAGACAATGAGAGAAGTCACTGGAGAGATAGTAAAATATTTTTAGACTATACGTTTGAGTTCTTCTAAAAACAGTAATTCTTGAATTGAATACTCCTCAGTGATGCTTAGACATCAACAGGATTTACTGCTGACCTGGGTCATTTACACTGAAGCTGAGGGAAACATAAAAAAAACATACAAGCAAGCATTTTAAGACATTCTCTTAGTTTAAAGTTTAAGTAGCTTGTTGCAGAAAAAAAATTGGAAAATAAAATATCTGTTCTCTAATCCTCCTGTCTGTCTTGAATTTCAAAGTTTGACCGTGGCTTTGATGTGCAGACTTCGTGCCTCAGGGCATGAAAGATTGAGTGCCCTTCTAACTTCTCTTTTCAGTAGAAGAAACCCTGATGAGGATGTGAAACAGGACTGCAGCAGTGAAGGAGTTACTGCTCCGTGGCTACTTTTTCTGTCTCCTTTCATTTTAGTTCTCTTAGGGTCAGAGTCAATAGCTGGATCTGGTAGACTCCATGGGTTAGTAAATTAGGCTGGGTTGAAAAAAAGAACTTGAAGCAGTTCAAAACTTCTTTGGGAGTTTTGAACTCAAAACAGAGTTTTCAAGGGTTGGTTGATTGGTTGACATGGTACGTAAGTGAGTTAGTGAGTTCATTCAGAAATGTTACCTTCATGTAGGAAGACTAGGGATGAGACAAAGATAAAATTCAAACCTTTTAACCAGACTATAGCACATAGTCTACAGTGACATGATCATAAAATATACTGGAGTCTGAAGGTCTTCCTAACTTTTTTGTAGATGCTGTTTTTCAGAAAACTCCAGGAAAAATCAAAGCATGAACATGTAGCTTCAATTATTTCTGGGTTTCTTAAAGTCAAAAACAAAGATAGATTAAGAACCTGAGCAACAAAATAAAATACATTCAGCTACAGATTGAGACATACTAGATCCTCAATAGTTATTTATTGAATGAACTAAGTCAAATTTGGAGTTCTCATGTTATTGAAATTGAAATTTTTTAAATGTAAAGTTTAAACTAAGGACATTTCTTTAGGTCAGCCTATAGATGATGTCCAAGAATTCTCTCAATTCTAAAAGTGTGAATCAAAAATTTTTTTTTCTGTCAACCTAAAATCGTCAAAAGGGTCAGAATCTCATTTAAAGAGAGTTTTATCAAGCACAAAGTGTGAGGCTGGACCACCTGGAAACACCAACTCCAAAAGAATTCAGTCAGTGCTCTGAAGTAGTGAAATTGGGATCTCATTTCTATAGGCAGAAACAGAGAAGATTTTATCAGGATTACAAAAAAATTATTCATATAAGGATGGCACCTGGTTACAGAAATTTCATTGATTATAAGCAGTGTTTCTTTTGGGGAAGGGTACATTTAACATTTTTTTACACAGAGTGTAATAGTTATTTATAGGTTTTCTGTCATCCAGCCTAAGCAAAGCAGGACAAGAAAGGGGGGAAGTTAATCTACAACATGGGTCATTAATTAAGAAGGCAGGAGATTTTTGTCCCTGACATCATTTAATTCCCTCTAGTCACTGCACAGAACAAGAAAAATGAAGTGAGTTAATCTGTAATTTGAGAACAGAAGTTATAACTATATGTGACTCAGATCACAGTTACGTCTTTTGGGGTTCCAACAGCTTTTAAATTTTACTTATGTTCATTTTTCTTTTCTTTTTTTGTTTTTTTTTTTTTTTTTTTTTTGAGATTTCACTCTTGTTGCCCAGGCTGGGGTGCAATGGCGGGATCTCTGCTCTTGGCAACCTCTGCCTCCCAGGTTCAAGTGATTCTCCTGCCTCAGCCTCCCCAGCAGCTGGGATTACAGGCGTGTGTCACCACACCTGGCTAATTTTCTATTTTTAGTAGAGACAGGGTTTCTCCATGTTGGTCAGGCTGGTCTCAAACTCCCGACCTCAGGTGATCCACCCGCCTTGACCTTCCACAATGCTGGAATTACAGGTGACCCCAAACCAAATTATTTAACATATCTTCTTAATAAAATTCATACAGGTAAAATCTGTTTAATAGCTTCTTTAGAAAGGTGCAAAATGCATTATTTACAAGAATTTTGCAGGAGAGTGGGAGGGGGAGGAGAGGCAGGCATATATCGATCATGGATTTTAAAAAATGAGTATTTTTAAAGTTTTCCAGTGAATGAACTACTCAAGCAAAATAGAAATGTTTTCTTTAAATTTCTACAGAAAGAGTGGTTTGATAAACACCACAAAACATATGTTTTACAACATTGGACAGTTTAAAATTTTATACTTCATATGGAAAAATAAGTGCTATGTTCACAGGAAGAAATAAATGATCATATAACTATCATTGGTCTGAGCCAAAATTTATTTTCTGTTACTGGTCTGTTACTGATATCAAATTTCCTTTGCATGAGAAAAAGAAAAATAAACTAGGAATCTGGAGATACAGACTGTCATGTACTTGTTAAATTACCTTGGACAAGTAATTTAGTCTGTGAGTCATCATTATATTTATAGGTGGGATGGAGATATTTTATTTGCTCTTCCTAGATCTCAGGACTGTTGCAAAAGGAAAAATAAATGTAAAAGTTCTTCAAAAAGCAGAAAGCACCATATAAAATGTACTTTATTAATTACTGCTAAGAACATTCAATTCATGGTTACTGAGGAGTTTAGTGCCCACAGACAGTGAAAATTATGCGTGAATTTCTGGTAGGTGTAATCCTTGCTTAATTCAAGTATTGATATCGGCCTTTCTCTCTCCTCTTTCTTTTCCCTTTCTCCATTTACTTCACTTCTGTAGAACCTCTACCTGTAACCAGTGTTTCCATATATGACTATAAACCTTCTCCTGAAACAGGAGTCCTGTTTGAAATACATTATCCAGAAAAATATAACGTTTTCACAAGAGTGAACATTAGCTACTGGGAAGGTAAAGACTTCCGGACAATGCTATATAAAGGTAAGCAGCAAAAGGAAAGCTGAATCAATGATGACCCTCACTTTTTACAAAGCTTTTCCCAAATGATGTTCTCTCTTACTGCAAAGAGGTTTTATAATTCACTATTTGACCTATAAATGAGCCATTAAAAATAATTATTGATTTATGAAAATCGTGTTATGAGGAAGCCTAGAACATCTGGTTCATTACTTGAGAGTCGTGTGTCATGTGTTCAGCATGAGAAATACTCTCATTATTGTCACTTACATGTTACTCTTCCCTAAGGCAGCATGCCTGGTGCAGGAAATAAATTCAGACTTAAGTTTAGAAGCACAAGTAACCGTTTCTTTCTGGGTATGATAGATGGGCATTTCTGGGACTGGGAAGTCAGAGTGGTGCCTTTTGCAAAGTTTCACTTGGAGATGATCCAACATCCTCAAATGCAATGCTGTATGACCAGCTAAATGCATACATTAACATACAAAAATTAGTTTCGCTTTTTCACTGGCTTGATGGGAACCTTGAGGGGAAGGGAGAGAAAAGAGCCCAGGAGAAGTAATATTTCAAATTACTCAAAGGAACAAAATCAACTTCTCTGGGTGGAAGGGGCTAGAGGGAGAGGGAAGAGAGGGCATTCAGTTTCATTTGGGAGTGAATCCTAGTGAAGGAACTTGAATACGCTCAGGGCACATCGGGTGGGGGTGGGAGGTAGGTAATGATATCAGAGTTGGCTGACTGTAACTGGAAACATGTATTGGTGGAAAGAGAAAGTATTGAAGCACACAGAGCATGACATCCAGGAAAATGTCATTTTCACTTGCTGCTTTTACACACTCATTTCTTCAATGGATTTAGTTTTTCTGAGACACTATTTAAAATATATGCAGTGGGGCTGGGAGTGGTGGCTCACGCCTGTAATCCCAGCACTTTGGGAGGCCGAGGTGGGCAGATCACTTGCGTTCAGGAGTTTGAGACCAGCCTGGCTAACATGGTGAAACACCGTCTCTACTAAAACATACAAAAAATCTAGCCGGGCGTGGTGGCGGGCGCCTGTAGTCCCAGATACTCAGGAGGCTGAGGCAGGAGAATCCCTTGAACCCAGGAGGCAGAGGTTGCAGTGAGCCTAAATCACATGACTGCACTCCAGCCTGGGCAACAGAGCAAGGCCCCATCTCAAAATGAATGAATGAATGAATGAATGAAATATATGCAGTGAATTTGGTTTTTTTAAACTTTGAAAAAATCAAAGAAACACAAATTCCACAAAGTATTATGTTCTTTATTTACAATGAAAACATAATCTGCAAATTAATAAATGGAAAGTTATTTGTTTATAGATCACATGCAAATATATTTATGAATGATTAAAAAGCAATTACTGAAACTTTTGTTAACAATCATAAATTTTAAAATAATTAATATAATCCCATTCTTAAGTCAATTACTTTTTCAAACTATTTTTAGATTTCAATTCAATAAGTGGTACTTTTAGTTTTGTTCTCTCATTTCTTTTGAGTTGGATTGGATTTTTAGTTTATTGTTATTCTCTTTAAAGTTTTCTAAGTGGAATCCAAACTTTTATTATTTCTTTTTTTGGGCAGGTTCTGTCTGCAAACTGGCAAATAAACCAGTTTTAAATTAGGCTAGTTTTTCTAAATGAAAACTTTTCTTGGAAAATTGCTCTTTTTTTAGGTCATAAGGTGGCAAAATACCTTGGATTTTTATCTTAAAGTAAATGGCCAGTGTAAACTTAACCTCTACAATTTCTTTATATTATCTCCTTCAATTAATACATACCCCAAAAGTTCCTATCACAAAAAGGTTAACTCCAATTGTGTTTGATCTGCTTAGGAATTTTGTCAGAAAAAGCCCTTCAGGATTGAGTCTAGACATTCAACGTTTCATCTCTAGCCTTCTACTAACTCTTTATTACTGCCCATAACAGTAGTTGAAGGAAATATTATTTTGTGAATGTTTAGCCATAATTGTTTCAAACTTTCCAGAAGTGTGTGATGTTTAGAAGACCATATTTTTCATGTAATTGATTTTCTCTTCACAGATTTCTTTAAGGGAAAAACAGTATTTAATCACTGGCTGCCAGGAATGTGTTATAGTAATATCACCTTTCAGCTGGTATCTGAGGCAACTTTTAATAAAAGTACCCTTGTTGAGTACAGTGGTGTCAGTCACGAACCCAAACAGCACAGAACTGGTAAGTCTCCTGAAGAATCAAATACAGTGAAAAAATAATTCAGTTATATTTTGCTGTACATTTATTTTTTATCCTAAGAAATATTCTGATCCAGAGCAAAGAAAGAAAATATATATGTTTAATAACCTAAAACAGATTTTCTATCAATATAAAAAGAACTGGGCAAAATATTCAATAAGAAAAATCTAAAATATGTCAATGTAATCATAGATTTCTAATCTTTGAATAAAAAGCTACTATACTATTACCAAAGGTTATAATTAACTGACTTACCCAGATCTAGTAGACATCAGTTATTGCTGACAAGTGACCCTATGGCAGAAAACAGAGTGAAGACATTCTAGTACAGATTATCAGATTATTAAAGGAAAATATTGAAATTCAAATGTATCTAAAACTTGCGGTGCTTGATTTTAGTAGCACCACTAATATGAAGCACTATTGTAGGATGGATGGATAGTTGCATGGATGGATGGATAGATGGATGGGTGGATGGATGGATGGATGGATGGATGGATGGATGGATGGAATAATGAATGGATAAAATAAGCATATATCTACTAAGTACCCATCACCAATATAAGCAAAATCGTATGTGCCTAGTATGCCTGAATACTCAATAGGAATGCTGGAGAGGCCATTCTGATGAGCATCAGGAAGGGATTATGATAGATTACTTCTAAGGTCTTGACAATTTGAAATTCTAAGATGTCATGATTCTTATTCATTAGTCTAAGACCAGGAAACTATTTCAGCTAAATCACTAATTCACCTAATGTCAACAGTTAAGATTCTATTTATGTTTTTCATTATTCAATGTAAGTAGAAAAACATTAATTGAGCACCTTCTACCTGGAAGTTGTTCTCAGTACTGAGACATGAAGACAAAGACTGATGAGACAGGATCCTTGTGCTCAAAAATTGGTACTCATAATACACGAATGGCACTAACACAAGGCAGAATGAGATAAATATTATAACAGAGGTACAAAGTTATTTAACAACACAAAGGAAGGAGAGATAAATTTTTATTAGAAGCTCATGGGGCCTAGCACGGTGGCTCATGCCTGTAATCCCAGCACTTTGGGAGGCCGAGGCAGGTGGATCACCTGAGGTCAGGAGTTTGAGACCAGCCTAGCCAACGTGGTGAAACCCCATCTCTACTAAGAATACAAATATTAGCTGGGCATGGTGGCTGGTGCCTGTAATCCCAGCTACTCGGGAGACTGAGGCAGGAGAACTGCTTGAACCCAGGAGGCGGAGGTTGCAGTGAGCCGAGACCACGTCATTGCACTCTAGCCTGGGCAACAGAGAGAGATACTGTCTCAAAATAAAAATTAACAAAAAAGTTCATGGAAGAGGTGATAATGGAACTGCTATTTGAAGAACAAGTAGAAACTGTTACAGGCAGAGACTACGCAGTGCGTCTTCATAATTTTCTCCCTGTAAGTAAAGTGTGCTTCCATAATTTGTAAACTCATTTTGAGTTTATATGTTTCATTTTAGGGAGGTGAGGAGTGAAGCTATATTTCTAACATGTGTGTTAACATCTCTAAAGGCAACACATGTATGCAACTCTTGTAGGTGCAACTATGTCACATGGAGTATTTTCATCTTCATAGCTATAAGTACACTATACTTGTTTTGTTTTGGTTTTTTTGTAATAAAAATCCAGGAACAGAGATACATTTTTTTGTAAGTGGAATTACGATAAACTGAAAAATATTTATATACTCTGCTTTTAGAAGTGGTTGAATTACCACTTCAACAAGCATAATATTGTAAGTTAATATATTTGAAGTGTGACTAGTGGTATGTTGATAGGTATACATCATCCACAAAATGTTAGAAGTATGTATATGGAAAAAAACACAGCTTATCTTGATGTAAATTTGTCTGTGTATCAGAAGTAAAATTAAATTCCACTTTTAAAAATCTGCTTGTGTACCTGACTCATTAAGAGATTAAGTATTCACTCTAATTGAATTAAAAAATACTTGAAAATGAAAATTCTCTCTCTTACAGCCCCTTATCCACCTCAAAATATTTCCGTTCGTATCGTAAACTTGAACAAAAACAACTGGGAAGAACAGAGTGGCAATTTCCCAGAAGAATCCTTCATGAGATCACAAGATACAATAGGAAAAGAAAAACTCTTCCATTTTACAGAAGAAACCCCTGAAATTCCCTCGGGCAACATTTCTTCCGGTTGGCCTGATTTTAATAGCAGTGACTATGAAACTACGTCTCAGCCATATTGGTGGGACAGTGCATCTGCAGCTCCTGAAAGTGAAGATGAATTTGTCAGCGTACTTCCCATGGAATACGAAAATAACAGTACACTCAGTGAGACAGAGAAGTCAACATCAGGCTCTTTCTCCTTTTTCCCTGTGCAAATGATATTGACCTGGTTACCACCCAAACCACCCACTGCTTTTGATGGGTTCCATATCCATATTGAACGAGAAGGTAAAGCAGTAGGAAATCAGAGGAAATAAGAACTGATACAAAGGAAGGGGAATTGAAATGTTTTTAAATTTGAGTTTAGAAAGACTGATCATAGACAGTTATTAGTCAAAGAATAATGGTAATGAAAGGGGAGAATTTAATTGAGTATCCAATGCAGACTGAGAGCAGAAAACCCAAATGAATAGACTGGATAAGAATCAGAAGGTTTGGGTGATTCACAAGTTGTAAGTACTGCCAACTGTATACATTTGACTGCCCACTATTTCTCATGTCTCAGAACAATGAGGAAAACATCATATTTGGAAATATTTTGAATTAAAGATCTAACTATCCCAGAATGTTACAACATAACCTAGAGAAATTTTCTGTTTTCTCATATGCAAATTTTTAAACATGGCAGCAAAGTAATACTTATGAAAACATTACTACTTCCTCAAGAATATGAGGCATGTGTCCTGCTAACCAGCCGCTCTTGTTCCCTTTAGGGTGCGCCCCTCTAGAAAAAGCACCACAGTTTTCCAAAGAGAAGCTGATAGTAAAATGGAAAATACACAGCTGCTGACATTTCCATATAGCTACTATATTATATTTTGCATTGACTAACTCAGCATCTGAGGTTCATTCTTTATATTTTAGCCACTAACTTAGGAAAGTAGAGCCATGACTTTCAACAAGTTTGGGTCATGATACCTATCTCAATTGTTGTTTGGTAGATTTTTATGGTTATTTGTTGTTTGTTTAGTTTTTACAGTAATATACTTCATTTTCCATTTTCTGATCTAGTAGTTTGAGTGGCAGAGGTTATAATTTGTAAAAATTTGAAGTTACAGTGATAGCCTTATTTTTAGGGTGAGAGTTTAAGGCCCATGTAGTCTCATATACTGACATATTGTTTACTCCTATTTTACTTAATAGCATGAGATACAAAATCTGTGGATTCTTCTATACAAGATGATACAGCATTCAACCATACCCAAATATTACATAAAATGAAAATTCTTAATTATTTGAGTCAAAAGTCATTTTCCTGGAATTTCCTATTTTTTTTAAAGTTTCCTTAATCTATCATTTATTTTTCTGTTCCTAAATATGTTCCTACGGCAAATAGGATCTTGTCATTACAAAAATTTTTTACTGCCTCTTCTCATGAAGGTTCTATTATGCATTTATCTGACTCAGTGTCTTCTTTTGAAGGCTGTTGTAGTCACCAACTGATGATAATGACTTCAAATGAAGTAATAAGCAGCAGAGGATGGATGGACTGTGAAGCAATGTGAAATAATTCTTTCTTTAAGAAGATCTGAAAGCAAATGGATAAAGGAAAAATATTACCATGATTATTATTTTTTTAATTTTACTTTAAGTTCAGGGGTACATCAGAAAATATACCTTAAAAATTAGATGTATTTTAAATAAATGTTAAAGCACTTCTGGATGGTTAATACTACCACAAAGAACTTACAAGATATTTGATCCTGGTTATTTTTTAGCCCTTACCTCGTGATGAGAAAGCCAACAATTGTTAACTTTTCCTGATTATCTACTTCTATTTTGTACACATAATTTTGTTGGGTAGGAGTACATAAAGATACACAGTGTAGACCCATCCCTAGTTTTATTGATTTGAATGCCGTATTTGAGTTTTGTTATTTGGAAGACTGTAAAAATACTGAACTCTTATTTATTATTCTTTAATGGTACCTTTAGTTTAGAGGTGTAATTGAACTTGACAAAAGGAGGGAACATTTAAAACACCTAATTTTTTTTCATTAATCGACTTGTCTATACCCAGGGCCTTTCCAGGTGTCTATTCATGTATCTTCTCTTTTTTATATATGATTTAGAGAACTTTACTGAATATTTGATGGTGGATGAAGAAGCACATGAATTTGTTGCAGAACTGAAGGAACCTGGGAAATATAAGTTATCTGTGACAACCTTTAGTTCCTCAGGATCTTGTGAAACTCGAAAAAGTCAGTCAGCAAAATCACTCAGCTTTTATATCAGTAAGTAACAAAGAGATCATTTTACACTTACTGGGGAGCTAGAACAATGGAACTGGTGGGATTAATGATGCTCAGATGTCAATTATTCACAAACCTTAGGGATGATGAGAAGTCTTCAAGATCAGGAGAGGCTGAGATCCACAAGCTTTGGATAGCAGAGGAAATGAATGCTTGTTTAATAGTAGCAATCCTATCCAGGGGTTTAACTTGAGGATTTTTTTTTTACTATTGTGATAATTGAACATTTATTAAACTGACCTTTCACATTAGCCATAACAAAGCCTCCAAGGATGTGGACATACAGTTTGGGAAATACGACATTTGTTTGAGCCCATAACGAAATGATATTATAGGACTGTGAAAAATCTCATTAGAGTATTGAGCTTGTGAGGCTCAAAAGAAAGACAAAGATTCAAGTGTGGGTACACCCCGATGGTCTCAATAAAACTGGTGGGAAAAGTCATAGCTAGAGCAACCTGAAAGTCCCAGTGTCAAGTCCTAGGGTGGCCTCTACCATTCCATAAGGGTAACAGGACAGCAAAAGCTAGCCTCTGAAGGTTGCACAAACAGTGCCTGCCTCTATAACGTGTTTAGCTAAACTGACTATGTTTACTGGAAGTATAGAGGTCAAAAATCAGTAACCTACCCTATCAGGAGTTATATGTGCCTCCGATCAGTAGAAAGAAAAACCAGAAGGCAAAGAATAAAAATTGCTTTCAGAAAAGGATAACCACCACATATCCTATTGCCATCTGGAAAGGCAAATACCACCTTTCGTTGAAGGACGGATGAGAGCAGAAGAGGAGCTCAGCTTATGTAGCAGCTTAAAAATGTTGAAAATATCCCATATAATATTTTTACTTAAAAGAAAAACCAAAAATGTCACCTCTGGCAAAAGAAAGGCCTTAAAGATTTATCAGATGCGTAGAAAGGGTATTCCCAACTGCCTTGTGTGTCTTTCAAGTGTGAGAGACCTTGGACATGTGATTACTTAAGAAAGAGGACAAAGTCGAGTATTTCATTCTTCCCATAAGACTAAAAATGCCTCACTTACCAAATAGTTTCTTTCTGCACCAGTACAGATCCACCGCACATGTGAACAGCCTCCACGAAAACTCCACAACAATTCTGGTCTTTCTGACTTTTCTCTTCTCTGAATTCCTATTCTGTCTCATAGTAGACAGCACAAAACACATAACTTATTAGTGTGTGGTATTTTTCTAGATTTATTTTATGTACATCTTGCTTCTCATGTCAAGTTGTAAAATCCCAGGCTGGAGTTATACTGTTTGCATATTTATTCATTCTTTTGTACATTCAAGAAATATTTATGGAACCACTTATATCTTTCATGCACTCTGCTCTATTCTTAGAGTATCTAAAGCGACTAGTGCCATTGAGAATATGTCGGAATTGCTCAAAAATGCAATTACTTTAAAGAGATGCATCTTAATATTTATCTAGAAAAATATAGGCTCCTAGAAGTTTTGTTTTTTCTCTGTTGCTAAAAGAATGACTTTTTAAGGAGATTCTGTTCTGTGGTAATGAGCTATTCAGATGTACCATGTATACTTCTTTGGTTTAAAAAATGGATACCGCAGACATAAATACTTACACCTAACTGGGTAAATGAGCAAAAATTAGGGTGGCTTACGTTTGCTCAGCATAATGTAGTCACACACCAGCAAAAGTATATTTGCAGCCTGTTTTTCCTGACCAAACTGTTTCACATATTCTGGTGTTGAGCTGTTACATTACAATTTATTATATGTTTATGTCGTTGCATTATAATTTACATTTATGTAGCTTTGAATGCCTTCCCAGAGATGAGAATTCAGGTAGGAATTTGCACTAGACTGCCAATAGCCTTATGAAGAAAACACTTTTATTACCCCCATTTTTCACATTAAAATACATACTGAATCGCAGAAATTTCAGTGACTTCCCCAAGTGTCAAAATTAAGATTATAACTCAGGAATATTTGATAACAAAACCCATTTTCATTTAGCCTGCCATGACCCATGTCCTTGGGTTGATTATCAAGTCAGTCATAAGGTAAAACTATTAAATAATTGAATTTGTTTTGCTTACTCCAACCTCCACCCTCTGTGCCCCCACTACACTAGTACTCTTCAGAACAGTAGTAACACTTCACGTTTATGTAGTTCTCTAACACATATTATCTCATTTGATCCCAACAACAACCTTATGAGGTAAATTAATCAGATTTTCAAAAGCAATGACTCAAGAGACAGGAGGTCTGGGTTAGGTCACAAGCACTTACTAGCTCTATGACTTCAGGCAGCTTGTTTATATCTCTGGGCCTCAGTTTCCTCATCAGCAAATGTGTTAGTCCATATTTACACTACTATAAAGAACTACTTGAGACTGAGTAATTTACAAAGGAAAGAGGTTTAATCGACTCACAGTTCTGCATGGCCAGGGAGGTCTCAGGAAACTTACAATCATGGCAGAAGACGAAGGGGAAGCAAGCACCTTATTCAGAGGGTGGCAGGACAGAGAGAGAGAGCAGGGGAAACTGCCACTTTTAAACCATTAGATCTCATGAGAACTCGCTCATTGTCTTGAGAACAGCATAGGGGAAACCACCTCCATGATCCAATTACCTCCCATCAGGTCCCTCCCTCGACAAGTGGGGATTACAATTCGAGATGATATTTGAGTGGGGACACAGAGCCAAACCATATCAGCAAAATAAAGCAGTGGGTCTCTAAAGTTCTCTTCAATTCTAAAATTCCATGATTTATCCATTTCACAGATGCAATGACTGAGATTCAGAGAGGTTAACTCATTTGTCCAAAGTTGCACCACTAATAATGACCAAACTGAGTCTTAGTGCAATTATCGTATCTCCAAATTTTTACTATTTCATAGTGCTCCAGGAAGTCTCATGCAGGGTTGAGAGCATGGATTTTGGAATCAGACTTCCTGTGTGTGAATCCTAGCTCTACTTACTCTATCTCTACCTCAGTTTTCACATCTGAAAAGTGAGATTTAATAAAAGTACTTATTTCATTGGCTTGTTATAAAAGTTAAAGGGGCCAGGCACGGTGGCTCACACCTATAACCCCAGCACTTAGGGAGGCCAAGGCGGGCGGATCACCTGAGGTCAGGAGTTCAAGACTAGCCTGGCCAACATGGTGAAATCTTCTCTCTACTAAAAGTACGAATATTAGCCAGGCATAGTGGTGGGCACCTGTAATCCCAGCTACTCGGGAGGCTGAGGCAGGAGAATCGCTTGAACTCAGGAGGTGGAGGTTGCAGTGAGCCTAGATAAGGCTGCACTCCAGCCTGGGTGACAGAGTGAGACTCCATCTCAAAATAAATAAATAAATAAATAAATAAATAAATAAATAAATAAGGAATGAAATACGTAACACATAAAAACTTAAAGAAGGTTATATGCTAAAAAACAGTTTACATGCTGAAAAGCAGTTTATATGTGAGCATCCGTGTTTTAAGCTCAACCACTACTGTGATGTCCTAGACATCTTCCCAAGAGAACTACGGTAGCATCCTTGTGTCTGTGGTGTCACTGACCTGCCAGGAACAAACCTATAAATATGTAATGGGTTCCATATCTCTTTACTATAATTACTATCATTTTGTATTATCATTTCCCTTGCACCATTTACACCAAACCTTAGTCTGTCCTCCCCAGTAGAGCGACTTGCTCCTTTTCCTCTCCTGGATCTCAGCTTAGGAATACAGCATCAAATTAAGGAGCTGAGAATGCATCCTAAGCAAATAAATGGAAGTTTCACATTTGCATTTCAGCAGGGAATTTCTGTAGATAATAATCACCTTAACATGTCTTGAGTCCTTACTAGGTGTCAGGCACTGTGTTAAGAACCACTTTAGGAACATAAGAGAACAAAGCTAAGGATGGGCACTTCTGTGGAGACATTTTATGGTAAGGATCCTGTTGTGTTCCTCAAATTATCACCCAGGTTTTAGCCAGCTTCTTTAATTGAGCCAGCCTGTTGTGTGTTTCTTCTCTAATATAATCACAGCCTGCCTTTTCGTTCTCACTGTTGCCAAATTCAAATGTTTGCACAGGGTAGTAGTCGAGGCTGATTTGAATCTCAAAGTAATTATTCCTAGAGATCAAAGATCCTAGTAGCAAAGGAATAATAAGCCCTGATGAAATGCCACATTGCCACGCTCACTCTTTGTTAAAAGAGAAGTAAGTTTTCTCAGGTGAAGAATTTACCAGAATACTCTCACATGCACACGATGATTGAAGTGGCACTTTTGTTTCTGCTGTTATTGCCGAGGCTGCTGTTTAGATCAAGGTGAGGTCAAGGAGTAGAGGGTTGCAGCTGGGCAGAGGACCTGAAGAGTTGCCAGTCCGACCGCCAATCTTTCTTTGAATCTCATTGTAAGGGCAAAAAGAAAACATGATTTTTTAAACCAGAATCTTTTATCTCAATCAGTGTAACGTGCAGCCTCCCCTGTGTTCCAATTTGAAATGTGCAGGTCCTTCAGGAGAGTGGATTGAAGAACTGACCGAGAAGCCGCAGCACGTGAGTGTCCACGTTTTAAGCTCAACCACTGCCTTGATGTCCTGGACATCTTCCCAAGAGAACTACAACAGCACCATTGTGTCTGTGGTGTCGCTGACCTGCCAGAAACAAAAGGAGAGCCAGAGGCTTGAAAAGCAGTACTGCACTCAGGTAAAGGAGAGGAAATGAGAATGGGCTCGCCGGTCCTTCCTAAGCACAACCTTACAGGGCAATGCCAAGGAGGCAATTGTAGGAAGCCAGGCTGAGGTCTGCTGGGATGGGTGTGTTCTGTGACTGTTCCCAAGAGCCAGAGGGGCCAGAAATGACTGGCAATGGCTTTTTGATGGCACTGTCATCTCCCTTTCTCTTCAGAGGAGGGTCATGTTCTTTTTCATTCATTATTCAAGGGAATTTGCTGAGCATCTATGATGTGCCAGGTTCTAAGATAGATGTTGGAAATTTTTAAACATCCTGCTCTTGCAGAGCTTGTAATCTAATGAGAACAATAGATAAGTGAACATATAATGACTGCACTGTATGGAATAAGGCCTCAGCTTAAAATGAATGATGAGAGTCCAGAGGAGTTCACGGAAGAAGGAGCTGAGCGTGAGTAACATGGATGAAGGGGAAAGAGGATTTGGAAACTGGTTGGAAAAAACATCACAGAGCAGGAGACAACCAAGCAGAGGGTTGGAGGGTTTTTTGTTTGTTTGTTTGTTTTACTTTTTTCCATTCTTTTAATTTTCATTTTTACTGTAAAAGTAACGCATTCTTGCTGAAAAAAAAAAAAAACTTAAAAATGTAAAGAATATAAAGTAGGCTGGGTGTGGGGGCTCACACCTTTAATCCCAGCACTTTGGAAGGCCGAGGCGGGTGGATCACCTGAGGTCAGGAGTTCGAGACCAGCCTGGCCAACATGGTGAAAACTCGTCTCTACTAAAAATACAAAAATTAGCCAGGCGTGGTGGCACGTGCCTGTAATCCCAGCTACTCGGGAAGCTGAGGCAAGAGAATCACTTGAACCCGGGAGGTGGGGGTTGCAGTGAGCCCACTGTACTCCAGCCTGGGCAACAGAGTGAGACTCCGTCTCAAAAAAAAAGAAAAAAAAAAAAGAATATAAAGTAAAAAACTACCCCCTCACCAGTCACAACTGAAAAGAGCTTTGAAGAATATATGGGAGACAGCTGTGCACAGAGGAGAGTGAGGGGCAGGCAGAGACGGTGTGCAACTCAGTAGTCTTGTGAGTGGCTAGCAGAAGGAACGCATATGCCAGAACAAACCCTAGTGAAACTGTGCAACTGGAGCCCAGAGTGGACCTTGCTCTCAAATGCCCTGAGAACCTGGGGCCCAGTCCTATATTTCTAAATTCTGGCCTTATGTTTTTACAAGGTCAAATGTGGTGGTTCTTGGTGTCTTACAAACACATTTTCTTCCCTAAAGGCAAAAGGAAAAAAATAATTATCAATTCTTGTGGAGTACGTTGGAAATGTAATGCACAGAAAAGATGTTTGCTGTATGACAGCAATTTGGGATGTTTCCATTCCTCCCAGGAAAATTAAGCATTTAATGAAATTCAAACAATGATAAATTGTAAATTGATAAGATGAATTCAGGAATCGTGTTCTTTGGAGCACTAGAAAGCCATAGAATGCTTGAGAATGAGGTGCCCCTTGAGTTGAATTAAATTAAGGAATAAATATGCTAAACCGATTAACTAGTAATCACAGTTCATTGTGTAACTTATTAGCTTCCTTTCCTGAGCATACCCAAGATGACTGACTCATTACATTGACAGAAAAACGTGTTTTCCCCTACAGACCTTGACCTAGAACTCAACTGCTTCAAGGTACATTTCTCCCCTTGCCCTACTTAATGTACACATTATATATCTTTCACATAAGAATAAAAAGGCTAAAGGTAGAGATAGATATTGTAAATTATCAATGAGCCAGAAAAGACTAGTCCAAATGTACTTTTACAATATCTTCTCAAAATGCAAATAGGAAAACAGAACATGAAATGTCCTATTCAGGATTATAAGCAAGAAGACCAATATTTAAAGGGGAGTGCAGGAAAGAGACCACCATGCTAGGCATCATCTCAGTTACCACAAGACCTTTTTGAGATTTGTATAATATCATACCACTATAGTCCATTATGCCACTAAATAAATGTGTAGAAAAGCACCAATGGAAAGAAGATTACATAAAGTGGAAATAAGACCATCTCAGGCTCAAAGGAACCTACACTATCATCTAGTTCAACCCTATTATTTAAGAGTCCATCATATACAGGTGCAGTGGCTCATGCCTGTAATCCCAGCACTTTGGGAAGCTAAGGTGGGCAGATCACTTGAGCTCAGAAGTTCGAGACCAGCCTGGGTAACATAGTGAAACTCTGTCTCCACAAAAAAAAAAAAAAAAAAATTGCCTATCATGTACTTACTTCAATTAGCTATGCTGTCTAGTACATTTTTCTCCTTATTCCTTTAGCTGAAGAGGAATAGAACTGGTATCCATTTGGAGGGACATTGGACTCAACTAAATTCTCAGGAATGAAGATTAAGACAGTCAGGAAAAATATTGGGATGCTAAATGAGTGGAAATTAAGGGGGAGCAGAGTGTGGAAGTATTTTGTAAAAAATAAAACACATTACTTAACATGCAGAATGCAGAGGCATTCCACTTTTCCTCCTCCAACACACACCCAAGGAGGTCCAGGAGAAATAAAAAGGCATGGAGAAACATAGAAGTGTAAATATAGGTTAGCAGCTCAGTAAATATTCAGAAATTGGGGAGGATGGAAATTAGTGTTTTTAATTTATTACCAAGTCAGGTAATCTGTAATCCAATTACCCCTTTGTCATTTTTTAAGTAATATGATGTATATGCCCATAGCTACTTCTTATTTTAAAAAGTATAATATCCCTAGGATAAATTTATTATAATGGCATATTTTTGTTTGTTTGTTTGTTTGTTTATGAGACGGAGTCTCGCTCTGCTGCCAGGCTGGAGCATGGAGTGCAAAGTCATGATCTTGGCTCACTGCAACTTCCGCCTCCTGGGTTCAAGCGATTCTCCTGCCCCAGCCTCCCAATTAGCTGGGACTACAGGTGCACACCACCACACCCAGCTAATTTTTGTATTTTTAGTTGAGACGGGGTTTCACCATGCTGACCAGGATGATCTCGATCTCTTGACCTCATGATCTGCCCACCTCGGCCTTCCAAAGTGGTGGGATTACAGGCGTGAGCCACCGTGCCCGGCTATAATGGCGTATTTAAACAGCTATGATTCCAGGTAGTCATTTGAATAGTTAGAATCAACTCATAAAATATTATCAAAAGAAAGGAACCTTAACATCACCATGAAACAATCTATACTCCTTATGCCCTTTATTATTCTAAACATTCTAAATAGGCAAAATGGGTGATTAATGAGCTAGGTCAGCATTTACACTTATAGTCAGATGTCTACAATGTGTTAAGTTTAAATGGAGCAATGTTTTTTTGTTTGTTTGTTTTTGGGGGGGTTATTGAGATGGAGTCTTGCTCTGTCACCCAGGCTGGAGTGCAGTGGCGTAATCTCGGCTCACTGCAACCTCCACCTCCCAGTTTCAAGCGATTCTGTTGCCTCAACTTCCCAAGGAGCTGGGACTACAGAAGTGAGCCACCACGCCTCACTAATTTTTGTATTTTTAGTAGAGACGGGTTTTCATCGTGTTGGTCAGGCTGGTCTCAAACTCCCAACCTCAGGTGATCTGCCCACCTTGGCCTCCCAAAGTGCTGGGATTACAGGCGTGAGCCACTGCGCCCAGCCTGGAGCAATGTTGATAATATAACACATTATATGGTTTAATAGCGTATTATTTATGTGTATATGTTAGAAGAAGGTCTAGAAGAAGGCATATCAAAATGTCAGGATTTGTGGGAGGAGGAGAACAAACAAAACTTCCAATTTACTTCATTTGTTCTTTTATTGGGTGAGCAATTTTTACAATAAGCATATATGTTGTATCATATAAAGTGTATTTTAAATAAATAAAATAATATTGCTTAGTTGTGGATAATATGCATCTTCTTATCATAGTTTGTCTCTTTAGAAAATTCTCTATCAGGCCAGGCACGGCGGTTCACGCCTGTAATCCTAGCACTTTGGGAGGCCAAGGCAGGAGAGGCACTTGAGGCCAGGAGTTTGAGACCAGCCTGACCAACATAATGAAACCCTGTCTCTACTAGAAACACAAAAATAAGCTGAGCATGATGGCACACACATGTAATTCCAGCTACTTGGGTAGCTGAAGCACAAGAATCACGTGAACCCAGGAGGCAGAGGTTGCAGTGAGCCAAGATCGTGCCACTGCACTCCAGGTTGGGCAACACAGTGACAGAGCAAGACTATGTCTCAAAAAGAAAGAAAAGAGAAGAAAGAAAGAAAGAGAGAGAGAGGAAGGAAGGAAGGAGAAAGAGAAAGAAGGAAAGAAAGAAAGAAAGAAAGAAGAAAGAAAGAAAGAAAGGAAGGAAGGAAGGAAGGAAGGAAGGAAGGAAGAAAGAAAGAAAGAAAAAGAAAGAAAGAAAGAAAGAAAGAAAGAAAGAAAGAAAGAAAGAAAGAAAGAAAGAAAGAAAGAAAGAAAAGAAAGAAAGAGGGAGGGAGGGAGAGAGGGAGGGGGAAGGAAGGAGGGAGGGAGGGAAGGAAGGAAGGAAGGAAGGGAAACTCTCTATCAGATGAAGAGATATAGTTGACTAAATCTGCCTATACGGCTTCCAGCAGAATTAAAAATCTAAAACTTGTGCAAGAAACCCTGATATGAAAGAGTATAAATATGAAAGAAAGAATGAAAATCCCAATTTATTAATTCAATATAATCTTATTTTGTTTAAGTCAGTGGGAAATAAATTTTGGTATATGGCTCCTTTTACTTACATGCAGAGGAAGTTGTACCAATTCAGATTACATAATTTCTACTGTGTATAATCAGTTTCCAGTGCGAAAAGGTTTAAAATTCATATCATATCACCAGTTCTGTATGAATCCTTAAAATCTTAATGGGACTCTAAAAAACACCTTACAGCATAGATAAGCTGTAAACAACATTGTTCTCCATTGATTCATGTTCCTCCTTGGAGTAATTCCACAATTTTATGTATCCAAAAGGCCAAAAAGTTAATAAGATGAATAAAGATTAATATTTATTGATACTCTGGTTTAAACATTCTCAAACTCTATGAGGTATATAATTTTATTACCTATATCTTAGCAATGAAGTAACCAAGGTAAGAATTTTAATTAAATTATAAAGCATAAATAAACCCCCATGCTAATAATGAGTAGAGTCAGGATTTGATTCCAGGTAGTCCAAAAAAAGAATGTGTGTTCTTTCCACCAAGCAATACTGTCTTAAATATTAGAGACACTGAAGGTCAAAGCAGCACCTTAACCTTTTAGTTGAATTATCAATTCTTGTGTGTGCCAACATTCAAATTTAATAAATGCATTTTATTCATCTATACGTTCTCACTATTTTTCTCTATATGGTATTTGTTACGTATCCAAATTTTTTTTAAAAAAAGCAGGGCCAAGTGTGGTGGCTCATGCCTGTAATCCTAGCACTTTAGAAGGCCCAGGCACGTGGATCACCTGAGGTCAGGAGTCCAGAGACCAGCCTGGCCAACATGGCGAAACCTCGTCTCTACTAAAAATACAAAAATTAGCTGGGCGTGGTGGCCCACAACTGTAATCCCAGCTACTCAGGAGCCTGAGGCAGGAGAAATGCTTGAACCCGGGAGGTGGAGGTTGCAGTGAGCCCAGATCATGCCACTTCACTCCAGCCTGGGCGACAGAGTAAGACTCTGTCTCAAAAAAAAAAAAAAAAAAAAAAGAAAGAACAGTAAAGAAGGTCTCATGTAAATGAGAAATGTTCTCTACAATATTATTTTAGGGGGCTACAACAGCCTGGCAGGGTGCTTACCAGGATATCTCGATGCTTAGCACAGTGACTTGCCCATAGTGTAGATTAAAGGTCCCAACACTAGGCTTCCAGTCCCAACACTGCATCTAAATATATGACCTTGGCCATTCTCTGGCTTTACTTTATTTATTAAATGAGCACTTTGGACTAGGTAATCTCTAAGGTCATTTCCATTTATTTATTTATTTATTTTATTTATTTTTTATTTTTGTTTTTTTGAGAGCTTGTCTCACTCTGTTGCCCAGGCTGGAGTGCAGTGGCACAAACTCGGCTCACTGCACCTCTGCCTCCTGGGTTCAAGCAATTCTCCTACCTCAGCCTCCTGAGTAGCTGAGATTACAGGCACCTGCCACCATGCCTGGCTAATTTTCTTTGTATTTTAGTAGAGACAGGGTTTCACTATGTTCGTCAGGCTGGTCTTGAACTCCTGACTTCAAATGATCTGCCTGCCTTGGCCTCCCAAAGTGCTGGGATTACACGCGTGAGCCACTGTTCCCGGTGGTCATTTTCATTTCTATAATTAGATATTATATGCTTCTAAGTGACAAGAGACTAAAGACATTTCCGTACTGACCTTTGTATGTAATCAGCTGACACCACAATTTAGAATGTCAAACTATCCTCATGGTATTGCTGATTTGATTATGGTTAGAGGCTGATGTGTCTCTAGTGTGCATAGTTATAATTGACACTGATGGGTATAAAGCAGTTCACAGGGCTTAGAACAGACAAAATTTGAATCTTCTAGGTTCCCTTCAATGTTCACATAAACTATAAATCATCCTAATTTTGGAATCTGACAGCTTCAGTAAAGCCTTCTGGATTTCAAAGTCATCTGTGATTCCAAAAAGAGTCTCTGAATATTATACCAGCCTCTGTGTAACATTCTGAAATCCCAGCTCTAAATAAATCTTATTGGGTGTTTGGTTTAAAGGTGAACTCAAGCAAACCTATTATTGAAAATCTGGTTCCTGGTGCCCAGTACCAGGTTGTAATATACCTAAGGAAAGGCCCTTTGATTGGACCACCTTCAGATCCTGTGACATTTGCTATTGGTAAGTTGCTAGCCACAAGAAGAATGACTGACCTATATATTAGGGTATTGACGGAGGGGTGCAATGTGCGAGCTCAAATCATTATCATCGTATTTGGAAGGTCCATATTAGTTCATCCAATATGCTACCTTCAGAGTAATAAATAACAAGAATTGTATACTTGGAAAACATTCTTAATATTTATTACTTGGGGAAAAAATCAGAGGCAAACATTCTTACTTTAGTTTTCAATGATTATACAACAAGAGTAAAGCTGTGTGCCGTGGCACACACCTACAGTTCCAGCTACTTGGGAGGCTGAGGTGGGAGGACTGCTTGAGCCCAGAAGTTGTTTGTTTTTTTTGTTTTGTTTGTCTGGTTTTTTTTTTGTTTTGTTTTTTTTTTTTTTTGGAGACAGAGTCTCGCTCTGTCACCCAGGTTGGAATGCAGTGGTGCAATCTCAGTTCCCTGCAACTTCTGCCTCCCAGGTTCAAGCAATTCTCCTGCCTCAGCCTCCTGAGCAGCTGGGACTACAGGTACATGCCACCATGCCTGGCTAATTTTTTGTATTTTTAGTAGAGACGGGGTTTCACCGTGTTAGCCAGGATGGTCTCGATCTGACCTCGTGATCTGCCCACCTTGGCTTCCCAAAGTGCTGGGATTACAGGCATGAGCCACCACACCCAGCCAAGCCCAGAAGTTTTAATCTAGCCTTGGTAACATAGCAAGACCCTGTCTCAAAAAAAAAAAAAGAAAAGAAAGAAAAGAAGAAAGAAAGAACGAACGAAAGAGAGAGAGAGAGAAAGAAAGAAAGAGAGAAAGGAGAAAAAGTGAGAAAGAGAGTGAGAAAGAAGAGAGTGAGAAAGAGAGAGAAAAAGAAAAAGAGAGAGAAAGGAAAGAAAGAAAAGAAAGAAAGAAAGAAAAAGAAAAGAAAAGATGAAAGGAGGGAGGGAGGGAAGAAGGAAGGGGGAGGGCAGGGGGAGGGAGGAAGGAAGGGGAGGAAGCAAGAAAGGGAGGAAGGAAGGAAGGAAGGAAGGAAGGGAGGGAGGGAGGTAGGTATTGTATCAGAGAGTGAAAACTCGGGTCATTAAGTAGAAGTTTGAGGCCATTGCTAAGACATTCCTTCTTAACTTTCTTTTTCTACCCCCTGCCCTCTTCTTTCTAGTTCCCACAGGAATAAAGGATTTAATGCTCTATCCTTTGGGTCCTACGGCCGTGGTTCTGAGCTGGACCAGACCTTATTTAGGCGTGTTCAGAAAATACGTGGTTGAAATGTTTTATTTCAACCCTGCTACAATGACATCAGAGTGGACCACCTACTATGAAATAGCAGCAACTGTTTCCTTAACTGCATCCGTGGTAATCTTCCCTTAACCAACTGTCAGTCTTTCCTATGGGAACAGGCAAACCTTTATGTACCAAATGTGTCTTTAAGAAATTATCTATAAATTTGATTATTTTGTAAATACACATAGTGTGTTAGTTCATTTTCACACTGCTGATAAAGAAATAGCCAAGACTGAGCAATTTACAAAAGAAAGAAGTTTAATTGGACTTACAGTTCCACGTGGCTGGGGAAGCCTCACAATCATGACAGAAGGCAAGGAGGAGCAAGTCATGTCTTATACAGATGGCAGCAAGCAAAGAGAGCTTGTGTAGGAAAACTCCCTCTTATAATAGCCATCAGATCTCATGAGACTTATTCACTATCACAAGAACGGCATGGGAGAGACCTGCCCCCAGGATTCAGTTACTTCCCACAGGGTCCCTCGCACAACACTTGGGAATTCAAGATGAGATTTGGGTGAGAACACAACCAAACCATATTATTCTGCCCCTTGCCCCTCCCAAATCTCATGTCCTCACATTTCAAAACCAATCATGCCTTCCCAACAGTCCCGAAAAGTCTTAACTAATTAACTCGAAAGTGCACAGTCAAAAGTTTCATCTGAGACAAGGCAAGTCCCTTCTGCCTATGAGTCTGTAAAATCAAAAGCAAGTTAGTTACTTCCTAGATACACTCGGGGTACAGGCATTGACACAGCTGTTCCAAATGGGAAACATTGACCAAAACAAAGAGGCTACAGGCCCCATGCAACTCCAAAATCCACTGGGACAGTCAAATCTCAAAGCTCCAAAATGATATCCTTTGACTCCGTGTCTCACATCCAGGTCATGCTGATGCAAGAGGTGGGTTCCCATGGTCTTAGGCAGTTCCACTCCTATGGCTTTGCAGCATATATCCCCCCTCCTGGCTGCATTCACAGGCTGGCATTGAGTGTCTGCAGCTTTTCCAGGTGCACAGTGCAAGCTGTCAGTGGATCTACCATTCTGGGGTCTGGAGGATGGTGACCCTCTTCTCACAGCTCCACTAGGCAGTACCCCAGTAGGGACTCTGTGTGCAGTCTCCAGCCCCACATTTCCTTTTACATTGCCTAGCAGAGGGCATGAGGTCCCTGCCCTGCTGCAGCAAACTTTTGCCTGGGCATCCAAGTGTTTCCATACATTTTCTGAAATCTAGGTGGAGGTTCCCAAACCTCAGTTCTTGACTCCTGTGCACCCACAGTCTCAACACCACGTGGAAGCTGCCAAGCCTTGGGGCTTGCACCCTCTGAAGCCACCAAGCCTTGGGGCTTGCACCCTCTGAAGCCACCACCTGATCTCTACGTTGGCCCCTTTCACCCACAGCTGCAGCAGCTGGGATGCAGGGCACCAAGTCTCTAGGCTGTACACAGCACAGGGACCCTGGGCCTGGGCCACAAAACCACATTTTCCTCCCAGGCCTCCAGGCCTGTGATGGGAGGGGCTTCCATGAAGATCTCTGACTTGACCTGGAGACATTTTCCCCATTGTCTTGGGGATTAACATTCAACTCCTCATTACTTATTCAAATTTCTGCAGCCAACTTGAATTTCTCCTCAGAAAATGGGATTTTCTTTTCTATCACATTGTCAAGCTGCAAATTTTCCAAACTTTTATGCTCTGTTTCCCTTTTAAAACTGAATGCCTTTAACAGCACCAAGTCACCTCTTGAATGCTTTGCTGCTTAGAAATTTCTTCTGCCAGATACCCTAAATCATCTCTCTTAAGTTCAAAGTTCCAAAATCCCTAAGGGAGGCACAAAATGCTGCCAGTGTCTTTGCTAAAACGTAACAAGAATCACCTTTGCTCCAGTTCCCGACAAGTTCTTCATCCCCATCTGAGACCACCTCAGCCTAGATTTCATTGTCCATATCATTATCAGCATTTTGGTCAAAGCCATTCAACAAGTCTCTAGGGAATTCCAAACTTTCCCACATTTTACTGTCTTCTGAGCCCTCCAAACTGTTCCAGCCTCTGCCTGTTACCCAGTTCCAAATTGCTTCCACAGTTCTGGGTATCTTCTCAGCAGCACTCCACTCTCGGTACCAATTTACTGTATTCATTCGTTTCCATGCTGCTGACAAAGACATACCCAAGACTGGGCAATTTACAAAAGAAGGAGGTTTAATTGGGCTTACAGTTCCACGTGGCTGGGGAAGCCCCACAATCATGGCGGGAGGCAAAGAGGAGCAAGCCATGTCTTACATGGATGGCACCAAGCAAGAGAGCTTGTGCAGGAAAACTCCCCCTTACAATAGCCATCAGATTTCATGAGATTTACTCACTATCATCAGAACAGCACGGGAAAGACCTGCCCCCATGATTCAGTTATCTCCCACTGGGCCCCTCCCACAACACGTGGGAATTCAAGATGAGATTTGGGTGGGGACACAGCCAAACCATATCACATAGGTATGGCTATTTTCAAGTTTTTTTCATTGTTTTTGCTTTTAGGTTTTGGGATTCTCTTTTGTTTTGAGAGGGAGAGAAAGAGATAATTGTGTGAAGCTAGCTGTCAACTCTAATTGAATGTATTTGTTAATCAACATTTTTTCCTAAGCACAGAATAGAGCAATCAAGTGCTTACTGCTTCTCCTGGATCCTGGGGAGGAACACAAAGAGATTTCCCTTTGGCATTCCATAGTTAGTTGACACTGCCTAATTTTAATGATGACTTTTCATGGCATCTACAGATCAATTAAATACCTCTAATGTCAGGCTTTTAGAGGATGTTTTTTAAGAAAACAGGTAAAAATTGCTCTTTCTGAAATTGAGATAATTTTGAAAAGTGTGGGTTACCCATGGGCTATTCACAAAGTACACAATTACCCTCTACCCAGTTGAAGACTCTGAAGGACTCCTGTTCGTGGTTTACACTGAAAAAACACTGAGTTGTGAGAGGTTACTTGTCTTAGAAATAGGGAGAAATGTATGTACAGTCACTTATAAATAAGGACTGTTTCGCATGTGTAATATTAGGAAATTGCAAAATCAAACAAATATTGGAAATCTTTGGCTCTATATCTTTAAATCACTTTTAAAAATTTATATTTTTGTATTTTACTTTATGTCTCATTTCATTCTAGAAAGAATATTTTATTATAGTAAATTTAGGAAACACAAAAAGACAATATAAAGGAAAATTAAAATTACTTATTAATTTTTTATGAAAGTAAGTCTACTCCAAAAATAGTACTTTCTCCCACAGTCTTTTGTCTCCTTGCTTGCTTTTCTCATTCAGAGAATAGCTAATCTGCTGCCAGCATGGTACTACAACTTCCGGGTTACCATGGTGACGTGGGGAGATCCAGAATTGAGCTGCTGTGACAGCTCTACCATCAGCTTCATAACAGGTGAGGCATGTGTGGGGAACAGTTCCACAAGGAGAGAGCATTATTGTGAGGAGTTACCAAGGTTCCAAATCTCTAGAAAGTGCCAGTCATTCACCCAGCACTGGGTGAGCATCAATTTCATGGGAGATAATATTGATTCTGATCATTCATTATTTTGTTTAGTTGATAATCTTTAGAAATCAAAATACCATTTTTATTTTGTGTTACCACCGTTGACTTATTTTTATTCTGAGGCACTGACCTTGATTAATGTACTCTCCGGCTGGGATTGATTAGAATAGAAATATGGCAGGCACAGCCATCAGCTTCACACTGCACAGTCGATTGATTTTACCCATATGATGATTATATTTGTTAGAGTGCCTCCATTTTCTTATTAATTAAGCCATTTTTAAAGTCATAGGCTGACTGTAGTAGGGTCCCTTGTGGAAATTAAAAAATAGGGTTTAGAGACAGGTAGATCTGGATTTGAATAGACCCTCCGCATACCACATATAACCTTGAGCACGTTAACTTTTCTAAATATGTTTTTTTTAATGTGGAAAATGGGGATGATAATAGTATCAGTTATCTGTTATTATTTATTACAACTTCATTATTATATAAGCTACTTTGCAAAATACACGACACAAAGTTTAAGCACTTAAAAAACAATTAGTCTTAGATCCTCGGAAACCTTAAATTATGTAGTTGCATCATCAGTAGTCAGAGATAGCAATGAAAAGGGGAAATTCATCAAAGAAACACTAACCCTTGTGGTTTGAACTAAGACGTTTCAAGAACCTTTTATCGAACGACAAGGTTGTAATTAGAGTTGTCCTGAGAAAACAGAGGAGAAAAATACCGCTTAGAGGAATAATTTTGGCAAATAGTTTCCTCAGTAGACATCTAGTTTACTCTGTTGAAATGTATGAGAAAAAAAAAAAGTGGAAAGAAATCAATCATCTGTGAATTCTTACACAATTAACTTACATAAGCATGTCTCTTTTCTTTACTAGCCAATATCCAGAGCACTTTTTGTTCCAGATGTTAATAGTAATATTAGAGCAGAAAACTGAAAGAATACCCAAAAAGGAGAAAATAGCAGTTACTTGGCAAGCGCTGTTAGTCTTTTGCCTATAATGATAATCACATATTTAATTATAAGTAAACTTCACTGTATCAATAATTCTTATAATTTAACTATATTGATGTAAACTTTCTGAGAATGCTCTTTCCTTCTCACCAGGACAGTTGTCTGGAAAAAGCTCAGATGTAACATCTCAACCTGGGACTGCTCAATTCCAGCTGTCAAACTTTGAATTATCTTAACGATTCTGGGCTTCTATTTTCTCACCGGTAGAACCCCCTAAAATGTCAGCTAAATAGGCACTAAAGCCTACTTAGAGACAACTGATTAGTAGAGCAAAACTTAATATATTGAACACCACCCTGACAGTCTTTGCACTGTCTTTTAAGGGGGAACAAAAGAAATGAAATATTAATAGGATTTGGCTTCCTGGCTCAAGTGGTTTAAGGTATGCCTTTCAAGATGGAAAACTGACTAGGATTGGGCATAGTTTATAACAGTTTAAATGGACATAGCAAGTGTGGATCAATAAACTATGGTTAATAGACAAGCTACTTACCTGGTAAGCAGTCTGTTGTCACCAATGTATTGATGTTGATGATTTTCTATCTTTTCCTGGGTCAAATAAATAAGTGATGCTGAACCAGCAGTCTACAGGTATTGTCTCAGCATATTGACAGAGATGGTCTCAATTTTCACATCTATAAAATGGGTATAATAATAATAAATACATAATAATAAATACCTCACAGTATGTGTGAGAATTAAATCATGTAATGTAAGTCACTATTATAATAGATTATTGTCTTTTTTATACTTATTTTCTAAACATATTGAAAATTCTAGTAGGTTTTATTTTAACCTTCTTTTTTTTTTTTTTACTTTTACTTTAAGTTCTGGGATACATGTACAGAACATGCAGTTTGTTACATAGGTATACATGTGCCATGGTGGTTTGCTGCACCTATCAACCTGTCATCTAGGTTTTAAGCCCCGCATACATTAGGTATTTGTCCTAATGCTCTCCCTCCCCTTGCCCCCACCCCCCGACAGTTCTCATGTGATGCTAATACTTATAACAAACATTCATAACTAGGTATGCTTTCAAAAATAATCATTCACTGAAGAATTTGTAATATATAAAGTAAAAACGCGTGTGTGTGTGATTTTTTTTACCTTCTTATTTAAAGCAAATAAGAATCTCATGCTTAACTTTCCTATGCTTTGAATTTTCCAAATTGTGTGGTGTAAAAGAAAATAGGAACAAAATATTTGAATTAGGTGTGATTTATTAGGAACTCAAGTCTACCATCTTTGTTAGGCAATTCAGTTGGCTAGCCCTCAATCATAGTAATTATGCGGAGGGGCCAAAGTATTAATAAACAAATAGTGACATCTTGTGGCCTTCCAGCAATATGCTAGGTTTTAAAGCAACAACATGGAAATAAAAATCTGACATGTGAGAGGAAAGATATATACTTCTGGGTTTGCAATTTTAAAGATGTTTCTTTTCCTCACTAAAATTAGGACATGAGAAAATACCCTTTGAAGAAATATATGCATAGGTTCTTGTATATGACGAAATATGTTGGAATATATTAGGAGGCTATAAGGAAGCCAAGGTTATTTTCCTTTAGTAGAATATTCTGAAATATGATGTAGATTTGTGTTACTTGTTAGATGCATTGATGATCTTTCAAGATTTTATTGCTAAGCATACTATATAAGTGCTACTCGTATTTCACATGAAACAAATGCATTTTTACTTCATATATTACAAATTCTTCAGTGAATAATTTTGAAAGCATAGCTAGTTATGAATGTTTGTTGTAAGTATTAGCATCACATTAGGGGAAATGATTCTTTATAGAAAATTTCCATAGATTTTAGTTGACATTGTGCTGTATCTCAGAATGGAACACCGACTGTCTTCAAACCAACATACACCTGGAATTTAAATTCAATTGTGTATTTGTTTTTTAAAATAATCAGAGTTAGCAGTTACTTTAAAAAGGTAATTAAAATGTTTTCAGAGCCTATATAGTATAAAGCTTGTGATGAATTCTCTTCCCTCGTTGGCAAATTTTTTATTTTATTTATTTACGTTTTTTGGCTGGGCGTGGAAGCTCACGCCTGAAATCCCAGCACTTTGGGAAGCCACGATGGGTGGATTGCTTGAGCCCAGGAGTTCAAGACAAGTCTAGGCAATATAGAAAGACCCTGTCTCTACAAAAAATATAAAAATTAGCTGGATATGAAGGCCTGTACCTGTAGTCCTAGCTACTTGGTAGACTGAGGCAGGAGGGATGATTGAGCCTGGGAGGTCGAGGCTGCAGTAAGCTGAGATTGCGCCACTGCACTCCAGCTTGCGTGACAGATTGAGATCCTGCCTCAAAAGTAAAAATAAAATAAAATAAAAGTAATTTTTTTTTTTGAGGCAGGGTCTCACTCTGTCACCCAGGCTGGAATGCAGTGGCAGGCTCATGCCTCACTGCAGCCTGGATCTCCTGGGCTCAAATAGTCCTCCCACCTCAGCCTCCCTAGTAGGTGGGACAACAGGGTGTGCCACCATGCCCAGCTGAATCTTCTAATTTTTTTGTAGAGATGGGGTTTTGCTATGTTGCACAGGCTGGTCTTGAACTGGACTCAAGCGATCCACCCACCTCAGCTTCCCGAAATGCAGGGATTACAGGCATTCCCTGCTTAAATTTTTAAAAATTTAAATGCATAAGATGATAAAGTAGCAAGCTCAGTGTTAGAATTTAGCTTCGTGGCTAAAAAAAAAAAAAAAAAAAACTTGTTCTTCCCTTCTTTCTCTCTCTCACTACTCACTCAGCAACATTTATTAAGAGCCTGTTTTCTGCAAAGCACTGGGCTAGACACTGTCAAAAATAATGTCTTGTTATTTTATGCAAATAACATTTGTCTTCTATCCTGCTTGTAGTACTATGATCTTCTATCTTCCTACCCTTGTATCCTACTGTTCTTTATTCCCATAAACACCTTTGCTGCAAGTAAATGAAAGAGACTTAGTTTGCAGGACTCTAAGTTTTTTAATCCTACTTGGCTAATAACTCCACTGATACCTATTAATATTAATTGGTTGATGTAACAAAAATATACCCAAACAAGTGAACTTTTTAGGAATTTTGTAATGGTGACATTTATCCAAAAGACTTTGATATCCTCAGGTACAGATGGGTCTGGGGGTCTTGTATCTTAGATATACAAGATGTGGGATCCCATTAAACAAGTGCCCATCCTGTATCACCATCCTTCACTGTTATTGAGAGGTCCTGAAGTTACCGGGACTATCGTGTGCTGTGAATTCTAATTCGCTAAGTTGACTCTATATGGGATTTCATGCTCTGCTGGTAAGTACTTTATTTATCCATCTATTATACTAAATTGTGCCTCGTTTCTCCCTTGTAGCCCCAGTGGCTCCGGAAATCACTTCTGTGGAATATTTCAACAGTCTGTTATATATCAGTTGGACATATGGGGATGATACAACGGACTTGTCCCATTCTAGAATGCTTCACTGGATGGTGGTTGCAGAAGGAAAAAAGAAAATTAAAAAGAGTGTATGTTTCTTTGAATGCCAGCATTGTGTGTCTGTAAATTTAGTTTTATGAACTATTGAAAACCACTAAGCAATCATTTATTGACACGTCAAATGTTTGCATACCAGTTGTCTGTTTTAGGCTCTGGAGATAAGACAGTGAACAAAAATTGAATTCTTCCTTTCATAGAGCTTACCGTTTAATCTTTAACAGTGAGATGTAAGAGCTCCAACTATTGATTTCATTTATATTTAGAATTATGATTTGAGCTTTTTCTTCAGGATGCCAAACATTTTCAAGAAAACTACAATTAACGTGTTTCCCATTTTTTCCCATATATCACCGACACCTAAAGATTTGGGGACCTTGGGACTACTGATTTCTTTTCTCCAAAATACGCTTTTGGATGTTTATTGATAAGGGGACAGACTAAACTACTGTAATAAAGAAACAAACAAAAAGAGAGTGGCTCAAACAAAATAGAAGTTTATACCTCTCCCATGATAGCACAGGACTAACCAGGCACTTCTGCTTTAAGGGGTCACCCAGGGAGGCAAATTCTGTTTTGTTGTTCCATCTGCCACTATGCATAGTCCTTGTCTCTAGAGAGGAAGCTTTATCACCATTACATGCATGTTCCAGCCTGCAGGAAGGGGAAAAGAAAAGGGATGATGTGGAAGCCCAGCACTTACAGGATGTGAACTGAACTGTCATTTGTCCATGTGACTTCTACTTACAATCCACTGATCAGAGCTGGGTCACATCATCCCCTCTAGCTGTAGGAGAGGATGGGAAATAACAATGGCTGTTAGGTAGGAAGCCACACGTCTACAGATATGGGTAGGTTTCTTTTGAACGTCTTAGAATGTACATATCAGTAGCAACTCAGTAATTGTCTTTTCTAAAACCTGTTATCAATATGTGAGAAAATGTCAGAATGAGACCCATTCCAAATAAGGGAATTCATTGCAAAATTTTTCTGATGTATATAATGCATTATTAAGGCTACCTCACATTGGGCCCAGCTGAGGAATTTATAAAATTTTCAGAAGATATAACGTATCTATAATATAATCAATTGCAGACTGCTGCATAGAACAGAGAGGGAATGTGTCTGCTATAGTCCTTTAGTTGTTTGGGGTGGTGCACTGATTCATTCACTAAAAGTTTAAACCCTTGATTTTGATGATCTTGCAGGTAACACGCAATGTCATGACTGCAATTCTCAGCTTGCCTCCAGGCGACATCTATAACCTCTCAGTAACTGCTTGTACTGAAAGAGGAAGTAATACCTCCATGCTCCGCCTTGTCAAGCTAGGTAAGAAGAGTGCACAGAGATGGGTGTGAAATAATCACTAATGTTTGCATCATTCGATTCAGCAAGAGCTCCTCAATTCAATGAAATAATAACAGAAAAATGGCTAATTTTTTATGAGTAGAAAATAGACATTTGTACTAGCAAAAGGGTATGTTCAACTTGGTACAAGTTTCTGTGAGTGGGTTGTATACTGTTCTGGGAAACAGTGGTGTTCGCTGTTCTTTGTAAGGTTAAAGAAACCAGGTAGTCATAGGATTTTGGAGATGGAAGCACATTAGAGATTATCTAATGCAGTGTTCACAACCCTATAAGACAACATTCTATTTTCATATTAATATTATGTAATGCTCTCTTTAATATCTTAAATAGTAATGGATTTAAAAATCTACATATTGATTTTTTAAATTTTATATAGTTTCCCAACTCCAGAATAAAATCAAGACAAAAAGAAACTAATTTATAATAAAATAATATGGATTTCCTAAATATATGGTCAGACACAACTACTCTAAAAGACATAATGAAATTACCTGATGCCTAGATATAATTAAAATGAATAAGTTGGGGTTTATAAGAAATAAAAAGATCATTAGTCCTTCATATAAGAAGTATAAAAATAAGCAAAGAAATGAACAAGTTAATATAAATTGATAACAAATAACTAAACAAGCATAGATACAGGTAGATACTAGAATAAAAACTAGAGTTAAAATAAGTACTAAAAGATGAGATATATTTTCATATAATGAGAGAAAGATGGAAATAATTTTAATTAAAGTAGGGACAACACACCAAAAGTTTATAAATGGCAGCATAGAAGCAAGCTGGCTTCACTCCCCTCTACCCAACAGAAAACCAAAAGCAAATATACACTCTGAGATTTTCACCAGCAACAACCCAGAACTCAAATACGAGGATGCGACCGATTCCAGAGCCATAGAGAAGTGAAAATACTCTGGGCAGATGGTAGGAGAATCAGGCTTCCACATTCGTGACGCCTCCCCCGCGATTCTGCCTGGCAACAAGTGTGCAGAAAATCTTCTGCCAACTCATGTTTCTACACTGGAAAAAGTGAGGTTGAGGTAGTCAACTAGTTTCCCCACTATCTTGGGCTCCCTGGCAGGAAATCTGTCCTTGCCTTAACCCACAGGAAGCATCGTGACTGCCTGAAGGGAGAAATAGCTTGAGGATAGGCAGAAACAAAGAGATGAGATGGAACTACCATTCCCAGTCCCAGCAACTCTGCTCTGTAACTTGGCCAAAGGAGACACCAAATCAGAGTGGCTGTTCAGCAGCACCATACTGTAGGAGGTACATTTCACAGGTCCCTTGGGCATGAGCCCCCCAGCTAACTTTGACACACTGCCAGGATAATTCCTTTAAGACCTTTCTTTTTCAGGACAGGCAGAGCCAAGGCAAATCTGGACTTAAGGTGCCACCTAGAGCTGAAATGTAGGCAGTGATCTAGTGGTAAATATTTGCTAGGCAAACATAGCCAATAAAAGACAAAACAAGGCAAGGCAGACAAAGGAAAGTGGACTAAATAGTTAATTATTTAATGCAAAGACATAGTTCTATGCCCATAAGAAACAACATCAAACAGGGAACTGTGACCCGCCCACGCTACCCAGGAAAAGGACAAAGCAAAAATCCAATGACTGACCCTAACAAGATGGTGATCTGTGAGCTCTCTGAACAAGAATTCAAAATACAGTTTAAGGAAAATCAGTGATGTCCAGGAAAACACAGAAAAGCAATTCAGAAATTTATCAGAGAAATTTTTAAATCAAACAAATTCTTGGTACTGGAAAATACGTTTGCTGAACTGAAAAACACATCACAGCAGAATGGACAAAGGAGTGGAATGATTCAGGGAGCTAAAAGCCTATCTGAAAATACACCATTGGAGGAGAAAAAAGAAAAATAAGACTGAAAGTAAGTGAAGTCTGACTATAAGATATTAAAAAAAAAAGGCTGGGCACGGTGGCTCACACCTGTAATCCCAGCACTTTGGGAGGCCAAGGCGGGCAGATCACGAGGTCAGGAGATCAAGACCATCCTGGCTAACATGGTGAAACCCTGTCTCTAATAAAAATACAAAAAAAAAAAAAAAATTAGCCAGCATGGTGGCGGGTGCCTGTAGTCCCAGCTACTCGGGAGGCTGAGGCAGGAGAATGATGTGAACTCAGGAGGTGGAGCTTGCAGTGAGCCGAGATCGCACCACTGCACACCAGCCTGGGTGACAGAGCAAGAATCTGTCAAAAAAAAAAAAGGTATTAAAAAAACCTTAAAAGATCAAACATAAGAATTATTAGTATTCAAGGGGGAGCTGAATAAGGAAGTTTACTGAAAGAAATAATAATAGAAAACATTCCAAAACTTGAGACAGGTACAAATAGCCAGGTTCATGAGGGTCTGAGAATACCAAACAGATACCACTCAAATAAAATCACCCCAAAGCGTATAATACTCAGACTCTCAAAGGTCAAGGACAAAGAGAAGATCCTGAAAGCATCAAGAGAAAAGGAGCAAATAACAGGTAAACAAGCTGCAATTCACCTGGCAACAAACTGTACAGGCCATGAGGAAGAACATTTTTACAGTGCTCAAAGAAAAAAAACTGCCATCCAAGAATAATGTATCCAGCAAAATTGTCCTTCAAATATGAAGGAAAGATAAAGTATTTCTCAGAAAAACAAAAGATGAAAGAATTCACCACTACCAGACCTGTCATACAAGAAATGCAAGAGAGTTCTTCAATCTGAGAGAAAAAGACACATGCGAAAAGAAAACTTTTCAAGGTATTAGACCTTTGGGAAAATTAAATGCATGGACCAACCCAGGATATTCTGTTACTGTGATTGTGGTGTACAATCCATCCATAACTCTGGTATAAAGCCCAAAAGACAAATCTTTTAAAAATAATAATAGCTACAGCAACCTGTTAAGAGATAGGTAATGTAAAGCATGTAAATTGAGGCAACAAAGTCAAAATTGGGTGGTGGAGAGAGATGAAGTTAAATTTTTAGGTGTGGTAGTTTTGCTTTTGTTTCTATTCTTTTGCTCATGATCTAAGATAAGTTGTCATCTCTCTAAAGTAACTTGTTATGGCCAGGCATGGTGGCTCATGCCTGTAATCCAGCACTTTGGGAGGTCAAGGTTGGTGAATCGCTTGAGCCCAGGAATTCAAGACCTCATCTCTACTAAAAAAAAAAAAAAAGGAAAAAAAGAAAAGCTGGGTATGGTGACACATGCCTGTGGTCCCAGCTACTTGGGAGGCTGAGGCAGGAGGATCACTTTAGCCCAGGAGATTGAGGCTGCAGTGAGCTGTGAGCTGTGATTGTAACACTGCACTCCAGCCTGCATGACAGAGCAAGACCCCCATCTTAAAAATAAGCAAATAAATAAATAAACTTGTTAAATCTATAAGATTTTTTATAAGCCTTGTGGTAACCACAGCACAAAATCATATAATCAGTTCATTAAAAATAAAAAGCAACAAATTAATACATAACACTTAATAATCACTTAACCACAAAATATGAAGAGAGGATTCTCAAAACAATCTGAAAACAGGCAACAAAACGGCAGTAGTAAATCCGTACTTAGCAATAATAACACTGGATGTATATGGTCTCAATTCTCAATTAAAAGTCACAGTGTGGCTGAATGGATAAAGAAATAAGACCCAACTATATGCTGCCTTTGAGAAACCCACTTCACCTGTAAAGACACACAGGGACTGAAAGTGAAGGGGTGGAAAAAGATATTCCATGCAACTGGAAAACAAACAAGCAAAAAAGCAGATGTAGCTATGCTTATATTAGATAAAATGGACCACAAATCTAGAATTGTAAAAACAGACAAAGAGGGTTACTATATAATGATAAAGGGATCAGTTTAGCAAGAGGATATAACAATTATAAATATCTATGCACCCAACACTGGAGCTCCTAAGTAAATAAAGTAAACATTAATAGATCTAAAGGAACAGATAGACTTAATTACAGTGATAGGAGGGGACTTCAACACCCCACTCTCAGTAACGTATAGATCTTCCAACAGAATAACAACAAAGAAACAACAGAGTTAAACTACACATGAGACCCGATAGGCCTAATAGACATTTAAAGAACATTTCACCCAACTGCTATGGAATACACATTGTTTTCACTGCACATGGAACATTCTCCAGAATATATCATATCTTAGGACACAAAACAGGTCTCAACAAATTCAAAAAGTACATATCATATCAAGTATCTTTTCTGACCACAATGGAATAAGACTAGAAAGTGGTAACAAGAGAAATCTCAAAAAATAAACAAACACATGGAAATTGAACAACATGTTCCTGAACAACCAATGAGTCAATGAAGAAATTAAGAAAGGAATTTTAAAAATTCTTGAGACAAATGAAAATGAAAATACAACATACCAAAATCTGTGGGATATAGCAAAAGCCATAGTATGAGGGAATTTTATAGCAATAAATGCCCTTAATATAAAAAAGTAGAAAGTTCAAATACACAACCTAATGATGTACCTCAAGGAACTAGAAAAGCAAAAGCAAACCAAACACTAAATTAGTAGAAGGAAAGAAATGTAAAGGTCAGAGCAGAAATAAATGAAATTGAGACTAAAAATAAATACAGAAGATCAACACAACAAAAAGTTGGTTATTTAAAAAGATAAAATCAACAAACCTTTAACTAGACTGAGAAAAAAAGAGAGAAGACCCAAAGAAATAAAATCAGAAACAATAAAGTAGGCATAATAAGAGACCTCATAAATACAAAGAATCATGAGAGACTACTATGAACAGCTATAAACCAACAAATTGGAAAACTAGAAGAAATGGATAGATTCCTGAACACACCTAATGAGACTGAACAATTAAGAACAAGAAAACCTTAATGAACCAATAATGAGCAGTGAGATGAAAGTCATAATAAAGTCTCCTACCAAAGAAAGCCCAGGTCCTGATGGCTTGACCCCTGAATTTCACCAGACATTTAAAGAAGGACTAATGCCAATCCTGCTCAAACTTTTCAAAAAAGCTGAATAGGAAGGAATACTTCCAAATTCATTCTGTAAGATAATATGCCAAGAAAAATAATAGGCTGTGGATAAGGAAAAACAGATACTTTAACATTCTTGCAAATGAACTGGATCTTTTTGTGTAGTGTAATGTCAAAATAATTCTTTATATTATGACATACAGCTGGAAAGTGACTGTGTAGCATACAACTGGAAAGTGACTGTGTAACACAAAACACATCTTCTACATTCAAAAATTGACCATTTATTGCGGTATACATTTAGTTTCTGATACTTATAGGGAAACTCGAAGACAGTATCCTAAAATCTGCCACAGACAATGGAGGATGGATTGACACAAAGTTGTGTGATAGACCTTTAGAGACAGTATGACCGAAAGAGTGGCAACCCAAAACTAAATGCATAATTTCAATATGTAATTTTCACAGCAGAGATTTTATAATTTTCATATTTCAAAAATTAAGTTTATCTAATGGCAATAAAAGTGTTTTCCACATAGTTAATGCAATTTAGTGACATCATTTTTTAAGATGTCTGCTAATTTTTGTGTCTGAATTTGTTCATAACAGTCTCAAGCCATCTCTGTTATTACATGTGTTCATATTAGCAGCTGTAAGTAAAGACTAATTCGTGGTTGTTTTATTAGTAGCTTAAATACCATGGGTAGTATTGTTGGCAGTGATGTACTTTTAGAAAAATTTTAGAAAATCTAAAAAACAAAAAATACGATCTTTCCTCAATTTACCCAGTAATTGCATTTCTCCAGAACTCAATGCATAGGTCACTGAGTCTTAAATTTCTTTGTCTCCTATTTGCCAAGACAAAAGCTAAGTTTTTGTGCTGAAATACTTTAAAATTGTATAGGTAATTTGGAAATATGTGATGTGTTGATTAGACACTATGGAAGTAAAAATTATAATATTGAATAATTTATAATTTTAAATACTATCTTAATTGGATTTAAATATGCCTTTTCATGACAACTTTCTTCTAAATTATTTTACTTAATTTCTTTTTAAAAACTTTCAATATTATGTAGCAAAGTACTTGCAATTTACACTTATGGTGGATTTTCTCTGGTATGACATTTGAAAGTCATGTGGGATGTGGGACATGGGACAATTTGTCTTTTGGTGTCCTCTTAATAATTCCAGGACGGCTAGCATTTCTAAGTCCTGACCACAAAAGAACAGCTAATTCCCTCTGCTGTGACTAATAAAAACATTCCTCCAAACTTTCAAACACCCTCAAGGGGGCACTAGTGCCCCAATTGAGGATCAAGGGTTGTCTCTTACCTTTCCTGCACTGAAGGCAATCTGCTCTTCCTCCCTTGTGGTCTATACTTAAATTCTACGAATGTGGAGAGCACCAACTTCCAACTTTGCATAATCTTTCTATTAAGAAAAAAGTTGCCTGTCTACCAATTCCAGCCATTATCTCTGACTCTGACCTCTGTGGGTGTAAAGGGCCGTTCAAAAACTCATTTCCAGGTAACTGTAATTACTTGAAGATTGAGCTCATATTCCCAATGTCTTCCTTTTTCCAAGCTTTACTAATACAGGAAGCTATTAAGTGTTTCTCAGGTCCTAGCAGCTTTCTCCAACTCATTTGGTTTTTCAGTCTCCCTTAAAATTTAAGTTCAGAGGTGGTCTTATCAAAGTAGCATTTAGTGGGCCTATTGGATACTTCACTGAAATTTCTATGTGACATCATGGTCGAAGGTGCCTCAGGAATATGAGTCAAAGTCATGAACTAGTACAACTGTATCTACATAGGACTGTGAGTTAAAACCATGATAGTTTCCCAAACTTATCAAAATGTTTGGAGTCTCCATGTCTCCCTGATAATAGAATGGACTATGTAAACCAGCTTGGAAAATTTATTTAAACTTTACAAGAAGGAAAGTTGAGTTTTCATGGAAATTATTTCTAGTTAATGTAACCCTTAGGATCAATAACCTTTTTCTTATTGGTATCTTAAATATCAAATGGAATATTGTTTCTATCTTATTCCTCTCTGTAGACAAGACAATCTTTTTATGATGTGCCTTTCTTATTTTCTTGAAAACATATAATGTTGGTTTTTATCCTTTAGTCAAAAGATCTGTTCTACTAATCATGTTATTGTGTATATAAGCCCTTTCCATTTTATATAACACAATGCCTGAACACCTATAACTGCTTAACAGATACTGTTGAATGAATTGAAATTGCGGACCTCAAAGTTGAACATAGTATTGCAGTTAATATTTAATCGGAACAAGTTTAACCTTTCAGAGAAGTGAAATAATATCTTGCTTTAGTAGTACCTGAATTGCAGGTTTTGTGTGTGTTTGTGTGTGTTTTTTACAGAACTTTCATTCTAGTTGTTTTATGTTTCTTCCCAGCATTCATTTTGATATATATAGAAGTCATAGTCATTCTCCTTTAAAGAAAAATACAACTTTGGCACAGATTTTTCAGAGCATGTTTGAATCAGAATGCCATTGTTAAAGCTGGGGCCGTAACTGGTTGGGCTAACCTGCAGTTCAATTTATCTATAATAGAGGCCTCTTTAGAATGCCTCTGAATGACTCCTGTGTCATGGAGGGTAGGTTCTACCTCTATAGAAAGAAACCAAACTACCAATGAGTCCAGTATCATATAAATTAATCTAATGTGTCATGTGCAAGGGTAGAGAGCCCTCAAACAGTTGCCAATAATTCTCAACATTGTATCATCAATAAACATCCATAAAAAGAAATGCACCAATAATGGTGCTTTTCCCAGGATGTTGAACCAACCATCCCATTAGGAATTTTAGGTTGCCAGCAGTTTCACGAAACTTTGGTGGTATGTGGTGACAGGTCCCTTTGACAGTCAGTCATTACTATCTTCTAGTCTTGGTGAATCAACCTGGATCCCTGGGCCAACTTTAAGAGGACATGTTAAGTCTACATAAGATAATCAGTTTCCCAACCTTAAAAAAAAGAAAAAGAAAGGAAAGAAAAAACAGGAATGAGACGTGTTGGACACATCACAAATAGCTCTCTGGTAATAGAATATCCATTCATCAATCCATTTAACTAATATATATTAAGAACCTTCTAAGTACTACTCAGATGCCAGAGTACTTGTGGTAGTCGTGATGGTAATGAACCCAGAGCGCTACTTTCACTTTCTGTTCACAAGGAGCTTATGATCTAGTGAAGGGGAAGATGGTAATAGTGCTGTACAGTGCTCTACAACAGGGAAATGTGGTGCAGAATGACTGTGTGGTCAAAGCTTTCTTTGAGGAAGCCATGGAGGCTATGGTCTGAATAACAAGAAGAACCAGCCACAAAAAGGCCAAGAAGGAGGATGCCAGACAGAGGGAACAGGCAGGCCTGAGTATAGATCTTTTAAGGCATGCAGTTGGAATATTATCTTCAGAGTAATGAAGGGCCATTTAGAGAACTTAAAATAAACAGTCCGATTTACATTTAAAACAATCCCTCTGGTTGCTTAATGAGAAAGGGATTATTGTATCAACAATGAAAGTAGGGGAACTAATTAAGGGGCTATTTGTGCCAGCTTTAAAAATTATATTCTAATTCAAAGAAGTTGCAAGAGAGTGATGGTAACTTTGACTACGGTGGTTGTAATGGAGATGAAGAGAAGTGGACAGAATTCAGGAGCTCTTTTGGAGGTTGTGTCCACAGAACTTTCTGATACGGCAGAAACACGAAGTGAGGGAAAGGGAAATTAATGACTCCCAGGCTTCACCCTTGAGCAACTAGGACAAATGGTGGCGCAATTCACTGAGATTGAGATGACTAGTAAAACTACAGGAGGAGGACATTTAGGGTGAAGTAAGAATCAAGGATTCTTCTTTGGATGTAAACAAATTTAAAATGATTATTGGATATCCCGGTGCAGATGTGAAGGCCAGGGGAGAATTCTGGGCTGGAAATATAAATTTGGAAGTGTCTGGATGAAATCACCAAGTAGTAAGTAAAGACAGGGAAGAAAAGAGAAGCCCTGGATCAACTCTAGAGGAGCCACCCCAGCAGTTAGAAATTCAGCTTAGCAGGAAGCATCAGAAAGAGAGAGTGGAAAGGAACAGCTAAGGAGGTCAGAGAAAACAAAACAAAACAAAACAAAAACAGAATTGCACACCACCATCATCAAACTTATGCTTTATCCTGACCACAGACATGTTCGGGCACGTTCGAGATAAGGAATCATATAACTTTAGTGCTAGGAGAGCTTTTGGAGATAATTCAGTGCTATGTCCTCATTTGAACAAGCTGGCGCTTAGAGAAATGTGACACGCTTTATACATTGCTAGGTCTTGGTCCAGAAACAGTCATTTCGTACTTTTTATCCATCTGCTGCTTCTATTCCTGGACTGGGGTGTGGCCTTTTTCCTTCAAACTTCATTTTTTCTATTAAAAAATTTAACAGAACAGGGAGGAGCCTCATACCCACTTTTGTGACTTTCCGTTCCTCTTTGGAATTTGGTCTTAGGGACATTGGCTTGATTTTCTTAATCTTACTCATACAAACCTTTATAGAGATTAGAAATCTTTAAAACATAATTTGGCTATGGACAAGAAAAAAATCAAAATACTTTGAAATGTTAAGTATTTGGGGGATAGTAGGCTTTTTCTCTCTGTCTCTCTCAAATATGGTTATAGATACATAGAAATCTGTAGGCTGCCAGTCAGCTAGAAAGAAGCTAATAAAATGCTTAAGGTCTTATACTTTTTTAAAAAATTATTCATCCTGTGAATCAGAGAATATTTACTTAGCATTTACTATATGCCACACACTATTCTTGGTTCTGAGCATACAGAAATGAACAAAACTGACAAAAATGTCAACCCTCATTCTAATGGAGAAAAGGAGATGATAAACATAAATATAAGAATGTTAAATGGTGATAAGTGTCATGGAGAAAAGTGAAAGAGGAAAAGAGGATAGGAAGTGCTGTGGGGGATGGGTGCAATTTTTGTGAGGAGTAGAGTAAGTGTCACTGTGAAGGTGATGTTTGAGTCAGAGCCTAAAGGAGATGAGGGAGTAAACCAAAGAGATCACTGGGATGAGATTCTGTAGGCAGAAGGAACCACAGGTGCCCAGCTATGGAAGCATAGTGTTCCTGGCAAGTTCAAGGAAAAGTCAGGCAGGCAGTGTGGCTGCAATGGAACAAACAAGGTAGAGAGCCATAGATACAGGGCAGAGAGGTAGCAAGGGAACAGACCGTGTAGGGTCATTGAAAAGACACTTTCCTGTGAGTGAGATGATTCTCCATTGCATGCTTTAAGCAGAGGCGCATAACCTAACGGGTTTCACTGGGTCACTCTGGTGATAATAGATTGTTCAGGGCAAGGATAAGAGCAGGAAGGAGCCAATTAGGTAATATGACCATACATCCCTGTTGCCTTAGACAATACCACTTTGCAACTCTTATGGATTATTTAAAAGGCAGTAATCCTCTTTAGGATTTGGGGCAAGGCTTTTCTGCCCCAAAAGTGTTCCCGTGTGGACATTTTTGATAAATTACATGGTCACCTTAAAGTTTAGAGAACACTGAGTCTGTCCAGATAAGAGATTATACTTGTTTAGGTCAGACTGGGAGCCACAGAGGCGATGAAAAGTGGTCAGATTCAAAATTTATTTTGAAGGTGTTGCTGAGAAAATCTGCTGATGGACTTAGATGTTGTCTATGAATGAGTAAAAGCAGCCTAGAGACACAGCAAGATTTGCGGCCTGAGCAATTGGAAAGACAGAGGTTTGATTTATTAACTTGGAAAAGATTATGGGACAGGCTGGTTTGGGGCAATGTCAGAAGTTCAGGTCTGGGTGGGTCAACATTTTGAAGGTTCCTATGAAACCATTAAATAAATACTGAGCAGGCAGTTAGATAAAGGAGCTTGGATTCAGTGAAGACTTCAGGACTAAAAATATAAATTTGAGTGTAGGCAGGCGACAGATGTGATGAGTTAACAAAGACTCAATAAAGAAAAAATAATGCTATCCAGGAACTAAGCCCTGGGCCACTCCAACTTTAAGACATGGAGATGGTGAGTAAAAACCAGCAAAAGAGACTGAGGAGCATTGGCCAGGGAAGCAAGAAAGAGCACAGAAAAGTGTCCTGTCCCAGGAGCCAAGGGAAGAGAAAGCCTCAGCGAGTGGAGATTGTCCAGGTCAAACCTGTGAACAAATCTGGTAAGATGAGGAATGAGAATTGACCACTGATCTTAGCAGCCCAGAAGTCACTGGTGATTTTGAGAAGAGGCATTTGGGTGCCATGGTGACGGGAAAAAAAAATCTAAAATGCACAGGAGCTAAAGAATAGAAGAATCCAAGAATTTTTGGTAGTTTTTTGTTTTTATTTTGTTTTCTTTAAGTGAGTGAAAACAGCTTGTCTGTAGACTAAGCAAAATGATCCAACAAAACAGAGAAAACTGTTGATGCAGCATAGTTAGAGGTGAGACTTGGTGTGATGTCCTTGACTGGAGCAGAGGAGATGGAACCCGGGGATCCAGTGGAAGGATTGGGTCTGGATATATCTTCAGGAAGACAATGACAGACAAACAGACAGTATGGGCATTAATGGGATAGTGAGCAGAGTGAAGATCATGATAGCCGCTTGTGGATGGTTTCTTCTGATTGACTTCTTGTAAGATAAACACATGCATGTTCTTTAGGTTTGCAGGGGGCAATACCTGCCATGCTACTCTTCTGATATATACCTCCATGGCCAGCAGCCCCATGCAAGCATTGTTTTCTGATTTAGGTTCTCAGTGACAGCCATGCCACAGTCCCATGGCTCTGTACCTGGGCCTGACACTAACCAATCCCTCGCCTCAATATACCCCTCCTCACTGCAGTCTTCTGAGTGTCACCATGGTTTGTCAACTGCCCAGAGGCATACCAAACCACTTTAGTGCTTCTTTTTTTTTTTGAGACAGAGTCTTACTCTGTCATCCAGGCTGGAGTGCAGTCTCTGCTCACTGCAACCTCTGCCTCCCAGGTTCAAGCGATTCTCCTGCCTCAGCCTCCCAAGTAGCTGGGATTACAGGTGCGCACCACCACGCCTGGCTAATTTTTGTATTTTTAGTAGAGATGGGGTTTCACCATTTTGGTCAGGCTGGTCCCGAACTCCTGACCTCTTGATCTGCCCGCAAGTGCCTCCCATAGTGCTGGGATTACAGGCGTGAGCCACCGCGCCCGGCCCACTTTAGCACTTCTCTAAAGGCATTTCTCCTGCCCATCATAAGGTACTGCATATTCTGCAGGTACATGATTCTCTCCAATGTATTGGAAGAATCTGAAGGAGGGACACATAGGGCAATGACTGTGAAGTCTGGCATTGACCTAAATACACAAGCAAGTGCCCACTCTGGAAAAGTTGGTCTTCTAAGCAAAGGAATTTTTCTGGAGGCCTGGTCATCCCCACTTATATGCAACTGACTGGGTAACTCGCTGATTGGGAGGAAAACAGGTGTAATAAGGACCCTTGATTAGGAGTCCAGAGGTGTGGATCCCAGTTCTTGCCCTCACAAACAAATTGTGTTACCATAGCAAAGTAACTCAGACCCTCTGAATTCCAGCTTCCTATCTATAAAATGAGTCTGGGCTAGATGATCTTTTATGCTCCTTCAACTTTTAGAATTTCATTCCATACCTGAGTTCAGAATAAAAGCAGCAAGATTAATGATGCAATGAAAGTGCTGATCTTATTCTAAGAATTTTGCAATATATGACTCCTAACAAAATAAAAATGCTAAGTAAAAGCACATGCTCCTGGAACCACTGAAAAGGAGGTATTCAGATATTTGTTTTGAAACTAAGTGAAGAGAATCAGAAGGGTGAGGGGGTGGGAAGTGGGTGGATGATGAGAAATTATTTAGTAGGTACAATGTATGTTATGTGGGTAATGAATACCCTGAAAGACCTGATTTCACCACTATGCAATCTATGCATGTAACGAAATTACACTAGTATCCCATAAACATATGCAAATTTTTAAAAATTTAAAAAAAAGAAAGTAATGTTAAATGGGAGCTTTCTCTGAAAAACTCTATTGATCTTTAGAAGTTACTTAAGGTACTAAAACTATCAACCCATCTAGTGATTCACAGAAGAAGATATTATACTTGCTATCTCTAAGCCTTAAAGAATATAGGTAAGGCTGGGCACAGTGGCTCACTGCCTGTAATCCCAGCACTTTGGGAGGCCGAGGCGGGCAGATCACTTGAGGCCGGGAGTTCGAGACCAGCCTGCGCAACATGGTGAAACCCTGTTTCTACTAAAACTACAAAAATTAGCTGGGTGTAGTCGTAGGTACCTGTAATTCCAGCTGCTCAGGAGGCTGAGGCAGGAGAATTTTTTGAACCCGGGAGGCGGAGGTCGCTGTGAGCTGAGATTGCGCCGCTGCACTCCAGTCTGGGTGACAGACTGAGACTCTGTCTCAAAAAAAAAAAAAAAAAAAAAAAAAAAAAAAAAAGAATATAGTTAAAAAGTAATGCAAATGACAGACATTTCTAACTCCTGAGAAAATTTTATTTTTATATATAGGAAAAAGGCCTCATAATTTAATGTGTTTTCAGGTGCTAAATATTTGCCTGAATTTTTTTTTTTATTTCCTGGTTTTTTTTTTAAATGTTCAAATTACTTGTTAAATGTATCTAGGAAAAGAATTTCCCTAAGTCAACAAGACAAGGTCTAATAAACTTCAGGTCTAACAAAGACTTCTGCTGTTTAATGTAAATATTTCTCTCCTTAATTTCATTGCATATCAATCTTAACTCACCCTGAATAATTTCTATACCTCTTGTTTATTTTCCTTTCAGACAGTGCTTTCTTTTGCAGATGTTATTTCACCAACTTGAGCATAGTTTCTGCAGTCCACACTGCTTACATTGCAGATGCTTCCTTTGGCCAAGTCGAATATACTATATGACTTACGCTGCTTAACATAGAGTTGCTTGAGTTGAGGAAAATAAAAATAAATTTAAAAGACTTATGACAATATAGATGTTAACATTTATGCTTTGCATATGAAGAGCATTCTAAAAAACTGTTATCAGTGAGGCTAAAGATTGAAAATAAATGTTGTTATGTGGATCATGGATTAAGATAATTTTAACAATACTTTTCTACTTAATTTTCCTTATTACCAATGTTGCACATTTGTAAAATGACTCACCACGCTGGTCCTTATGGATATAATCTTGGCCTCATAAACATCATTCTCTAGGCAGCTAAATTAATGAGTCACATTAAAAGAAGAAACAATGTAATAGCTATCAGAGAAAGATGGGTTTTAGACAATAAACACATTACATTCTGCTCCTAGGCTAAATATTACATCTGACTATTCCCTTTGGAATTCCTGAGAAAAGGAAGAGATTTGCTGCCAGAGCACAGAATAAGAATCAGACACTAGCTCACACTTCAGGAAGGTCACTTTCACTCCCCAGAGATCCTAGGCAACAGCTTGAGCCTCTCATAATCCAATCTAAATTAAATGGTAGAGATGGCCTTGCAGCCTTCCAGTCTGCCCATATTCTATGCATTGTACTTGATTTTCTTATAAAATTAGATTGGATTCTCAGTCCAAACCCGGAGAGGCATGGAATGAGAGAGAAGAAAAGAAAATAGGGAAGGCCAGCTAGTTGAGTGGAACGCCAGCAATATTAGAAAGCTTTTAGAGGGTATTTAAAAGCAAACAACCCTATATCTATACCTCATTTTATGAAAATGGTATGTCTATCCCCCTTACCCATATACATAGGTACTCACACCAAATATCATGGACTGTGAAGTTATTTTAAACAAAAGGAAATTTGACCTTTTGGAGCATGAGAATATGGAAAATGTTATGATTGAAAATGTCATTTAGAGAGATAAAAAGCAATAGCCAGGAGATGTTCCATAACTAATATCTACATGACTTTACATTATATAAAGTGTTTGTGTATGCATTGTCTTAAATTTCATTTACTCTTCTCAACATTATTGGTTTTTTCCTATCCTTCTGCTTTAGAAGACTGACTGTATTTGATATTTTATAGGGTTTTTTCATCCCTCATGTGCAGAAAGGGACATATTTGGTATTTTGAATAGTAAGAGACTGTATTAGTTTGCTAGGGCTGTCATAGCAAAATACCACAGACTGGGTGGCTTAAACAACAGAAATTTGTTTTCTCACAGATCTGGAGTCTGGAAGTTCAAGGTCCAAGTGTGAGCAGAGTAGGCTTCTCCTGAGGCTTGCAGATGATCACTTTGTAACTGTGTCCTCACACGGTCTTTTCTTTGTGCTTGTACATCTCTTTACTGTTTATATTTCCTCTTCCTATAAGGACACCAGTCTGATTAGATTAGAGCACGTGCTAACAGCTTCATTTAATTTAATCACCTCTTTAAAGGCCCTATTCATCCTGGGTGTGGTGGCTTACGCCTGTAATCCCAAAACTTTGGGTGGCTGAGGTGGGTGGATCACTTGAGGTGAGGAGTTCGATACCAGCCTGGCCAACATGGTGAAACCCCGTCTCTACTAAAAATACAAAAATTAGCCGGGTGTGGTGGCAGGCACCTGTAGTCCCAGATACTCAGGAGGCTGAGTGGGAGGATCGCTTGAATCTGGGAGGTGGAGTTTGCAGTGAGCCAAGATCATGCCACTGCACTCCAGCCTGGGTGACAGAGCAAGACTCCACCTCAAAAAAAAAAATAGTCACATTCTGAGGTACTAAGGGTTAGGGTTTCAGCATATGAATTTAGGCGGAGGGGATATAATTCATCCCATAACAAAGATAGAAAGCAATCAAAATGCCTTTGATGTCATTGTATTCCCTATCATATGCAATTGCCTAATTAATATTTAGCCACTATCTACTTTAATCTTGTGCTTCTGAGAATGGAAAACATGAGTCATGTAAACCAGGGGTGTCCAGTCTTTTGGCTTTTGGCTTCCATGTGCCACACTGGAAGAAGAATTATCTTGGGCCACACATAAAATATGCTAACACTGATGAATCAAAAAAATTTCACTAAAAGTATCTCACAATGTTTTAAGAAAGTTTATGAATTTGTGTTGGGCTGCATTCAAAGCCATTCTGGGCAGCATGCGGCCTACGGGCCATGGGTTGGACAAGTTTGATCTAAACCATCTTAGGCTGTGGCACTGAGCTGGCCTTGACTTCTCATGAGAAGTGGGAACCCCCTAGCCAGTTTTTGCCAGAAATTTCCAGACTTCTACTCTAGGCAATAAGAAGAAATGCTCTAACTCAGTACTATTCATTTGAAACATAATAAGGGCCACATGTATAACTTTCAATTTTCTAGTAGCCACATTAAAAATTAGTAAAAAGAAACAGGTAAAATTGAATTCGATATACTTTATGTAACCAAATATATCCAAGGTCATATTGTTCCAACATATAATCAATATAAATAATTATTAATAAGATATTTTATTCTTTTCTCACACTAGGTCTTTGACATTCTGTCTGTATTTTACATTTGCAACACCTCTCAATTTGGACTAGCCACATTTCAAGTACGCAACAGCTACATGTGGCTAGTGGCTGTGTTGGACAATTCACATTCCGATTCTTACATTTTAAAACATTTCCTGGGACAGTTGTTGTCTTGAGTAGGAAAATCTAATTATAAGCACTCCCAATTCAATTATACTTTCACTTGTGAAATCTTGTAATAGTAATAAGTTCATAATTATAATAACAATAAATTGTAATAACTTTCTTTGTTTCCTTTGGGATACCAGAGTTAAATTTCTGCCTGATTAATTTAGGGAAGCACACCAATCACGAAGATCCTGAACAGTCCTCAAGCAGGTGATTTATGTATGTATTCATTGACCTATAGAGCTGACATGTAAACGTCTTCCAGAAAAGTACACAGTGATCACAGGTGCAGGGACCTTGAAATAATCTATTGCCCTCATATTCCACCCAAAAAGAAAAATTTGTTACGTGGTTGTTAGATGTCCCAGACCTTTAGGAGATTTTCCTGAGGATCTTATCACCTAGAGCCACATTCTCAGCCAGAACAAAGGAAACCCTCACTGCAGTATTCATGTCGTATTCCTTGGACCACTGGGAGCTCTTGCAGTAATTCATGATAGTTCTTGACTTTGCCCCTGAAATTGGATAATTTTACCTACATAAAAACAGAAGAGAACATTAAGATACAACCTCAGCGTGTCTGGTCTTGCCTGGTGCTTGAATCCTCCTCTTTTGGTTGATGAATCTTGACTCATGTTTTAAATCAGCCGATAAATAAGATTTTTTGAGTACCTATAGGTGGCTACTTCAAATGAAGACAAAGTCATTTATAACACATGACCCTTGTTCTTAAAGAATCTAATAGGATCTACTAGAATCAGGCCTTCACTCACATAGATTATATAGGAAATAATTAAAGGCAGTAGAATGTCAGAGAAGGGATAAATCATTAAGAGAAAGAGTCACCAAATGAGACTTCAAGGAGGAGGTAAGACTTTTTCTTGACCTTCGAATGAGCAGAATAAAGAGCATACTGATTGAAGGCAAACATGGGCTGACATAGAGCACTGCCCTGAAGTTCAGTGAGAAGACTGTCTTTCCCAGGAGGCAACACATCTGTGTGTCAGGAATGGTGGTGAAGCTGGTTGGATAGCATGCAGCCAGTTTAAGCAGGATCTTAAAGACATGGTATGTTTGGATGTGATACCACAGACAATGCACAGATAGGATTTAACATGAGTGAAATGGCATTTTAAGGTGATTTTAATCCGTTGTTGACAAAATGAAGAAAGAATTGATTAGAGCCAGGGAAAAAGAGGCACAGCAAGTTTGTGATGATCAATGAATGTGATCACAAAAGTCTAGACATGCAATATAATTTAAAAATAGATTAAAGGAGGCCGGGGGTGGTGGCTCATGCCTATAATCCCAGCTCCCAGCACTTTGGGAGGCAGAGGCAGGCAGATCACAAGGTCAGGAGATCGAGACCATCCTGGCCAACATGGTGAAACCCTGTCTCTACTAAAAATACAAAAAAATTAGCTGGGCATGGTGGCATGCGCCTGTAGTCTCAGCTACTCAGGAGGCTGAGGCAGGAGAATTTTTTGAACCCGGGAGGCAGAGGTTGCAGTGAGCCGAGATTGCACCACCACTGCACTCCAGCCTGGTGACAGAGCGAGACTCCATCTCAAAAAAAAAAAAAAAAAAAAAGATTAAAGGAAAAGGTAACGAGTTTTTAAAAGATATGCTCTCTGGGACTGAGAAATAAGGGAAGAGCCTCAGAATTGTGACTGAGGAACAATTCTGTAGTGTGCATTTTTAAAAAAGAAAAGCCTAGGCTCAGCCTAACTAATCATTCATCTATGCCCCCAAACAACTTCACACTTGGTTCTATAGATTCAAGTTCCACATGAGTCAGAATCCCTAAAGGACATAATCCTATTAGCAAAGGCAGTTATAAAGGAAGTGAGAAGTGGAAATTGACCTCTGTGTTTCATTAGCAGTCTTCCTCAGAGCAGAAGTGGGACAATACAATGCCTGGAGGACTGGACAATTCATTGCAAGTGAAAAAGGGCTCCTGACACCTATTGTGAATTTTGCTTGCCTAAGAAGAACTCATCTCTTTCCTCCTTCAACTCTTCTGCCTAACCTTGTCAAGTTGCTGCAGGAAAGAAACATGCTTCTTTTTAGTTGGACACAAGTTTAGGAGATCTGTGATAAATCATGGCAAGAATGATTTTGACATACTTCTTGGTCCTGGGCAGAGTCACAATGATGATATTCTAGAAACAAGGTTCAAATCTTTCCACACAAAGATGTGTACCTGTCAAAGCAGTGAAATGGCTGACAGGACTTTTTCAAGCACCTCTAAAGGACAGGAGCTGGAGAACAGACTTAGGAGAGTGGGGCAGAAAATGAAAAATCCAAGTAACAAGCAGGAAGAAACCTACAACAGTGGGTAGTCGTCTGACAGGCGCATATAGGTGGATGGAGGATGCTGTTATGTGAACCTAGCAGCAAGGTACAATATGTCCAAATAAGCAATGTCAGGGGGTCTGAGAGCAGGTAACAGGGACCCCAGCTTAAAACCTTGAGTTCAGGCACAGCACTCTGCATACTGGGGGACCTAGAGGGAAAGACAACATCCAAAAGACAGGGTCACAAGCAGAAGACCAGGAGACATTCAGGAATGGAGAATGAGACAGCAGATGACTATTAGAATTGAGGAACAGGCAGGGTTTTTTGGTCTCAAGAGAGCAATGCCAGTGACTCAATTACTAGAAATAAGTATGAAAAGGACAGACAACACAGCTTCCTTTACGAATGGATTTATTTATTATTAAGATAAAATGTCTAAGATAAAAAATTTATCTAATGTTTTATTAATCTTCCAATCCCCTCCTATCAATTCTTTTCTTAAAAAATTATATTATCAGCCAGGCACGGTGGCTCACACCTGTAATCCCAATACTTTGGGAGGCCAAAGTGGGTGGATTGCTGGAGCCCAGGAGTTTGAGACCAACTTGAGCAACATGGCAAAACTCCATCTCTGCAAAAAATGCAAAAATAAGCCAGGTAGTCCCAGTTACTTGGGAGTCGAGGCAGGAGGATCACTTGAGCCAGGGAAGATGAGGCTTCAGTGAGCTGTGTTCGCACTACTGCACTCCAGCCTGGGTGACAGAGTGAGACCCCCGCCTCAAAAAAAAAAAAAAATGATACTATCTGTTTAGCTTTATCTTTTTAAATTTTGACTAAATTTTCAAGCAGCCATTTTTCTGTCTGAATTGTTCCAGATAGTTTCCAGAGAAAGGAAGACAGGTTGTTGGCTAAATACCAAACTGCATCTCATCATTAGAAGGAAGCACACCAAATTTCATTTTTCTCCACCTTTATTAAGTGCAGATTTTTGTTTCTCATCCAGGAAGTTCTGTATTATCAGGGCAATGCTAACTTCAGTATAAATGACACAGAAACTATTAATAGATTATGACTATGATGAAACTGAAGTAGAAAACAGAAGTGTTCTGAAAAGAGAAGTAAAAAAATGGAAGGGGGAAAAGGCAAAGTATTCTGCCTTCCAAGTTAGATAGCTATCTTTATGAAAGGACATATTTCAAAGGCAATATAAAGTCTTTATGGTGCTCTTACCTACCTATATTTGAATTGGGGGATGCTTCACCTGCTTATTAGTGAAAGAAGAAAGAATACACTTAGTAAATTAAATTTTTTTTAAAACTTTGTCTTTGCTCAGAACCAGCTCCACCCAAATCACTCTTCGCAGTGAACAAAACCCAGACTTCAGTGACTTTGCTGTGGGTGGAAGAGGGAGTAGCTGATTTCTTTGAAGTTTTCTGTCAACAAGTTGGCTCCAGTCAGAAAACCAAACTTCAGGTACTGTACCTTTTGATCTACCTTTTCTCAGTTAACTTAAGTAAGGCTAATTATCTGGGCAAAATAAGAATCTTCTATTTCTTTGAGCTATATAAAATGAAAACTGTTTATTTGCTCTTTTGTGTTTCACTGATAGAAATTAACAGCAGGCTTAGACCAAGCCCAAAAGTTGTTATGAGAACTTTTATCTTTGTCTGTATCACTTGTTCCTAATTCATAAGTCACTCCAGGTCAGACAAAGGAATAAAGGTAGTAGGCCATTGAATTGATCAAGGGAAGAAAGACCCTACAATATAAAATATAATTTAACAAATATGAACCATTTGCCAAGTATATAAAGGCACTGAATAGAACACACATGATAGAATCAATATTTGCCTTCAAAACATTTTTATATGGTGTAGACATTGCATAAGTATAGAAAAAAGTAAAGTAAAATATAAGTACCACAAGACAGGTCCATTCGACCAAGAGAATTTAAAAGAAACGTGCATATCTAGTTTGTAAGGGGGACAGTCTTATTGCAAAATGAAGACTGAGAGAAGGTTATTGCTAAAGCTCTAGAATTACAAATGGCAGATACGATAAACAGAGTTATTCACCAGGTCAGAATGAATGAAAGGAAAGAGATGAACCTGCAGTTCTATGAGTGGCAACGCCACAAGGAAAAAATATTTCACAGCCAGAAGTGAAAGGAAAAGGACAGATTTGTTAGGGATTTTACATAATATAGTGTGTAGACTAATACTGCGAACATAAGTAATTGATCTTTTTTAAATAATGAAGTTCATGAGATTGAGAAGAAAAAAGGAATGCTGGGAGTGCAAATCTTTTCATATTGAATGCTAAGATAATTTGCTTTGATTCCTTTCTCCTTTTGAGATTCCCTTCTATGAATGTATCTCTTGTTGATTTGTACTGAACAGCTGAATTTTCTCTATTCTAAGAATCCTTTTGGAAAATAACTGCTCTGCCAATAATGGATTTTCTTCTCTATAACTACAGTGATGCCTTCCTTTAAGAAAACAATGGTTAGTTAGCTACTTACTACAACTGAGTCCTGTTAGCAAAAGTCTTTCCTTAGAATAATTCTTTTATAGAATAGTGAAAGAGAAGGAAGTGGAAGAAAATGCTGATGGCTCTCATTTCTTTATGCAAGGGTGTTTCAAAATCTTGTTTTGAAAAAAATGCTGGCTCATCTTTTGCTGTTGTACAGTAGTACTTGTCACTAGTCTGGCCATGGGTCCACCAAGTTAGCAACTTCTTTGACTCAAGAATAAGTTAATACTAAATGTTTCTTAGTGCGGATAGTTGCCATGTTTTAGTGGATGTTATATAAAAGCTAAGAATGCAGACAAAGGTGTAGTGTCCTTAATATATAAAGAATTGCTACAAGTCAAAAAAGGTAAAGGTCAACAACCCAAAACAAATATTTCATAGAAAAATACAGAAATCTCTTGAACAGATGAAAACTTCAGCAACCTCACTTACGGTAAAAAAAAAATGCAAAATAAAACTACAATATACAATTTTCACTAGTAATAATGGGAAAGCTCAGAGTTTGCAAATGTATGGTACTGGAAAGAATGTAGGGAGGCAGGCATTGTCACGCATTGATGCCAAAGGTGAGTAACTTGCAAAATGTCTGTAGAGAACTATTTTTCTATAGCTTTCAAAATTTTAAATGTACACTTTTTGACTCAGCAGTTCAAAGAATGTGACACTAGCAAAGAATATATGAGTATATGTGTATGTGTGTACGTTCACACATATATACATATTACATGCATATATTGTGTGTATATATGTGTGTATATATATGTGTGTGTGTGTGTGTGTGTGTGTCTATATGCATATGTGTGTGTCTTCCCAAATTTGTGAAATGAAGTTCATTGTAGCATTGTTTGCAATAGCAAAAAATCAGAGACCATTTACACATTCATCAACCGGGGCTCATTAAATAAATTATGGTATGTCCTTTCAACGGATTTCTGTCCAGCTCTTAAAAAGAATAAAACAGCTTAATCTGTACTGATATGGAAAAAGCACCAAAATATATTGATAGCTAAGGTAAAAAAATTAGCAGAATAATGTGTAGGCTAAGCCATCACTTATGTTTTTTAACTGTGTCATATATGTTCATACATCCATAAAATGCATATGGGAAGAAAAATAATGCCTGACAACATGGAATAATGCTGCTTCCATGGAAGGGAATTGGTCAGATGGGGAATGGGGAAAAAAGGAAACATTTTTCAATGCTATTCTTTGTCATCTTATACATTTTTTACTCTGTCAATCTATTACCAACTCAACTATGAAATATATTTTTAAAAAATATAGATGAAGTTAACCTAAAATTTACCTTATTTTCTGAAACCCCAGGAACCAGTTGCTGTTTCTTCCCATGTCGTGACCATCTCCAGCCTTCTTCCTGCCACTGCCTACAATTGTAGTGTCACCAGCTTTAGCCATGACAGCCCCAGTGTCCCTACGTTCATAGCCGTCTCAACAATGGGTAATTATACACATTAGTGTATAATTTTCTCACTTTTTTTGAATATATATATATATATGTATTTGTATCAATATTCCACCAAGAAATCCCAAGCTTCGGAGTCAGAGAGTCCTTAATTTCAATCCCAAAGTGCACTTACTAGCTATGGAGTTAGAGAAAGACATTTGGTGCCTCTGAGCTTTTCTTTCATCTGTAAAATTGGAATAATAATATGTAACTTTCTGAGTTGTTTTGAAGCTTAGAAATAAAATACTTAAATCCTTAGTATATGCTGTCTAAATGCTAGTTGCTAACTCATCTCATCTTCTTCAGTAATAGGCACAGTACTCTTATCAATCCAATTTCATCTATTTAGCCTTGGTCTTCATCTGTCACCGATCAGAGAATGACATAATTGATAACTGGGTCAAAGCAAGAAAGTTTCCAATCCAGCCAAAAGTATAAGTGGGAAAATTAGAGGTTAATGAAAGGTCTGGAATGATGCTGTTTATTTCCTTATTCTTTTCTTAGTTGTATTACATGTGTTACTCCTGGTTTGTTAGAGTCTGATTCTGCAACCTGAGACCCTCTATGAAGCCTCTTGTAATAAAGTCACTCATAACTTCACTGGTTTAGTTCCATTTCTGTAATATTAGTCATATATTTAGCTGCTAAATTCAGGGATGACTGGAGCGGACTGTTTTCTTTTTTCTTTTTCTTTTTGGTTTTCTGTTTTTAATTTTTGTTTTTTCAGAAGAGAGGACAAAAAATATACCTGCAAAGTATTTTAATGGTCTCTCATTCCTACATCCTTGTACACTTTCTAAAATATACAGTTGACGATGAATAATGAGAGACTTAGAAGTGCCAACCTCTGCATAGTTGAAAATCCATGTATAATTTTTGACTCCCTCAAAACTTAACTACTCATAGGCTACTGTTGACCTGAAGTCTTACCAATGATATAGACAGTTGATCAACACATTTTTGTATGTTATACTTATTATATATTGTATTCTTACAATAAAGTAAGCTAGAGAAAAGAAAATGTTATTGAGAAAATCGTAAGGAAGAGAAAATATATGTACTATTCATTAAGTGGAAGCAGATCTTCATAAAGATCTTCCTCATGGTCTTCACATTGAGTAGGCTGAGGAGGAGGAGGAAGAGGAGGGTTTGGTCTTGCTGTCTCAAGGGTGGCAGAGAGTAAAGATAATCCATATATATGTGAACCTGCACAGTTCAAACTCATTTTGTTCAAGGGTCAACTGTACCTTAATGTCCATCATTCCTTGTCAGCTCCATGACAATGTAGCATAACAGGTGATATTATTAAACTTATTTATAAATGAGGAAAATGAGGCCCATAGGGCAGATGAAATGGCTTCTCTCCAAATAGCAGTACTCAAGCGAAAAAGCTCTTCTGATCATGCGTCCATTGTTCTTTCTGTTTAAGCACTCTACTCATAAACTGGAGCCAAGCTGGCCCAAATGGGAAGTGGTAAATACCCAGAACCTTAGGGATCAGATGCACCTGCTCATTCTGTGACTTTATGATCAATGCAAAAGATGGTATGAGTCCTCAGGCCCATTTTAAAGAGTTTTATAAGAATATTAAACCTATGTTCCTGCCTTTGATATCCTGTTCTTCCGTGTAGTATGAAGAAGTAGACAATGTGTAAGTGCCACAGGAGACAAGTCTTTATATAGAGTACATGAAAAGGACGTGACCCCTGTTCTTCAGGGCCCTACAACCTATTAATAGGTTTTATCTCTTGAGCTGTGCAGATGGAAAACCCCTAAACATATGGCCACGGATCATCAGAATGTCTGCTTCTAGTAATGTGTTAAGTGCTTCAGCAGATGGTAGTTTGCTAATGTCTTTTTGATATACATTATTAGTTGTAAGCAAAGTATACAGTTGTGCTTTCTGACTTCAAAATCATGGGCGTAAAATAAGAGGTTGCCACCCTCTAAGCTTGTGAAAATGTTAAAAAACGATAATGCATGGTAATGACTTCCACATTTTTAGCTTTCAAATGAATTTAAACTGTGGCACAGGTATTCTTCATTCTTTAGTTTCCCTATGTAAGAATATCCTGAATGTTGTAGGCCTTTGAAAGGGACTCAATTCTTCCAGACACCTCAATACCACTTATCAGTCTAGTTTGCTAAGTTACAGTTGACCAGGAAGAGGTCATTGCTGGCTTGGGGAACATGATTGTTACTATTATTGGTATCATCGTAAGCTCACTGCCCTTAAGACTAGATGAAAAGCAATGAATGGTTCTGTTTGGTTCCCTGTAAGAGAACCTATGATGAAAATGCACAACTTATCTCTTTAGTTACAGAGATGAATCCCAATGTGGTAGTGATCTCCGTGCTGGCCATCCTTAGCACACTTTTAATTGGACTGTTGCTTGTTACCCTCATTATTCTTAGGAAAAAGCATCTGCAGATGGCTAGGTAAGTTAAGTTTTACTAATATTTTATCCGGAATCTTTAAAATATCTTTATCTGCCATATATATATTGTTTTTGCACACCTAAGTTGTATAGCGGTATATTGGATTTTAGTTTTCAGTGTCTGTTTCTATTGTGTGTGTTTTCTAAATAGACTTCGAAACATTATATTGGAAAATATTACCATTGAAATGAGAAAGCAAAGGATTGCTTGTTTACACAAAGTCAGACCTCTTGCTATCAATCTTGGCATTTGAAGTAGCCCATATATGGAGATCCATTACATTTGGGTACTTTCATACACATTTGGAATAAAAGAAATATCTATGACAGTTCAGTATAGTTAATGAAAAAAGTTAATAAAAATGGAGATGACAAGAAAGAACGGGGTGGGGGGCGGGAAATCCTCTCCATAATTTTAAGCTGTTCTATTGGAAAATATTTGTACAGTTTATGATTAGGTCCATTAGCAGTCTCTATTAGTTTTATTCCTATTACTCAGAGTTGCAGCCAGCTTAGTTTTTCTTGCAATTAGAAAAGCCTTTGATTTATGATTTCAGCTCTTCCCTGTTCCTTTGACCACTGATGCATTGCTCATCAGAGCACATTCTCAAGTAGTTTCTGTGGCCCCCTGTATTATCAGAATAATCTATCAATTCCCTTAAAAACTGTTGCTTATTTGAATACTACTTGGTTTGGGAAATTTTGTTAACATTTATATTTGCCCAATATTAACCTGCTGAATTATAAATTAACATTCTTCTCCTGTCTCAGAGTTCTATCACTCACATATTTATAAATAAATTCATCTATCCAATAGTGATCTAATCAGTGCCTGACATGGCATATCCAAAGAAAAATCAGACATCAAAGCTGTCCACTAGGAGCTTACTTACCTAACTGGATATATGAATAGATAGATATATTTAAAGGCATAAGCTGACATGTAGCATAAAGGGGATTAAAAACAGGATGCCATGAAACTAGAGAATAAAGACTAATTCTGAATGTGAAAATAAGCTTCTTGAAGGTTGGCATTTGAATAATCTTAAAAGGATAAGAAGAGATGTGGGATTGCACTGTAACTACAGTGGAGAGCTCTGAAATTACACTCCTTGAGGTCAAATCTTTTTTTTTTTTTTTTTTTTTTGAGACAGAGTCTCACTCTGTCGCCCAGGCTGGAGTGCAATGGTGCCATCTTGGTTCACTGCAAGCTCTGCTTCTCAGGTTCAAGCGATTCTTCTGCCTCAGTCTCCTGAATAGCTGGGATTACAGGCACGCACCACTAGGCCTAGTTAATTTTTGTATTTTTAGTAGACACAGGGTTTCACCATGTTGGCCAGGCTTGTCTCGAACTCCTGACCTTAAGTAATCTGCCCACCTCAGCCTCCCAAAGTGCTGGGACTATAGGCGTGAGTCACCATGCTCGGCCTCCTTGAGATCGAATCTTGACTTCCAACTTGCGTGAATTTGTGTAGGTCACTGAAACTTCATGCGTTCATATTACAAATATTGCTACATATATGACAGTATATGAAACAGACAAAAATATGTGCCTTCATGGAGCTCATATTCTAGTGGGAGAAATAGACAATAAACAATAAAGATATAAGTAAAAGGACTGCCCCTTAAGTTAGCAGGTGATAAGGAAAGGAAACAAGGTCAGGTAAGGGAGATAAGCAGTACCAGTGTGGTGTTAGGGGTCCTAGGAGGTGGGTAGGCTTCACTGAAATAATGGCATTGGAGCAGAGACTTGAAGCACATGAGGGAGGTAGCCTGTGTTATCTGTGGGAAGAGTGTGCCCAGTGGCAAGAACAGCTGGTGTAAAGGCCCTGGGGTAGGAGCACGACTGGGATGTTCAAAGTGTAGCAGAGGGGCCGTTGTGACTAAAGCGGAGGAAGACAAGAGTAGAAGGAGATGTCAAGTTATGCAGGGCTTCGTATGCCTTTGGAAGGACTTTGGCTTTTACTCAGTAAAATGAGCAGGCATTGCAGGCTCTGGAGCAGAAGATTAACAGCATCTGACTTAGATTTAACACTTTCATTTTGACTTTTATGTAGAAAACAGGCTGTATTGAGGCAAGGACAGAGACAGGCATATCAACTGTGGTAGCCAGGAATCCAGGCAAGAGATGCTAATAGTTCAGTCCAGAGCAGCAACACTGAAGGCAGAGAGAAGCCATCAGATTCTGGACATATTTTGAAAATAGGAGCAACAGGATTTGCTAATAAGTTGATATGGAATGGAAATGAAAAAAGGAGTTGAGGCTATAATCCCAGCACTTTGGGAGGCTGAGCCAGGTGGATCACCTGAAGTCGGGAGTTCGAGACCAGCCTGACAAACATGAAGAAACCCTGTCTCTACTGAAAATACAAAATTAGCTGGGCGTGGTGGCACATGCCTGTAATCCCAGCTACTCAGGAGGCTGAGACAGGAGGCAGAGGTTGCGATGAGCCGAGATTGCGCCATTGCACTCCAGCCTGGGCAACAAGAGTGAAACTCCATCTCAAAAAACAAATAAACAAAAAAAGAGAGTTGAGGCTAACTCCTGGGTTTTTGGCCCAAGCACTTGAAAGGATGGAGCTGCCATCAACTGAGAGAGGATTCCAGGTCAGAGTTGGGGGAACATCAAGACTTCAGTTTTGGAAATTGTATTAGTCAGAGTTCTCTAGAGGGTCAAAACTAATAGTACATAGTAGTATATATATATCCTATTAGATATTATATATAGATATAGTGTGTGTGTGTATATATATATATATCTCCTATTATATATTATACATAGATATAGGTATATGGGAGTTTATTAAGTATTAACTTCCACGATCACAAGGCCCCACAGTAGGCTGTCTGCAAGCTTGAGGAGAAAGGAGAGCCAGTCTGAATCTCAAAACTGAAGAACTTGGAGTCCAATGTTGAAGGGCAGGAAGCGTCCAGCACAGGAGAAAGATGTAGGCTGGGAGGCGAGGCCAGTCTCTCCTTTTCACATTTTTCTGCCTGCTTTATATTCACTGGCAGCTGGTTAGATTGTGCCCACCCAATTAAGGGTGGGTCTGCCTTTCCCAGCCCACTGACTCATATGTTAATCTCCTTTGGCAACACCTTCACAGACACACCCAGGATCAATACTTTGTGTCCTTCAATCCAATCAAGTTGACCCTCAGTATTAACCATCACAGAAATGTTAAGTTTGAGATAACTTGCAAGTGCAGGTGCAGAGTAGCCACCTGGACATAAAAGTCTAATGTTTGAAAGAGAATTTTTGGTTGAAGATATAAATTTGAGAGTTGTTGGTTCTGCACAGTGGCTCATGCTTGTAATCCCGGCACTTTGGGAGGCAGGCAGCTCACTTGAGGTCAGGAGTTTGAGACCAGCCTGGCCAACATGGTGAAACCCCGTCTCTACTAAAAATACAAAAAAATTAGCCAGGCGTGGTGGCGGGTGCCTGTAATCCCAGCTACTCAGGAGACTGAGGCAGAAGAATCGCTTGGACTTGGGGGGCGGAGGTTGCAGTGAGCTGAGATCGTGCCACTGCACTCCAGCCTGGGCGACGACTGAGTGAAACTCCGTCTCAGGAAAAAAAAAATTGAGAGTTGTTAACATATAAATTGCGTTAGAGCTTTAGACTGGATGAAATTCAGGGAGTAAATGTAAAAGAAGGCCCTGCATTAATCACTGGAACAATCAATATTAAGGTTTTCAGGGAGAAAAGAAGATAACAGTAAGCGACTGACAAAGAGGCAGCCAGTGAAGTATAAGGACAACTAAGGGAGTGTGGTGGCCTGGAAGCTAGGGGAACAATGTGTATGCAGAAGAGATGATAATTGCCCCTATATTAGTGGATACTTAGGAGCATTAACGCAGTAATAACATAGCGTAATACTCAACTCATAGGAAGTGTGCAGTAAATGTTAGCTCATAATAGTAATGGTGGAGGAGGTGGTAATAGATGTAATGCAAGTAGTGGTATTTCTGAGCATTTTTTGTGGTACATACCAAAGATATTTAGGAGAGGTGGTTCTGATTCTTTCAGCTAGTTATTAAAGCATAGATTCTCATCATTTTTCATGCTATGATCCTTTTTGGCAGTCTGGTGAACTCTTCTAAGAATAATGCTTCCATTTTCTGTGCCTAAAATAAAATACATAGGATTATACAACTATATTGAAATATGATAATCATAATATTTAAAAAGCAAATGTGTTGTACACTTTTTAATTAGTATATTCAATGTCAATATGTAATAGTCTAACAATTTCATCATGGTGATGCATATGACCAATATTTCAAGATATCTGCAGCAAGTCTATTATTAAAAAATATGTAATCTCTATTGTTAGCAAATCATCCATGTGGATATTCTGATGGTTTGGTACCTACTTTAATGATAGAAAGGACTGCTAAGTTTAGTCACAGGTTGTGAAAATAAATATGTACCCTTTTCCCACATATGTTCATAGAGTCCTAAATTCTATCTTTGGAACTCCAGATTAAAACCCTTGAGTTACAGGTAAAATAAATCCCATATATAGGAAATTGACATAGGAAAATTCATTAATGATGTGTAAATTATAATACACTATGATATTATATTAGTGTATTTTTCAAAAGAAGAAAATTGTTCTTGGAACACCTTAATAAGAACAGGTAGATAATTCAAGTAATTAGCACATTGTGCCAGTAATGTTAAAATCTCTGCTTCAGTTCTGAGTATTAAATCCATTAATTCCGTATAAAGAAAAAATGAGATACATGAGCCCCAATGAGCTGTTATTCATGCATGAAATTAGCCAAAAGATAGAGAAGGCATGAGAATATGTTTACTTTTTCTCTACTTCTGGAAAAAAAAAAAAAACTTCAACAGTGTTTTTACTAGCAGATTAATAGGCCACATTCCGGACAGTAGGCACACCAGAAGCTTGCCTATTTCAATACATTCCACTCTTTTATTCTAATCTCCAGTGATGAATAATACGGGCATCACAATATAAGAGAAAGATTTTGGAGGAAGTAAACAATCCACTTGATCCACTATCATTGTAGGGAGGAAATCAAAATGCCATAAACAAAACCCTACAAAGAATTTTTGCTAAAGATGGAAAATGCTCAGTTCATCTAGGAGAGTTTCTATGTTACTATTAAAGGCTTTGTAAAAAAATAAATAAATATTATACCCCAAATAGTTCAAATATTTCTTTTAGAATCATGAATGCCCTTTGGAAAGGATTGTGAAGTGAATTCTTTTGGCCTCAAATAATTTGATTTGCAAACTTGCAAAAGATTATTTCTTTTCGTTTTAGCTTTCTGTTTTGCATTGTATGCCAAAAGGGAACATATGGAACTTCTATTAGCTTCTTTTATTTTGTTTTTTTTTTTTTTCTTTTTCTTTTTGAGACAGAGTCTTGCTCTGTCACCCAGGCTGGAGTGCGGTGGCGCGATCTCTGCTCACCACAACCTCTGTCTCCCAGGTTCAAGCAATTATCTTGCCTCAGCCTCCCGAGTAGCTGGGATTACAGGCAAGTGCCACCACGCCTAGCTAATTTTTGTAGTTTTAGTAGAGACAGGGTTTCGCCATGTTGGCGAAACTCCTGACCTCAGGTGATCCGCCCACCTCGGCCTCCCAAAGTACTGGGATTACAGGCGTGAGCCACCGCACCTGGCCTAGCTTCTTCTTTTTTTTAATTTAATGCTGTGATGATAAGCTGGTAAAGACTCTCTTTACTTTTAGGTCAACGTAAGAATGCTTTGTCAAGCAGTAACCTTGATTTTGTGGTTCCTTTAAAACAGGGAGTGTGGAGCTGGTACATTTGTCAATTTTGCATCCTTAGAGAGGGATGGAAAGCTTCCATACAACTGGTGAGTATTGTTTTGGAACAAGCTTCTACATAGTTTAACTATGCTGTGTGTGCTCCAAAGTCGATTTTACTATCCTTTGGGGATAGTTTTGTCTGATTATCCTTTTGTAATTTCGGTGATGGTAGACTTTCAATGGCTAGATCTTCACAGAATATAATGGTTTATATAAGCTCAGTGCAGTTCTGAAGTAGGGAAAGCATCATGGTCTGCTCTGTATTTACAATACTAAACAAGGGACTGAAACAGTGGTGCACACGCAGGAGCCCATACCTGTGCTGAAAAAGGGCTTAAATGCAGGAGCGCCGCTGAACAAGTGGTGGCTAAAGGCACGAGAAGAGATTCCAATGAAGCAGCTTGCGACAGATCGGCTTCTCCATTTTATTTTATATTTTATTTTATTTTATTTTTTATTGTTTTGTATTTTTTGAGGAGACAGAATCTCCCTCTTTCGTCACCCGGGCTGGAGTGCAGGATGATCTCAACTCACTGCAATCTCTGCCTCCTGGGCTCAAGTAATCTTTCCACCTCAGCCTCCCGAGTAGCTGGGACTACAGGCGCGCACCACCAAATCTGGCTAATTTTTAGATATTTGTAGAGATGAGGTCTCACTATATTGCCCAGGCTGGTCTCGAACTCCTGGGCTGAAGTGATCCTCCCACCTCGGCCTCCCAAAGTGCTGGGATTACAGGCCTGAGCCCCCATGCCAACCCAGCATCTCCATTTTAAACTCACATTTCAGTGCCTGAGGCAATAAGAGCCACCACTTCTGTTAAAAAGTTGTACAGCCCAGTATTCAGTTCTCATGCTTACAGATAAATAAATATCAAAGCCAGTGAAGTTTCATAAGAAAACATGGCTTCATTTTTCTTTATGCTTGAGTATTAAGGACCCGGAAGGAGGAAGTGTTCGAATTTTAAAGAGCATTGTCAAGAGATTAAATTGGTTGACATTATACCTGACAATGATAGATGAAGATTAACAATCCTATCCAGTTCAATCAATGCCCAACAAAAGTACTAATTAAGTAAACATTTAACATGAAGCTAACATGTACTACTTACATGGTCTAGTTTGTTTCTTTTGCAAGAAACTATGCAAAGTATATGTAAATGAATATATGTCATATTAATCATTGTTCAGTTATTTCTTTCTGTTTACTAACTCCCTAAAATGGTTAATCTTAAAGAAATACACATGGGAGACTGGAAATTTTACAGAATCAATGAGGGAGGGAGAACTTTATTTAGGATATAAATTTTACTTCCCTCAGTGTAGCTGATACTCACTCTAGTTGAAAATCTAGTTGAAACCAGATTTCTTTTAATAAGGCAATATGTTGTGCCATTTAAAAATTTTAACATGAGTAGAATTTTGCTATTAAAAAACAACCCAACTGTGAAGAAAAAGAAATCCATCAACCCTTGATGGTGAAAAGTTAGGAAACGTTACTAGGTTTGTTCAAATATATTAGCACTCTTTCCAAAATTAAGAGGTTGACTCACTGATACTTGTTTCATGCCTGGTTCACCCTTGGGAGGCCCAATGGGAGATCAGTGATGAGTGGCCCATCTAGGAACCAATCCAATTATATGTATTTAATACTTGTGACTCATGAGAGATAGATATTAACTAACTTCACAGCCAGTCACAATTCATGGAATTTATGGGAGACCAGTCATGGGAGAGCTGAAGCAAAAAAGAATTCACTTCAGGATCTTTCTATAAAATCAAGCACATTTTGCAGCTCTTCACAAAGACAGTTTTGCCGACTCTAGCATTTTCTAGCTGACTGAGAATAGATATCTCAGTGAAGATTTGTAATAACTGAAGTGACAAGGTGACAGTATTTTTCCCCCTAATTCTCAGAATAACTATAGATGCAGTCACAGGATATTTTAAAATCTATATTAATGGGTGTTCTATTTGACAAGTGGTTTGAATATCTGAAACCAGGCATTTAAATCAACAGTCTGAATTAGAATTGAAGTGAAGCTAAACTATTTTGCTCCTACTTAGCTGAATATCAGTGAGGTCACAGACTAAGTAGTTGATGAGCTACTTATCTTGAATGAATGATATCCTTGTATCATCCATACCTCTGTTTTAAGGGTTATATTTATAAATTTTATAGTAATTTAAAAACAATACAGAAAGTCACACCTAGTAGTGCAGCTTTATTAAGAATGTCTCTTAAAAGCTTAGTCTTCACCGGAATCAGTATATGTAAACTGACCATTTTTATTTTCTCACACAAGCTGCTGTTTAGCTGTCAAATGATGTTACAGAGGTTTCTTAAAATAGGCTTAAGCATAGGAAGAATAATATCCAAGAATAAGCTTCAAGATAACTAATGAGGCATATAAGTGCTTCATTTAACTGAATGCAAAATGTAATCACCTGGTAGCAGACTAATTAACACAAAGTAAGTTGAAAGAAATATATCTGATTACAATAAGGTCATGTGTGAATAAAAACTGATTTTGTCAATATTGTAGCATTTAAGCCCGCACATTTATATTTCACAGAATGGATTAATATTTAATTGTAATTAAGGTGCTTGTCATATTAATTAATCCCAATAGGTAATTTACTGATATCTATTCACAGTTTATATTACTAACTCTTGCAACTTTTTCATCTTTCCATCTGTTGTCTATTAATGCACACAGGCGTAGGAGTATATTTGCTTTCTTAACCCTGCTACCCTCATGTCTTTGGACTGATTATCTTTTGGCATTTTATATTAATCCTTGGTAAGTGATTTTTTTTTACTGTTTAACACAAACTCTTTAAAAGTTAGCTTTCAAGAAGTAAACAAAAAGGAAAGTTTCTTTTTAACTATTTTGTATGTTCAGTAACATCTAAAGTTATTAATCATGTATTGAAGTGAATTAAAGCAGTTACCGGTACAAAGATATTAACTATAAGGTTTTCCGTTAAATTTTTTTCCGTGATGTTGTTGGCAAGCGTTTTTTCCCATTTAGTACTAGTTATTTGTTTCTTCATTGAGTCAATCCATTGGCCTCTCATCTTTGCAAATAATGCTTTCCATTTTCCATTATCATCTTCATCCATTAGAGAGCTCCAAATTTCCAAGAAGGTAGAAATGCATTAAGATGGAGAAATCAGAGTCTATACAATCCTCTGTATCTGAGGCCTCCTTGTTTTTATAATAATGCTAACTCAGTGACTATTAAACAGCTGACTATACGCAAGCCTCTTTGTATGATTATCTGATTTAATTTTCCCCCGCAATCCTGCAGAGAGTATTACTAGTCCCATTTTAGAAATGTGGAAATAGGGGCTTACGGAGATTTACTGTCTTAGTAGCACATTCCACTATGTACAGAATCCAGGTTCCAAACTCAGGTCTCTCTGAAATCTATTCTTTCCTCTGTAAAGAGCAGACTCCTTTAATTTCTTATTTTCTTAACTTCTGGATCATTTTAATAATCAAATCTTGAAGTGTTCCTTTTGACTTTTTAATATGTAATGATAACAGTAACCTTGAATTCTGAGACTAAAGAATTAAGAACTCTTTCTTTTCCTGTGCTATAAGATAAAAGGTAGCAGTTTCCAGGGGAACTGACAAGAAAATCATTGTCCTTAAATATTAATACCTAGTGTTTAGGTACTAAATTATGTACAGACAGATCCATAAATGTGGACAACTTGAAAAGGTCTCAGAAGAAAACAATAAAAATATCTCATAGACTGGAAAAAAAATAGCTTATGGGGTGGTGGTGCGGGTATGAAAAGCAATCTGGAGCATTTATTTATTCAAAAAGACAATTGACCAAATGTTCTCCAGCTCCTCCAAGGACAGAATAAATACAGCTGGCAGAATTTAGGATTTCAAGTTGCACTGGAAGGAACATAAAAAAGGATTTCCTCAAAATAGAGATTGTTAATTCCAGAATTCATATCTTCTTTTAAAAAAAGAGACTAGAGGAAAGCTTTTGAAACAAAGTAGACATGATGTGTAGGTAATAAAGTCAGAGGAATGTGCTAGATGCTGAGGACCCATTCACTGTTATTCTAAGTTCATTGTTACAGTTTTTAGTATAGGGCTTCAGCACAGTCAACTCCGTATTTTCAGTATTTGACATCAAATAGTTTTCAGGTATGAATAGCACACATAAATTCCATTTCAACCTTCAAAATATACATTTACTTTTAACTGAACATCTACTAATCATCCTCAAATAGTGTGCCTACCATTAAAATACTAACAGCAAATACCCATAAAGTATCCCAGATTGCAAATAAAATGAAAGAAAGATGCATATATCATTTCCTTGCTTAATTCTCTGAGACTTTCTCATTTTCCACAGTGCGTTTTTAAGCTTCTGTAAGGTAGGCCTGTGCAAGTAAGCATGTATTCCTTAATAGGCCTCATTGATGAACATATGCTCAAATTTCAGCAACCCTCACAAGGTCTGCTATTTCTAATACCAATCAAATAGCACGAGGCCCAACTTATGGGGAGAAAATACCCTTCAGTAATTTTTAGAAGAATCACCTTGAAACTGTAAATGGTTGTCTCCAGTTGAGAAGAGAAGGTAAAACATAGAGCTGCATGCTTTCTGTAACTTCAGTAAATTTCACACATATCAACTAGTAAAAACATACTGGATATAAACTATGTTCTCAGCCCTTTTGTACAATGCCAGATACAAAAGAAGTGAAATTCATGCTCCCCGCTCGTGGAAATACAGCTTCTACTCACACAACCACTCCAATTCCCTGTTTGCTTCATCTAATAACTTGTGGTTATTTTCCCCTGCTTTCATTGGCTAAAGAGTCATTTTTAATCCTCCTAATGATGTGTTTGTCTTCATATTTCACCTACCCTGTGAACAACAGCTGCAAATAACAAGAGCCATCTCCCCAGACGCACACTGCCTAACACACTGTCCAACTTCCTTTCTAAACTGTCGGTTTCTTGGAAATATATGTTCCTGTTGATTTTCTAAAACCCATCTGATGCCACTAGTGGTTTGTGTGGAAATCAAAAAACTCTTTCTCTCTCTCATAGTGTTGCTCGAATCTCTTCCTGGGGTGGTAGCAGAATCAGTGTGGAGCACCAGTACCCAGTTAGGTTGGTCTCAGGATTGTGTTCTGCAAGGATTTCTGACTTTCAGAACTTAAGAGTATGTTTCCTATTGAAAGAAATCATCTAAGTTGAACTAGCTATATCTAGATTCAGTGTTAAATCTTTTTTTTTTTTTTTACTGCCATAATGACCCTCATGCTGTACTCAGGTATTTATCTGCTTGTTCTCAATCCTAGGCAGTTGGCATTTTAAGCAAGAAGTGGCATTTAGTTGAAAATGCTCAGCTTTACTCCTGATGATTGCACATTCTATTTGAAGAATGATATAATATACTAAAGTCCTTTTTAAGGTTTGGGGATGGTTTCTGCTTAGCTCATCAAAGAGTAAGCAGCACTTACAAAATTGGAGACTTTTAGAGTTTTGTTTTGTCTTGTTTTAACTATTATAAATCTCATGTCCTTGCTATTGCTTTTTCGGAATGAATTGCAGTATGGATGGCTTTCCAAGACTGTCATAACCATGGCTAATTTATGCAGAATGTATCTTAACTTTTTGAAGTCATTAGGATTTTGAACCTTACCTAATATAAGTGAAAGAGAAAAAACTAAAAGTGCACAATCCTCTATGCATATATGCTGTAGGTATGTCTGATGGGGGTTATTTATTGATTTGGAAAATCTTTTGCAATGAAAAGGCGAACCCTACATGTCACACAAAATCGTCACTGTAACATGTGCACATATTGGCTCTTTCCAGAATGTGCTTAAGTTAAAATTGCTAGCAAAGCCTTAATTTGCGTGAATTTTCCCCTGGTTTTAGTCTCGGAATTAGCACAGCAATTGAAAATGTAGGAACATTTTATCAGTGTTGCTGTGGAGTTTCATAATTCAATCCTGTCATGTTCCACAGCCTTAGGATACAGAAACTCCTTGGAATCAGCAAGATCTAAATAGAACAATGAAAATTGTATACAAATCATGATTACTTATGCCAATAAGTATATGATAATATGTCATACAAAACATGTAGTGGAATTATACGTTATATTGAAAGTTCATTCAATAATGAATGAGATTGAAAGAAAAAAAATGTGTCTCTCCTCCATGAATCAAGTTTCTACGCAGCTGCCGAGTAGTAGCAGCTTAATATTTCAGCACTGAATTTATTCAGTGTTACCCTCTTACATACATTTGTTACTTCCTAGTTTCTTTTAAAGCCTGTTTGGATAGGAAAGTATTTTTTTGTTCACTCCTGATCACAAAATGTGTTGGCAGCCTCCTGACTTTACCAGAGCTGTTAGTCATCTCCGCTGACATTCTGCTTTCCGAAAGCACTGAAGTAATTGGCTCTTACTACAGGAAGTAAATGTGGAACTCCTAAAACTAACTAAATTACCATCACGGGGCTGAATAAAAAACATGATCAATAAATATTCCTTTAGGTTCCCAAATGCCTATAAGATACAGCTATGTCCAACATGATAGTGTTTTTTGAGGGGATCAGGGAGAGGCAAAGTAAAAACTGGACTGATTTTTCCCTCTAAATCTCAAGTGTGGAAGACAAAGAGGATGAGGGAGAAAAAATAGAACAAGAACCATTGAATGGATTGTTTTCACTTAGAAGTGGGAAGAAATTAAAACTACCTGAAAACCACAAACACCACTTGCCTTCGTGGACGTGTTCCTACATTTCTTGACCTGCATTATTTTCTCTTCATCCACAAGTCCCATCTTTTCAATCAGAACATCACAAGCCCAAGTCTAGTATTCAATTGTTAAAGGAATCATTAGGTGAAATTCAGAGGGTAACATGGCAGAGATTATTTTGTTTCAGTTCAACTGAATAAGCATTTATTGACCACCCACTAGGTGTTTCATTAACTATGCTCAGCCCTGGGGGGAAGCTATAGTGAGTGTAGCAAGGTGTGTACCTGCAACTAACAATCACACAATGTGAGAAACTCTCCGTTTGCAAAGTGCTGTGAAAGCACAAAGTACTGCTTCGTCCTGCTAAAAGCTTTCAGGAAGTGGAGATATCCAAACATTCATAATTTTAAATATAAATAAATATTTGGACACATTAAAGTACTAAGATTACAACTGGTTATTTACTATAGACTGTTTATTTTCTGAAAAGTTGGGTGCTTCTATCAAAATTATGTAAAGACCTCTGAAAATTACTTGCAAAAAAGTTTGCTGTAACATCACTTGTACAGTCAATCATGTTTCTGTATTTACTATTTATAGACAACAATAAGAATACAATCACAAAGTGCTTCAATAGATACTGTTAGCCTTAGCTAACTTAGGTAAGTTATCTTACTTGGTTGGGTGAAAATCATTACCTTAATTATCTCCTAAACAAATGTAACTAACTAAAGCATGCATTAGCATTTCCTGTGTTTGAGCTTATAGACTAGTAATGATGAAGAGCAAGCAGGTAATAGGTCCAGTTCTTCAGATAGCTTAAAAATTAGTTCAAGATGGAATAAAAACAACGCCATAGTAGAATTATACAAGGTACATGTCCACACTGACAGCACACATTCACATCCCCAGAGAAAAATGTCAGAAAATGTTATTTTAGTCTTTAATTAAGAAAACAACATTCCACCGTCTCTTTATTAGTTCTCCATTTATTCCCCCATTCTTCCTTCCTGCCTGTAGAAATTGGAGTGTTCAGGTGGTAGATAGATACTTCTATATATTTACAAACTGCTTTAGCAACTTAATCAACAGCAGTTAGAAATTTCATTTCTAGAACTCAGTTTTTGGCAAATGGGAAGTATAAAGTGCAGATATGTTCATGCAATCTAGTAGAGTTTTAAAAAATGAATCTGAAATTATTATTATCTTCTCATGTAAGGAAAAGTAAACAAACCTGATATGTGTTTAATGAAAATTAAATAAAACTGAGGTACCTGATGTAATTATTTAAAGCTGTTCAAGTTTAATTATTATGTTAATCAATTCTTCTGCCCAGATAAATTTGTCTTTTCTTTTTTAATTATCAGGAGTAAAAATGGTTTAAAGAAGAGGAAACTGACAAAGTAAGTTTTTCTTACTATGTCATTTAAAAGGATGTTTGTTATAATAATCTTAACGTTCCAATTAAAGATTGCTTGTCTTCAAAGAGAAGGGACGCTTAAGAAAGAGGCAAATGCATATTACAATAGCTAAGCACAATAATGTACTGGTTGTTTATGCCTGAGTGGCAGTGGCCACTAGAAAAGTGTATCACAGAAATCACATCAGAAATAAGGACAATGTTTATCATATCAAATCTGAGAGAGTGGATCGTTAGCAATTTTTAAAGTCTTGGAGGAGGAAGTATGGTATTCTAAATACAGTATATGAAAATCTAATATTTAACTACATCAAAGGGTTTCAAAAATCCTTTTAGTATTTTGAAATTCTGTGTTTATTGCAGGAAAAGGCTTTTACTCTATTTGATGTTATAATAGATACTTTGATAATGCTTTCTCAAGAAACCTGTATAATAAATAGAAAAGATAATTAATCTAGCCTGTGGTTTTCCTTATCTATTAAACCATTAAATGAGAAGAATTACTATTGTGGTAAGTGAAAATTAACCCCCAGTTGATTTCAAAAGCCTATTAGATTATCACCTCCATGCCTTTTCTTAGTTATAATTCTACATATGAAAAGTGGAACTTTCCTTTATATAGAGTTTGTTCTTGATACCTGCCTGGATAGAACATTGGTGAATTAGTACAAGAAGGAAATTAGGGGGTCCAGCCAGGTCTGTGGCATCTATGCTTATGGAAAGAAATCATGAGTAATCCATGACATAATCCAAAAGAAAAGTTGATGTAAAAATGTTTCTAGTTAGTCTTGAGTGGCATATAATTTTATGGCATATATGAAAACAGAATAATTTTTTCTAAGTCAATTTCATTTTTTATTTTTATTTTTTAATTTATTTTATTTTATTTTTTGGAGATGAAGTCTCGCTCTGTCACCCAGGCTGGAGTGCAGTGGCACAATCTTGGCTCACTGCAACCTCTGTCTCCCAGGTTCAAGTGATTCTCCTGCCTCAGCCTCCCCAGTAGCTAATACTACAGGCACACGCCACCATGCCTGGCTGATTTTTGTATTTTTAGTAGAGACGAAATTTCACTATATTGGTCAGACTGGTCTCGAACTCCTGACCTCATGTGATCCACCCTCCTCAGCCTCCCAAAGTGCTGGGATTACAGGCATGAGGCACCGTGTCCAGCCTCTAAGTCAATTTCAAACCAGCATACATTCCACTGGCTTATACCAACTGATGTAGGAGAGATAAGACCAGACTGAATAGAGGAGAGGGTACCATCACCTGGGAGGGATGATTTCACAGAAACAGAAAGACTTTGTTACCAAAAACTGTTGGTTGGGTTGGCAGGTGAGCTAAAGAGGCAGAGACTAGAGCATTTAGAAGATAGCGTCCTTGGACGAAAAGGAGAGACTGTCAAGGCTTGCTCCTCCCATGACTCAGGCAAAGAAAAGAAGGAGAAGCAAGACCCAGACAAAAGATAGGGTAGAGATTAGGAGTGGTAGAACATACCCACAAGCAAAAAAAAACTCACATCAATTCGGCTTCCACCTTCCCCCCTCTCATTTTCCTTTGACTCCTCTCTCCTTCTCTAGAAGACATTTCTTGAAAGGCTTTCCTCTCACCTTTTTATTTGCCTTCTCTACCATTTCTCTTTCCCTCCAAATGCCCCACCACTACCATATCCCCCTGGTTCCCATTTTCTATCTCCACTTGTCTTCATTCCATCCTTCCTTTCCATCACCTCCTCTTTTTCTTTTTCCTCTGTAGATATTTGTCCTTTTGGTCTCTACTCCCTTCCAGCTTTCTTTTTCTTCTCCTTGTCATTCTCCTTCTCCCTTATGTCCATTCTTCTGTTTGCTATTCCTTCCTCTCTCTCTCTTTTCCCTCTGCTTCTTGCTTTTACTTCTTTTAACCCATTAATACTTTGTCTGGTTTGCCTTCTGTATACATGTGCCCATTTTCCTAGTAACAAGATGAAAGCTAGAGTTGTTAAATCCAACTTTAAGGTCGATACACTGCCCAAAGACACCAGCCAGAGAGTGCAGTTCTAAGGGGGTTCATTCCAGGAGAGGAGTCCCAACTTTAGCCCATTCTTTTGGAAGGATAACAAGTTTGAAGTGGGAAAAGCTTTGAACCAGGACTTACTCTCCCTGGATTCCAGTGAGAATTCTACTGCTTAGTAGACATGTGATGTTGGGCTACTCACTTAACTCTCTTAGCCGTGGCTCTCTCAGCTGGAGCATGGAGCTAATGTTGTCTATTCCTACCTCAGGGATCAATTAAGCAAGATAATGCATGTGACTATTTATGAAGTGTAGCGTGTTTTATAAATGAGTTATTGTTATTAAGTAAAAACATTTCAGTTTAAAGGTATTCTCTGGAAGATATAACGCCCTCTAAAATTTACTAAAATGTTAACATAAATGAATTAATCAGATTAGCTAATCAACAACTTTAAATGAGCATTATTAAATACTATGTATTTTCTAATTGGACATAAGACCACAGTTAGGCCAGGTGCAGTGGCTCACACCTGTAATCCCAGCACTTTGGGAGGCTGAGGCAGGTGGATCACTTGAGGTCAGGATTTCAAGACCACCTTGGACAACATGGTGAAACCAAATCTCTACTAAAAATACAAAAATTAGCCAGGTGTGGTGGCACCTGCCTGTAGTCCCAGCTACTTGGGAGGCTGAGGCAGGAGAATCGCTTGAACCTAGGAGGCAGAAGTTGCAGTGAGCCGAAATAGTGCCACTACACTCCAGTCTGGGTGACAGAGTGAGACTCTGTCTCAAAACAAAACAAAACAAAACAAAACAAAACAAAAAAGACCACAGTTAGATGATATAAGCTGAGTAACACACCACAAGACCAAGGGAAGGGTCAACTATAAAGACCCTGCCAAAGTGGAAAGGCTTGAGTTAGATGACAGAATGTGGAATTCTGCAGAAGCAGAGAGCTACTTTAGAGAGCAAATTGGTTTAGGTAGGCTCTAGAGGAGATAAGCAGCTACAGAAAACTACAGGAGATAAAACTTGATTCTTATTCTCAAAAAAAAGTGAGAACTTCTGCTGCGGATGCAGAAACATAGCTCAGATGTGTTACTTGATTGAACCTCTGAGCCATTTCCATACTTTTATAGATATGCAAGCCTCTAAAGATAACTCACTCCAGTGAGACCCTGGGAGCTTTCTGGACAAAAGTTTCATCCCACTGATCCTGCCTCTGCTTTGGGGAGACTGTAGCTAGCAGCACAATTCCTTATACTTGTAAAGCTGTTGAAACTTACAAAGTTCTTTATGTACTGTATGTCAACCCTGTAGCTGTAACTACTGTATTTTATGGATGAGAACATTGACTCTGAAGAGTTAGGCGATTCTCTAGGATAACACAGTCAATAAAGCAAAACCATAACTCAAACAGGTCTTTGGAATCCATTCCTTTGTTATTTTCCATATGCCAGAGTTTTTTAGAAGCAACACAGATGGGGGTGTGTGTATACGAGTATGCATATATATACTACTGTACTGCTACAGTAAGAGCCAAGTGGAAATCTAGAGATTTCTCCTATCAAGGAAGCTGGATATATATGCCCTTCTTTTCAATTGCAATATATTAAGGATTGGTAACTTGAACCAAAAAAAAAAGGTGAGTGCTAACCTTAGAGAAGTAAAACTTCTATTTTCTCCAAGAAGATTAAGAAGTATGATATTAAACAATATATAATACCTATCAACAAGAATTTTAAAATGTATGTATATTTCTTTGTGTTTGGCAAAGCCCGGTTCAACTGGATGACTTTGATGCCTATATTAAGGATATGGCCAAAGACTCTGACTATAAATTTTCTCTTCAGTTTGAGGTGAGTTGGTTAAGGCATTTTCTACCTTCTGTAATGGAAAGGGCCTGGGAATTGGGGGGTTTGTGTTGCGGTCATGTCCCTGCTCACTGGCAGTGCGTAACAAAAAGGGTATTGGCCTGGGGATTGCTGATCTGCTGGTTTAGAGCAAGGGTTGTCAATCCTTGCTTAGTAGGCAAGGCCTCAGGTGGCACAAATGAGATGAGGGGAAGAAGAGAATAGGTGCAGGTACTGAGGTGAGCAAACATGGGTATAGTAGAAGCCATCATTGAAAACCAGGGAAATCGAGAGTACAAGAAGAAAAATGCAAGCTGAGGCATGAAGCCTGAGACAGAATTTCCCTTTCAGGGGATTTGTAGTGTTTCTCATGCTTCTTAGGCCACAGTAGTGGCGGATAGTGGATAAAACTGACCCCCTTTGTGTCCTGGGCACATAACATCCTGGAGTAGGGCTTTTCAAGCTATAGGACTCCTGGCATTCTACTTAATAACTTTTGTGCAGTTTTATTTTCTTTCCTTGGACAAATTGGGGAGATAAAGTTACACATGATTTGTGTTAAGAAAAAAATTGACAACATCTCTTTTTTTCCGAAGGACACATATTTCTTTGGATCTAAAACCATATGTCAGAAGAGATGGAAGTGAGTGAGTCTAATATCTCAGCAGTGTGGGGGAAGATAATTAGTTCTCACTTTTTCTTTCTACATATTTTATAGCTCATAACACAGTCTAAATGGCCCCCCATCCTTCAGGTTTCTATAGCATGGCTTGAGTGGTCAGTGATTCAGGGAAAAGGGGAAGATAAAGTGATTTTTCTAAATTCTGTAGTTTTTTTTTTTTATAAAGCCTTTTAAGTGCTCTTTTCTATTAAGGTAGCTGCTTTTTCTTCAGTTTTTAAAATCATTTCTCCTTTCCACTTCTCAGCCAAGGACAGCTTTAGTCTGCAAAAAGCATCAGTGGTCCTGGTGTGGAGACACTAATGGGGAATTTGAGGATGAGAAGAATCTTATACATTACCAAATACAAAGACCGCTAACTACCACCTGTGTCCTGAAAAATTCCACACAGAGCCTGCTCACTTATCCATTGTATCCAGGTGCATAGGATATTATAGATGCTACACCAAATGCTATACTCAAAGAAATTCAATTTGAATTGGAAATGAATGAGGAGGATGGCATTTCAGAAAGTATATCAAGGAAAGGAGGACTTTTTTTCTAAGCAAACATGAGGCAAAACTCTGAAAAAATAAATAGCTAGATGATTCTAACGATGATAGAAATTATGGTATAGCTACACTTTTACCTTATTAAAGCCACATTTTCTTAATTCCTTCAAGATGGCATGCCCTTGGTGGCACAGCTGGATCATAACCTCTGCTGGCAACTCACAGTTTATGTCTTGAAACCCAAGCATAACTATTACTGTTTCTGAATTGCATGAAAAAAAATTCAACAAGTCATTTTCCAGTAAACATATTCTTTTAGTTGTGAGTGACAAAAACATAGCTCAAACTTGTTTAAACTAAAGGAAAGGGGGTTTATTCAAAGGATACTAAGGTATCTCATACAATCAAAGAAAAGGTTGAGTAGCTAGACTACGTGCAGGGAAGCAGCACAGTTTCAGGGATGACTGGAGCCAGGGGCCCCTCTATTTCTCATTTCTGCTTCTCTCTCTGTTTTGGTTTCACTTTGTTTCACTGAACAAAGAGAAACAAAGAGAAACGCAGCCAGAGAGGGCAGATGTTTGTGTTCAGTGAAACAACAAACAACCTCTTTTTCTGTCACTTTTGTTTTGTTTTGTTTTGTTTTTTGAGACAGTCTCACTCTGTTGCCCAGGCTAGAGAGCAGTGGCGCGATCTTGGCTCACTGCAACCTCCGCCTCCCAGGTTCAAGTGATTCTCCTGCCTCAGCCTCCTGAGTAGCTGGGACTACAGTTGCCCACCACCATGCCCGGCTAACTTTTGTATTTTTAGTAGAGACAGGGTTTCACCATATTGACTAGTCTGGTCTCGAACTCCTTACCTTGTGATCTAGCTGCCTCAGCCTCCCAAAGTGCTGGGATTACAGCCGTGAGCCACGATGCCCAGCCCAACCTCTTTTTCATAGTGAAAAGCAGCCAACAACAACCCTTGAGCACCACAGCCTTTTGTTTCCATGGTTTCCAAAGGGAATTACTGTCTGTCTTTCTTGTTTGTAGTTTGAAAATTAACAGGGGAGGATTTTGATGGACGAGCCTGTGTCATGGTGCCCATTCAAACCAATCACAGCCAGAGAGGGCAGATGCACAGAATCTCTAAATGGAACCATGTGGGCTCAAGTAGCAAAACCTAAGAAGGGCATTATCTCCCAATAAAGAGAGGGTATTGGGAGAACCAAACCATAAGCGATTAGCATGCTATCTTTAGATATCACAAAAATATGAAAAGCAGAATTATAAATTTTATGTGCTAAATGTTCAATTTATAATATGCTGAGGGCTTTTATTCATTCAATGGATAAATGAATACATTTAGCCTGACTTCATAGGATTTATAAGAAATGTGCTAAACTAGGAATCTAAAATCCTGAATCCTCACTACAGTGTTGCTACTAATTAACATTCTAAAAAATATGTTTTTTTCTTAACCAATTGATATATAATGAGTTTGGGGTGGGCTTGGGGGCGGATGATGTATTAGCTACAGATTTTTTATGTAGTGAACATGCTCATGTATAAGTTTCAATTTATCCAACTACTTTGTTGGAATAATTCTTATGGATTGAAACTGCCCAGGCAAAGTATATACAAAATCTGCATTTTGAGTAAATTTCCCATAAGTGGAGTAAGTTTTCCCAGTGTTCCTAAAACTATACAAACAGTATAGTATAGTATATACTTCCTAAAACTATACAAAGAGTAGATATCAACATTTGTAATCATTGATAATGTAATATTACAAAGAAATTGCTTTCTCATCTGTTAACGTTAAGCTACATCATCTTCATATAGCACTATTAGTCATTTGTGTTATTTCATTTTCCTCTGTTTCTTTTATTTTCATGTACCTTATAATCTTCATCATTTTGTTACTGATTTCTAACAGCTGATTTATGATTAAAGAGGTTAACATTTTGTGAAGGGCTGAAAATGAAATACCATTTTTTTCTCATTTTTTTACATTGGGGTTTTATTTGGAGTTTGTACAGAAGTTGTGTATTTAAAAAATAATCATGTTCTGCTTTTTTTTAAGTACATTTTCTCATCACCTTAGTTTCTTTATGTATAAAATGGGTGAGTTGAACTAGATCAATGGTTCTCAACTGGACAAGTACCAGTCAGCCCCCAGATGAAATTTGAAAATGTGTGGGAGTGTTTTTGGTTGTTATAATAGCTTAGGAGGAGGATGCTAACAGTATTTTATGGAAGAGGGACGAGGCGTTAAATGCTCTTCAATGAGTGGGACATTCCCGCACAATAGAGAATTGTCCTAGGCCGAAAGTGTTTGATTGAGAAATATGGGTTAAATATGGGATGAGGCTACAATCAAGCTTTATAACCCATGTGTATTAGTCATGGGTTCTCCAGAGAAACCAATGGGATGTTTATATAGAACAAATATGATGTATATATAGAGAGATCTATTTTAAGGTATTGGCTTTTGAGGTTATGGAGGCTGACAAGTCTGAAACCTGAAGGGCAGGCTGGCAGGCTGGAGATCCAAGGAAAAGTTGAGTTTGCAGTTTTGAGTTTGAAGGCAATGGGGAGGCAGAATTCCTCCCTCCTTGTAGGACCTGTCTCTTCTCATCAGGCCTTCAAACTGACTGGATGAGGCCCAGCCACATTACGTAGCATAATCAGCCTTCCTCAAACTCTACTTACGTAAATGTTAATCACATATGAGAAAAACACCTTCACAGCAGCAGACTGGTGTTTGGCCAAGCAACTGGACACTATAGCCTAGTCAAGTTGACGTCTAAAATTAACCATTACACCACGATTTTAAAGTCTTTAATATTGTTATTTATTCTGATGCTCTCTTCATACATTTCTATTCTTAGAACATTATTGGTCATATATGTAATTAATTGGGTGGTAAGTCCTGACATTATTTACATATTCTGGTAGGAAAATACAACTTACTCTCTAGGGCTCTGTTTTAAGTCACAGGCTTAGACTGTATGTTTTGGACTAACATTTGCTCAAGCAGTGGCCCGCTGGTCCAATTTACTTCCTTCTTCATTTGACAGACTTCAGATATTACCAGTCCTCAGTCCCATTCTGCCCCCTACATCCTCAGGGTCAGCGTCAGGGTTTCCTCATCAATTTTCATAGAAGTAGTGTGCTCCCATGCCTGATTTCAGGATGTATGCTGGACCTTTCACATGGCAGCCCTCACATTTTTTTGAAATACATTGATAGTTAATTGAGACTTAAGGAAAAAAATGTTCCTAACTCTAATGAGAATTCAAGAGGGTATGAGATGGCCAAATCACCTTGGTCTAGATAATTCCAGCAGCTGAACTTGTACTTGTTCTGTTTATATTAATGCCTAGTATTTGTATTCATTTTGATACTGACATTGAAATATCACATTCACATTGAGAAATCACATCATTTATAAGCATTTTGCAGATTGAAACTAATGTCTGGATTTATAGATACTACCAATACAGCCATAAGTCATACATGAAGCTATATGAGTTACTAATTTGTGTTTACTGAATAAATTTCTTTTTTACTCTGAATCTGATTTTAAATCTGCTAGAAAGATTGATTATCCTTCTGATAAAAATATACACCGTTCCTTTAAAAGTCTTGGGACCCAGGGATTAAAATAGGTTCCTCATTTTTTACATTTCACATGGGAAAGATTTTGAAGAACCAGACTTTATAGCTGAAATGTGAGAGCCCAGAAGACATATCACATATTGCTCATTCTGCTATTAATGTCTGTGCTTAGTGTTTGATCAGGATACTAGTAAAGGCCCTCACCATCTCTGTTCAGACATGTGGCTGCAAAGATCAAAACAAAACTACAGAACTGGCCATGCAGTTCACAAGAGGTGACCTTTGATTTCTGGTAGTAGCTTTTACTTGCTATAGATGGAACCTCTTCTGTCAACACCACTGGCACTTTCTTTCTCCTCACTTTTTCCACCCCTTATGGACACGTAATCTAGTAATCTTAGTATTGTTTGAATAAACCCCCTTTCCTTTAGTCTAAACTAGTTTGAGCTATGTTTTTGTCACTCACAACTAAAATAATGTGTTTACTGGAAAATGACTTGTTGGATTTTTTGTAATCATGCGATTCAGAAACAGTAATAGTTATGCTTGGGTTTCAAGACATAATGTCCACCCTATCCCAAAGCAAACACCGAAAGCAAACTCTCACCTGCTGACATTGTTACAAACCCTAAGACCAGAATGCAGATTGTGCTCTCCTCAGAAGATGATATTGCAGGTTATGGGCTGAATATCTGTGGCCCCCCAAAATTCCTATGTTTAATCCCTAACCCCCAATGCAATGGTATTTGGAGATGGAGCCCTTGCTAAGTAATTAGGATTAGATAAGCTCATGAGGGTGAGGACTTCGTGGTAGGATTGTTGCAGGACTTTTCCTTAGTTCAGCTAAAGATGAGGTCCTTGTCCATCCCACAGCCATGAAAATTTAGGTTCACAGGCAATTTGGAGGGTGAGTAAAACAGGGTTTTATTCGGTGAAAAGGAAGAAAAGGGAGAAACAGGGACTCTCACTAGGCTGGAGTCCCTGCTAGAGCACTTCCCACTGGCAGCTTGAATCTCAGGTTCCACACAGGAAGAGGAGAGGCCAGGTTCCTTCCCCACTGCAAACATGGTGAACTTCCCGAGGCTCCACCTCTGTGAGCAGGCTAGTTGGAATTTCTCCAAGGACCCCCTCCCACCTGACTGTCTCAGGATCAGCCAAGATAAGATGCCTAAGAATGAAATCTACCTTGTTGCCATCTTGATCTTGGACTTCCCAGCCTCCAGAACTGTGAGACATAAATCTCTACTGTTTAAACTATCACTCTATGGTGTTTTGTTATGGCAGCCCAAGCCAACTAATGTAATGTATATGCTTGTGCTTTGCTTTCCAAGACCTGTATGCTTCAAACACAGCCAACAAAACGTAGCCTGCTACTGGGTTTGGGTGACCGTATTAGTTCCTATGGCTGCCATAACAAATTACCACAATTGTCGTGGTTTAAAACAACAGAAACTTATTCTCACAATTGCAGAGCCAGAATTCCAAAATCAAGGTGTCAGCAGGGCCACACTCCCCCTGAAGACTCTAGGGAAGAATTTTTCTTTGCCTCTTTCAGCTTCTGTTGGCCACAGCAATTCCTTGGCTTGCAGCTGCATAACTCTGATCTGTCTCCATCTTTACATGCCTTTTCCTCTTCTCCAGGATGATCTCATCTCATGTTCTCTAACTTAATTACAACTGCAAAGACACTTTCTCCAAATTAGATCACACTCACAGGTTCTGGGGGTTAGGAGGTAGACGTATCTTTTTGGGGATCACCATTCAACCCACTACAGATGACTGTATAGCCTAGAAGAAAAGGGTGATAAATTATATTTAGAAACAAAACTGACAAAAGAAAATTCAGAAATGATTTATGTGGGTTTCAGGTCCATCACTCCATAGTTTGTCTTCATAAAGATTTAAGCCAGTGGAATTTCCATATGGTTGGAAAGAAAATAACTTCAAAGCTGCTGAACTGGAAACTTAATATTTTATTTTCCACTTAGTGACAGGCTAAATTACAAAGGCTTCAAAGCATACTGTGTTTACATGCAGTTCCCACTTTGCTGCAATTCAACTTTGGCAACTTCCACTTACAGTGTTCAGCCAATTAAACCTCTCTTATCAACTTAGAGTATTTACAGCAGGAAGGCAACACACAATTAAAGTTCTGTCAGTTAGTCAGCTTCCACAATTAAAGTTCTGTCAGTTAGTCAGCTTCCACATGTGCTCAAACGCTCAGCCTCAATCTGTTTCCACCATTCCTTTTGTATCTGAGGCCTTTTCCCATGGCTTATCAGTCTGTCCCCAAAGCAAGAGAATTGGGGGAAGAGTTGTTGGTCTGCTGGCATAAATGGCAGAGGAGGAAGAAATTATGGAGCCAGGCAAAGCAAAACAAAGAATCATCACAAAAGTATTTTACAATGATCATCAATAGTGCTGTATTAGTATTTGTTGAGTTAAATTATTCCATTTGATAATCACTATAAAAAAGGAAGGTGTGGAGAAATTACTAGCCTTATCTTACAGGTAATTAAAGCAAAGTTTAAAAGAGTTTAACTACCCTTCCAAGAACATACAGTTTATAAGTGGCATGTCAGAATATGTGAGATATTTTGAAAAAATATCTATGCAGGCATTTTCTAAAGGAGGTAGATTTCTGAAATAATTTAAGCAATGGAAGCATCATTTAAATAAACTTATAACTACCAAAAGGAACTAACCTAAACATCACACTGATTTAGTTGAAATTTACTAAAAATAAGTTGCTTCTTACAAGAAAAATAGAGTCAACCTTTGAATACCCTTTAAAATGGAACACTCAGTTATAAAATAACAATGGGAAGCATCTGCCTAAATATATTTGGCAAGTAAGTGCCTGAGATGGAAAAAACCAATTTTGTGAGTTGAAAATCAAATGTAACATAGTTTGTATATAAAACTGACATCAACTTAGTCCAAAGAACTTCAGATATTGTCATCTTGAAAAGCCAAAAGAGATGAGGAATCAAAGGAAGAGAGAAATCTGGGCAATTTTTGTTGGTTCATCCATGTTGGCTACAGTCAGGCAACCCAATGCCATTAAGCGCAAGGTAATTTGCCACCAAGGATCTTCTAGTTAAAAGCATCAGAAGACCCAATAACTTGATTAATAAAGCATGTGCTTTGCAAAGAGCACTTGAATAAAGACACAAAGGGCATGAAACAGATATCCCTATTCAATCCTAGAACGTGGTCAAGTGGCTCCAATTCTCTTCAACAGTGTTAAAAGACCCTCCGAAATTCTTCTCCTAGGGAAGTATTCCTCCAGCTTTGATTCCTTGAAGTAATAATTGGGAGGAATTATGAAGAGTAAAACTTGTGCTCAATATTAACATTCTATAAATGTAAATAAAATTTATAACAAGTGATTTTTGCCTCGCTTAGTAGTCTTATAGAAAGATGCACACTATGTGGGTAATCCCACTTATACACAGTTATGTACACTGTTTACTAACATTCCTCTAACATTTGTATAGGAATATAACTAGATCCACTGCATTGGTTGCACATTGTACAACTCCAGTGAACACCGTTCATATAGACCACAATGTGAATGATGCCTCCAAGAAATACAGGTGGCCTGACCGTAATCCCCGTTTCCTGTAAGACACATGGCATAGCAACTTAGAAATCCCCCTTTCCCCATAACATACCCTTTTTGAAGTGTGACAGTTATTTATATAAAAATTTCCCATCAGTTCACCTTCTGAAATGAGGTTTATAAGAGTACCAATATACGCAGGCAGACATTTGGATGTTCTTATTCTCACTGAAGGATTTTCCCCAACAACTACAGATCCATCTTTATGTTTGAGGTTTCATTACCAGATATTTAGTGACTGTTAATCCCATACTTTGTAACATGGAGATTGTTCCCTACTCATTCCTCACTATTTTTTACTACTTTCTCTAAGGCTCATTGCCTACAAGAAAAAAAAAGCCTAGATTTCTTCAGAGAATAGGAAATATTTATACAAATTGCATAAACTTAAGTTACTCTATTCCTCCAAAAATCTGAAATGCATTTTTATTTTCAAATATTTCATACCCTGAGTGTTATACATATAGTTCTTACTTCTCCAAATGACCACTAAGTTATCCAAGGTATTTATGTGTTGTATTAGATAGCTATTACCACAATAATGCTGTATAAGAAACAACCTCAAAATCTCTACAATAACATTTACTTTTCTCACTCATGGGTCTGTGGAACAGCTGGGGCAGTTCTGCTTCAGGCTGTGGGTCAGAGTCAGGTCTGCCCTATGTGCCTCCTCATTCTCGGACTAGCAGCTTCCCTGGGCATGTCTTTTTCAGGGTAGATGGCAGGCACACAAGAGGGCAAACCAAACAAGCAAGTGCATTGAAAGCTTCTGAGTGGACTTGATTTCTATCTAAGATCATTGGCCAAAGCAAGTTGATGATAGTGGGGTGGAGTACCTTCCACCTCTAAAGGGAGCTACTGCAATGTCATATAGCAAAGGGCTTGTGAGCAATAAACCAGTTGAACAATAATCCAATTCACACCACGTATGGAACTCTCAAATCCATTCTCTGTCCTTTACAGGAGTTGAAATTGATTGGACTGGATATCCCACACTTTGCTGCAGATCTTCCACTGAATCGATGTAAAAACCGTTACACAAACATCCTACCATGTAAGATCGTCAATTGTGCCAATAACACTCATGTCTTAAGGGTTGAAGGACTGTCATTGCAGATTAATCAATTTCACCAATCTCTGGCCATACCCACTTGTGGTCCGGATCTCAAGGCCACGTCTGAGATTGCATTGATCTCACTCTCCTTTGATGTCTTTAGATCTTAGCATATGGAGGAAGATTTAATTATTGTGCTTTTAAATGAATTGCATCTGAACAAAAAGACTGATCATTTGGCCCTTTAGAGATTAAAGAGCCACAGTCAAATTGGGGATTGGATCATTTGTACTCTCATAAAATATTTTCAGCCAATTCATTGGTAATGGAAAGAGGCAAATGGGAAGGCGATGCAGTATATTAAAATGCCTTCTCTAACTTCTGACAAGTTATATAGTTGCTTAGCATTTTGTAATAAAAAGCAGCATTCAAGGAAAAAAAGGTAATATAAAGCACTTACAAAACAATTAAAATACATTCCAGTTTAGATTTCACTTTTCTCTCTGCTACACGCTGTGGAGCTAGGCATGAATGGAAAAGTGAGAAGAGAAAGGCTGAAAAAGCTCTAGAAAGAGAAGTCTCTTCTTGATATGGTTTCTTGATGAAATTAGATATATTATCATAATAACACTTCACATCTGTACACAGTTCAGAAATTACTTCTTTAATTTAATGTCCACCTACAAAAGAAACCCATGCATCTTCTGTTCTCTAGGTCTCCTTAAAGTAGTGAACTCTCTGGATATCTCTAGGTGAAATGAAAATCGTGTGCTTAGGCTATATACTATAGCTGTCCAATCAATCTCACAGATATTGTAGTTCCTGAAATACTCTGAACAACACCTAAACAATCCTGGAAACAATTCTTTCAAGGACAGGAGAGCTGGTAGTGAAAAAAAAATAGTGGTTGGAAGATATTCACTTATTTATTTAAACAACAAACCAAAGTTGAAGAATAGCTAAAATATCAGGCTAAAAATTATTATCTGCCTACTCTGTCACTGACTGATTTAACTTAATATTGGATAGAAAGGGCCAAAATAATTTTTCCTTCCATCTTGAATTTTAATATTTTTTTCTCCTTATTCTCTACAGATGACTTCAGCCGTGTGAGATTAGTCTCCATGAATGAAGAGGAAGGTGCAGACTACATCAATGCCAACTATATTCCTGTAAGTAGAAAAAAAAAATCAGGCATCCCAAAGCTAACCAGCCAGAGAAAGACTAGCAGGGCTATATGGATGTGTCAAACAGTTCAAAAGAGAGCCTTTCCCAACCCAGCAATTGAATTCTAAAAAGTTTGCATTACTCCGTTTCATAATAAAGAATAGAAAGAAAAAGTCCATAGATTACTAATGTTTCTATTTCTTTATAAAGGTCCAGTGAAAGGGAAAGTAGAAAGGTTAAAGATCACCTCTCTTATGTTTAAATTTCACATTCAGCAACCAAATTCAAAGGGTTCCACCCTAGCACCTGCACTTTTAAAATATAAAGACAGTTATTATTGTCATAAAAAGGTGTGGATGTGATTTTTACAGCCTTCTGGATAACAATGCTTACAATCACACAGACTAATTATGGTCAGTTATTCTGATAGCCTCTTTGATTAAAACAGGAGAAAACATTACATAGGTGTGTGATCCTTTGCCAATTTTATCACCAGTAAGTTTTCAGTTTTTTTCCCATAGGCGTGAAGCAGCATTTGGTGTTGACAGTGTCTGGTTAGGTGATAATTTTGTCACTTATCTTTCAGGGATACAACTCACCCCAGGAGTATATTGCCACCCAGGGGCCACTGCCTGAAACCAGAAATGACTTCTGGAAGATGGTCCTGCAACAAAAGTCTCAGATTATTGTCATGCTCACTCAGTGTAATGAGAAAAGGAGGGTACGTACTTACTGAAACTGCTCCCACTTAGCAGCAAAACCTGCCCTAGCCACTGCCGTTGATGAAATGCTTGCTGTTTTCAAAGTCAAATAAAACATAGAGACAAATCGCTAAATTTAAAACATTGTATTCGGGAAGCAAGAATTAGAATTTGGGGGTAAACACACAGACCCGGTGGTCTTTGCAATGTCTAAAGGAAAAAAGAGAAGGTTGGAAGTCTTCTAAAAAGGAGAAATATTGCATATTGTTTTGCAGGAAAGTTCATTAGCACTAGTAAAGTTTTGGGGAGCTGGCAAGCTCTGATTGGTGAATGCATGGTGGTGGGTAAAACTAGTCTCAGAGTCCCAACAGGCTGTTTCAGTTGCTGTTAGATACCACTGGTTTCAAGTTACTAAAGGCAGTTTCAGCAACCGGGGCTTACAGAGAATTACATTCCTGGAACAATGTTATGCGTTCTGAGTGCTTTCTTTTTTTTTTTTTTTTTTTTGAGACGGAGTCTCGTTCTGTTGCCCAGGCTGGGGTGCAGTGGCACGATCTCAGCTCACTGCAAACCTCTGCCTCCCAGGTTCAAGCGATTCTCCTGCCTCAGCCTCCCGAGTAGCTGGGGCATTCTGAGTGCTTTGTCCCCTGACCCCTCAACTCTGTTTTAGTTAGATATGATAAGAATGACCCAAGTCATGTGATAAGAATTCACACTACGTAGCAGAAATGGTTTGCTTTATGTTTCATCTTCACCACGGTCCTATCTAATTCTTTAGAGGCGAATACCTTTGTTTTCCCTAAGTGAGCACACTTAATTCCTTTCCTAGCCTGTTTGTTTTAAAAAATTGTTTTGTCCTTGCTCCAGGTGAAATGTGACCATTACTGGCCATTCACGGAAGAACCTATAGCCTATGGAGACATCACTGTGGAGATGATTTCAGAGGAAGAGCAGGACGACTGGGCCTGTAGACACTTCCGGATCAACTATGTAAGTCACCAGGCAGAGAGCAGGTGCTGTCCCTATGCTGACACCTGCTGAGACCAGTTTGGTCGGGGAGACCCTAACCCAGCGGCGCTAGAGGAATTACAGACACACACACAAAAATATCGAGTGTGGAGTGGGAAATCAGGGGTCTCACAGCTTTAAGAGCTGAGAGCCTCGAACAGAGATTTACCCACATATTTATTGACAGCAAGCCAGTGATAAGCATTGTTTCTATAGATTATAGATTAACTAAAAGTATTCCTTATGGGAAATAAAGGGATGGGTCTGGCTAGTTATCTGCAGCATGAACGTGTCCTTAAGGCATAGGTTGCTCATGCTATTGTTTGTGGTTTAAGAATGCCTTAAGCGGTTTTCCGCCCTGGGAGGGCCAGGTGTTCCTTGCCCTCATTGCGGTAAACCGACAACCTTCAGCATGGGCATCAAGGCCATCACGAGCATGTCACAGGGCTGCAGAGATTTTGTTTATGGCCAGTTTTGGGGCCAGTTTATGGCCAGATTTGGGGGCCTGTTCCCAACAGACACCTACACCACCACCACCAGGGAAGTGCTGGGAGACCAACCCAATGAGCACTTTGAGCTTTGCATTGCTGCTTCCTTCAAGAGGAAAAATCCATTCTCAGTGTCATTGTTTCCCATTTCATCAGTGATGGTGTGGATGATATGGTTGGTCTGGAGAGGCTGAGAAGACGCAGTAAAAAGTCTGCACTAGTTCATCTCGAATTAGCTCAAGATCATAGAAGACACTATTAATCATTGTTTATGAGGCATCATTGAGGACAGAAGTGTTCTCATTACTTATATTAATCATATATGAGTATAATTGGGGTATATAAGGCACACTTATGTTTTAAATTAAATAATTAAACCCTGATTTAGTAGTTTGGGTTTTGTTTTGTTTTTTTTCTTGTTTTGTTCTGGTTTGGTTTTCATTATTTGTAAGGTACTTCTAGGTCTTATTATCATAATTCCCTATCTCTCTTGAAGGGCTATTGATTTCTGATGGATAACACATCCAAAAAAAATGTCTGTTTTTCTCACAAGGCCTGACACCTTTCTGCTGACAAGTCTCTGAGCAAACGCTGAATATTTCTGTGACAGGCTTAGGTGTTAACATCAATTGAAGTCATGCCATTGACCTCAGCCTATAGAATATACAGTTTTTACTATTAATAGTCTTCTCCACTTGAACATGCTGTCTATGAAGACAAAATTGAATAGGAAAGTTCTCACTGAGATGTTCTTCCCTGCTTAGAAACAATCCTTTCTAATAGTTAAGGAAATAGCAAACTGTAGCCTGTGGACCAAATTTACCCACTGCCTTTTGGATAAAGCCCATGAGCTAAGAATGGTTTTTACATTTTTTAATGGTTGAAAAAAGACAACTGAGTATGGTGGTTCATGCCTGTAATCCCAGCACTTTGAGAGGCTGAGGCGAGCAGATCACTTAAGCCCAGGATTTCAAGATTGCCTGAGCAACACAGGGAGATCCCATCTGACTAAAAATTCAAAAATTAGCTGGTGTAGTGGTACACACCTGTAGTCCCAGCTACTCAAGAGGCTGAGGTGGGGGAATCACTTGAGCCCCGTAGGTGGAGGTTGCAGTGAGCCAAGATTGTGCCACTACACTTCAGCCTGGGCAACAAGAGCAAGACTCTATCTCCACACACACACACACACACAAAAAAAATCAACAAGAAAAATAGTATTTTATGTGAAATGCTATATGTAAATTATGTGAAATTCAAATTTCAATGTCCATATATAACATTTTATTAGAACACAGCCTGCATTGTTGACGAATTGTCTATGACTGCTTTTGTGCTACATCAAGCTTGAGTAGCTGCAACCAAAACTATATGATCTGCAAAAACTAAAATATTTACTAACTGTCTCTTTGCAGAAAATGTTTGCTGACCCTTAAAATAGGCAATGGAAACAAAGATTGCCCGTATCAATACAACGTTAGAACTTGATACTACCTACTGATTGATCTCTACAGGAGATAAATCACTTCTTAGCCATTGTTAATTGCCACTTGTTAACTGGCAGTTAACAATGTCTTTTATGACCAGGAGAATTCAGGCAAATCCCCGTATGACTCTAACAGGCTGTGTTTCGTGTTGTTTCGGTCATTTAAAATTCACATTGCTTCCTTGTTAAGCACGTTTTTACTCAAATGCAGAGTTTCAGCTTAAGTGTCACCCCCTTTGTGGCGTCTTCTCTGGGCTTGGACACCGTTAGCCCATTCCTTCTCTGGGGCAGAGTCTTAAGTAAGCTGCTTTATCACAGCACACCATAGATAGTTACAATTCTCGCTTCTTGTGTCTGCCTCCCCAGTATACTGTGAGTTTCAGAAGCAAGTGCTGTATCCCTGTGGAATGAATAAATCAGTGAATGAATGAGTTATTTCAAAAATAATAAGGCACTTGTAAAGCATCAATAGACTTTCCGTCAGAGAAAATATTTGTCAATCCAAATGCCATTTGAACTCTGTTTTTTGTTCTTAGATATTTCAATTGAAAAGCCAGTGCAAACTGATAACCAAATACAGTACAAATCTGTCCCTAGGTTTGCACGTAGTAGAAAAAATTTCAGAGCACAAAATAGGGTCTGTTCCATTGCCTATTCTGTTGACAAAGAAGAGTCACATAGATTATTGCTTGGTCAGTACTATGCTTCTTGTCCTTGGTCTTAAGTGATGACCTATCTTTCAATGACAATCATGTGAAGGACTTGAAAAATAGGAATAAAACATTGAACAGTAGTGTTTGTTTGTAAGGAATTTACTTGTTACAAGCGTCTGGTACCAGAGTGCCCCCTTTTGGCCATAAGCATAATGAATCTAAATGTTAAGCTACAATGAAGGCTAAGTTGCCCAAAGAACATTGTGCTATGCTAATTAATATATTTTTCAATTTGTTTCATTTTTTGTTTATACCCTTCTTTATCCATTCCATATTGATATGTGGAAACTTTCCAATTATAAAAAGATAAAATTACATAAATAAGGAACTCAAGGTAAGAGAAATTTAGGAATAGCTAAGTAAGATAAAACCAGAAGAGTTTTCTCCTTTAACAAGAAAGGAGAGAAATGACCATAACACACAACTTGTCACTTTCTACTACTTGAAATTTGGCATCAACTGAGTGAGAGCTGGAGACTAAAGATCATCAAAAACGTGTTTGTTGCCAGGGACTTTGTGCCCTGCTATTCAGCTCACAGGGCTGACCCCAGTTCCAGGACCCCTGCCGTGTAGCTGCGGAGAAACTAACTACAATTTAATGATTTCCTGATTTTAAATCACCTTGCACTTTTTAACTGAATACATTTTCACTTCAACCGTACTGGAATATATATATTGGCTACAATGTACACATGTTATACAAATTATGATCAGCATTTAAACAGGGCAAGCATTTTCCTGAACTTTCCTGGCAACCAAAGTTATCTGGTGGCTGAGTATTCTTAAATCCTCATGATGTTGAATAAGTAAATTATTCTGCACAATTCTTTATGCCCAAGATAGTTTCTCAACATACTTCCTGAAGAGAGCAGTGAGGGTAGCCAGCGTCTTTGTAGACTTCATGTTCTGTGTGTCTAAGCCAGAGCCCTTGAACATAGTAGGGGAGGCACTGCATGCTGCTGGGGATATATTAGGTGCCAAGGGTACAATGGGTGTAGGGGAGGTGATAACTTATGTATATTTAAACAAATCTTACATATTTATTTATACATTTTATTTATGAATTGTCTTTATACGTTTATTTTCTGTCCAAGACCACTGACTCTTTGAAATTCATTTCTCTTTCAATACCTGAACTTAAATTTTAGCTCAAAACTGACAGCGAGGCCAAGCTTCCCTCCTTCCCAGTTATGATATAGTATTCCAGCCTCTGAGTGAATTCTAGGCTCTTCACAAGTTTGAGAACTGAGGGATGAATCAGACCTTTATGAAGCCTGGGTTTGGGATATTTCTGATGGCTGATAACAAGTGGAGAATATGTAACTCTTACAAGTTAGTTGGGACTAAAAAGAGTTGATCTGGAAAGATATACATTCTAGTTAATATGTACTCAGTTCAGAGAGAACAACAATATATTTGATGTATGGGTTAATAGGAATAGGAAAATATACAAGTTATACTCACTTACTGGGGACTCCCAGAATCAACCATACAATTGCACGGAGCTGGATGACGGTGAGTGATGGTAATGAGGTACTAGTAAGTAGTAATATCACACACATGATTACACTTAATTCACACAACAACTCTTGTTATAAGTATCATTAGGCCATTTTTAGATATGAGAAAACTGAAGCTCAGTGAGTCAAGTCCTCTAGTATCAAAGCCCAAGACAAGGATTCTCATATAAGTGATTTTGTGAAAGTGCATTCTTAGGGAAAGCCCATAAGGGAGCAAGGGAAGCAGATTGACAGAGAAGAAGCCCTACAGAGCATTCAGCTGAAAATCTCACCTGTGCTGGATCCCACAGAGAGTGCTGGGGGCATGAACAGCACCATGGTACTGTCTCACTCTGAAAAAGGCTGGATTTTTGTACCCCACAATTAGTCAGTCATTAGCTGTGGGCTTCCCTCAGCAGGAGAACGCAACCTCTTAGGCATTTTCTATCGAGGCAGCTCTGTGCAGTGGAAGGCAACTATCAAGAGATAGGTACTGCTGTGCTGTTAGCAGCAACTGGGAAAAGTGTGTCCCAGGCTGGCAAAGTGTATCTAAAGGGCACCAACAGCACTTTCTACAGTGTTTAATTCATTAGCCAAAACTGATGCAGCTTCTAAATGACAGAGCCAGGATGCAAACCCTAATCTGCTTAAGTGTTGTCCACAGGTACAGATTAGCCTACTTATCCTACTATTTGAAGCTTTATACAATTAGCGTGGTTTTTTTTTTCAATACCTATTTTATGCCAGATATGGTGCTCAAAGCTGGAAAGGAAAGTGTACTGACCAGGAGTGGAACGTGGCTCTACCTTTTTGCATGCTTAACTAGCAGAGTCCTGGGTCATCCTAACAGTGAACTGAAAAATTAATGCTTGTTTTTGGCTTTTTTCTCTAAAGGCTGACGAGATGCAGGATGTGATGCATTTTAACTACACTGCATGGCCTGATCATGGTGTGCCCACAGCAAATGCTGCAGAAAGTATCCTGCAGTTTGTACACATGGTCCGACAGCAAGCTACCAAGAGCAAAGGTCCCATGATCATTCACTGCAGGTAACCTCATCAACTGCATTTTCTATTAAATATTAGGAGTTGGTTTTGTAAGGGGAACAGCTCACCATTCCATAAGCCCTTATCAGGTTTAGTTGAAAATTAAATAAACTCTGATGTTTTTTAAACTATGATTAATTGATGTCTCACTATATACAATGTTTATTCTGGCTTTCCTGTATCTATACCCTATAAAATAGATGTTATTATTCCAATTTTTAAATGAAAAAAATAGAGAAGGGTAGAGATGTTAAGGGATTCACACAAGTTCATGCAACTAGAACATGGAGGAGTTAGTATTCAAATCCAGGCATGCCAATCTGCAAAGATCATGCCCTTAATATGTGATATTATCCTACTCCATCAAGGATTCTGGGTAGTTACAACATGGACAAATACAAGGTCAAATTATAGAAAGCTGATCACAGCTTGACATAATATAAATAGGCATAAAAACTAGAAAAGGAAAAGAAAAATGAAAATATTCAGCTTAGGAAGATAAACATATTTGCTATGATTCCTCTTCGGGATTGTCTCTTAAATTGTCAGACAGTAGAATGAAAAAGGATATAGGATATAAAAAAATCAAGGTCCACACTAATTCCCAACAGGAAAAGTTATCATTAAATTTAATTTGTTCTTCCTACTGTATGAACAGAGCTCCATCAAAATCTATCTCTGTGATACAATATTGCTGTAAAATCCTTATGCAACCTCAAAAGAACAGGGGACATAAACGTGCTCCAATGGCAAGTGAGAGGTGGCAGTGGGATGAAGATGTGAAGGGAAGCATTGGCAGCCATGCCAACCTAAGCAAATAAATCTACAATCCCAGACCTACTGCCTTGGCCCTTGTGAATTAGAATGACTAGAATGAGGAAGTATATGTGTGCATTCATGTGTGTTTGTGTGGAGTGTGTGTCTCCCTGGAAAGGAAAATGCTTCATAAGCTACTAAGTTTCTGTTTAGGGCAGATATTGTTGCTGTCAATCCACTGTAGGCATTCACAGGTTAAAAGATGTGCTTTAGCAGGTAAGATTATCTGTTCTCAAAATGGTTCTTTTCAAGAACAGAAAATGAAGCTCTTCAACTCTGGGGTCAAACTCACAGATTCCTTTCATGGAAGATAGTAAGTGCAGTTCTGGATATGACTTTACAGGTGCTCACCCAATGGCAGATCATTTTATCTGAGAAATCCTGGGAGGGAAGAGTTGTCTAGTAGAAAAAGCAACCCTTAAACTCAAGGTTTATAGAGTGGGATTTTTCTAGCAAACTTTCCATATAAATTTGCTTGAACTTTCTCTTTTCCCATCATTTCACAGTGATTCAAAGCTAAGAGCCATTTGACTCTTTATTGAGGATTAGAGGGAAAAAAGGGCTGACTTCAACACATAGAACTAGGGACTGTGATGGGCAGTTGGTCAGCGCATGTCAGTCCACTTCCATCTGTGCCCCGAGCATTGGGATTGGGGGACTGGCTGAGACTGGGTCCAAATTTTTCATTTGATTTTAAGGCAACTATCTCAAAGGTCCCTGTGAGATGGAAGCAGGCCCAGGACCCACTAAAATGGCAGGCATGCTGTAAGGCAGGTCTGGGGTGGTGAACTGAACTTAGGGTTGAAGATACACAAATCTCTGTGGTCCCAGACCTAGAGTTAGGGTATGGACATCTCAACTGGAGTTTTGAGCTGATCTGAGGGCTTAACTCTGATGCTGTTCAAAAGACAGGGTATTGTTTATGTGTATCAGCTCTCTGAATTCAGAAATCAGTTCCCGAGAGTACTCAACATGGAATCCCTACTTTTCTGCAGAAGCAGAGACCCCGATAAAGGGTGTGGCCAATGCAGTGCAAATGTCTCTCAGGAACGTAGCCATGATAGTCAGAAATGTGACATTAGAAGGAACACCAACCACAACTCCATACTTAAAAATCAGTTAAGTGGAAAATATTGTCAGGAGCTTAGTCTGCGTTTTTCCACAAGGGTACTATTTGTAGTTTTTTAGAAATCATCAGTTTTATTTCAACAGTAAAGTAGCACCATCTGGGCTGGCCGAGGTGGCTCACGCCTCTAATCCCAGCACTTCAGGAGGCCGAGGTGGGAAGATCACCTGAGGTCAGAAGTTCAAGACCAGCCTGGCCAACATGGCAAAACTCCATCTCTACTAAAAATACAAAAATTAGCCAGGAATGGTGGCACATACCTGTAATCCCAGCTACTCAGGAGGGTGAGGCAGGAGAATCACTTGAAGCCGAGAGGCAGAGGTTGCAGTGAGCCGAGATCATGCCATTGCACTCCAGCCTGGGCAACAGAGCAAGACTCCATCTCAAAGAAAAAAAAAAAAAGAGGGGGGAGAAAAAAAAGAAGCACCATCTGAATAATATGCCATCGGAACATTCTTTTGCAGTGCTGGCGTGGGACGGACAGGAACATTCATTGCCCTGGACAGGCTCTTGCAGCACATTCGGGATCATGAGTTTGTTGACATCTTAGGGCTGGTGTCAGAAATGAGGTCATACCGGATGTCTATGGTACAGACAGAGGTAGGAACATAATCTATATGTATTTTTAAATTTTCCCTGGACTGAAAAACTTACCATTATTCAATGATATGCTTCAAAACAATTCTCTCAAACTTCTTTGTATCTTTCTTTCCCATTTTCTTATTGTATATGTTCAAACTGCTTTGAGGCATAAAAGAAATAGACACTAGCCTCCAGAAATCCATTCGACATATAGTGATTATACTTTTATTGGCATCATAATTCAGAGTGCATGGGTAGATTCGTAAGAGTAAAACCTCTTTGAACAGACTCAGAGTCAATTGCAGATAACAGCCATCCTGGGTAAATGCCACCAAATAGAGACTGTTGAACTGGTGAAATTTGATTTATATTTGAAATGTTGGATTTGATTCAATACATTTGTCATTAGTTTATCCTCCGTGTGACTCTATCCCAATTCACTTTTGATGATGATTAGAAGTTGGATTTGAGCTTTCTGTCCCTTTTATGATTTTAAAGATTCCCAGTCCCCAACCTACCAGCATTGCCAGTTCCCTTCATCTCAATGATGAAGATTTATTATTTTAACAACATGGAAGCATCCCCTGAAATATCCAACAGTGTTACGTGCTCCGTCTTCCTCCTCTTCTCCCGAGTCCTCCCTCCCTGAAAGCCTGAGGATGCACTTAGTCTGGAGCGACAACCCAAGGCAACGCCGGCAGACAGCACCGCCTGCCTCAGAGCAGCCGTGGGTGTGTACCCTTGTGGGCGCAAAAACCCAAGTACAACAGCTTGTTCATAAGCCTCATCACCCAGCCATACTCGCGACTTCTTAGCTTCGGTCTTACAATAATCCTTTTTCTCAAAGAGTATGTGTGGGTGGAGCGCTTGGGTAGAACACAACCTGGCCCGACCTGTAATCAGGGTATTTTTAAAATGCTTTGGTCTTCCTCATGCTTTTCCTACCCAGCACCACTAGATGTCAGTATCACTTCAAAAGCCTAGAGTAATGGCGGCCGTCTCAGCTGTTTCTGCTTTCCCACTCCTTTTACTTTTCTTTCCTCCTACCTCCCCATTCTTGTCTGACCAATTTTTGGCAAGGCTGTTTCAATACATTCATTTCTGAACTACAGCAGGATCATACCACTTGGGAAAGAGTTATCCTCGTTAATATTCAGACCTCTCATTGATAATTAGGAAGCAAGTCCAATTGGTTTCCTCACTTGGTTTCAATCATGCTGCCTAGTAATTTAGTGTGGTGGGGACATCAGTATCACTTTTTAATCATAAGTTTAAAATGTCTGGTTTCCCAGAGGAGTCCACTGTCTGGTGAGTAAACAGTGCTTTATTAATCGGTCCATATTTTTGGCTTTTACTTCCATAAATTTGCACCTTGATATGTGATTAAAAATCCACGTTATGTATATGAATCACCAAGCTTCAAAGAGCCACACCTTATTTTAAGTATTTTGCATTTAATGAATTGTCTCCTCAATTTACTTAATTCATACCTTTTACAACTTCATAGATTTTGGGGCCTGGCGTAGTGGCTCACAGCTGTAATCCCAGCACTTTAGGAGGCTGAGGCGTGCGGATCACCTGAGGTCAGAAGTTGGAGACCAGCCTGGCCAACATGGTGAAACCCCGTTTCTACTAAAAATATTAAAAAATTAGCCTGGCCTGGTGATGGGCACCTGTAATCCCAGCTACTCGGGAGGCTGAGGCAAGAGAGTTGCTTGAACCCAGGAGACGGAGGTTGCAATGAGCTGACATGGTGCCACTGCACTCCAGCCTGGGCGACAGAGTGAGACTCCATCTCAAAAAAAACAAAAAAAACTTAGTAGATTTTAATTATGGCCTGTTTGCTTTTGACTTTTCTCCAACTACAGATTCTTAATCTCTTTCACATGACACATCCTCCATCCCATTTTTAGGGTCATTATCTTTCTTTGGGTGGTTATCAAGCAGCCACCATGTCGCTTTCTGCAAAGCCAAGAAAACGTTTTGTTTTCTCCCTAAATGTTTTACCCTAAATTTTGGTTGTTTTATTTGTTTATGCCAGCATTTTATGTTGATATCTCCGCGGACACAGCCTTTTTAAAGTACAGTATCCCCATCCTGGCCAACATAGTGAAACCCCTTCTCTACTAAAAATACAAAAATTAGCTGGGCGTGGTGGCACACGCCTGTAGTCCCAGCTACTCGGGAGGCTGAGGCAGGAGAATCGCTGGAACCTGGGAGGCAGAGCTTGCAGTGAGCCAAGATCGTGCCACTGCACCCCAGTCTGGTGACAGAGCAAGACTCCGTCTCAAAAAAAAAACCCCATAAAATAATTAATTAAAATTAATTATGAAATAATTAAATAAAAAATAAAGTGCAGTATCCCTTCCCTGAACTCTCATGGGGAGTTCAAAGTCAGCAAAGGGGGCAGAGGTTCCCCGGGTTACTTACTTTTTCCAACTTTTCTAGCTTGACCCTTGATTCCCGCAGGACTTCCTGGTGGATGTTTTCCAGTTCCAGTTATTTATCTGTGTCTTTTTTTTTAACTTATGTCTAGAACATCTTCTTCATTTACCTTTATTTTTTCCTTGTTCCTCTGCTTACCATGGTTCATCCCGTATTTTGAATACAGATTGATCTGCCTAAGATTCTCCTTAAGCCCATTCACATTCAAATTCTGCTGCCAGGTCACAAAAGTTAACAAGGAAAGAACAAAGTAAAAAAAGGTTATTCTTTTCACATGTATCATCCTAGAGTACTCCTTTGACGCTAATGATTTTCAAGAGAATGAAATGGTTCTCCACTTGAGCTCTGTTTTTATGTATATAATCAACCCACATAGACCATATTTCCTCCCATCACTGGTATCTAATTTTCCAGCCTTCTCTACATTGCCTTGACCCCACCATTCCACCTCACCCAAAAAATTGCAGAAGTAGCTGATAGGATGAGCCATGTCTCCAGGTGCAACATGCTGCCTGGACTGCACTGTGACCTGCCCTCTTCCTCTTCCTCACCTGACCAGACACACTTCATAGACTTCTTCACGCAAGTAGAGGCGTATTTAGAAAGAATGCCAGACCCTGAGGGGAGCCTGAATCTCCACTTTACTGCTGCACAAGTCATGTCACCTCTCAAGGCTCCCATTTCTCTTCTGTAAAATATGAATGATAACTTTCACTAATTTTTGTAAAGCAGACATGATGGGAAATAATATAACCTAGATAAGTGATTTGAAACTGTGAAGTGCTACTTATGAATGATGTTCTCCTCTCTTCTATTTTTATCGAATATTTTGTTTGGTTTTCCTCTAATATCCTTCCCTGGAGGTCAGTTGGGGCTTTGCTTTGAGCAGCCCATCCTCTTGATCTGCAGTTTGAATTTCGGGACTTTCAAGGACAAGTCCCTCCATAAATAGTCTTTATTTACTTTTCTTGTGGTCTTGTTGTTTGGTTGTTTTTTGTTTTGATACAAAATGTAGCCACTAAGCAGATGCAGATTGAATGTCCAGGCAATCTCTGGTCTTATCTATTCCCTGTGTTGACATAACACCAGAAGCAATGGATTAGGTGTCCATGTGTGATGACCACAAGGGGTAGCTCAGCCACTGATAGGATACCATCACCACAAAAGGGAATATATTTTCTCCAAACCGTGTTGAAAAATACAGGTTAGGCTGAGGCATCAATCCAGTGATGTTCGAAATATTAATTTTGTTTTTTGTATGAAGTTGTTACACAGGAAGCTTCTTAAAATCCTATGAATATTTTGACCGGATCTCATTTAAATGTTATTTCTAGTGCTATTACTTATAGAGAAACTCTGGGAAACAAAGAAAAAGGAGGAACACTGTGAAATTACCCTTACTTCTTGGCAGAAAGATATATTTTGGTGATTTCATTTTGGCTTTCATTCAAGTATAACTTTTACATGATTGTGCTCATATTATATGTATGTATATATGTGTGTTACTTTACATTCTATTTACATTGTAGTTTCTCATTTAGGATTTTACTATGTAGCCTGTATAGTATCAAAAATTACCTACAACTCTATAAATCTCATTTTAAGGACAGACTAATGTTTCATTAAAGATACACTATTGCATACTTAAACCAATCTCCTTTTTATAGAACATTAAATTGGATTATTTTCCACTTTTTACTATTATCTGTGTCCACACCATTTATTAGCACTTTATTAATTCTACCTCCACAAACAATAGGTAAAATGGACTGCCTCAACAAACTTGTCATCATTAAATATTATTCTTTTCCTTCTAGCTTTGTCCACTACATAGATAGAAAATAATTATTTCAATGTACTTTGTATTACTTGACTATTGTTGGCATATTTTAATATTTCCTCAGTTTACTTCAAAAATCATTTAATAAACACAGCTAAGTGCTAAGCATTAGGAATAAAAAGACATAGTTTCTAACTTCCAGGGAATATTTGGCCTAGTGGTTGATGTCCTTTACTTATTTGTCTATTTGTATATGTTACTGATTTGAATGACTTTATCACAAAAATAAAGGCATCAATATTCTGTCATAATTCTAGAAAATATTTTTCTTTTCCAGTTTGTGGTTTACCCTGTGTTTTATTCTTTTTAACTTTTTAAAATATACAGTAGATTGAGATTTTTATTTGTAATGTATTCTACTGCTCTTAATTTTAGAAATTCCTTTCCTAAAGGAATCAGAGAGAAATTAACCAATATTTTCCTCTGTATTTTTAAAGACAATTTATTAAATTACCTGGAATTTGCTTTGGTGTATGATAATGGGATATCCTTTTTTTTTCAAAATAGCCCCATGATTTGATTGAATATTCATTTCCTTTAGCATTAATAATGATTTAATGTACAGCATGGTGAACATAGTTCATAATACCGTATTGTATACTTGAAATTTGCTAGGAAAGTAGATCTTAAGTGTTCTCACCACACACACACACACACAAATATATATACATACATATATATGTATATATACACACACATATATATAAACATATATATAATCTGGGGTGATGAATGTGTTAACTAGCTTGATTGTGGTAATCATTTCATAACATATATGTATATCAAGTCATCACATTGTACACCTTAAATATATACAATTTTTATTATACTGCAATAAAGTTAGGGGAAAAAAATTCCACTGTTTTTTTAAAAAAGCCATGATGTTCTAAGCTCTGTTATTAATCAAAATACTTGTACAGTTGATTCTCTTGGATTTTCTAGTTATAAAACTGTGTCTCTGTAAATAATGAAAATGGTTTCCTTTAACACCAGATCTTGATCATTAAAATTGTCATAGTATAAAATATTATATCTTTGCACATGTCTGCTCTGAAACCTGTTTTTGTCTTTTGTTCCAGGAGCAGTACATTTTTATCCATCAGTGTGTGCAACTGATGTGGATGAAGAAGAAGCAGCAGTTCTGCATCAGTGATGTCATATACGAGAATGTTAGCAAGTCCTAGTTCAGAATCCGGAGCAGTAAGTGGAGAAGAGCTCTCCACGAGTGCTCAGTCTTAGAACTATTAGAGGGGGATGTGATGGATGGGACAAAAGACAGCAGTAGCCATTTGTATTGACTCTGACTTCACATGAGTATTTCTTCCCAGCTCCTGGCCTCACATGGGTGGTCACAGGGAGAAACAAGTACTGTAGCAGATCTTTGAGTTTCAATGCACCTTGGTTGGTGTTGGCAACAAACAGGAGCTTCTGCACATCATGATGACTTTACCTCCATTCCCTCTACCCAGAACCCTAAATTATTCTGTTATTGGATCTGTGCCTGTAATATCAGGATACTACCATCCAAATCTATCTAGATATCTTGTGCAAATATTTTATTGATTACAAGGGCTGTATACGGGGTTACAAAAAGACATGAGCTGGATTGGACACTCCTAAAACCAAAAACAACAGTGACAATAGAGTCTCAGGATAGCAGAGTCTGAAAATACCTTGGTCTCCCCCATTATGTGAGCCCTTACTTGAGAGCTTCATGAAGACACTTGTAACATATTCAACGTCCTGTACTCCAGTTTTGACTACGAGATCAGATTTTGGAGGTGTAAGTAAACTTGGCTGAGGTAACAGTAATCTGCCCATTTAGTTCAGTAAACAGACTGTAGAGTGTCTGACTATACTGGGGGAAGAGGAGCCAATGACAGGGTAGGGAGATGACAGTGGTGCATGATGGGAGAATCATGAAAGTCTGGGAAGCATATGGACCAGTGGGAAGGATAGGATTAGCACTGCACCTCTACATCCATCAAGAGAGACAGAGCGCACAATGGAGCAGGAAGGATAAAAAATAAAGAAAGACAGAGAGAAACAAATTTGCTGGGAGAGGGAAAGACATTCAGACCCACAGAAAGGAGGCAGCACACAGAGAAAGATGCACAGATCAACCCACATCTGCATGGGTTGTGAGACTGAGCATAGTGAGAGCAGTGGTGGAGCAATAGAAGATTGCTGTGACACCAGGCTGCTTACTGTCTTTCTTTGTCTCATTCACAGGAGAGGACATGATGTGCGCCCATCCTCCCTTGCTTCCAGATTGTTTTAGTGGGCCCTGATGGTCATTTTTCTAAACAGAGGCCCTGCTTTGTAATATGTGGCCAAGGAGATAATTTATCTCACAGAAGCACCGGGAAGACTTAGCCTTAAAGAGCCTACAGTGTCCTTTTGGACTCTTTCACTTCGGGACATTTAATAATGGACCAAATTCAACAGAACACCAGGAAGGTCAAGACGCTCTCCAAAGGGCAGGAAGTACAGCACTTCCGAAGAGTTTAGTTGGCCCTTTGCTGGTTGGGCTGAGTTTTTTATTTTTAAGTGTTTGTTTTTCAGTGCAATAATTTTTGTGTGTGTGTGATTCTTATCAGAAAGTTGAATTGTTTTCTGCCTACACCGTTCATCAGCCCCATAACCCAGGAAGGAACAGGCATTGTTAGCATCAGATTATACCTCATTATTAAAAGGAGGCATGGCCACACATGAAGAAATGGTCATTCTACTTCAAAGAAATTGAGCCAGCACTATCTGTACTCCAACATTACCGGATCTGGATTGGGGAGGTTGGTCAGGGAAGAGAGGGGTTCTACCCACAGATCAACTGTGTAATCTTTTACTATTCAAGCTATAATTCAGCTTCAAAGTAGAGTAGAAAAAAAATTGTCTTAACTGTTCTAGTTCTTGATGGTTTTCTTCCTTATTAACAGTTGGTGTTTCTTCCTTGGCCCTTTTGGACTAATGTTACTGTCCAAGTTCTTTCTCAAGAAACCACATCTGGTTCAGAAGAGTGTCAAGTTGGACTCTTTGAACTCTGTTGCTGTCTGAGCAATCGTGGTGCCTAGACTTTGCATTCCTTGTTCTGTTGACCTGCATACATGTGAGAGCTATTTCTTTAAGAACTATATAGGCTGTGAAAACGCACTTTCTTTCCCCCAAAGAGCTGGGAATTTATGAAGTTATGGCAATGAACTGCAGCATGCTGGGACAATTATTTGACTACTTTTTTTTGTAATATTGTCAAATGTCTCTATGGATTCTGACAGAGATTTCTTTTTGTTTTGTTATTCTTTTGGTTGTCAGTTTCATTTTAACGAGTGTAACTAGTAACATTTTATTCTTTGGATTTTGTATAATTACAGTACATGATTGTGTATTGTGACATGAATGCTGTCAAAATGACATTGATGGCATTGTGAAGCCTGTTACTTTGTGTCACTTCCTGATAAATAAGAGGTGATGACATGGATATACAACAGAAAACACTTTGAGTTGAAAGTAAACACAAGCTGGCTGCTTCCCTGTGGCAACTGTGGCTATTGTGAGCCTCCGTGTGTGTGCTTCCAGGAGGCTTTGCTCCTCTTCATGCACCCGACACTGCCCCTTCCCTGGCTTCCCTCCATCCCTGATCATCTTCATGAAGCCACAGATATAAGATCAGCTTAATATTTTATCAGTGACCTTAGTGTTGGTGAAGGATGCCAAATGAACAGCTCTGCACCCCACCGTCTCTTGTCACTGAAAAGGCTTGGCCATGGCAGACCTTGGCAGAGTTTCTTGCAAGATCTGGCCAGTGAGTCTCAGTTTCACCTTGCAGGGTGAATGGCAGAGGATGCCCATACCCTGCAGGTTAACAGCTTGGGCTCCTCAGGGGTTGTCAGTTCCTACTCACCTCCCTGCTACCACCTCCTCCTCTTCTTCTCACCCCCGACTCCTTTATTTCCCTTTTTGGACATTTTAATAATGTGTCGCACCATTCTCAGGAACAAACATGGTTAATGAAAGGTGGCAAAGGGATGTGTGACATTCTTAGATTTTCACACATGGGCAGTCAGGAGTGAAATGTGCAACCTTGGAAGAGCTGATACAATGTATGGTAAGCTGAAGTACGTTTCCAACACTGCTGCTCAGAGCATACAGAAGTTTTGCATCCTGGAACATTGCTTCCCATGAAACAAAGCACTTCATAAATATTTTATGTTTTTCTTGAGCACCCTTTCAAGGTAGGGATCAAATAGTGCCAGATCAATTTTCCCAAAAGGAAAGAGGAAGTATCCAGAGTTTAGACTGAAGGCTTAGAGTCAAAACTACAGGAAGGTCACACTGTTCTCTGGAACACTGTTGCTCTTCAGTTTGTAGAGTTTATGATGGAAAAGGCATCAGTCTGTCAAAAGACTTGTTTAATCCTGATAATGACTTTGGAATTATCTCTCCTGGGTCTCAGTTAATAAACTGAAGAATGACCTAATCATAACTCCATATCTTGCAACAGGTATAAGAAGTATCAGATACGATAATTGACCCAAAGGTGCTTTGTGTCTTGTTCTCTCATGTATGTTCCGTAAGGCTACTCTAACCAGTTCTGTTTCCACACCAGGACCCAACTTTAAGCATTCAGAAGGGAGGCTTCCAGAGCCTCTGTATTATTAACTAGGGTTTTTAAAATTCATTTGAGTAATGCTTTGTTCTAAAAGAACACAGGGGCCTTAGTGCATGTGTTCATAATAGCCTGTATGGCACACAAAAAGATCTAAAAACTTGAGCGTTACAAAACATTTCATTTTGAGTGCTATTTTTTTTTTCTTTTTTTTTTTGAGACAGATCCTCTCTCTGTTGCCCAGGCTGGGGTGTATTGATGCAATGGCGTGACCTTGGCTCACTGCAACCTCCACCTCCCAGGTTTAAGCGATTCTCCTGCCTCAGCCTCCTGAGTAGCTGGGATTACAGGTGCGTGCCACCACGCCCAGCGAATTTTTTGTATTTTTAGTAGAAACAGGGTTTCACCATGTTGGCCTGGCTGGTCTCAAACTCCTGACCTCAGGTGACCCCCCCACCTCAGCCTCCCAAAGTGCTGGAATTACAGGTGTGAGCCACCACACCAGGCCTTGAGGGCTATTGAGATCAAATTCCTTGGCTGCAAAAGATAATTTATGAAGTTAATTGAGAAACTACCATTAGGATCTAATTAATAAATGTAATAGTTGACAGCAGTATATCCATTACTTCATATGATGATTTCGTTTAACTTGAAAAAAGTGATGGATGACAGCATTTTTTGGAAAAGCATTTTAATTCGGGGTCTACAATTTCCCACTGTAAAGACAACATTGCCTCCAAAATGTAAAACTAGAAAAGTTACTACTTTTTTTTAATGTCAGATTTTATAATGTCTCTCCTTTCCTAAAAGCTGTTCCTACTCCCAAAAAGGTGACACAGCTCTCAAATGAGGCTGTGGTGTCAACAGGCAAAGCAGGATCAGATGCTTTGGATTTGAATTTTCTGCAGGCTACTTGATAGCTGCTTGCTAGAGGATTGGCCCTTAGCCAAGGAGTTAAAGTTACTGAGTCCAACCTCTAAGAGCCAAAATTCTCCCTGCTTTCTAGCAAGGAGGCCTTCCTTTACACCTCAGGAAATGTCTGATGTAATGTGCTTCAAATAGCTGGCTCGCTTCCTAGCTCACAGATCTCTAGTCTGGTACTTGGCACAGCGATGAAGTCTGAGAGTCATGCCCATCGCTGATTATAACATTCACTTTGGCCAAAGGGGTTATAAAGCAACAAAATATAACATGCAAAACCTGCAGACTTCCACCCCTGACTTTTAATAGCCTCATTTGGAACCATTTGAAGGAAATTTCAGCTGTGACATCTCTGACCCCTGGCCTTCCAGAACAGTAAGATTTTTTGCTTTTAGTTTTATCTGGTGATTATCACAAGGCCTTTTCCTGGTGGGTCACTGGATTAAAGATGAAGTATAAGGTTTAACTCTGGGAGTTGCATTACAGGAGGGTCATGAACAGACTGAAGGCTGTCCAGACATTGTCACTAGAACCACCGGAAATGTGGAGAAATAACAGGTTATGATAACAAAACCTGGGAAAACTGGGGCTATTAAATCTGGAGTAAAGGAAGTCATTTATTGAATCACTCAGTCAACAAATGTGTGTTTATCTAATCATATTGTAGGAATCACTCAATCAATCCATCTAAGGTTTCTTGACCACTTGCAATATGCTAGGCCCTATGGTAAGCACAAATATGAAGGCTTTTAAAAATAGGCTATATAATCAGTTTTAATACTGTTGTTGGAATGTTCAAGAAAGCCTTAGCCAAGTCTTTTTCAACATTTTTATTTATATCTTCCAAAACTTCGTCAACATATCTTCTGGACATACTCACCAGCCATCATATTTAATGATGTTCAATATTTTCCTCAATGGCTTATATAACAGAAACAACAAATGTTCATTGTTTTTTTACTCATAAACCACTAGAAAGCCTGACATGATCGCTCTTGCTTGATGAGAGTCACCAAACTAGTCCTGCCCTCCTGCTCATAACAAGAGTCTCCTCCACCGTGTTCCTGGTGGATGGCTAATTCTTTTCTACAGAACACTTTTAGAGGGAGGAATTGCTTCTAAGGTAGCAAAGCATTTTTTCTTTTGTTTACACATCCAAGGACCTTACTAATATTAAGAATGTATGAGTCTGTGCCCCTCATGGGCATAGGCTTGAAGCCCAAATCTACTTCCCCATCTTGGAAAAAAAAAAAAAAGATCAGGTTCTGTGGCTGCTTTGAATACCGGACTGGCTTCTCACTTGGCAGCAAAGGAGATGGCACCTGACTCAGGGAGCAATGGGGGTTTCTTTCTAATGTGCTAATCCCTTTATGTTCATATCCTCAACTTCAAAACATCATTAGGAAGTGAGAATACTCATTTCCCAGGTGACGAAGTTGAGAGACAATAAGGTGAAGAGGCAGCGTAGTTAAATTACAACTACAGGGTTAGAAAGTGGCAGAAGCAGGATTCCCGGCCAGCTCTGCCCAGCCCTAAACCTTTTCCCCCACAACTTCATGCTGTTTCTCGTTCATACTTAGCATGGATAAAGTGCAGTAGGATGGAATTAATAGATTCATCTCCAGGTAATGTGTTTAATATAGAGGGCAGACATTCAATTTGAGAAATGGTAAATCTCTAACCTTCTAAGAAAATCATTTATTTATTGAACCTTTCATGCCAGGCACCGTAGAAGGGGCTATGGCTATGAAGATGGATGCAACAAGATTCTTGCTTCTAGTTTACATTCTAATAGGGGAAATCAGAAGTAAAAATAAGGGCAACAAAGTGTAACAGACACCGTGATAGAAACACAAAAAGTATCCAATATAGGTCCAAGGGAAGGATAGGTGATCTTTTTTTTCTAGAAGGGTCAGGAAACACTATACTACTATATTAAAGTACTAATAACTATAGGGCCACATTAAGCAATACTAAAGAGGAACATTCATTGCTCATTCAGCAAACATGAAACACCCAGTATGCATCAGTCACTGGGGCCCATATGGATGACTAATCCTCCCACCCTGCCTTCTGAACCTATTCTTCTTGGCACCTTCCAAGGGGACCATTTCTCTTAAGATGTCCACAAACAGCTCCAGCTCATGTATCACTCAGCAGAATCTAGTGGATTTACTCTTACTGCAAACCTAACAGAGCATACTGGGACTACTTTTCAAGACCCTTTGCAGAGTTCTGGGCAATGGAATGTGTGCTTCCTGGCCTCTGGACCATGAAAATTACCCAGGAGCAACCTTCCATTCCACCCTCCCCCACCCCTCTTCTTTCTTGTCTCTCTCTCTCTGTGTGTGTGTGACTGTGAATGTGTGTATGTCTCTTTCTCTCTCTCCCTCTCCTCTACCCCAACACAGATGGTGGTGCCACAGATAGGAGGACTCTGGGTCCCTGAATCACCACTTGGGGCAGGGATATCTGGTAGCATTGGCCCATTATGTGATCAAGAAATAGATTTCTATTGCATTGTCACTGAAACTTGGTCATTGTCAGTTACAGCAATCAACCTGCCCTTAACTAATATGGCAGCACAAGGATAACCTTTACAACAATGTTCCATCTAAGTTACAATAGGAAGTTTTCAGAGCAATGGTGTGTGACTGCCCAGTAAAATTCCCAGAAGACAGTTAAAGATGAAGCAGTGCAGAGCAAAGTAAACCCACAATGCAAAACAAGGGTTCAGGAAAGGCCACAAAAGCAATAATGGTTCCTTTAATAAATAAACTTTTTAACAGAAATATATGAATTCTTCTTTATAAGTTGTTTTCCTCCAGGTTAGATCTCTCCTGATCTTTTGGTTGTCATTGCTTTTCACACCCCATCATAAGACCATGACTCAGGACACCCACTAGAACTTCTTACCCTTACACTAGGCCATTGCCTCTGAATCAGACTCCTGGATTCCTATTAACAATATACCCCAAAGTGGTTTCACATCAACAAAAGCTCACACATACAGGAGCCCATGAGGCTTGGTGTTTGGAGTGATGCTGGGCAACCCAATCCTTTACATTTTGTGCGTGTCCTGGTGCGTTCCAGGGCCATGGTCACAGTTCAAAGCCAGCTGACACGAAATATTTTTGTTCAGTTCTAAGAGCACCAAAAAGTTCAAAGGGCAGTTTAAACTAGAAAAAGTTAACTGTAACCACTACATCCTTTATAAATATAAAACAGGATGGTCTTAGAAAGGTTCCTTCATGTCCAAAACCAAATTAGATCATATTGCCCCTTAACCAATGAACTTGGGAAGTGACACAGGACAGGGTCCAGCAGGACAGCAGAGCAGAGGGGCTTAGAATAAGGGACTGTGGTTGAAGAGAGGCTTGAGCTAAGTCTCTGCTCCTGACTACATATAACTCAGTCATCTAATCTATGAAATGACATCCTGATGGTAGCTTTCACATAGGGAGTCTTAGTCAGGGCTGCTGTAACAAAGCACCATAAACTAGGTGGCTTTAAATATTTCTTACGGTTCTGGAGGCAGTAAGTCCAAGATCAAGATGCCAGCATGGTCGGTTCTGGTGAGAGCCCTCTTCTGGGTAGCAGACAGCTGCCTTCTTGTATGCTTACATGGCAGAAACAAGGCAAGAGAGCTCTCTGGGGTTCCTTTTATCTGGGCACTGATCCTATTCATGAAGGTTCCACCTTTATGATATAATTACTTCCCAAAGGCCCCACCTTCTAATATCATTACATTAGGGATTAGGATTTCAACATATGAATTTTGGGGGCAAATTCAGTCCATTGCATAGGGCATCAGAAGATAACATGTGTAAGGATCTGAAAACAATACCAGGAATAGTTTAGTACATTACATACCACCCTGTTACAAGCCAATCTCCCACAGTCTCTAAGGGCCATCCTGATAGTCTTCAATAGACTTGGTAAGAGCATCTGAAGCTGGTATCTGACCTAGACTGACTGGGTTTTTCCAGGGTGACACCTGAACCCCCTCCCCTGGCAGCTACCCTCACAGTCACAGACCTTGGAATATAAAAGAGGTATAGTCTGTGACCCAATGTGGATGACCTTGTGTCATAGGCATTTGATGCAAAAGCAGAAGCTAGTGTTCCAGATAAGAGTCCTGGATTTCCCAGGCCTGGATTTCCAATTCTTTACTAGCAAATGTATTACCAATGTGTGTGTTTTATGTCCAGTGTATGTAATCTATGCTAGCGGGTTTCCCAGAAAAGCAATGTCAGCACCTAATTTACATTCCATGAAGATGTCTGCAGCTGTACAGATAATCTGCACAAATTCCTTGCACTAAAACTATATCTAGAGAGCTGACTGCTTCTAAGACAAGACAGCCAATTTGTACAAACCTTAATATGTACATACGCCTGGGTCAAGTTAAGAAGAGATGCTTGGCGTGAACAGACACCGCTTGTGAGCACCACTTAATCCCTCTGTGAACTGGTTTCCTTGTTTGTTAATGGCAATAATAAGAGCCTCCTCCACAGGGCTGCACTGAGGATTAAATGTAAAGCCCTTGGCATGGTGCCTGGTGGTCTGAGGGTACAGAATGGCATAATTGAGAAAGTATAGTCTTCAGAGTCACAGAACTCTGTGCTCTTATGCTGACTAGCAGTGTGGCCTTGAGAAGTCACCTACTATTTCTCAGCCTAAGTGTTCCCACAATAAAAAAATAATATCTACGTTTTCAAGTTGTGGTAAAACTTATAACTGGTTGTGTAAAGCACCGGCCAAAAACCTGGCAGAGTCAGCATAGCATAAATGCAGTATGATTCTTCAAATTTCCAAATCTCTCCCTCTCTTAGTGCATTTAGGCCACCAAACCCACCTACTCCTTTCAGTACCAAGACATCTACAGAGTGAGTGTGCCCCTTTGATTTCTCAGTCCCACATGGGCGCCCTTAGCATGAGCATGCCCCCTACACAAGGTCAGCTCCCAGAGCAGCAGTAACAACCCAACCCATGAAGTGCTGCCACACTTGGAGTCAGCAGCTCCCGTAAGAGGCAGAGGTTTGGCCAGGCGCAGTGGCTCACTCCTGTAATCCCAGCACTTTGGGAGGCCAAGGCCAGCAGATTACCTGAGGTCAGGAGTTCAACACCAGACTAGCCTGGCCAGTATGGTGAAAATGCGTCTCTACTAAAAATATATATAAAAAAATTAGCTGGGCGTGGTGGTGCATGCCTGCAGTCCCAACTACTCGGGAGGGTGAGGCAGGAGAATCGGTTGAACCCAGGAGGCAGAGGTTGAAGTGAGCCGAGATCACGCCACTGCACTCCAGCCTGGGCGACAGAGCAAAACTCCGTCAAAAAAAAAAAAAGAGGCAGAAGTTTTGTTTGCACATACATGTCACATATTGGGGTGGAAAACTCAGTTGGAAAAAATAATAAAAGAATTTGGAAGCATCCAGGCAATTTCAGATATCTGTTTTAATTTGCGTTCTGTAAATCCACTGCGCTGTCACCAAGGTATAACAATAGTCATTTTCTCATTCTTTTTTTTTCCATTTGCTGCAATGCAAATGAAACAAATTACCCAGACTTCCAAATTCCATCCTATAATAAGATTGGTTTTGGAGATGAGGCAATAGACTAACTTCCCTGTGCTGTTTTCCTAATAAAAAGTGCGCCCTTACTTATATACTGCAAGATACGAGGTTGCTACAGGCTATTAACACCATGACCTGCTTACCTTGCAAAGAGCTGTATTTTGTGTGTGTGTATGAGACAGAGTCTCGCTCTGTCGCCCAGGCTGGAGTGCAGTGGTGTGATCTCAGAAGAGCTATATTTTATGAGCTAGCAACAGCTCATGGCACCTGTCTTAGCCTCTTTTAGCCTATGTTCCAATAGCTCTGCTGCTAGGTTCCTTCACTAGTGAAAGACAAATCAATCCTTTTCCCACATACCTCCTAAGAGCTGGAGAGGACACTGTCGTTGTGTTTACTGAATAAACCACACCACAGATTAACTTGAAGCAAATGTATATCTACTCCTAGTTTGGGCCTGGCTATTACGAGCAGGGTTGAGACTAAGATCCAGTAATTTTTGCCCTGATTTCTTGGTATTTTATGTAATGTCGATTCCAAAGCATAAATGTGGACCTATGAGAGAACGTCCAAAGCTAATTTTTCTATCTAAACAAAATAGCGCTTTGAGGAGGTGGTCAGTCATCTGAAATTCCCCACAGATGCAAATGACCTTTGCAACTGAGAATTATATCTCCTGGTTCAACTGCTGCCTGGAACAACCACTGTCCAGTCTACCTTCATGTCCACCCGCAAGGGCCTTCATGGGACCTGGAGTTCCAAGGTCCAGAGATTTCCAAATAAAGCTCCCGGACTCCTCTCTGCATCTTCAGTGCTGATTTTACCTGTGTTATATGGAGGCATACTATATAAAATTTCATTTTTTAAAAAAGTGCTTTTTCTGCTTAAATTGTTGTATACACTGACCTATATAATACATGAGAGAAAAAAAGTTTGCATGATATATAGAAGTCCAAGAAATTGAGTCCAAATTCAGTTGTCCACTTTGTAATCTTTTACAAGCTACCTAACTTATCTGGGTTTCAATTTCCTCTCTTATAAAGTGGGATATATGTGAAAGTGCTCAGCACACATGAATTCAGTTCCTGTTTCCCTTTCCTTAGAATAGATGGGAGGGCAGAAGGCCTTGTCATATGGTACCAGTTCAGAGTAAGAAACAATGAAACAGGACAAACTGTGAAAGATCTAGAGATTTCAATTTCTGGCCAGTTTGTGTGTGCGTGTGCGTGTGCGTGTGTGTGTGTGTGTGTATGCATGTGTGCTTTATTCCATTTTTCCATGGGCTGAAAGGGCCTTCATTTCATTTTTGGAGGAAACAGGAATGATTGAACATGGGGAAATTATATTCTACTCCATATGCAGAGCTTTCCCACCCGAGGCAGCCCAGAAATGGAGCAGGAATTGGGCCAACTGCCTGGGACTACAGTCAGGAAGGAAAGAGCCGTGAGAGCCGCCTGGACCAGGACCATCTGGGCCCCTCAGCAGTCCTGGCTCATCGCACACCTCCTTCCAGCACCAAGCTCAAGGTGATGTGCCCAAAGCTCTTTCGAAGGCATTTCAACTGTTAAGATAACCAGTTCATACAGAAATCCACATCCGGGACCTTAGTTCTCTCAGAGCACGTAATAGCCACATCTTCCTCCAATTCACCTTCACGTTTAATTGTGTAGTTCTTAGTAATGCTATCTTATCAGAATTATACTAACTTTTCATTTTTTAACCTTTCTTTCACAAACGTGATGAGATAAATCTGAACATTTGGGTATTAGAAGATAGTTCTGCCAAGTGCGCCCCCCACTCAAAATAAAAACAAAAACAAAAAACAACTGAGCATTTCCCGAAAAACTGCTCTCAGAACACTGGCTTCTTTTCCTGTCCTCAACTGAGGATAGAAAGGAACAAAGAGGCAAGTAAAGGGGCTGTGAGATGATGTGGGAGTAGGTCTTAAAAATGGAGGAGAAAAGAAGGGATTGGGGAACAAAGATGATGGAGAGAGAATGCGTGGGGAAAAAGAAACACGTCATACAAACTGAAATTCCCATATAGAACCCAGAACTGCTGAGAATGCACCCTTTCTCTGGAAGTCACTTGCAGCAACCATGGCTTTATAAGTATTTTATGTTTTATTTTAGTTTTTTTAATAAGTATGCAAGAGAAAGGTGGTATTACAGAAGATAAAATGCCTTCCTTGCCCAATCCATTCCTAAGGGCCCTTTGTACAACCCTCTGAACATCTTTCATGCTAGTTACTAAGTTAAGGCCATGCCCTTTGGGAAAAACTAAGTGTCACAGCGTAAAATTACAGTGTCTGGGAAGTCAGCACTGCTAGTTTTAGGATGTAATCTTGTCCTAAGAAATCAGTAAAACTAGATTCCGGGATAAATAAGGCAAACTGCAACGGTTCTTTAGATTGTGTGCGTTCCTTGAAGGCAGAGACCCTGTCCAGGTTTTCCCTTGAATATCCAATTCTAAAAGAAAACATGTGCTAAATGTTTATTAAATGAACATTGTCTCCTACTTAGAAACAACCAGTCTTCATATAAACTCCTTTATGGGCTCTCTACAATTTTCTAATGTTGTTCCACCTTCCTTATGCAAGCATTGAGAAGAAAGTGAGAAGACTCAGACCTGGTGAGATCTCCACCCAAGCCCTAGTGCAGCCTCTATAAAGTTAATTTTAGAAAACAAGTGAATCCCATATTTCCTATAAATTTTCTTAGAGAAAAGTGTGAAGAGTTTTAAGTGATTAGAGTACCTCTCACATTAGCTTCCCATGACCCAGTGCCTATTAAGGAGAGGGAAAGAGATAAAATCTATTGGTCCCCTTTTACAAGCAGTACGAGACTATCATATCTGGGATAAGGAAAACTTGTCGGCTCTCCGCCTGGGGACAATTCTGCAACCTCAGAGCAGCAAGCTATAATTCAAGCAGAACAAGATAGTCCCACTGAACTGAAGAGGCAAAGACCAGAATTCAGTTCACCTGAAGTGCCTGAAATTTCTAAAAAGGGGCACAAGGGTGGACGGATTTGTGCAGAGTGGCCACAGAAATCTGTAAGTAGATCCACCCCCCATCCTTGGCATAGGCAACATCACCCGAGGCCTACCAAACAGTGATTGCTACAAGGCTGAGAGTGGACTAGAGCTACCAGGGTAGCTGTGCAAGGGACATTGGCAGTCCAGCTCAGCAAAAGTGAGATTTGTTCGGCACCTTTTAACAACCTGGGATGTAAATTCAGCTAAGATTAAAAATATCCCGGGTATTCATCCAAAATGCAAAAAGGAACTTAGAACTAAGGAGCCTAGAGTAAAAGCTGCTCTTCTCAGGTACAAACAAAGCCTAGAACCATGCCCTGACAAGATTTGCAAAGGAGAGTTTTTAGATCGAGTCCCATTAAGTTAGAGGCTCTCGCAAAAAACATTTTGCTTTCTATAATTCATTCTAACAGAGCATAAAACCAAGCCTATACAATTCTAAAGTGATCAGCTGGTATTGAACTCCCTGCTAGAACAAAAATAAACATTCCTCAAGGAAAGATAACATATTCTAGAATATCTGAAACATACCATCTGCAATGTTAAATATATAATAAAAAATTAGGACACACACGAAGAAACAGGACAATAGGACCAATGTTAGTGGGGAAAGCAATAAGCAGAAACTGAGCATGAGAAGGATCAAATGTTAAGCTTAGCAGATGAAGATTGCAAAGTAGCCTTTGTGCATTGTGGAAATAAAAGAAAGTGTGTTCAAAGAATTAAGGGAAAATATATTATTTTATGAGTAAACAAATAGTCTCAGCAGAGAAATGGAAGCTGTATAAACCAACTAAATGTAAATTCTAGAACTTACACAATACTTGAAATGAAAAATTTTCTTGATTGGCTTAATAGAAAAGAGAAGATCACAGATTTAAAAAAAGAGCTAGTGAATCTGAATATTGAGAGAAATTTTAGCATCTAAATAACAGGGAACATATATATTTTAAAAATTAACAGAGATTCAGGCATCTTGGGGGATGATATAAAATGGCCTAATATGTATGTATGTAATAGGAGGCTTAGGAGAGAAAAAGAGAAAAGAGGAGAAAAAATATCAGAGGAAAATGCCTTCTAATGATGAGAAAACATTGATTCATACATCCAGAAACTCAATGAACCCTGAATAGGCAAACCACCAAGAAAACCACATTAACTTTATAATCAAGCTGTTGAAAATGAAAGATACCAAAAAGAACCTTGAAAAAAGCCAAAGGGAAAAGCATGAATGATGGCTGCCATGTCATCAGGAACGATGAAAGCCAAAAATCAATGAAATGGCATTTTTAAAGTGCTAGAGTTAAAAATGGTAACCTAGAATTTTGTATACAGTGAAAATATGCTTTAAAAAGCAAGGTGAAACTGCTCCCACTTTTGGCCAAGGTGGAGTCAGATGGACTAGATTTACCCTCCACTCTGAAACAATTGAAAAAAACAAAATATATGAAAGGGCGGTTTTCAAGATATTGAACACTAGGCAATGAATGCCAGTCATCACAGAAAGATAAATGCATGAGGAAATCCTACAATTGTTCCAGCTTTCTGCCTAAAGATTGTTTCTGGCTGGGTGCAGTGGCTCACGCCTGTAATCCTAACACTTTGGGAGGTCAAGGCAGGAGGATCGCTTGAAGCCAGGTGTTTAAGACTAGTGAGACCCTGACTCTAAAAAAAAAAAAGAAAAAATACACACAAAACAAAAAGATTGTTTCTAAGCTATAGTGCAGGGAGACCATGAGGACTCCAGATCCCTTCAGTTGAGAAGACAAGTTGATAGTGTGAGAAGGACAAGGGAACTAAAGTTCACAGGACAGAGTGGCGGAGAGGAGAGAACTATACAAAGAGAGAGCTCCACAGATCTTCACAGGGTCCCCATAGATTCTTCAAGTTAGTATTGATAAGGGCATACATAGGAGAAAACCGCCCAAGGCTGAGAAAAGAACCACCTGAAAGAATTGGAAGGAACAATTTCCAGAGCTGACACAGGATCAGAAATAGTTCTCATTCCCACCAGCCAAAGTGAAAGACATTATAATTCGTGGAACAATAGGTGGAATATTCAGAAGGGATTTGCTTAATGGTGGGATAAAATTAGCCCTTGTATAAATACTGCTTTGGTTTAACCTGACAAAGCTTAAAAGCAAGATCAGAAAGGATCAAACTATTTCCAAGTAACTTAATAGTATCCCAAAACAAAGCTCAATAATATTTTATAAAAATAAAAGTATGCAACATATAAGATAAAATTCCCAATGTCTGACATCAAATTAAAAATTATATGCCATACAGAGAAATGAGACCTCTAGTGAAGGCAACAAAATCAATTAAAATCAAGCTAGAAGCTACAAAGATGATAGAATAAACAAGGATATTAAGACAGATTTTTTTTTCAATTTTCTATTATGGTAAAATATACACAAAATTCACCATCTTTAACATGTTTATGTGTATGATTCAGTGGTATTAAATACATTCATAATGCTATGCAATCATATCACTGCTGTTCTTCTCCAAAACACTTTTCATCTTGTTAAATGGAAACTCTATACCCATTAAACAGTAACTGTGGATATTAGTCCCTTAACAGACATACAACTTGGAAACATTTTCTCCAAATACGTGGGCCGCCATTTTTGCTCTGTTGATAGTGTATTTTCATGCACAACTAAAAAAAAAAATTAATGAACTCCAGTTTTCTATTTTTTCCTTATACTTTCTCTGTTTTTGGTATAATATCCAAGAAACAATTGCCAAATTCAATGTTGTAAAGCTTTTGCCCTATGTTTTCTTCTAAGAGTTTCATAGTTTTAGGTCTCACATTTAGGTCACGGATCCATTCAAGTTAAAGGCCCCAACTTCATTCTTTTGTATGTGAATACCTAGTATTTCCAGCACTGTTTGTTGAAAAGACTGTTTTCTCCCCTATTGACTGGTCTTGGCACCCCTGTGAAAACTCATTTGACCATACAGGCAACGGTTTATTTCTGGACTCTATTCTATTTCATTGGTCTACATGTCTGTCTTTTGTTTTTCAACTTTTATTTTAGATTTGGGGGTACATGTACAGATTTGTTACAAAGGTATATCACGTGATGTTGAGGTTTGGGGTGTGAACACACCCATCACCCAGATAGTACCCCATAGGTAACAAAGTACCCCATAAGTAGCTTTTTCACCCTTGCCTCGACCTCTGTCCCTCCCCCCTTTTGGAGTCCCCAGTGTCTACTCTTCCCATCTTTATGTCCATGAGTACCCAGTGTTTAGCTCCAACTTATAAGTGAGAACATGTAGTATTTGTTTTTCCATTTCTGCATTAATTCACTTAGGATAATGGCCTCCAGTGCCATCCATTCTGCTGCAAAGAACATGATTTCAGTCTTTTTATGGCTGGGTAGTATTCCATGGTGTATATTTTCCACAATTTCTTTATGCAATCTATTGTTGGTGGGCACTGAAGTTGATTCCATGTCTTTGCTGTAGTGAATAGTGCTATATGGACATGAAGGTGTATGTCTTTTTGGTAGAATGATTTGTTTTCTGCTCTTATTGCCCAGGCTGGAATGCAATGGCACGATCTCGGCTCACCACAAACTCTGCCTCCTGGGTTCAAGCGATTCTCAGCCTCCTGAGTAGCTGGGATTACAGGCATGCACCACCATGCCCAGCTAATTTTGTATTTTTAGTAGAGATGGGGTTTCTTCATTTTGGTCAGGCTGGTCTCGAATGCCCAACCTCAGGCCTCCCAAAGTGCTGGGATTATAGGCATGAGCCACTGTGCCCAGCCGATTTGTTTTCTTTTGGATGTATACCCAGTAATGGAATTGCTAGATCAAATAATAGTTCTGTTTTTTTGAGAAATCTCCAAACTGCTTTCCACAGTGGCTGAACTAATTTACATTCCCACCAACAATGTATATGTGTTCCCTTTTCTCTGTAGCTTCACCATCTGTTTTTTGACTTTTTAATAATAGCCATTCTGACTGTGAGATGTTCTCTCATTGTGATTTTGATTTGCATTTCTCTGATGATTAGTAATTATGAGCATTTTTTCGTATGTTTCCAGGCTGCTTACATGTCTTCTTTTGAGAAGTGTCTGTTCATGTCCTTTGCCTACTTTTTTTTTTTTTTTTTTTTTTTTTTTTTTTCTGAGTTGGAGTTTCGCTCTTGTTGCCCAGGCTGGAGTGCAATGGCATGATCTTGACTCACGGCAACCTCCACTTCCTGGGTTCAAGAGATTCTCCTGCCTCATCCTCCTGAGTAGCTGGGATTATAGGCGTGCATCACTACGCCAGGCTAATTTTGTATTTTTAGTAGAGACAGGGTTTCATCATGTTGATCATGCTAGTCTCAAACTCCTGACCTCAGGTGATCCACCCGCCTCGGCCTCCCAAAGTGCTGGGATTACAGGCATGAGCCACCACGCCTGGCCCTTTGCCTACTTTTGAAAGGGCTTATTTGTTTTTGGCTTGTTGATTTGCTTAAGTTCCCTATAAATTCTGGATATTAGACCTTCGTCGGATGCATAATTTGCAAATATTTTCCCTCATTCTGTAGGTTGTCTGTCTACTCTGTTGATAGTTTCTTTTGCTGTGCAGAAGCTCTTTGGTTTAATTAGGTCTTACTTGTCTATTTTGTTGTTTCTGTTGCAATAGCAATAAATTCTTTGCCAAGACCAGTGTCAAGAAAGGTATTTCCTAGGTTTTCTAGGATTTTTATAGTTTGAGGCTTTATCTTTAAGCCTTTAATCCATGTTGAGTTAATTTTTGTATGTGGTAATAGGTAGGGGTCTAGTTTCATTCTTCTGCATATGGCTAGCCAGTTATCCCAGCACCATTTATTGAATACAGAGTCCTTTTCCCACTGTTTATTTTTGTCAACTTTGTCAAAGATAAGATAATTATAGGTATGCAACTTTATTTCTGGGTTCTCTATTCTTCTCCATTGGTCTATGTGTTTGCTTTTGTACCAGTATCATACTGTTTTGATTACTGTAGGCTTGAAGTATAGTTTGAAGTCAGATAATATAATCCTTTTTACTTAGGATTGTTTTTGGTGTTCAGGTTCCTTTTTGGTTCCATATGAATTTTAGAATAGTTTTTTTCTAATTCTGTGAAAAATAACAATGGTAGTTTGATAGGAATAGAATTGACTTTATAGATTGTTTAAGGTAGTATGGCCATTTCCACAATATCGATTCTTCCAATCTATGAGCATGGAATGTTTTTCAATTTGTTTGTGTCATCTGTGATTTCCTTCACCAATGTTTTGCAGTTCTCCTTGTAGAGATCTTTTACCTCCTTGATTAGCTGAATTTCTAGGTATTTTTATGTGTGTGTGGCTCAGCTTGAATGTTATTGGTGTATAGAAATGCTACTGAGTTTTGTACATTGATTTCGTATCCTAAAACTTTACTTTTGAAGCCTTTCAGTTTTAGGAGGATTTTGGCGAAGTAGTTAGGGTTTTTCTTAGGGATAGAACCATATCAAGAGTGAAGAGGGATAGATTGACTTTTTTTTTCTATTTGGATTCATTTTATTTCTTTCTCTTGCCTGATTGCTCTGGCAAGTACTTCCAGTACTATGTTGAATAGGAGTAGAGAAACTGGGTATCCTTGTCTTGTTCGAATTCTCAAGGGGTATGCTTTCAGTTTTTGCTGGCTTAGTATGATGTTAACTATGGGTTTGTCATAGATGGCTTTTATTATTTTGAGGTATATTCCTTTGATGCCTGGTTTGTTGAGGCATCATGAAGAGGCTTCATGTTTTTTATCATGAAGAGATGTTAGATTTTATAAAAATCATTTTCCATGCCTATTGAGATGATCACATAGTTTTTGTTTTTAATTCTGTTTATGTGATGAATCACATTTATTGATTTGCGTATGTATGTTGAGCCAACCTTGCATCCTAAGAAGAAAGCCTCCTTGATTGTGATGAATTAACTTTCTCATGTGCTGATGGATTCAGTTTGCTAGAATTTTGTTAAGGATTTATGTATCTATATTCATAGGGAATATTGGCCTTTAGTTTTCATATTTTGTTGAGGCTTTGCCAGATTTTGGCATCAGGATGATGCTGGCTTCATAGAATGAGTTAGGGAGGAGTCACTCCTCCTTAATTTTTTGGAATAGTTTCAGTAGGATTCATACCAGCTCATTTGTATGTCTGGTAAAATTCGGCTGGGAATTCCTCTGGTCCAGGGCTTTTTTTAGTTGGTAGATTTTTTATTACTGATTCAATTTTGGAACTCATTACTGGTCTGCTGAGGTTTTCAATTTCTTCCTGATGCAATCTTGAGAGGTTGTGTGTTTCCTGGAATTTACCCATTTACTCTAGATTTTCTAGTTTGTGTGTGTAGAGTTTTTCATAACAGTCTGAGGATTTTTTGTATTTCTGTGGGATCGACTGTAATGTCACCTTTGTCATTTCTGATTGTGCTTATTTGGATCGTTGTTTTTCTTTGTTGATCTAGCTAGTGGTCTATCAATCTTGTTTATCTTTTCAAAAAGCCAACTTTCAGTTTCATTGATCCTTTGTATGGATTTTTGGGTCTCAATTTCATTTAGTTCTGCTTGGACTTTAGTTACTTCTTTTCTTCTGCTTGCTTTATTTTGTTCATGTTTTTCTAGTTCCTTTAGATGTGATGTTATATCATTAATTTGAGAACTTTCTAACTTTTTGAGATAGGTGTTTGGCACTATAAACTTTCCTTGTAATAACACTGCTTTTGCTGCCTCCCAGAAATTTTGGTGTGTTCTCTGTTTTCATTTCAATTTTTTTAAATTTCTGGATTAACTTTGTTATTTATCAATAGAACCACTCTTGATAAGGTTCTATCCCTCAGAAAAACCCTAACGACTTTGCCAAAATCCTCCTAAAACTGAAAGGCTTCAGTAAAGTTTTAGGATATGAAATCAATGTATAAAACTCAGTAGCATTTCTATACACCAATAACATTCAAGCTGAGCCACATACACATAAAAATAACAAGAAATTCAGTTAACTGAGGAGGTAAAAGATCTCTACAAGGAGAACTGCAAAACATTGGTGAAAGAAATCATAGATGATACAAATGGAAAAACATTCCATGCTCATAGATTCGAAGAATCAATATTGTGAAAATGGCCATACTACCTAAAACAGCAAAGTAATCCTGAATTACTTTGTTGTAATTCAGGAGCAAGTTATATAATTTCCATGTAATTGTGAGGTTTTTGGAGATTTTGGTATTGATTTCTATTTTTAGTCCATTGCAGCCCAAGAGTATGGTTGGTATGATCTTAACTTTTTAAAAATTTATTGAAACTTGCTTTATGGCTGAGAAAGTGATCAACCGTAGAGTATGTTCCACGTGCTGATGAGAAGAATGTATACTCTGTGGTTAATGGGTAGAGTGTTCTCTAGATGACTATTAGGTCTAATTGATCAAGTGTTGAATTTCAGCTGGAATTTCTTTGTTACTTTTCTGCCTTGATGGCCTGTCTAATGCTGTCAGTGGGGTGTTGAAGTCTCCTACTATTATTGTGTGGCTGTCTACACATACATTTAAAGGTACTTGTTTCATGAGCCGGGGTTCTCCAATGTTGGCGGTGTATATATTTAGAATAGTTAAGTCTTGTTGAATGAACCCTTTATTATTATATAATGACTTTCTTTGTCCTGTTTAATGATGTTTGCTTAATGTCTGCTGCCTCTGATCTAGGAATAGCAACTTCTGCTCATTCTGAAGAAGTCTCTTGAAAACAGAAGACGGTTGGGTCTTTTTTTTTTTTTTTTAATTCAACTTGCCACACTGTGCCTTTTAAGCAGGGCATTTACACCATTTACATTCAAGTTTAATATTTATAGGTGAGAGTTTGACCCTGTCATGTTATTAGCTGGTTACTTTGTAGTCTCTATTGTGTAGTTGCTTTATAATACCTGTGAGCTATGTATTTAGGTGTGTTTTTGTGGCAGCAGATACTGCTTTTTCATTTCCATGTTTAGAACTCCCCAGGCCTAAAGGATATCTTGTAAGACTGTTTTAGGGGTAATAAATTCCCTTAGCATTTGCTTGTCTGGAAAAGATTTTATTTCTTCTTTGCTTATGAAGCTTAGTTTGGTGGAATATTAAGTTCTTTGTTGGAATTTCTTTTCTTTAAGGATCCTGAAAATAGGCCTCCAATCTCTCCTAGCTTGGAAGGTTTATATTGAGAAGCCTGCTGTTAGCCTGATGGAGTTTCCTTTGTGAGTGATTTGACCCTTTTCTTTAACAGCCTTTAATAATTTTTTCTTTCATGTTGACCTTGAAGTCTGATGACTATGTGTCTTGGGGATGGTTCTCTTGTTAGTATCTAGCAGGTGTTCTCCAAATTTCTTGAATTTGTATGTCAACTTCTCTAGCAAGATTGGGGAAATTTTCATGGACCATACCCTCAAATATATTTTCCGAGGTGCTTATTCTCTATTCCTTCTCTCTTAGGAATGTCAATGAGTCATAGTGTGGGGGTCTGTCCCGCAGACTCTGAGCCAACGACAGATGAATGAAGTACACTGACACACAGATATTCTGCTTTGCCAGTTCAACTGAGCGTCCAGGCCACTTAGTTGCAGCCGCAGCCCTGACCAGCCAGCAAGACTCGCATTTATTCAGTAAAGATTAATTGACAAAGGCTTGAGTCAACACCACTAGACGGTAATCGACATTGTGGACTTCCCGAGTAGAAAACAATTAAGCACCCACAGTAGATCAAAGGTTAGTCTTAGGACCACATGAGTAAACAAGCTAGTTAAGTAAACTCCCCACATTCCTTTGTTTCTACTCTAATTTATTTAACTAAGGGGACAAGGCTGCCTTCAGCCAAGTTTATTACTGGAGCTTACGCAAACCCCCCAGGCCTTCCAAGAAGGTTTCTGGCTTATAATTTTCCCCACCATCCTGACCTAACCCCCACATCATAGATTTGGTTTCTTCACATAATCCCATATTTTATGGAGGCTTTGTTCATTTTTATTAAGTTTTTTAATTTATTCATTTTTGAGATAGGTTCTTTCCCTGTAGCCCAGGCTGACGTGCAGTGACACAACCATGGCTCACTGCATCCTCGACCTCCCTGGTTCAAGCTACCCTCCTGTCTCAGCCTCCTGAGTAGCTGGGATTACAAGCACGTGCTACCACACATGGCTAATTTTTTTTTTTTTTTTTTTTTTTGGTAGAGATGGAGTTTTACCATGTTAGCCAGGCTGGTCTCTAACTCATGGGCTCAAGTGATCTACCTGCCTCGGCCTCCCAAAGTGCTAAGATTACAAGGGTGAGCCACCACACCCAGCCTGTTCACTTTTTAAAATTCTTTTTTCTTAATTTTATTTTTTATTATTAATTTTTGTTATTTACCAAAATTAACTGCAAATTACCAACCAAGCCTTTCCCTGAAAGTTGCAAGTCATCAATGGATTCCAGAGTTTCAAAGGAGTTACATCAAATAGATTCTGCCAGTGTAATTATTGTCTAAGTGGGCAGACAGATTTCTGGTACTTCTTACTCTGCCATCTTCACAGAATCCTATTTTAAAACTGATACTCTAACTGTATTCCCTATAATTGGGAAAGCTGAAAAATATTGAGTGAATTAAGCAGAGATATAGAAGATATTTTAAGAAAACAAAACACCCAAGTCAGACTTTTAGAAAACTATAACGTCTGAGATGAAAATATAATGGAAGCAATTAAAAGCAGATTAGAAATAGAAGAATAAAAGGTTATGAACTTGAAGACAGCAATAGGAACTACCCAAATAAAACAGACGAAACAAAAACTTGTTAAAAAATTAACAGAGCCTCAATGACCTTGGAAAGACTTCAAATGGCCTAATACACATATATCGGAATCTCTCAAAAAGAGAAAGTAGGAGGGACAGAAAAAACATTAAAGCAATAATGGCTAAAAGTTTTACAAATTTAATAAAAGCTATAATTCCACAGTTCCAAGAAGCTCAACACGAAGAACAAGAAACAAGAAAACCACACAAAGGCACACAAAAACCAATTGGCTGTAAGCCAGCAAAATAGATCTTTACTCTGGCATCACCAGTTGAGTCCAGTAGCAGCAGGTGATTCTGTTTTAGTTTTTGCCCTAACATTTTTGGGACCAACATCACTGCACTCTCTCAGAGGTGCCGGCATCAAATGGCCAGAATCTCCTCCTCAGAGGTCTCTGTCCCAGCTCTACAGGGCGCTCTCCTCTGTGCTACTGAAGCACCAGGACCAACACTAGACCGTGCCTCCTCTTCATGGGTCCCAGTCCAAGCTTTCTAGGACTCTCCTTCCAAGCTTCTAAATGCTGATAAACCTAATCCCTTCCCTTTGCTCTGTAGCCCTAGATAGGAGCTGCTTCCTATTATAACCACCTCTGTGATGTCTTAAGTGTTCTCTTTTTGCCTGTTTAACAATTCTTTACATTAAGTACTCTACATTAAATACTACTAAAATAACAGAGAAAGATGATTGCACCTTGTTAGGTAAAATCATAAGCTTTTTCTATCTTTTAAATTTTTTTAATCAATTTTTTTAGAGATAGGATCTCACTCCATCACCCAGGCTGGTGTTCAGTGGTGCACTCATGGCTCACTGCAACCTTGAACTCCTGGCTCAAGCGACACTTTCACCTTGGACTCCAAAGTAACACAGACTGTGTGTGAATGCCACCACACCTGGCTACTTTTTTTTGTAGAGATGAGGTGTCACTTTGTTGCCCAGGCTGGTCTTGAACTCCTGGGCTCAAGCAATTCTCCCATCTTGGCCTCCCAAAGTACTGGGATTATAGGCATGAGCCACTGCTCCTGGCCCACATTTAAAAAATTATTGTTGTATGAAATTTCAGATATGTACAGAAGAGCAAGTGTAGAGGCTAAGTACTAGAGATTGGAATGGGTTATGAGTTATTCTCTCAGTTTCAAATCCATCCCTTAATTCTCATCTTTGAGATTTGGGGCTTTGTCAGGTGCATGCTCAATAGACTGTGCCGAAAGCATGTGCTACAGGGAGATAGAAGGCTAGAGAGGGAACAAGGGGCTTCTCCCTCCTGTTTTACTTTCTGTTGCTACCAACACAACCCCAGTAGTGGTTCTTCACTCAGTAAGTAGCAAATGATTCCCAGCAGCAGTAGTTGGCTCAATTTACCAGTTTTCTATTCCCTAGGCTCCCAGAGGCATCCTCATTGTGCCCTCTTAGAGATTCAAGCACCAGCTACCTGCCATGCTCTTCTCCAAAGTCTAAGTCCCAGAGCCATGGATTTTCTGACCTGTTGTTCAATTCCTGAAATCTTTTCTGAATACCTGAGGCAAAAACACTGATTAGGCTGTGTCCCCCTGTTAGCTTTGTGGGGTCTTTCCTCAAATCCTCAGATACCAGTGACCAAACCCCTCAGATGTCTGGATCCAAATTCTGTGGTGCTGCTCCCTCAAGATTCTAAATTCCAGGAACCTCTTCTCTTTGTCCCCACATCCTTAGCTGATGTGACTGCTTTCTGCAATTACTACCTCTGTGATACATTCCTTTGGCATCTTATAGCATAAAGATGTAAATTACACCAATTCTTTTCATATCCGTCTGCTATTTTACACGCAGGTTATCTTAACTTTTGGATCTTATTTTCTTTCATCTTATCCCTTTCAATAAAGGCTAAATTATACATATGTATCAGTCCTTATGAAATGTAAAAGATCTAAACTAATTCACCTTTATCATGCTCATGTTTGTTCCACTTTATCCAAAGGGCAGTGTTATAGAGAGACCGAGAGATAGAAGATGAGAAACTCCCACATCCTTCAGGATCTGGGGAAAATTAGCTTCTAGGAAGCTAAATCTCCTCATCTGTAATAATTCATATAGAGTTGTTGTAAATATCCAGGAAAGCATTTATATGGAAGCATTTAGCAATCGTAAGCGCAGTGTAAATTAGTTCCATTACCATTACCAAATATGACTAGATGGTAGAAGGAAAAGATGATGAAACAAGAGGCGAAAAGAAGAAAAACAACCGAAAAAAGTATTCTAGAGTTTCTCTACCCACTCAGAAATAGAATAATATATAGTTTTTTTAAAATGTGGATCTCTACTTTTTCCCATTGCATTCAACTCGAATCCTCAGCCGATCTAGCACAGATCCTTTTTGCTAATGAGACAGAAACCATTTATTAACAGACAGCAAATACTGTTTATTGCAGACTTTCCAGCTGACTCATGTGAAAAAGGCACTATGAAAATTAATGAATCTAGATAATTTCTCTAAATGATTTATGTTAAAATATACAACATTCTTACATAACATCTGTTTTATATATGTGAAATAATATAACATTTAATGACAAAAATTGTGTTTCCAAAAATAACATTTGTTGAAGGTTAGGTATCTTTCTTTTCTCTATGTGGAATCTTTCACAGGATTAAAATATGTGTAAATTAAGTGCTTCTTATTACCAGAAATACTTGACACAGATAAACACATAAAATGGCCCCACTTCCTTTTAACTACTCATATCAACATTCAGAACTGAGGCTTTCATTAAGCAAAATACTGTAATGCACACCAATGCAGACTACTTCCTTTGCTAGATTTTGAGAAGACATGACCTCTTTCGCATTTGTGCTTTCTCATATATAAGAACACAGTATACATAATAAGCAGAATATAAACTAAATCAAAATACAAGCTATACAAGGAGTTGCAATCAACAGAGCCATGACAAACTCTCTTGAGAATGCTCCATAGATTTATATTTGCATGTCCAAGGTATGGCTGTACTTTACAGTTCATTCAAATGTTTTAATTTTTTTTTAAACTGTTGGCATTAAGAACTTTAAATAAATCTAAATATTCTTCCATTGAGTATGTCAGAGAAGAGACTTAAGTAAGCAGAGGCTAGCCTACAGTGAGCTATGCCCTGAATGACAGACACCATATTCACAGGCAAAATCGAAACTGCTTAGATTTTGAATCATGGACAACATTGTTGCTTTGTTGCAGTGAATAACTCCACCACTATCAAAACAATTCCTGTTTATACCCTGGGATGGGGATAAAATAATTAGTCTAATTAAGGAAACTTCACCTTGGTAAAGTAAGAAAAATATTTTCCAAGGTCAAAAAATTCAGTTTAAATTTTTTCAGTTTTAATAAAAATAATGGGCCTAGAAGCAAATCCTGTGCTCACTCAGGTTTGCATGGGTTTTTTTTTATGGTGATAAATTACATCAAGAAAAATGAATCTGACATTCCCTTCAAGGCTTCTTAAAACAAAGCATGTTGGAATAATGCCAAAAACAATGGAGTTTAAATACAAACAAACAAATTAGTGACTGCTTCCTTCATCAAAAGATTCCACTCCTGAATCACTAGCGGCAGCACTGATTTTTTCCTGTCGTCTTCTCATAATTTCTTGTAACTCGGAGCTGCCACTGCTATCCTGAAAGATAAACAGTTCAGACAAGATAGTTACTGACTTGTGCAGGCTGCAGGTCATATCATGAAATGGCTCAGGATAAAATTCTACTGTGGTTTTCTTCTAGTATCTCTTTAGGAAAGCTAACAGCTCTACTTTTTAAGTGAAGCTTCTGCACTTCACTAATATATCACATTAATAATTTTTCATTTTGTAAAGTCTGTTAAGGCAATTCACTCACCAGGCCTTTCATTTGAACATGATAAAGATAAATCAATAATGTATGTATAGTACTCTAGGTTTGCTGAGAGAAAGAGGAAATGTGTACAATAAGCATAATAACATGGTAAATTATCAAAGGACTCTTTTGGGCTCAAACAAGATACTGATCTGCCTTTAGAAGATTTTAACTCAGGCCAGAGTGGGCTCAGAATTCACCCAGTTTCCCCTCCATATAGTTCTGACCCTCCGACCATGCTGGCTTTTCTCCTTTCCCATCAACAGAAGTCTCTGGCAACACAGGCAAATAATCTAAAAGATTAACTAGATCCAAGGAAAGGGTGAGGTGGTAGAAGGTGGCTGAGGAACATGAAGAACCTCAGGTAGTCAGCCTCTGCCTCAGTTCCCATGCAGAGAATAGGAAGAGAACAAGAAGCAAGAGACCATCCTGAAGTGGGTGGTGACAGCAAATGACAATAATGATAGGCAGGTGTGGGATGAAGGAATTCAGAATTTTAGGAATATGGCATTTTCTAACATACCTTGAAGAAGTAATTATATACTCTCAACAAAATTAAATATAGTGGTAATAAAACTGCTTGAGAAAAATATATAATCCTTATTAATATTCAACATATGGAAAGCAATCAAATCAAACTTTAATATGGAGCCTTCAAGATCAATGTTGTAGGGAAAACCTCCAAGGGAAATATGGTTTCTCTTGATTCAGAATGGCTACGGGGTGATACGCATGAAGTGATTTTACCCTGAATTATTTAACTGTTGAATTTATAGAATATACCTGCTAGAGATGATTATGGATCAATTTCATGCCAAAGCCTACATTCTTTCATTTGAGTCCAAGTATAATTTTCATGAAACTATTAAGAGCTGTGAGATGTAACAGTTGGAAACTACTACCCGTATATAGCACATTTTAAGTCTAAAATAGGATATTGGAAGCTTAAGTATAAAGCAATCTAGAAAACATGACTCTCCTGCTTTCATACAGACCATTGTGATTAAATACTTTTCCAGGCTCTCTATTTTCAGTGATCTCTACCTAATGTATCTTTCCCGATTATTGAGATGTATTACTAGACCTAACACACACAGCCAGGGTTTTACAATCTTATAACCTATACGTTATTAGAATCTCCAAAAAAAAAAAAATATTAAGAATAGGCAAGGATTCTGGCCTCTTAAGGCTCTTACTCACTCAGAAGCTAATTTCCATTGTTATGTCAAAATTAAATTTCCTATAGAATTAGTCAATACATATAAAATGAGAACATTATGCTTTTTGTCAAGTTTCCAAAAGTATGTGCTCAAGCTTCACATCATATGAGCATTTATAACAAATTAACCTTCTGGAAACTGTCATTGATGATCTCAGTGACAAATTTACAAAAGCAGAGTTAAATTTAATTCAGCTCTGTTAAGAAAGGGAAATTGGCCAATATGGACATAAATAGTTGTTTCCAGAGCTTTCAATTTGCAGAAAAACACCACCTTAGGTTGACAAGTCATACCTCCAATGCAGCTTTTTGTACAGTGATTTGGCTATAGACTCTCGCCCCTTCAGGGCAGACTGTCCTCAGTTCATCCTTATTGAGAGAGAAAAGTTGTGCACCATTTAATACTCCAAGACTATTGACAGTCCTAAAAAAAAAAAAAGGAAAAAGAAACTGAGCATTAAAAATATTGCCTACAAACAAAGGAGAAAATTATCTGTTCCTGCTAGTAACTTCTCTTTTCTAAGCGTTCCATACCCTGGAACCCTTATTAAATGCCACTACAGTCTTTATAGTTAGGGCAATGACAAGTTTCTTTCATGATGATGACCCTGAGGCTATACAGATTATTAATTACAAAGTATCAAAAATGAGCCAATTCGGTTTAGGGTCATTGTTTAATACCAATTCTTGGGATTTGGTGTTTTATAGAAGGAATAGATAACTTTCTAGTAACCTGGCAATTGACTAACCATTGTATCTCATTTTTCAATCATGCTGGGTAGGTGAGTTTATAATATGTCAAGGTCCCTTGAATATGTATTATTCTAATAGTTCATTGTGCCAAATACATATGAAATGTTTATAGACTTTTAGATAGATAAATAGAACCTTTACTATGGGTTTATTAAAGGAAAAGTTCTATTAAGATTATAATTGATGCTAGGTAACACTATTTTTTATTTGCCAGAGACACTATATCCTGCAGCAGGAGGAAAGCTTATGCTCTATGTCCTATGTGGTCTAGGAAGTTCAGCTAAGACCATGGTCCTACCTAGGTTACATCACAGTAATCTGATGGAGAAAAGAAGCTACTGGGCCTCAAAGCTGCCAATAGTTTGCTTAAAGAACTAATAATGAACAGATACTACCAATTCGAAAATGGGGTGGCATCAGAATAATTATTTATGCTTATTTTAGTTCTTTTTCAGCTATGAACAGCTATAGTGAGTTCTTGAGTATGGCACAAAGTATGCAGTCTGTGCCCTTATGTTTTATAACAGTTATCTGTGACATCTAACTAAGCAAATTGAAAACAATGCATGTTGTACACACAGAATTGCAAAGTATTCACAGAGAGACTCACACAGGGTTGAATCCCTTTGACTGTAACCACGTCTTCACATCCTCTGGTGTGGAGTCGTAAGTGATATTGATAACTGGCACGTTCTGCCGTGGCACATGGAATTTCTTCTGAGCGGCACTCCGACCAATGGTCAGTCTGTGGATGAGTTCATCTTGCACTTCCTCCATCTGAGATTTCCTTCCTAGACACCAACAGGGAGTAGGTTCTTTTTGAAAATCCCTAATATTACATCACCCTCTCTAGAACCCCAATCTCTATAATCCTTGACCCCAGTAGGACCTACAGTCTAGTGTTCCTACCATCTTTCCTCACTTTTATCCTCGCCTGGTATAAATGCCATGATCAATTATTAAAATAACTCCCTGGCTCTTCTCTAGTCTCTTCATTGTACTCCTTTGGCAAAACCCCAATCCTGGTTAAACCTAACTTTCTGCGTATTCTGTGCCTGCACCTGCACAGCTGAATATAACACAACAATGCTGAATGATCTCATGTTAAATTCATGATTATGAACCTTAACTTGGCTGTTAATGCTTCCTGACAATTATACTACATTTCCTTAGACTGGTGGCTCTCAACTGGGGACAGTTTTGGCCCCAGAGGACATTTGGGAATATCTGGAGACACTTTTGGTCGTCACAATTGAGGGAGAAAAAGGGGAAAGGCTGCTGCTGTCACACAGTGGGTAGAAGCCTGGGATGCACACAACATTCTATAATGTCAGCCTCTCCTACAGCAGAGAATAACCCAGCCTCAAAGGCCAAGAAGTCCTGCCTAAGGTCATGTAACTGCCCACTGTCTTAGACAAGTATTGAATATATTCTACTTTCTCTCTACAAACTTCTAACCCTATTCCCCAATCCTCACCTTGAGCTGATCTCATTTCCTAATTTATGAATAAAATAGTTAGAAGAAAACCTCCGTAAGTTCCTCTAGTAGTTCTTCCTAACAGCACTTTCCCCATATGTTCTGCCTGCCTTCCTATTATGTTATATAAGAGCTGTTTCCCTGCTCCCAAGGCTAACTATCCATGTATGCACTAGGCCTCAAGTTCTCTGCCTATTCAAATACTGAGTCATTTCTCCCTTATTTATCCTGTTATTAATTTTCCTTCTTCACTGAATCAGTTCATCAGCCTGCAAACATGCTATTATTTTATGATTTCTGTTACCTTTAAACAAGTCCTTTTTACCATGTCCTTTCCCAGCTACTGCCCATTTTTCTGCTCCTTTTACAGCAAAGTTCACGAAAAGTTGCCTGTACTAGTGGACTCCAATTCCCATTCTCCTATTTTCTCTTAATGTCGCCGAAATTCAATTTTGCTTTTCCCCCCATCTCTCTACTACACTTTGCTAAACTCCAGCCAATTCTTTCCCAGCTACTATCTTATTTAACCTATCAGCACACATTTGAAGCAGAAGATTCCTCCTTGAAACATTTTCTCCCTGTGGCCTCCAGGATACCACAGTCTCCTCATTTTCCTCCCATGTTTCTGGACTCCCCTTCTCTGGATCCTCTTCTGAATATTCTCATCTCTCCAACTAAGTAATATTAAGGTGCTCTAGGGGACACTCCTGAGACTCATCTCTGCCAGCACTACCTCCATCAATGACCACTGTGCTTAGGTTCATGGCCATTTAAAAGATGATGGTTACCAAATTATTTTTCCAGTCCTCTTACTCGGAACTTGGGTGCATATATGCTGTCTACTTGATATATTCATTTGGGTATTTCTTAAATAGCTCAAATGCATGTCAAATATAGCATGCCCAAACCTGAATTCCCGATCTTCTTCCTGAAGCTTGCTTTTATGAACTCTTAGACTTGCTTTTTAGACTTCTCAACTCACTTAATGACAATTCTATCTTTCCAGTTCTGGCAAAATACCACGGAGCTGCACTTGATTCCTGTCCTATACTACATCCAATCCATCAGCAGATCCTGTTAGTCTGACCTCATAATGTATCCAAAATCCAATGATTTCACTGTATTTTTTCTGTTGCCAGCTTGGTCTGAGTTACCAGCCTATTAACAGATCTCTCTGCTTCCACTCCCTACCACCCTACCCATTTCTCTTCATTCTCTTCTCAGTATAACAACTAAGTGATTCTTTTAAAATGTAAGTCAGGCTAGGTGGCTCATGCCTGTAATCCAAGCACTTTGGGAGGCTGAGGCAGGCGGATCACAAGGTCAAGAAATCGAGACCATCCTGGCCAACATGGTGAAACCCAGTCTCTACTAAAAATACAAAAATTAGCTGGGCGTGGTGGCATGTGCCTGTGGCCCCAGCTACTCGGGAGGCTGAGGCAGGAGAATCTCTTGAACCCAGGAGGCGGAGGTTGCAGTGTGCCAAGATAGCGCCACTGTATTCCAGCCTGGCAACAGAGCAAGACTCCGTCTCAAAAAAAAAAAAAAAAAAAAAATGCAAGTCAGATGTTGCAGCCCCTCTGCTCAAAACATTCCCAAGTGATCCTAATTACTCCCAGTAAAAGGCCCTACAAGACCTCCACCACTCTAAAGCCACTCCACAACTCTTCTGGAGCCCTTCACTCTTGCTCCCAATGGCTCCCTTGGTGCTCTTCAAATTTAAAGGCCACTCTAGTCTGCTCTGTCTGGAATGCTTTCCCCCGCATCTCCACATAGCTTACTCCTCCCCACCTTTCTATTTCCCCTGATGTATATAAAACTGCAATCCCTCCCCAAAAGCACTCTCTATCCACATAGTTTTATTAGTCTCCAAACCACTTACCACCTTCTTGATAGATAGTTTTGTCTATCATCTTTTTTTTTTTGAGAAAGAGTCTCACTCTGTTGCCATACTGGAGTGCAGTGGCACAATCTTGGCTCACTGCAACCTCCGCCTCCTGGGTTCAAGCGATTCTCCTGCCTCAGCCTATGGAGTAGCTGGGACTATAGGCGTGTGCCACCATGCCCATGCCCAACTAATTTTTGTATTTTTAGTAGAGATGGGGTTTCACCCTGTTGGCCAGGATGGTCTCAATCTCCTGACCTCGTGATCCACCCACCTTGGCCTCCCAAAGTGCTGGGATTACAGGCATGAGCCACCGCGCCCAGCCAACTTAATCGTTTTTTAACCTACCTCCTTTCATTAAAATATAAGCCTGAGGAGAAAAAGGATGCTTCCCTTTTTTGCTTGCATCTATATCCTAATACGTGGAACGGTGCTTTAATTCAATAAATACTTGTTGAATAAATGAATGAATGAGGCATTCTGCTGACTTTTTCACCGAGACTTTGAGAATCATCATGTACAAACCCCTTACATAACCAGATAAGAAAATGAAGGCCAAAAACAGAGAAATGATCTGTCAAAGTCACATTTCAATTAGTAGAATAATTTAGCTAGAACTGGATCTTCTGACTTTCAGCAGAGGGCTGTTTTATAGCCAAAGTCATTAAAATCACCTTTGATTAACTTCCCTAGCTACTCCTTTTTCCTAGCCATTTATGCTAATGGAAAAGATGTGTGTGTATATGAACATACTGTCATGACAAAAATAGGAAAGGCATAAAAGTACAGGAAGGGGAATCATGTGTCTGTGTATTTTAAAATATGTGTGTATATATACATAGGTACATTATGTTCGTTGTTTGTTTTCACTTTCAAGAAATAAGAACAATCTAATTAAGTTGGCAAGTGACAATAACCTGGTCACTTAGGGAGCTTTTTGTGACCAATGTTCTATGATTTTTCCCCCCTAGGGAAAGGGTTTTAGAAAGTGTTTGGTGCCCCTGGGAAATAAGGGAAAGTGTGAATAGTTAGTGTTATTTCAGTCTAATTTTTTTTAATGCCTCAAGTATCTAGGAAATCTTTTGAAGTAATCAAAAAAGGGGAAAAGGGGAGGGAGGGAGGGAGGGAGGAGTAGGGGGTGCTAGAGAGAGTAAGAGAGAATACTATTGATTGTTACATTTAAGTATACATTATGTGCATTTCATTAGCTACCTTTTAAAAAATCACTACAACAAACTGTCAAACAGCATATGAGTGCATCTCAAAAGAATAAAAAATAAAATGTATCACCACACTAAAAGATTTGGTTTCTCATCTGCTGACTTAGTCAGTATATCAATCATCACCAGTCCACAGCATAGTTTTCTTCCAGGAAGGACAAAAAAACCTCCACCTAACATGTTCCTGGGCTTTTGCTTTCCATTTCCAATGTTCTAACACACAACAGCAAACCAGAATAACTTTACACCTTTCTAAAGTAACACTCTGATTACAAAAGATTAAATTCGAATAAAAGGACTACCATTTCAAAGGAAATGGGAGAAATACAAAGCAACTAAAGTTTGGCATCTTAAAAGCGATAAAAGGAGAACCTTTTGGGATCCTGCGATAAAACAGCCTGAATAGCTTCTATGACACAAGGCTTCACAGTTATTTTGAATAGGCAACACACAGACTTCCACAAAAGGGCTTCACTCTTGCCACTTGCTACGTTGTAAAAACAGGCATGTTGGCTTTTTTCCCCTGTTCATAGCTGCTACTTGATAGATTTCTATGAGTATTTACTTCCTAGTTCCTTTCATTTTATTTTTACCAGAAGTTTAGGCAGTAAGCAGAGAATGTGGGTAGATGAGTAGGCATATTTTGAGAGAAATTTGGCTATCAATAAACACACACTGAAATATGTGCTACTGTCTGGTTCTAAAAGAACATTAAGCCCCAACATTCATTCAGAGAAAAACTGTTCTGCAATAAAGTTATCAAGAAATATTTGTTTTATAAAAAGAAATATATTTATTTAATGCCAAACTGTATTTTTGAGATATTTTAAAAAGGAACTTACATAAGTTGCAAATATATTGTAAGATTTTTAATATTCTAAGGAAACAAGTATGTGTGTTAATTTTGGGAGAGATGTTTATATTTTATACACCAATGCCACCCTTTTACTTATGAAAAACAGACTTCAACATGATGAGTCACAATTATCAGGAGAGTTCTCTATCTTTAAAAGTATGCAAACTATGCCTCTTTCCCACTAGGTTATTCTTGGTTTCTCAGCGTGAACAAAGAACAGACTGTCCTAACCCACACACTGCTCCAAATGGGGACTGGAGGCCGATGAACTTTGATCCTAGCTAGGCCTGGATAAAGAGTCCCACCGTGTCAAAGATGACTGTGCTGACGTCTCTACGGAGGGAAATGCTATAAACTTGTGGGAAGAATAAAGAAGAGAACAGTCATTTCTAAGAGGAAGTTTTCTCCTTAGGGAACTCAATAAAAATATTTATAGAAATTTCTCATCTTAAAACTATGTCTTTAGTGTATTTGAAAAAGAAAACTCTTTTTAAAAACTCCACATAATTTTAAAAACTTAGTAGCATATTCTATTTTATTATGGTTCTACACACTCACGCACACAGTTGTTTTTGCTGTACAGAAAGAGCTAATCACTTTTCCAAAACTTCATTTTTCCTTTAGTTTCCTGGCAAGATAGATATGACAGTCATTTAAATTGGACATACCGTGGGAGAAAAATTAATGAGTAAAAGTAGGCTTATGCTTATTGCATTTAACCAGAATTTTTAGAATTGTTAAATAGTAATAGTTTTAGTGTCTTTTTTATTTTTTATTTTATCAAGAATGTCCACAACTGAACAGATGTGGCAATAACTTACTGACGTGAGAAAAACAGTAGGATGAAAATGGGAGTGAAAGATTCAGCCATTTAGTTTTGAACATAAATAGAAAGCATCCAATCTCAGCTATAAAGTTAATAGTTCCATACTGGTATCTGGATGTCAGAGATGAGTTTTAATACGATGACTAATTTGGGAATCATTCTTTTCCCAACAATATAAATAGTATTGAAAGAAATGGAAATAGAATGAACTACAGTAAAAGTATGTTTATGTGGAAAACGAAGGCAGAACCCTAAGAGAGGCCCACATTGAGGGAAAGATAGATATCCATCTCTCTCTCTCTGTCTCTCTATCTCTCTCTCACTCACACACACACACACACACACATACACACACACACTTCATATACTTTTGTCATATTGGGGAAATATGAAATATCTTCATAGCTCTGGTTTTCCAAGAGTTTTTACACATCAAGTATAGGTAAAGCCAAGTAACTTTATAATACGTTTAAAACACCAAATTTGGAGATTAAATTGACATGCCATATACTACAAGGTTAAACAAAATTTATCTTAAAACTACCTTCAGTTTTCAAAATATCTACACTGCTATTCACCAATAATACAAATAAGGATAATCCAAAGTTGGTCATAGTGTCTTTTTAGTTTACTTAAATATGGTTTTCATAGAAACCATTTATATGAAACATCAAATTTCAAGTTATGAAAATATGGCACTGAAGTGTAAGTCACATGAAATTTGAATTTGGAGGCTAAATCTGAGACTACTATTGGCAGGTGATTATATTAACATAGTGTGATTGTGCAGCTACTGTGAATAGCAAACAAGAGGAAGAGAAGTAGGAAGGTTATGATGATGATGATGATGGCGACAGCAGGATGTAGTTAGTGACTGCATATTACGTGTCATACAGGGGTCAAAATCAGTCAGGGGTTTTCAACCTCAGCACCATTGATATTTTGGGCCAGATAACTCTGTTGCTGGGGACTGTCCTGTGCATTGTAATTGTTGCTAAGTGTCCCTGGTCTCTACCCATTAGACATCAGTAGCATCCCCCCAGTTTTGACAACCAAAAATGTCTTCAGGCAATATCAAATGTCCTCAGAAGGATGGAGAAGAAGACAAAATCGCTCCTGGCTGAGAAGCACTGAAGTAGATGCTTTCTATGCATTATCTCATTAAATCCTCACACTTATCCTATGAAGCAGATACTATTATTTTTCTCCACTTTTTAGATATTGAAGTGCTGAGAGGATAATTAAATCATTGAAGGTCAGGAAGCTGGCAAGTGTTGTTTTGGTATACAAATTCCAGGATGTCTGGCTCCAGAGTCTGCATTCAATTATCATAACAGATTGGAAAAGGAGTAGAAAGGCATGCATTAGAGAGTGGAGAGAATACTTCCTGTTTCTCAGAACTACGTAGCTGATGAGAAACCAGGTGAAAATCTTTGCAATCTATTAAGTACCATGCAAGTATAAAGGACTTTAATACAAGTAGAATCAGCAGTAAACAATATTTTACTTAGTAGTGCTTTTAATTTGCAGAAGACATTTTTTGCCTCCCTGGGAAACTTACGGTCCACCGGAAGTTGTTTGTGTCTCTGGCTGTCTCGCACGATACTGCCACCACTGTCACTGGAGCTGCTGTTTTGACGTGTTATATTTGCTGGGACCTTTGACACAGGAACAGGTGCTGGAGTGGAAGGGGGAAGGGGAACAGGAACAGGAGCTGGTGTTGGAGGAGGTGATGGAGCAGGGGGAGTATCAGCTGGTCTTGGGCCATACTCCATCCTTTGTTTCTATAAAAAGACAAATAATTAACTTAAAATTTAAAAAATATAAACCTAGGCTAGGAAAACAAATTATACTTTGATAGGACATTGTTGGCTATTTTTAAACTTACTTGCAAACCCATTACTCATTTATCTGTAATCCTATATGGTATAATGACCATTAAAAATCATATTTTAAACATTCTACATAATTTGTTCAAAGTCAAAACATTAGTTAAGGAGTCACAAGGCTACGTCAATAGCAAATAGTAGTATTATAGTAATAAATGTCAAGAAAACAGAATTTGGGCTTGGAATCACACAAGATGAGGGGAGGCAGAAAGATTTATAATTATTTTTTAATTTATGCTAATAATAATTTCCAATTGCACTGGAAGTCTAAATGTCAACAGCATAAAGCATCACTTACTCATTTTAAATGTACGCTATATTCAAAGATTTTTAATTTTGTTTCCAATAAATAATTTTAAAATATTGGTATTATTTTGTTCAAGGCATAACTTTTTCTGCCATCATCTTAATGCTAATTTATTAAAATTAGAAATTTCCCTTGTTAAAATGGAAATGTCACGGGGTGGATGGTTGTGAGGGTAATGGTATGGTCTTTAAATGTTTATGATTGCAACTTACAAACGAATACTAGAAAGGGACCTGTGGCCATTTGTATTAAAAAAGGTAGGTGTGACAAAATGCTTTTTAATAATTTTAAAATCATGATTGTTAGGCATACTTATAAAACAGCATTTGTGCATATTCCCTATTTAAAACACACATAATAGTTAACACTTTAAATCTAAGTAAAATAATTTTAATAGATAATGCATTGTGAGAGTCTCCAAATTCTCAAAAGGCACATTTTCTTTTTAGAATCAAAGATACAGGACAATTATTTGTAATTAAGGCAAAGTTTAGATACTGCACTGGCACAATTTTAATTATTCTAATTTAGGATTAGCATATTACATGCAAAAAGACCTTTTGGTAATCTGGTCCTTTGATTAGAACAGTATTTACTTTTAAATTCTAAAATGGCCCAAATATCAGGTAGTATTGATTTTAACAGAGTCCTCCCAATTTCCACAGAGATCAAAAACAAAAATACACACCACACACAGACACATCACTTTTTAATTAAACTATTACTCAAAAACAACACATCAACCTTCATCAGTCCACTTCACGGCAAATGACTAACACCTGTGGAAACCGGTGTGGGAAGGAGCCCTCATTCTTTTCAGCTCGCTCTACTACTCACTGACCAGTGGGATGGGGTCAAGGAAGTGGGAAGCGTATTATGAAAGGATGGAAGTATATCTGAAAGGAGTGTTTATAATGCTGGTAGATGCTGAGGGAAGAAGGAGGGCAAGGAGGAGAGAGGCAGGACAGGAGGGAAGGAGGGAGTAAAGGGTAAGATTCTCAGAGTAAGAGAAGGAGTTAGGTGGGACAGAAACTGAGTTGCTAATCCCCTTAGCATTCAAGGCTTAGAAATATTTTTAATGTATTCAATACTGTATTAGAATGAAAGAATGAATTGTTATTATTATTCCCCACAAACAATCTTCCTATATTTGGGCCAATAAAATACTTAAAGCAGTCAAAATACAGCAAACATCACCAGAATGTAATACTTAGCACACACCAAAGTCATCTGATTAATGTATATGCAATGTTCCCTTGACAAGAATGTCCTCTGCACGTAATTTCATGAAGGGCAAATGAATTCTCACATTAGTGTTTCAAAAGCATCATAGTTTCAATTATTGTTTTTAAAGCCTAAACAAACAAAAATGCCATGAGCCCTGCTTTCCATATGATTCATAATTTTTGCTTTTGCTATTCATCAAATACTATTGTGAGAAAGTGAATAAACTGTGTTACTGTCACAATCAAGCCTGAAAACAAACTCACCAAATGTTCTGTGCTTTATTTCATTCATGCCATTGTTACATAATGCAACTTTATCAGTATGACCTACCAAAATAATAGGTTTAAAATACATATTTGATTAAAGAAACCCATATGAAAATGTATGCCATAAATTATATTTACTTGCATATTTTCCTCTTTCCTTAGTCCTCTCCTCCTGCCCCATGTTTCCAACCTCTGACATTAAAAGGGGCAAAGTACCTTCCTTGAATCGTGACAACTGGTTCTGAATGGCAACCTAGACAGCTCTTCCATGGAAACTGGTTTGAAATTCTTCATGTGGAAGAAAAAGAATCAGCACTGACTCCTAACGTCACTTTTCTGTCTCCCTCCCTAGCTTCTCTACTCCTCTTTACCTAACACCCAACTACTGTTCTTCCTTTCCTTATGTCTGTCTTTTGGCTATTTTTTGTTGAAGCTACAGAGTTAATGATTCCAACGTATCTCAGTTTACGTAATGTCTTGGAGAACAGAAGTGCACTCTGAACTTTTTTCTCCTGAACCAACGTACTGAAGCTCCAAATCCAAAAAAGAAATTCTGACTAACTGTTCTTGGTTGGCCTGAGACTTTCCCAGTAATTAGCACTGAAAGTTCCACATCTTCACAAACCCCTCAGACTCCCCAGCTGGGAACTGGGAGGGTTGGTCAGCCTGGTGTGGACCTACTTTTGCACCCAACTGTCACTTCCTTACTCTTGCCTGTGATAGCCCACAAACACAAAGTTCTGTTAAAAGCAAAATCTATCTTTTTGTCTCTCTTTCTCTGAAAGAAGGCAGAATTAATAGACCTCATAGGAAATTTACTTTCCTATTGATAATTAAGTTGGAATGAGTCACTTTTCTTTAGCAACTTAAGCTGAGTAGAAATTCTAAAGAATTAAAGAATGCTATTGAGAGATAAGATCCTGATTCATACAAGATGCTGCTTCAGAGGGGAAATTATGCAAGTAAGCGCAACAAAGCCATTAAAATTGAACTGTTCTTAAATATTTAACCTACTCTAAATTACACATTTTTCCTCTAAATTTGGTTATTTGGGAACTCTGCAGTGAAAACTAAGCACAGCTGGAACATTTGGAGGGTGTTAAGTTGAGAGACTGAATCCAAAAAATTATATTAAAAAGAAGTGCCATGAGGGAACGAATGTGGGTTACCTCTGACAGCTCGCCAAGTAATTGCTATTAGGAAAATGGAGCAAATCACATCAAATGAGAAAATTAATACAGGAAATGGAATTAAAATAATATCAATTATAATTCACATCAAATATCAGAAAGAGTAAATTAGCCTGACAGTAAAATTACATGCCCACAATCAACCAGTGAAGGAGCCTGTAAATCTATAATTAATTCCCATCACTATCTAGCCATGGAAAACTAATCATATAGATTCTACTATAGTAGAAACCGTGTAAAGTACTTCAACAGTAACTATTTGTATATTCAAGTAAAATACTAAGATATAGGTTTATTTTATTCCTATTGCTCATAAAGAATACAATTAGAATGCATTACATGTAAGAGTTATTCTTGTTTAATTAGCTGATTTTACAGAAGGTAATACTGCATGCATTATCGTGTGATTGTAATGAGCTTTAGTTTCAAACTTTCTAAGCAGCCTGAACATAGAACATTTAATAAAATTATGTACATGTGCATGTCAGACAGTAATTATCAATACTTTATATATGTATAAAAACACATATATATATTTATAGTGGGTATTATTCAAATTATCATTAAGAAGTCTCTGGGAAAATGTCAATACATGTGACAGAATAAAAAGTAAACATCTTTGTCTAAAAACCATGCCTATAATTAATGAGCAGAGTCTTCTGATATTAATTTTTAAAAAACACTTTTGAAGAACTGAATATTATCAGGAGGTTGGCCTGGCTGGAAGAATATAAGCCATCTTTGGTAAAATCGTCACTCTATCCAGCAGTAGCTAAATGTCTGTACTGAGCTTAAAAAACAGAGCACTAATAACATAGGCTGAAATTAGTAGTGTTAGCGGTTTAGTAGTCACCTGTACAAAACATTTCCACTTTTATTTTAGGGTGATTTAAACATGTATATAATGAATGAGAAGATTTTATACCTAGACTGGATTGTAGAGATCACATAACTGACTCCTTCTATTTCATGACCAAGCAAATTGGAACACAGAAAAATAAAATGCTCTCTTTAAGGACTAGAACCCTCACCTACCAATACCTAGATTGGGGCTTTTCACACAGTATCATATTACAGTATCTCTTGCTAGACAATAAAGAATATGGGAAACGTTTTGTTGAATTCACGTGACCACAGAGACTGGACATTCATAATTACTTGCATCTTGGTAGAGTAAGAATACCTATAACAATAATAAACGCATAGATAATAATTAAGAATATATGAAAGACTTCTTTAGTCAGTCCATTGGATATATAATAAATAACATCACGGGAGGAGGTGGTTTCTGCTCTTGGCATATACCTTGCAAATTTAAATGGGCAAAAGGGTAATTCTAGCAGACGAGCAGTCACAGGGCTAGAGGTCAGAGAATCAAGTCAAAATAAAGATCAGGAAACTTTATGTGGCAAGTAGCTTCCAGGTGGGGAGAAAGAACCCTGGATGTCCATCTGCTGCCCAGCTAAAATACTACAAAGCCTTGGAATGCTCTACAACATTTTTATCAAGACATGTTATCTCTCCATAATCTCTCCTCAGCATTTACTTCCTTTTCTCTGTGGTTTATTCAATCTTTTGTGTCAATATCTTTTGTAAATTTTTATTACTTTCTCTTTTATGTTTAAAACTTTGCTGAAGCCATGGGGGAAATACATTAGGTGGGAATGGTTGTCTTTACAGAGCTGTTAAAAATCACTTCAAATGTGAGGATATTAAATAGCCTAGACTCTCAGGGACACCAGGTGGCAATTCAACACCTATTCACTGCCTGGTATGAGCATCCCTGTCATCAGAACAGAATCTCTGATAAAAAGTGTGTGAACAATAGGCAAGAGCTGCACTTGTGCCCTTCACCCAGAAACTGCCATTATTTATATATATGTCTTTATAGGAAATGTAAGGGTATAAAAATAAGAGTCATGACTGTCCCTTTTTTTAAGTATTTGGTGACTCACAGATGTTGCATGGAAATAGTTTACATCTAATTCCCTTATTTCCACCACTTACAAAAATGTCCTATTCTAAGTAAATCATATAATTTGGGTTATTTTCCTAAATTATAAAATAATGAACAATACCATGAAATCCAGTGAATGGATACATAAAGCAAAAATCAAATTCCAAGGATTGTGACTGATCAGATCAACTTTTATCACAGTATAATGCAAAGTAAAGCTATTCTGAGAAAATATCACTTTAAACATTAATACAGAGAAAAACTATGGGTTTATACAAAAAGAGATGACAATCTTTGTTTTTTCTTCTTTTTCTTCTTGTTTTGAGACGGAGTCTCGCTCTGTCGCCAGGCTGGAGTGCAGTGGCACAATCTCGGCTCACCGCATCCCCTGCCTCCTGGGTTCAAGCGATTCTCCTGCCTCAGTCTCCTGAGTAGCTGGGATTACAGGTGTGTGCCATCATGCCTGGGTAATTTTTGTACTTTTAGTAGAGACAGGGTTTTGCCATGTTGGCCAGGCTGGTCTCAAACTCCTCACCTCAAGTGATCTGCCTGCCTCGGCCTCCCAAAGTTCTGGGATTACAGGCGTGAGCCATTGTGCCCACCCGAAATGAGAACCTTTTATAATCACTATTCTCTAGAACAGCAGAATGCAACACAGCACAGGCTCTGGATCCAGAGTGCTGGGGCCCAATCCTGGCTTCATACAGCTGTATAAATCTGGGCAAATTATTTCTCCTACACCTTAGTTTCCTACAAAAAAATGTGCCTCCTTCACAAGGTTGTTGTGGGAATCAAATGAATTTGGATTTGCGAAGTGCTCAAACAATGCCTGGCACAGCATGAGCACTGGCCACGGGCATATCTTCTCTAGAGAGGAGTATCTGTGAATGTTGTTTTCTGTGAATGTGAAGCAAATTTAAGTAATGAATCATTGCTTCCTTTTGGCAGCATGGTGCAGGAATCTAAAATATTTTTGTTAAAGTTTCTTTATATTTCTTCAAAGTTTTGATATCACTGGATGAAAGAGACAGATGGAAGAGAAAACAAATGTGTGGGCCATATCTGAGGAGGAGAAAGAGGGTCACGCTGCTCTTGATACAGCAAGCATGCAGGAAGGAGCAAAGCCATGGCAGATGACCTGTGGACTCATGCAGGCTTTCGGGAAGGATCTGCTCGGCGCTAGGCTTTCTATTGTTCTTTTTACCAAGTGTGTGAGATGCCAGTACTCAATATGTATTTGTGGAATGAGTGAATAAAAAGATGAGTAAGACATAAAATTGTAATCCAGTTGAGTTTTATAAGGTTAGGGTATTAGGATCAGTGGAATCTACATAAATATGGTGGTATCTTAATTATCATTCTGAAATAAGTTGCAGGATTCTTCCTTAGATATTTTAGATATGGGTATCTGGTGTTGTAGAGATATAAAACAGTAGATATGGGTATCTACTGTTGTAGAGATATGAAACAGTAGATATGGGTATCTACTGTTGTAGAGATAGAAAAATGACTGGCACATATTTCCAAGGATGTTTTCTTTTCCATTTTACTCTATTCTTTTTTTAAAGAATATATTATAAATGTTTTGAGAATAGGAATCCTTTTAGAGTAGGATTTATGCCAGATAGCAGATAGCAAAGCAGACTGTGAAGCTTGCTTATTAAAATTTTACAAGGTCTTAGTGGTTTTGTTGAGCTCAGCCCAAAATTTTCAGGAGGTGTTAAAAAGCAGATTGTTTTTAATACATTTTCAAAGTAGGGCCCTCAACCTGAACAGCATACGCTTCTGCATACACACAGAAAGCTTCTGTACACATTTCTACACACACCACTACATTTGTAGTTGCAACCCGAATTTTTAAGAAGAGAGTAGGATAGTGTTGAAAAGTTTAAAACGAAATAGCCAAATAGGCAATCCCTATAAGAACCACAAGTTTCTATTTACATAAAGTAGCAAAACAAACTCCTGAAACTTGTGAACTCTTAAAAACATTTCTTGGGTTGTGCCAAAGTTGACAAAAATAAAAGATGAGGTTCTGTTTAAGAAAGGAGGAATAGGTTTGACATTCTCTGAAAATACTTTCCCTGCGTATGATATATATTAATAGTTTTGGTTCAGTTTTAGACAGAAGCAACCTTTTAAACAGAAAAGTCAACTTATGGCTCAAGCCAAGAATCAGAATTAAAGAAAAAGACAAGACTGAACAGTAAACAGCAAAAGGTAAGAGATATTAAACTTTTCAGGAATATCAGGTAGGAGAAAATTCCTATTATAGAATTCATACTATTTGCATGTTTTTTATTTTATCGCAGTTTGCTTATTCCTAGCAACCACACACACAAATAAAACAAATTTGGATAATTGTTTTCAAAACTTAAAATATAAACTCTTGCCTTTTGCTCACATATGGGGATCAGGGATATCCTTTATGAATAGTGCTTCTCATAGCTTACCATGACCTGCATATTAAAATTAGTTGATATAGCCCAAAGGTATGTACTCTACCATTATTTTAAGTATAGGTTTCAAGCATATACTACCTCTATGGGAAAGAAAATGAAGAACTGGTATTCATGAACCAGACAGAAGCATATATTATATTAGGTAAACAGATATTAAACTCAGAAAAGTAGGAACTAAGAAAAGAAAAAGGTATAAAAACTAAGAAAATTCACTTCAAAAACCCATGGGAAATGGAGGAGACCATACCTTGAATAACTCAAACTCCTTCTTTGGCATCAACAGCTAATGACAAATGATGAACATAAAATAAGTACATAATATATATATGCACATGAGGCCAGCCAAAACATAACACAGCAAATAATTTCCATTGCCATCACTTTAAGTTACCGAGATAGAGAAACTATACACAAATTCTTTATTTTGAATGTTTGCTTGATTCATGGATTCTAGTAAGGCCAAGTCCCTCTGGATAAGCACAGGACTGACACCAGGCATGAATGTCATGAGGAGCCAAAAGTACTGAAATAAATTGTCACGGCAGCAGAAGTATGACCACAATTCCAGCTTTGGACAATCTGTATTTTTTTAAGCCTAGATCTGGCATAAAAATTAACTATTTCACTGCATATTCTACGCAGCTTCTACTCAAATTCATGACATTATTATGAGGTCAGATGTGATCTTTTTCTCGAGACTTTGAAAATTAAAAGAGTTCTTTCTGGGGGAATGAGAAGCCACCCCAGGTTCACTGGCTGTACCTGAGAGAGTCCATCCATTCTGTCTTTGTTTACAGACCTAACTCTAGAGAGCCTGGCACAGGTCTAAAATTCCGGAGTTTAAGAGCAAGTTAATTCAGATGTTAGGGTGAATGAGCTGACCAGGGTCACTGAAATCCTGAAAATGTGGCATGGGCCATAAGAATGGACCTTCATGGGCCTTCAATGAACAAGAAGAGAGAGCCTGACCTATCTAATCTATATCCTAAGTACCTTTTAATCTTAAAATCAAGAGAGGAAAAATATTGTAATCCAGGTGAACAGGTACTCATGTATTAGTGTAAGGTGAGATGAGTGCAAGTTCAAGGCTGGTCAGTGGCAGAACATTTAAGAGACTGAAAGCAAGGGCTGGTGAAGGTGAACTGCTGGACACCATGCCGTGATATCAGTGCCATCCTCTATCAAGAGGAAGCCCCTGGTGGATAGCAGAGCTGTGGGTAAAAAGACAGAAATACCATTTCTTCAAATGTCAGAAATACTACAGATTGGGGAAAAAAAGCATTCAGAGAATCAGGTACCTACTGCTAAACATCTTGAACAATTTCTAGAAGTAAATCAGAAAACATATGTGTAATTCTTCCCTGTGTCTCTCACCATTGCCACTCCCCCACCAATTACTCTAGAAAAAATATATAACCAACTACATCTCAAAATGATCAATACACAAAGGTGTTTAAATCCTACTTAAGAGTGATAACTTCGTAAATGTGTACATACTACATTTTACTAAGAAATCATGCTCACCTGTATAGTATGAGTATAAGGTGGATCAGCACGCCCCAATCCAGATTCTGGAGGTCTCACAATATCCAAAATGTTATTTGGCACAAATCCAGAGTCTCCACTTGCATTTCGAACTTTCCACCATTGCTTCCGATCATCAAGTATCTGTCATGTACAAGAAAATAAAGGTATAATTTCCATATAAAAGCCATTCTACGAAAGAAGTTCCCTAGACTTCAACAAAGAAAATTTTTCTACTTCTGATAATTAACTCAGCATCAACATAGTGTTGATTGAATGATTCTCAGGAATTACACTAAGAAGACATTTATGAGTATACAGTAGGTAAGGTATCATTATGGTGAATCTACCCAAGGTCCATTTTACCTCCAAAGAACAGCCTGCATTATTTGAAGTACTTAAGGACTAAAGTACTTAAAGGACTTAAGGACTAAAATGACTCTTTTGGAAAGCCCCATTGTCTCCATTTTGGTGATAGAAAGAAAAAGTATATAAAAATTACTTTTTTTCCTTACAAAATTTATTGTGATAATTCACCTTATATATTCAAGAAGATGAACTGTCAATTAGAATCTAACAAAGAGAAGTTGGTGTTGTGGTGGATTATCCCTAACATTATTAGCTCAATGACTGCTGAGTATATCTGTGCAAGGATATAGGATTAAAAAAAGAATGTTGTCTCTTATTGAACTATTATGTGCATCCACATCTGAATTGTTAACTAGTCTTGACTCCAAAATGAATAAATATCAGAAGAAGAAAGAGGGCAAGGAAGAGAGCAAAGGAAGTTAAAAAAAAACCCACCCTGCCACTCCCCACAAAAAACAAATAAAGGAGTATTCTAAAGCTATCCCCTTAGAAGGAGTATCTATATACCCCTACTAAATAGATGTAGATATTTCTAATATACTACGTCTTTAGTAATATAATACTTTTGAAGGAAAGTTTAGTTATATACCAAAAGAGTAATACAATAAAACTACTTTATTAAGAGTATAAAAAAGAAAAAATTATATTACCTCTAAAATATCATCCTTTAGAACCGAGAGCTCACTGTTGTTCCTTGCTACAAAGTCATACTTGGATTTGGCATATTTCTTGGGTTGTGTTTTGAGTGGTTCATAATTTCTATAAAAAGAAAGAAAAAAGATTATTATTCTGCTAGCTCTTCCTAAAGGATAAAAATGGAAAACACTGAGACAAGCCAAATCCTACCAGAAAACTTTCTGAAAAATTACAGCAGTTTCATTTTATTATATTTTACATTATGATAAATAAAAGTTACTTTAAAGTTCTTGCTTTTAAAATGAACAAATTATGGCCAGGGATAAAAACAAATAATGCAAAATCACAAGGCCAGGTGGTACTTAGCCAAATCCAGAATCCAAGTCTATGAATTCTTTGTCTACTAAATACACATACTGGATATTATGTTAATTACCATCTCTACCATAAAAGAACTAGATAAAGATAAATGTTAGTATTTTTCATAAAGTTAAAGGAGACTGAAGATAATTTCCATAGTGGTAATTTTAGTTATATGTTGATTTCACTAATTCAAGCAATGTCTGCAATTCAGTAACCAAATATATAAATTTAAAATTTATAACTAGGCATTAGTTTTTAGAAACACTTTGCCCAGTTATCTAAATTGCAAAAAAAAGAGATATGCATTAAGTATGAGACTAGTAACACTTGCAAATAAGTAAGTAAATAATTTAATTCACTATAAACTTTTAAAAAGTGTATGGGCCTCATTTTTTTAAAATAAAACTTCCTTAAAAAACCAAATACCTCTTCTAATCATTAAATGAGTACTAATAGATTTAACAACTTAACTAAAGATTACTTTTATATGTAACATAATACACTTGATGCATTAAATATTTGTATTTTCTTCATATATTTCAATAATAAAATTACTTTAACCCTTTATTAATTTTACTCCCTAGTCTTCTCCTCCATTTACATTCCCACATTTATTTACACATCTCTACAAGGGAAATAGCAGGTAGAGACTAAAGATGTTAGGTCATCCTACCCCTGTAAAGTTGCCATTCTTTTTGCTGTCTACCAAGTTCTCTGGAATGTTATACCAGGGCCTGCAGGACAGTTGTAGACATAATGTATCCTGTCATAGGTTTTTGTTACCTCTTAGGTAGTAACTCCATTGGAGGAGGGAGACAGGGACAAAGCAAAAAGATGACCAGTATAGAACACCTTACAGATAAGCATGTAAGAACAGCTTATTGGCTATTTTTAGCACATTAAAAAGAAAATTGGTGGAAAAGGTGAAATTATGGTGAAGTAATTATGTTATTAATAATAATAATTTTAAAACTGTGTTCCATGGATTTCCCATCCCTATCCCTACTGGAATAGCTCTGCTTTCATTTACTTTATATATTCACATTTAATCTACTAAGATTTCATTTGGCAGATAAAAGAGATTCAACTACCCCAAACATTAGGAAAACAGTAATTTTAGTGTTTTATCTTCCTCTCTTCCCCTATTTTCCTTTCTCCTATGATCTGCAAGATAATCACTATTAATAATGGAGAGTTAAGGGTCTATAACAAATTTTTTGTTATCTTGCAGGTCTCAGAAGTGTTTACCTGAAGTGCTTCAGAATTTACAAATCTTTATGGCTCACAGTTTTTTGCCCTCTATATGTTAAGCATGGATATGACACTGACCATAGTTATCAAACAGACAATCACAATTTGTAATTTTTCAGAGATGCCAGACTTTCTTGGCCAGGCGTGGTGGTTCATGCCCGTAATCCTAGCACTTTGGGAGGCCGAGGAGGGCGGATCACCTGAGGTCAGGAGTTTGAGACCAGCCTGTCCAATATCGTGAAACCCCATCTCTACTAAAAATACAAAATTAGCTGGGCACGGTGGCACATGCCTGTAATCCCAGCTACTCAGGAGGCTGAGGTGGCAGAATCGCTTGAAACAGGGAGGCAGAGGGTGCAGTAGGCCGATATCGTGCCATTGCACTCCAGCCTGGGCGACAAGAGCAAAACTCTGTCTCGAAAAAAAAAAAAAAAAAAAAAAGAGGTACCAAAGTTTCTTAACAGCTATGGAATGTAACAAAACGTATGGGCTCAGTTTCTGATTAGGAATAATAGATACGCCACTTGATAGAGAGCAGACATAGAGACAGCAGTAATTTGAGAACTTCTCTAAAATACTAATTGCATCTGACAGCAGTAAGCTATAAAACTCGAAGGCGTGGGCTCTAAATTCAACAAATGTTCTACCTAATGGCATAGCAATTTCACAGAACAGTGAATATACTTCGTATGGCATTGTTAAGCTAAATATGTTCTGAGAAACCCTCTATACTTCCATACTTGAGTCCTGTGGACGAATCATAACCTAATTTAGTAGGTAGACACATTGAAAACCCAATTTAGGAGTATGCTTCTGTAACAATAGCTGAGTCTCAGCCAATCCCAGCAGCCATACTTCAAGCACTCACAGGCTGCTGACTGTTCAAATTGTGTGCAAATGCCAAGCTGTAACCAATCCAGCTGTTTCTATACCTCACGTCCGTTTTCTGTACGTCACTTTCCTTTTTTTGTCTATAAATTTGCTCTGACCATGAGGCATCTCTGGAGTCTCTCTGAATCTGCTGTGATTCTGGGGGCTGCCCAATTCATGTGCCACTTTTTTTTCCCCTTGTTCAATTAAACTGTTAAATTTGCCAGGCGTGGTGGCTCACGCCTGTAATCCCAGCACTTTGGGAGGCCGAAGCGGGCAGATCACGAGGTCAGGAGATCGAGACCATCCTGGCTAACACGGTGAAACCCCATCTCTACTAAAAAAACATACAAAAAATTAGCCGGGCATGGTGGCGGGCACCTGTAGTCCCAGCTACTCAGGAGGTTGAGGCAGGAGAATGGCGTGAACCCGGGAGGCCGAGCTTGCAGTGAGCCAAGATCGCGCCACTGCACTCCAGCCTGGGCGACAGAGCAAGACTCTGTCTCAAAAAAAAAAAAAAAAACTGTTAAATTTAATTTGTGTGAAGTTTTTCTTTTAACAGTATCTACTGCATTCCTGGTATGTAATAGAGTTTAAGGTCAACAATAATTATTTATAAAAACAAATTCCAAACCTCTGTGTATTTTATATCAGACCACAATTTTCAGACAGTTTTTCAAAATGATGACAAATGTTCTTAGCAACATAGAACATCAATGATTCATGTATTTATCAACTATCCTAGCTCCTATTAAGTCCAGCTGAGACAGAATCCATAAGAACAACTGAGATATAAAATCTACCCACCACTCAAGGTATTCAAAAAAATTCTTTCTATGGTGAAATTCTGACCACTCTAGACTATTATCCCTTCATGGAATTTCTATTTTTATATTTTATTTAAATTTCTATTTATCAAAGGTTACAAAAAGAAACCTTATAAAATTCACCACAGCCTTCTCTGTGGTGAGGAAAAAAAATTGTTAAAAATAAATGTCCCTGACATCACCTATCCCATCCTACATTAAGTTTCATGAAACAAATATTATTGAGAATTTAGGAGTAAGAAAAGCATTTTTTATCCCGATGAACTGATACTTATTCCTTTTCCTAATGTCAGCCAATGATTATGTTTCTCTTTTTGTTCTGACAGCCAAAAATCTGAAAGACAAATCTGAAATTCAATAATAGTGTCAACTTTTATATTTTATAAAAATTCTCATCTTCCCTCTTAACTTCTTAATTTTATATTTTATTTCATTATTTAACTTTCAATAATAATACCACTTTAACTACATATAATTTAAGTGAGCTAACTGAATCTATTTTGGAAGCAGAAGGGGTACAAAGATATAACTAAATCAATAAATGAAAGGTATACTGCCCTGATATTCTATAAAGATCATAAAAATCAAGGTAAGCTTTTAAAAGACTCTGTGGTAAGGTGCCCAAAATAAATGGCAGAGGTTATTCCATCAGTAATACTATCCCTTATAGATATGCAGGTGAAGGACAGGGAAGTAGTGACTCTGAAATACTAGATATACTCTCATGCACTTATTCATCCAATCCATCAATCAAATAAATCTACACTTACTGAGTGACCACAGTATGCTAAATGTGGTCTTCAAATGGAACCTGATAAAAGTTTTCTAGTGTCAATATGTACTCTACATATGTACTCAAGTGGTTTTCTAGCTACTTAGCTGTGGAAAATCATCTGAATTACTGGAGTGATAAAACAAAAAGAAACCTATTAATCTGAAATGATTTCTAAAATATTGACATCTAAGACAGACAGAAAGAAAAAAGAAAATATTAAGATGAATACTTAGTTAAGGATTTCAATGAAATAATGTTTAAGCTTCAAAACTGATTTTCAACTGTATCTACTGAAAATTAATTATGTAATTAAAACATTCTCATATGTTGGCATTTAAAAAATATATTATTCATTGCTGACTTTTCTTTGTACTCAATTTAATGTCACTGGTGCCCTTGGAGTTATACCTGTGTAATTTCTACAGCAATTACTTAAGCATTACCTGTCACCACCCCTGACAAAGAATAAAAATTTTAAATCCCACTTTCTTCAGATTATATTAAGAAAAGAGTATACAGAAAAGAAGTAAAGGGCATATAACTCTTGTGGTAAGAGAGGCTTTTGAGGCAGGAAAGTACTAGGCCGAGTTCTCTATTCCCAGTTCACTGAATGACCCTTCTCCTATAACCGTGTTACCAAGATTTTACCTCCTTTTCTCTTTTCTACATGGCTTGGCTCTATGTAGATCTCATTTACTAAAAACAAGATTGGAAATTAAAAAAAAAGAACTTATTCCAGTTCCTTTATTTCTTCTCATCCCAATTCTCCATCTCTGCCTATATTAAATTTTTTAAGAGTGAAGATATAGAAAAATAAATGAAATGTAAAACTGGAAAGTCAAGATAAAAAGATGAAATGGCAAGAATGACTAATAAAGCATTGACCCTGTTTAAATATTTAGTTTATATTCAGTTTAAATATATCTGTCTAAAGGAAGGTTTATTTGTTTTCATTGGGTGAAGATAAAGATGGAAACTGTTTTCTTTAAAAGCTACAGAACTGGAAGGATCCTCAGAGACCATCTGGTACAAACTAATGGAGGGTTTCAAGACAATTCTTTCTTCTTAATGTACACATTTTGTCCGAAGTATCTTTTAAAAAATGGAAAGTCATCCAAAGGCATTTGCACTAAATGGGAATTACAGACTGAAGGTCCAGACATCTTTTGTTGATCAAAACCAGTTCTCTAAAGGAACAACTGAAACTTTATCAACTAATTAACAGATGGAAAGTTTAAAGAAGCAGTAGACAATACAGACACTGTCACCTCTGTTAGCACTAGATCAGAGACATTTATCCACAGCTCTCCAAAGGGTGCCCATTAAATGTTACCTATCTATATGGCGATTAGAAGTTGGCTTAAAAGCAACAGCAGCTTCCCCTTGGTCCAGGTGGGATCCTCTTGTGTAAATGTTGCTACTGAACGCATAGCCATCGGCTGGATGATACTCTGATACACTGGAATGCTGAAAGACAAAGTGGGGCAGATTAAAGAATCACCAAATACTATTTGAATCAGCACTCAGGTCAGTCAACAAGATCTCTCAACTATATTGTGATAAGTTTTCATTTTCAAGTGACTGACCATTATGTTAACACATTATCAAATGGGAGTGACACATTTTTGTCAAATACTTACTTATAATAAGAAAAGTCATTAGTGCAAAGGGTAATCTTGCTCTCTCTGTTCAAGAAACTTTCACCACTCTAGCAAAGTAAATATTGTCACATGAAAATCAACTGAACCCTATGCATTAAAATTATACCGGCTTCTCATTTTTCTCAATTTCAAAATTATACACAGAACATTATAGTATTTTCAATATTTTTAAAATAGCAGCACTATTATCATATTTACTGTTAAGGGAAACACAGAAAGGCACAACTAAACTGATCTTGACAGTCAAGAGTCCAGGATAAGAGAATGCTAGAGTCACTTCTCTTTTGCAGTTAAGATAATTCAGACAGGAGACTACTGGGAGCTACCAAGAGTGACAGTTGAGGTTCATAGGTCCCACTGAGGACCACAGTTTTAAAGCTATAGAGCAGCAATCCCCAACCTTTTTGGCAGCAGGACTGGTTTCATGGAAGGCAATTTTTCCATGGACCCCAGGGCCGGGGATGATGGGGATGGTTTTGGGATGAAACTGTTCCTCCTCAGATCATCAGGCATTAGATTCTCATAAGAAGCGTGCAACCTAGATCCCTTGCATGTGCAGTTCACAAGAGCATTCTTCCTCCTAATAGAATCTAAAGGCGCAGCTCATCTGACAGGAGATGGAGCTCAGGCAGTAATGCTCGCAGGCCTGCTGCTCACCTCCTGCAGTGAGGCACAGTTTCCAACAGGCCACGCACTAGTACTGGTCCACGACCCAGGAACTGGGGACCCCTGCTATAGAGAATACATGCTCAGATTGGGAGAAAACAAATAAAAACTCCCCAAAGCCTTTACTTTGTTTCTTTATATGAAAATGAGGTATGGAGAAAGCATGATAGACACTGAAGCACTGGAATTCCTTGGCTGTTTTCATTATGGATTTTGTATATTTGTTTATGGATTCATTGGGGCAAAATATTGAAACTGGGAATGTTTCAGAAAATTCTTGGACATATGGTTACCACAGTTAATTCTAATGACAAAGTGATCAGGAGGAGGGCTGAGTTTATCCATGGACAAAGCAGGTGACATTATCAGGATACTGTAATTAATACATAAATAAAAATAAACAAGTTTCAGCCATTTAAATTAAAAAAATCTGAGCTCAATTAATTCAGTTTATCATTTCCCTGGGAAAGAGTAGAGGCACTACATTAGATTAGGTAATCTTTAATTAAAGGCTGTTCTAAAGAGGGGAGTGCTCTAACTGTTGGAAGCACCCACACCTTTTGCCCAGCTCTGAACATAACAGTGAAGTCAGCAGTAGGAAATCACTGGGTCCTGAGAGCAACTGCGAATACTGAAAGGGAGAAGAGAAATGATGACAAATGACTAACTGTGATGACTACCAAAGTTTGCTTAGGGTTCAGAGGAAGTAAGGAAGCTGAGTACTGCCACCCATATTTGTCACTCCAAGTCACCTATGTCTTTCAATCCTAAACAAAAATCATCAGATCCTGAATTACCCAAGTCTTGTTGTAAATGCATTTATTATAGTAGCAATAAAGTATAATAAAGTATCTCTTTTAGGGATGATTACGTTTTTTTGCTTTTTAAGTCACAATTACTTGGCCTCTTTTCCAACAAAATCTCAAGGCATAAAATTCCCTGGAACTGCTAGAATGTGTTTTTCATTTTTTTAAACCTCTGAATAACTACTTCAGCCATAAAATGAAATATAGTTTATAACAGGAAAATAATAACTCATTACAAGTAAGGATTCTCAATAATTCCTCTTTTAAAATTAATTATTCAGTGAAAGTAGACAAACTTATATCCTGGGAGCCCAGAACACATTACTCTCTTCTTAAATACACAAATTGAGAACGAAATCACAAAAGTGAATTTCTGAGGCATACATTATAAAGTGAGTATATTTTCTTATTTAAGGTATGAAGGCTATAAGCTAGAAATTTTTATGATGTAAAAATAGTCAGCTGTAACTATAGCAACAGCAAGTGTATCATAATTTCATGTTTGATTATATTTTCTTTCCTCTAGAAAAACTACCCTTTAAATGGAAAGAAAATTCACAGTGATGAGGCCTGAACTATGAAATACAGGCAGGGGTATATGCTTGCCAACCGAGCAGTGAGGTCATCTTAATTATTCATTTAGAGGGAAAGACAGGCATGGAATCCACCTCTTCCCTTATAATACAGCCAGAGGGAAAAAAAAATTGCATTAGGAAAAAATAATTTCAAAGTAATATGTTTGCTTTATTTTTAAAGTTTCAGGAATTCAACCAAACTTCTATAATATTATTTTTATTGTCCAAAGAATAGTCCACAAAGGGAACAATTTTTAAAATTTAATTTAGATAAACATTTCCCCTTAAAAGCAGTCACAGGATATAATACACCATGGTTTGACAATTCATTCCCTCATAACATATTTGCCACATTATAAATACCTATGATAGTCTGAGAAAATTAATCTAAGGAATTAAATAAAAATAATAGGATTTCGGGAAGATCTAGTCATCATTTACTGTTTCTTCTTCAAACTAGATCTCATTCACCTAACTCTTCGGGTTCTGATCATCCTATTTGTGTTTGGTCCAGCTTTAATCAATGTTCAATGTTCTTTTCCAACAAACAAGAAGAGTCATAGAAACATCACTTTTAGGGAATGTGACAAAACAGCATACTCAATTTCATTCCCTCAACTTGATTCCCAAATAGGTTATACTCTAAATATTATTAAATACTTAAAAGATAAAATGAATGTTAAGATCTCCTCAAGGTGTAGTTTTATAAATGATCATTTGAGCCTAAGGACTAGAGTGCAGAAGAACTTGGGCCCTCTAGCAAGGCTGATAGGACTCCAGAGTTTTAGAACTAGGCAAAAGGGAAGAAAGAAAACAAACAGAGGAGAAGAGAGGCAAAGCAACGTGAAGAGAAGGAGAGAAATTAATTAACTGGGGGAATTCAGGAAACAGCTGCTTAAGACAGGTTAGAGGATCTAGGTTCAGGGAACTGTCTTGAGGGCCTGATAATGGGAGAGGAAAACATAAAGAAATAAGCCAAAGGGCAGTAGTGCAATTCCCTGACAAGGAGAGAAAGTCATCCTAAAAAAGCTGACTTAGGATCGCCAGAGCCAGGAAAACAGTGGCAACAAGGGGAGGGGTGGGGGCTGACAGGCTATAGGAGAGCAATTTGGGTTGGGGTTGGGCTTCACGGAGGAACAGAGCAACTGTCACAAAAAATGACAGAGGCAAGAGAGAGAGGTAATTCAGGACAGGGTAACATTCAGACTTTGATTCTAGAACAATTTTCAGTTGAATAAAATGAGAACTTGCAATCAGAATTACAAGAGAATACACAGATAATTACACTGTCTACAGAGGGCAATGTTAAAAAAAAAACTACCTCTGTGGATAATCTTTTTATTTCCTGTTTGCGCTGATGTTCTGCTACATTTGCCACAGATTCTGCCAGTTGATAAAGATCTTGTTCCATTGTGGCTCCCATAAAGTTCAGCATTGGGGGCTCCCAGCCATTGCGGAATCGTGGAACATATGGTGGAATAAACTGTTCTTTTGGCCACTCTGCTCTGCAGGAGGGAATGAAGGCATATAAACAATAAAATCTAGGAATGTATCCATGCTCACAGTTATCTTCAGTAAGGCTAGACATACACACGCACACACACATAAATAACAAACAACAAAAACAGCACATAGACCTAATCTGTCTTCCATCCACCCAAAAAGAAAAAGCAAACATGTTTATGCCAGTATTTCACACCTTAATAAAATGAAAGAAAGATTGAATTCTGTTGCATGATCTGTTTTCCCAACATTGCCTCATTTCTCCATTAAACTCAACTTTGTAACATGGATATAGGTTTTTAAAAATTTGTGTAAGAAGGGATTATGGAGCTAGGAGTGTGATAAGTATTTAGAGCACAAACTTCTCTAACATTTAAAGTAGTTTCAGATTCTCAACTTTCCCTTCACTCCCCTCCCATCATTATTGAAACCTCCTGGTATTAGATATATCTTTCAAAAGAGAAACAGCCCAGCAAGTTAAGATTACGATTTTTAAATTTATGAAGTCCCCTAAACTGAAACAGATGGCCAGTTTTATAAATTAAATGTATCAGCTCTGTTTTAATCAGTAAACTAATCTGTAATCACAATCATATGGGTTCATCATTTAATGACACTGAGTGAAACTTATTTCTGTAAGATCCTAATCATTCATGAACCACAAAAATAACTAGGACAAAAACGAGGGCTTCATTTTTGCTAGAATATGTTGCTTCATCTTTCATATTTAATTCTTCATGTTATAGTTCTACTATGATGAAATCAGCCATTTTATTCAGATTGTTATAGACTTTCATGGTTCTTTTTACCTTTATGAGTTTTTAAATCAGTCAGTACATTCATTTCCTAATACTCTTAACAATCAGGATCTAAAATGACCCTTTCCGTGTGTTAACAGCTAACAATATATTTCGTTTTGATGTAGTTTTTTGAATGTTAATTAATTTTCTTATTTTAAGATAGAACCCTAAACAAAGAAATTAAAGAGCCTGAGCTATATTTGTAATGTGAGACCTGATCAATTTAATAAACTTCATGAAATTAAAGGATGCCACCGAGGCTTATCATAAAATCATAACCTATATAAATCTAATAGATTTAAGTGATCTACAATGGAATATTATTCAGCCATAAAAATGAAAGAAATCTTGTCATTTGCAGCAACATGGATGGAACTGGAGGTTATTCCATTAAGCGAAATAAGCTCACTCATATGTGGAAGCTAAAAAACTGGATTTCATGAAGGTAGAGAGTAGACTGGTGTTTACTAGTGGCTGACAAGGATGAGGCAGGGTTGCAGGGGGATGGAGAGAAGTTGATTAATGGATACAAACGTACATTGACTAGAAGAACTAAGACCCAGTGTTAGATAGATCAGTAAAGTGACTATAGTTAACACTAATCTATTGTACATTTCAAAATAGCTAGAAGAGAAAAATTCAAATGTTCCTAGCATAAATATTTAAGATATTTAAGGTGATGGATATCCTAATTACCCTGATTTCACCTTTGTACATTATACGAATGTATCAAACTATCATATGTACCCTGAAAATATGTACAACTATTAATAATGTATCAATTAAAATTATAAAAATAAAAAGATCTATTTAACCAGTTTTTATACAGTATAACAAGAACACTATTATACAGCATACACTATGCTATACTAGTACATAAATAATATAAATAAATGTAAATATTTTCAATTTAAAAGCAACAACTGCAATGCTTTCAAAGAATTTTCTGCTTAACTATATTCCAACACAAGCCACTGTCAAAGTCCAGAAAATAAGTGGAAAAGTTTGTATATGTTTCAATAGGAGAAAAATGGAGAAAAAAAATTATGAATTGGCCCATGACTCTTAAGCTAGCCCATTCAAAAGCATTAGGAAGACAAATGTCTAAGTGGCCATACTAAGTGATTTATTCTAAGTGGTGAAATAAAGAAAAAGATTTAGATAAATAAGCAAAGCAAAAATGATTTATTTACAATCATGAAATTAGAAATATTTTCTTACCTTGCCTTGCTCAGCAAGCATTAGTACTACAATTGTTAATAATCTGTCTTCCATAATCACTTTATTGACAAATGCACATTTCTTAAAATTACCCACTCTTCCTTTTCAGTTCCACTGTGACTCTCTAGTCCTGAAGAAAATTGATTTATAAGGAGCCTCTCCTACGATATTAGCATCTCAAAAGGCCTCTGCCTCCAGTTACTTTTGTCCTTGTCCTTTCTAGCCTCAACTACCAGACTGACCTTTCTAAAACATAGATGTAATTATGTCACACCTCTATTCACAAAGTTATTGGTTCTCCACAGCCTACAGAACCACACTCTAACTCTTTAGCATGGCACTGAAAGCCTGCATAATCCAGCCCTCATCTCTATATGCTCATCTCTATATGCTCATTTTAATACCATCCGCCTCCCGCCCTTCCACAATGATCTGCTACCCGAAGTCCATATTCCAGAGAAACACATCTTCATCCTTTCTTCTCTTGACTACCTTATGCCTTCACTTCTGCTTCTCTCTCTACCTGGACAGGCCCTTGCCCTACTATGGAACTGTGGAAATCCTACCCAACCTGCTAAAAGGCAGTTTAGCAAACCAATGATGAACACTGACTCCAGAGCTACATGGCACGAGTTCACATCCCTGCTCTGTCACTTACAAGTTGTGTGGCCTTGGGCAAATTACTTATCCTCTCTGTGCCTTACTTTCCTCATCTGCAAAATAGGGATAATAAGAGTAGTTCTGTAAAGTGCATGGACTAGCAAGCACTGTGCGCGCGCGCGCGCATGTGTATGTGTGTGTGAACCCTATGTGTACCTGTCGATTTTAAATGACAGCTCTTCTTTGAAAGCTAACTACCCTCCTGTCTAAATCCTCTTCCTGACTGGTCCCCCTTGCCAACCAACAGCATTTTGTTTATGACTCACTCCTAAGGTATATCATGCCTTATATTACATACACTTCTATCTCTTCCACTAGACTTCTAGCCTTTAAGGGTTTAGGTTTTTTCATCCTATGACGCTTAGTCCTTCGTATGTAGAAGGTTAAATAAATGTCTCATTAGATCCATGTAATTAACAAAGAATGGTACTTAAGGCATTATAGGTGGTAAATGCTTACCTGGCTTTCATCCAAGTTCCTCCCAATGACATCCACAGCTGCCGTTCATCACCATTGACAGTATAATTTAAGAAATCAATTGTGTCCTTATTCAATAGGGGACTAAGTACTGAACTGGCTAGTTCAGGACCTCCTGTTGCCTGCACCACCTAAGATAATAAACCATTTTTTAGCAAGAAGATTACTATTCTTTGTGTATTTTCAAAATGTGTGGACAAAAACCCATGGCAAAAACAAGCACTACTTTTTAATAGTCATATTAACTTTTGATGCTGTGCAATGTGCTACTGAATGAAGAAAAGCTTGTCAAATCAACTTGCCCAGCCCAGCAGTGCTTTAAAACCTAAATGAAAGTTAACAATTTAACAACTTTCACAGCATCTGCCTATGGGCTGCATATGACTATAGTTTCTCTGGAAGATACCAAAGGCTATGCAGAGAATTCTAGATCAGGTGATTTTACTACCCCTGTTTTGTTGTTGTTGTTTTAAATATGTGTTTCTCTACTGGCAAATCTATTATGCCAAACTTGAAAAATGCGGTTCCCGAAATGAGTACTATCAAGAGAAACAATACTATCGAGAGTTAACAGTCTATGGCTGTGCCTATACACACATACAAAAAATAAAAGGATCCAGGAAGGAAGGCAAAACAGGAATGAGAACTGGTACTCTGAATCTATGGTACTTTTCCCCAGAATTATTTTTAGAAAATTCCTCTGATTTAATATGGATAATTTAATGACAGCAGAAACAAACAGGTGCAATTCTCTGATAAGCAAAATGAGGATAAGTAGATGTTCAAAAACTGCTCTAAATTTACTTCTTATGAGCTATTTTCTGGCTAAAAAAAAAATGGTAGTTATCTCCTAGAGCAGAAACCAGAGTCTCTTTATAAAATCTTACCTTCTCAGAGATGCGGCACAAGAAGATAGGAGATTTTTTGAATGGCTCCAATCATCCAGGTGTTCTCAGCATGCTATACTGTTCTAGGCCTCTGTGTATTTGTACATGCTGTTCCCAGTTCCCCAGAAGGCCATTCCCCCATTATTCAGAACTCTACTCAGGTCCCAACTCTTGTGAAAGCCTGTGTTAACCCCACAGTGTAACTCCGATGTACCACTCCCCAGCCTGCGTCCTCTAAACAATTTATGCATATTAGTAACACATTACACTATTACACTGTAATTTATGCATATTAGTAACACCCTACACTATTACACTGTAATTTATGCATATTCGTAACACATTACACTATTACACTGTAATTTATGGCTTTTCAGTTTCCCCTCCTTGAGGAGTTGGACTAAGACTTATCTGACTTTCAACTGCAGATGATACAGTGGTACTGGAATGAATGAAAAAAGATGGCAGATAACGGAGGAAAGCTAACTCTTATTTGAGAACAAAACCTACCCTGCCTATCTAGCACAGTAATTTTTAACTTCCAACCTCGAACGCATTTCCAATAAATATGTAGCAATAAGAGGGAAAAGTAAAACTAAAGAAAATGAGTAGAGGAATATAAAAATACCTGATTTAACAGAAGGAAGAGGAAATAAAATGAAAGAAAGTATAAATGAAAGGTTAAGAGCCATGGTTCCCTCTCAAGAACGTGCGCAGGCACATGTGCTGTGGCTACGCTCGTGTGTACATGTCCATGCTGAGGGAAGAGGAGAGCAACTCGCAGGTGTAAAGCCACTACATCATGCTGGCCAGTAGCAGGCCCTGAATAGATGTTCCTCCCCATCTCCCTCGTCCAAGTAAAATGTCCGGGGCCCTGTAGGGAGAACATTAAATGGACCAGCAAAATATTATGATTGGAGAGACCATTAATAAGGTGTAATTTTTGAGAAAAGCAGAGATACTAAACATTGGCAAGTAAACCAATGTTTTCAGGTACATAACCTGATCACAAAGACCAATTTGTATATGTCAGGGAAACCAGCCTTGTTATGTTACAGCTCTATTCTGTGTAATGACTAGATATCTACATATGATCTCTGAAAGTGTGTGAAATAAATAAGAGGAGGCAGCAAAAACTTCTTTATAAATAATACTTCCAAATACTCTAAGATAGCATCAAAAATGTTAAAAACTAAGGAATACAAATTTTGTTAATGAACTAGTATCAGTTTCTTTGCATATGTATGTCCTTGATCTCCACCTAATTTTTTAAAAGCATTTATAGAGCAAGAATTATTCAGAAATAATTAGGCAAGTAGAAATCTGATGCTCCATATACAGCAACAACATATAGGAGCATTCATAAGTTATTGATGTACTCTTGGACTTTCATCTTCTAGTCCCTTATTGCTTAGCTTCTGACATTCATGTTGATAATGTTACTTACTTTCCTATGTTTGTAAAGCAATACTCATTTCATATTCTAATTCAGGTCTTGTCTACTTATCCCTGGGGAAAGAAGGATGAGATTTATCCTCCCTTACTGCCTCTTGTCAATCTTACTTGCTGGTTCTTCCCATTCTCCTAACATCGAATGCCCAGGGCTCAAGCAGTCCTTGGCCTGATTTCTCCATTGAACTCCAAATTCATATACTCAACGATCAATTCAAATTTCCCCATCTGGATACAACTCAATTTTGATATGTTTAAAACTGAATTTTTCACCAACCTCCAAAAACCTGCTCTACCCAGTCTTCCCCATCTTAGTTAATCATCACTCCATCCTGTTAGTCTTAGGCCAAAAATCTGGGAGCTATCCTTGGCTCTTGCACAGTATATCCAATCTAGCAGCAAATTTATAACCAAATCAGACTTCTCATCACCTCCAATGCTACCAGGTCCAAGCACCATAATCCCCCATCTGGATTATTTTAATAATGACCCTAGCTTTTTCTTCCCCAAAATTTCTAAACATTATAGCCAGGGCAATCCTTTTCTGCTGAAAACTCTTCAGTTGTCAAAGGTCTCCCAATCCCTTATAAAGACCAACAGGATGTGTCTTCCTGTTACCCTGCTGATATCATCTCTTTCTAATCTTTTCTTCATTCTGTTGAAGTCACAGCTCTACTTATTCCAAGAACATGCTTTGCATGTTATCACCTCAGAACATTTATACGTTAACTATTCTTCGTCTGGAATTCTCTTCTTTCAGGGATCCACATGACCCATTCCTTACTTCCTTTACTCCAATGACATCTTCTCAGTGAGGCTTCCTTTAACCAACCCTACTCAAAAAGTGCAACACTCCGTTTCCCACACACATAGACACATGCGTGCATCCCCCTGGGGAACTCCCAGTTTTCCTTCACTCCTCTATTTTTCTGCATAGCACGTGATTTTTAGACTACTGTATTATGCAGACATTTATTTAGGTTATTGGCTACCCCACTATGTTACAATATAAGTTCTAAGAAGGTAAGAATTTTTGTCTGTTTTGTTCCTGATGGGCTACTATAAAGCCAAGCACATAGAAGGCTCTCAATTTGTATTTGTAGAACCAGTGCATAAATGAATAAACAAGTCAGAGACAGTTCAAGAGATGAAGGAACACCTCGATAAAAAGAACATGGGTCTCTGAATGACTTCATGGAGCAAACCATCCATCAAGAACTAGACTTCTCATGATTATTTTGTGAGAATGAGAAAAACATCTACGTTATTCAAGGCACTGGATATTATATACTAGTATACGTTGAAATACTGGTATCCAATAAATCTTTATTTCTTTTCATATCCCTAGCACTGTCAGAGATACCAGTTTCCTCAACTATAAAATAAGGTGCTTAAACTAGATGATTTACAGGGTTCTTTTAAATTCTCAAATTTTACATTCTTGATGTTTACACAAATGGCAAAGAAATAGTACCCACGCAAGGTAATGAAGAAAAGCAGTCTAGATAATCCAGACAGACACTTGGGGTTAAAAAATATACTAAGAACGATTCTTTCTTAAACTAATAAAATCTCACCATATTTAATGGAGTAAACAAAAAGTGAACCAAATCTGCAGCACTAGGATTCTGAATATGAGACTTCAGTTTGGCCTGCAACATGAAGAAAACAGAAAACAGATTACTATCAAGCAAGACAGACACTCAGAAAGGTCCAACATAGACACAGAGGGGACGGTCTTTACCACCAGATTCAGTTTTAATATATTCTTTAGCATGGATAGAGTGAGAATAGAAGTCATTGTTTTTCAATCAAGTCTCTTAGATATATATGTTTTAAAATTTGCTGTTTTAACTGAAGGCAAATCAAAACATACACACCCCCACAAAATCTATAAAAACAATTTTATTTCTTAATTTAATCAGAAACATCCTGACTAGATTTTCACCTTTTCCATTTATTTCTTCTAATTCTATATACATAAATTTCACTTACCAGAAGGTTAAATCCGTGTTTAAACTTTTGGAAACAGTCAAGAAATTCATCAGGAGGTGGAGGTTTTGCCCGCAGCGTTAAAACACCCTCTAATGAAATAAGCGAGAGGAGAGGATCAGAGCAAAATCCAAGGAAATTTATTAAATGGAAAAACAAAAACCACATTTATGTCTGTAAAGTTTGAAGATCTCATCAGACATGCTACCTAGTTACCGTGCTACATCTCATAGTCTGACTGTAACAAACTGAGAAGATACAAATTTCAAAATGGATTGCTCTATCCTTAGGCACTACAAATTACTCATTTAATTCCATAAACATACATTGTAGCCTTTCTCTATGGCAGACATTGTGCAAGTGAGTAACTGACAAGCCCTGCTCTAAGGGCCTTAAAAGCTAATAAAATACATGAATCAGATAAATAACAAGAGAAGTACCAATCGTTATGAGAAGAGACTTACCTGGTTGGGAGATAAGGAAATGGATACTTAAAAGGTATTAGATGGAGAAAGTAGCTTATAAGATGGGATTTGAAAAAGTTTGGTCCAGGGTGATGTGGTGGGAAAAACATCATGGTTGGATAAAAACAGCATAAGCAAAAACAAGGAAAGGGGGAATTGCATGTATACGAAACAACAAACAAAAGGAGAGAAACATGAGAATGGAAGGGTAGATCAAGGTTAGATTGTGGATAACCTTGATTTCCAGGGCGAACAGTTGTACTTAAATCAATAGAACATGGAACTAGCGTGCTTTACAGCAGAAGAATGAAGTGACTGAGAGCTTTAAGAAGATTGTTCTCACAGCATGAAAAAGTAGAGGCTTAAAGACTGCTTCGAAAGCAGGGTTAAAAAAAATGATAGTAGCTTGAACTAGATATGAAAATGAAAAGGGAAAAAACTGGATACAGGAGATGTTGAGAAAATAAAATTGATGTTGGCTATAAGCAAGAGAATGAAGTCACAGAAGAATCTGTGGTTTTGAATCTGGGTGATCAAGAGGATAGTATACCTTTCATAGAGAATTTCAAAAGGAATAAGTGGTTTAAGATACCAGGAAGCAATAGTACTTAATTTCAGAATATGTGGAGAGGAAGCACATCCATGTATTCACATGCAGAAGATAAAGCCAAAGGTCATATGCTCATTATACAAATATGTGCTACAGAAAGATTTGGAAGTTATCTGTAATGAAAGGGATATTTATTTACTATTTTATATCTTTCAATCTCTACCATTTTGTCAGAGGAAGTATAAACATTACTTCCATAATTTTAATTTTATATAGCTGAGGCCATTTTAAATAGCTGAACTGCAGCATACTTCAAAATTGTCTGTATGTGACTTTGTATGTGACCTGAATGTACCGTTTAAAGTTTTGTGATAAAAAATTCAAATCTGTTGAAACTTTTAAATATTTTAGTAAGTCAACCCTTTTATTTAACAAATAATATGGTTCTAGTTTACAACAGAATAAATCCAACTACAAGAATAGAGCTATGTCTTTCTTTAACAGATACTTAATTTTACAATAACTAATGAAAACTACAGATAGATGGTCACTGCCTGAATCTCAGTCTCTGTGATTTAGGTAAAACATTCCAGGATCTTTCTTCACTATAGCTGACTTATAACCAAAATGGACTCTTCCCTGAGTTCATCTTACTCTTTGCCTAAATCTCAAGTGCTACCCCAAAACTAGAAGAGGAACCCTAGTCCACAGTCAATGAAGTTTTGCTAAGTAGTTCTTGAGGGTCAAAACTCTGCCTAGTACCAGAGTTCTTTTTTTTTTTTTTTGACATGGAGTTTCCAGGCTGGAGTGCAATGGTGTGATCTTAGCTCACTGCAACCTCCGCCTGCTAGGTTCAAGCAATTCTCCTGTCTCAGCCTCCCAAGTAGCTGGGATTACAGGCACATGCCACCATGCCCGGCTAATTTTTGTATTTTTAGTAGAGACGGGGTTTCATCACATTGGTCAGGCTAGTCTCGAACTCCTGACCTTAGATGATACACCCGCCTCGGCCTCCCAAAGTGCTGGGATTACAGGTGTGAGCCACTGCGCCCAGCCAGTACTGGAGATCTAACCAGGCATTAGAAGATTAAGAAAATCCAACTTACCTCCTGGTCCTTTCCTTTTACCTTTCTTGTTTTTCTTCCTTTTAGAAAGCTCAGAAAATGCTTCTGCTGCTTTTTGGAGTTTTGTGATAAAAAATTCAATGTCATCCAAAATGTGGTTTAAGATTTGCTGAAATTAGAAATTATAGAATAAAATATAAAACAAAACTATTTTTACCTTAGCTGTACTCTGTTAGTAAATAATAGAAAGGTTTTTTTAGAAAAGGAAGCAGCCCACATGCCAATTTCAAGTTTATTACTAATTACAAGAATCAAACTAAATATACCTATAGCCATATTCTGACATTTACATTTTTCTTTAGCTTACTTTTGCTCTATTTTCAATGTCATCAAGGAAGCATTCACAATATCTGCTCAGATTATTATTTTCAATTACTCTAATTTTCTCAGTGTTCTCCCACACAGTTAGGAGGAAAATTCTAAAATAGGTTTTGTTAGAAGAGCACTGACATTTTTGCTTTACTGATAAATGTCCCAATAAAGCACTGACAATATTACTTCATGGAATTAAAGGTATACAGATTGTTGTGATAACCTAATAGCTAGTCTAGGATACTAAGCATTAATAAGAGTTTCCACATGACAAAATAGAATAATGCACCATGCTTTCAGAGATCACTGGAATGAATTTGATTATCTTATATACTATAGTCTTAGTTGCCTTTCTCCAGTATGTGTGAAACTTGACATTCTTCTAATTTAAGACTACAAATTGGGGTTAAACTTTTAAGTATAACATGTAATAGTGTGCTGTAAAAATTGAATTAGAAATTTCAAATTCCTTTCAGTATTTGTTTCTCAATAAGCTGGTAACATGTATATGGTATAAAAAGTAATGTATTAACATCATATTCTAGATCTCATTTAAAGAATGAAAATGCTATAATAAAGCATTTACAGCATTCTCATTCTGTAAATCACTATAAAGAAAACAAATGTAGCATTATCTTTTATAAAAGCTTTACGATTTACAAATCTATCCTTTAAAAATGCCACTTAACTTTTATCTCTTAGGTATTCTAAAATACATTGTTAATAAATGCCAAGAAGACATATTAAAAAGATATTTCAATTATGAATTACAAACGATAATAAAATAAAAATTGTACCATTCCTGAAATCTAATAATTCAGCCTAAGTTCCAATGTAAACTAGTTAATAAGCTGATTCTTCTATCATAGCCCAAGTCTACTAACTAAATATTGGCATAAAGGCAAAAATGTTTAACGAGAAAATAATTCAAAGGGCAAATTCAAAGGGCATAGCCATCACAGGTAACAGAAAACATGGTTTCCATAAAATATCTCTATTTAAATCAGCTTCATTTTCTTATGAAGTTTTCTTTTTCCTCTTAAAAGAAAAGCCAGTGATCTAAAGGCGACTCCTGTACTTACCACATCTCTGTCAATGCGGGCTGCCATCATCTCAGGTGTTTCTTCCTGCTCATGATACTGCCTTGGTTTCTCAACTATAGAAAGGACAATCATAAGTCTTTCAATCTTTTACTCCCACAATACCAATACAGACAATTAAAACATAAAAATTAGTTAAAAAGGAGGACCATTTGCCAAAGGGAACACCTCCACTGGATACACAAGTCAAAACTGTGCTCATCAGCCATGAAATGCATCCTTGTCAATACTAACAGGAGCAGTTGAGCAGAGCTTAAGTATTAGTCCTCTCAACTTTATGATGTTAATTTACCTTGTAATATCACCCCATTCTCTCTCTTCCCTGAGTCAGCTACCTGTAGAACCAACCTTAACTTAGCACCCTTTAATTCCTACACAAGCCAGAAATATAAACCAGCAGTCAAGCTTTTACTTCTCAAAAGCTGGTCAACTAAGTTCTAATGCAACAGAGCTATAATTTTTATACATTCCAACACTGTGACTACAATAAAGCTTTCGGAGTTCTGACAGCAGAGTGCTTCTTAAAATTCTAGTGTAATTAAGCTTAAAACCCACAATGTTGGGCTCATTAATTTTAAGCTACATGCTTTAAAAGCAGACAGAAATTTTCACATTAAAAAATAAATGTCTTAAGACCATTCAGGGTATTAAGGTTGCTCAGTTGGCTACAGCATGATGTTAATCATGAAGTTATTATCATGAACTCCTTCCTGGTATGAGTCAGTTAATACTGCCTCTAAACACAGAGAGTTGTTACAGATATCTCATGGTAGAATAAATTTCAAAATATATGGATGGAACAACAGAAACGTAACACCACAAATGGAAATACAACTCATGATACATCATCGTGACTCATGATGTTCAATAGAGAGAACTGCAAAAAAAAATTGGACACTTTGTATTGCTATTCTTCCTTTACACTAACTTTACCTGTAACTGGAACACTTGCCAACAAAAAAAAAAAAAAAAAGAAAGAAGAAATCATCGTGTCTTATGAAACTTAATTAGCGGCTGTTAACTACTTTAAGATAATTAAAATTTCTATCTATGAAATCTTGCCAGTTAGCTACTATTTTACACATAGATAGCTGCTACCTTGGTTGTAGTGGACTACCACAGAAAGTACTAAGTTGAGGTTGAAATAGCTATTAGGAACTCTACAGAGGCCCCAAAAAATATCATTTGGAGGGCACAGTGAGGGGGAGATATGGTATTTCTTGGGCTCTGTCAGGTCTGAAACACGACTAGGAACCCTAGTGCCACTGGCGCTATTCCACAGAGATCACCTTTGGAAGTCAGGGGTAGATATGCCTCAGGGATTCAACGGAGAAGCAGTTCAGCCTGAGTCAGCTGGAGCATCCAGAGGAACCAAAAAGATATTCCTCCTGAGGGGCTTTCCAACTAAAAACTGGACTGGACCCAGGCCAAACCTGATATAATAAGTCTTCTGTTTAGGCTAGTGGTAAATTAGAAGTTCTGAAAGCCTTATCTCACTTAAACAGATGACATTGCAGAAAATATTTCAGATAAAATTTAATGAAAGCTCAGAAACCCCTAGGGATAAATTCTGTCTTTGTTATAAATTATATTAGGTTCAGCAGGGCATGGTGGCTCACGCCTGTAATTCCAGCACTTTCAGAGGCTGAGGCGGGAGGATCACGAGGTCAGGAGATCAAGACAATCCTGGCTAACACAGTGAAACTCCATCTCTACTAAAAATACAAAATTAGCCAGGTATGGTGGCACACGCCTGTAATCCCAGCTACTTGGGAGGCTGAGGCAGGAGAATCGCTTGAACCAGGAGACAAAGGTTGCAGTAAGCTGAGATCGCACCACTGCACTCCAGCCTGGGTGACAGAGCAACACTCCATCTCAAAAAAAAAAAAAAAAAAAAAAAAAATAATATATATATATATATATATATATATATACACACACACATATATATATGGTTCAACATATAATATACATAATATATATTATATATATTAGGTTCAACATATATTTTTACAGGTTTGTTCAGAATGTCTGTAAACTTGTCTTATCCTTCCTCTACTTCAGACCCTCTTCATCGAAACAGTAACAACAAAAACACCATAAGTACACAAAAAGTATAGAATACAATAAATTACTGTCTTTTAAACACATTTTAAATACAAAGCAGATCAATACAAATTTACATAACTTATGAAAACGGAAACTGTTATAAAATTAAACTACATATCTCTGTTAATTAATTTTTTTTTAAATAAATGCATCAAAGAATTCTTTTTTTCATATCTTTGGTAGCTCGGCTTACATTTCAACCTCTGAAAAAACCTTTAAGAATACAAGAAACCTAAACAAAATAGAAAACAATTCAGAAAGAAAATGAACTCAATTTGGCAAAATGAAAACCACAAATTATGCTTACTATTTTGTAGTAGGTACTACCATAAACATTATTTACTTTCAGATTCAGAGCAACCCATGAATTATTATCCCCATTTCAGAGATGAGACCGAAGTACAGAGAGATAACTTCCCAAGACCACACAGGTAGACATATCAGGTCTTGCTTCAGAGTCCAACTTTTACTCTGCACATCCAAAGTAGAGTCCGAGGTGACTCATTTTTGGAAATGAGTTATATCGTTTAACTATAGTGCCAGATACCCTGTGTGAATAATACTTTACTGGATAAAGAATAAGAAGTTAAGAAGTTCCACTGGAGTAGCGGCAAAAGAATGAGGCTCTAGAGTTCATCAGATTGGAGCCTGCTGAATCACAATTTATTCGTCCTTAAAATGAAGATACTAGACCAAACATATTTTAAGGCATTTTTTTAGTTATAAACATTTCAGATTCTAGTAAAATATTCTAACATATAAAAAGTAACACTAAGTTCTATGTTATAATTGTTTTTAAACAGAATGCCAAGGTGAAATGATGCCACGCTCATAGGGCCCACTTGACAAGAACAGTCATATGATGGATACCTTTTACCCTTCTCCACTGCCAGCAGCCAACCACTGTCCTGACAACCTTTCCATGAATATGACAAACTTGTCCAAAAAGGGACTCTAGTTAGATAATAAAAAATGGAAAGAATGTTAAGTGCAATCTTTAAGAAAAACCTGTATATATTTTGTTGCCATCTTTTTGTCAATCAAGTAAAACTTCCTCTTAGCATTAAAAAAATAAAAAGACTCTAACCCTAATACCATATTTATTAAATGGTGGGTCTAAACTCTTACAGATAATAATCTTAACAAAATTCAAGGCTTAACTTTATTTTATCTAAGATTTGATTTTTTTTTTTTTTGAAATGGAGTTTTGGTCTTGTTGTCCAGGCTGGGGTGCAATGGCGTGATCTCAGCTTACTGCAACCTCCGCCTCCCGGTTCAAGTGATTCTCCTGTCTCAACCATCCCAGTAGCTAGGATTATAGGCGCATGCCACCACACCCACCTAATTTTTGTATTTTTAATAGAGACGGGGTTTCATCATATTGGTCATGCTGGTCTCAAACTCCTGACCTCAGGTGATCCGCCCGCCTCGGCCTCCCAAAGCACTGGGATTACAGGCATGAGCCACTGCGCCCGGCCAGAGTTGATTTTTTAAAAACTAACCTCAAGCTTCAGTTCTGAAATCAGCATCAGAATTTGAAAGCAAGAACTATGTCCCAACCCAAAGTAAGTGTTCAATAAGTATTAATTCTAGGAAGACTCACAGTCCCCTTGGTCGGCTGCCCATGCAGACCAGGCTGCCACTCGACTTCTAACATCCACCTGGGTGACGGTCCCAGGGGGCGCAGGGGCAGGAGCTCTGGGTGGAGGCGGTATACTAGGGTCTGCATTGGAAATCATCCTTAAAAAGATGAAAACAAATAGAATTTTTACCATCTCTATTTCTATAACATATCAATTAACTCAACTTGTGGTACTAGTTATTAAAATTCAAAAAGAACTATGTCAAGGGACAATAAGGATTTCCTAAGCATTACACATTATGCATATTTATGAATGCATATGAAATAAAAAAATTAATAGTCAGCTGAAAACTAGGTTGATTTTCCTTCTGAGTCTTATGTGATTTGAAAGGGCCATGGAACAATTACAATCCTACTGTCTAGCTTGTATTTCCCTAGGATACCTTCTCTTAAAATGCCACTCATCTTTCATGACTCTGTGACTTCCAACACAAGTGAAGCCATATCAGAGAAAGACCAAAAATATGGAGAGAAGAGGAGTAAACACACTGACAAACTTGGGAGAACAAATGTGTTGAGACTACAGGTTATGATCTATACAATACAATAATATACTTCCATAGAAAATAATTTTTCTAACTCTTTGGGGAAAAAAGCCTTAGAAACAAATCAATTCCACTCCTTGATTTCTTTCAATGCTTTTACCTCAGGGCGTCGGGCCGCCTCTTCTGTTTCCCTCCTTTACTGTCACTGATTGCACTTTCAATATCTTCACTAATTAGGTTTGCCTGCAAAGAGACACAAGTTACCTGAAAGTTTATGGATTTTTCTGAGTCTTGATATGTAGTTTAAAACAGAAAAAGGGATTGTTCCTTGTCTGAATCAGTAAGTATCTTGATGTAAAAAGTCTTTTTATAAAAATCTTGCAAAACATGACTCTTGTGGTTTTTATAATGGTGAACTATATAATGATAAGATTTTAAAAACTGAAGAAATTTTTAATGATTATCTTAAAGGGAAACTATCCTTGAATAAAGGCAATGATAGAAAGGATATGTACACGCTAAAAATGAAACTGAGTAAAAATCTCTAATTGGGTAGAAATTAAGGGGTTAGAGGCTCCCACACATAGAACAGAGTTCCTTCCCTTTCTCATCCTCAAGATCCACTGGACACCCATTAACCCAGCAAAACAAATCTTTGAGTTTAAGGCAAATCTACTACACCCATAAGATAAACTCCAACGCTAGGTTTTACCCCTTTGGGTAACCACTTTATTTTGTCACTTCAGGTAAAAGTTAACTTTCTGCAAACAATTAACTTTTCCACTACTTTTCCAGAACATTCAGTTAGATTTTTCTTGGGGAGCAACGTGAGATTAGCAGATACGAAGTTTCTGTTTGGTTGCAAAGTTTGTTTAGAGCCAGTGATCATTACTCTATATTAGAATGTTGATGAGATGCACCATCTATGTTTGGGCCTCCCTGTTCTCTGTAATGTTTTCTCAAATATGTATGTTGTATTTCTTTTACAGTAAGCATCGATAATCATAAAACTTTAGAAATGATGGGATATTTAAAAGAGCATCTCATCAGTTCCTTCTAATTAATAAAACTGAGGAGTACTTGTATAAAAGGGCCTGGCCAAGGTCACATTGCTAGTTAAATGAGAGGCCAATGCATCCCAGTCCAGTGTGACTTCCTAAGAGCATTTAGTTTCAATAAGACATTACAAATATCGTGTCAAAGGCTTTCTGTTACATAGGATACTAAAACTGAAGATGAAAAGATATTTAATTAAAAATAATTATTTAAAAAAACCCAAAATGAAAACTGAAGATGCCTAGGAATCTTCAACTTCTTATACTGGGGCTATTATATTTCTAAGAAAAATTTTACTGCAAAGGTGGGCAGGAGCATTGCATGAAGTCCTATAATAAAGAAACTTTAAAAATCAAAAGCAATATTGCACAATGAGCCATATAAAAGAAACTGCGTTTTTCATTGCCTCTATATTTTTAACCAGCCAAGCGAAAAATGTCTCATATGCAGAGTATGAAACTAATGAGTAAATGCATACAGTGCTTCGTGGTATGTGAGCTTTTGGGGTTAGGACAAAACTATATTCAGTAAATACATTTTGAATCCATTATCATTACCATTCCATATCAAGTAAAGCAAGCCATTTGTTCCCAAACCTAAAATCCAGAAACTTTTCACAGCATAGTAACTTTTAGCTCCCGGGGGGGGCTTTTTAGAACACAGATACAAACATCAAATTTGAAATGTTTTTCAACTTAGGCCTCTGGTTTATAAAAATGTTTGAATTAAATTTCACTATATTTTTAAAGCAAAATATTCCCTTTAATATTTATTGACTGAATATATCTAACCTTACAAAAATTATAATATACTATGACTTTCAAAAGGCACTATACAAAAATCTGATGAATATCACTTACACAAATTACCTAAATGCCAGTTCTTTTAGAAGAAGGTTTTTAGAAAGTCATCCATGACGTAAATTGAAATTAGAAGAAAATTATAAAATACAGTTTACAGTCAATCTTACTTTATCTATCATCTTTAAATGTCAAAAAACACAGAAAAGATCAAGTAACTGTGCTAATCTCCTAGAGTTTCTTTATAAAATAAAATTACATGGATATTTTATAATATATCATCAAAATGTTAAATCACTGCTTTGGCAAAGTACCAATTAACACAAAATGATTTCTCTTTTAAAGAAAACAACTGAGGAAATAAACACATTCAAGGTTGAAGATAACTTCTAAGGTCCAATAAAGCATCACAAATTATAATCATTTGAAATTACACTGTACTTTGAAATAGAAACTTTCAGGATATAGCCTGTTATTACTGGCTCAACTATTTTCACATATCATCTGGGAATTACAAATCCTGAGCAATGAATCAAGTCACATAATTAAATGGTGAACTTTAAATCAATATCGTGGGAAATGTCTAAGTACTTCATTGCAGTAATCCATGCTATGTCATTAGTGCAGAATAAATTCAAATTACATGATTATTTACTGTCCACAAAGCAAGATTTCTGAACAATCAATTTTTAATTATAAGTTTAAGGCATTTGATGTGAATTTAATATATTATCTACACTTTAAAAAAATAAACAGAATGCATCTTATTTTTAAGAGACACAATCTCAATCTGTTGCCCAGGCTGGAGTGCAGAGGGGTGATTATAGCTCACTGTAATCTCCAACTCCTGGCTCAAGAGATCTTCCTCCCTTAGCCAACTGAGTAGCTGAGACTACAAGCGTGTACAACCACATCTAGCTAATTTTTAAAACCTTTTTAGTAGAGACTGGGTCTTGCCATGTTGTCCAGGCTGGGCCCAAACCCCTGGCCTCAAGCCATCTTACAGCCTTGGCCTCCCAAAGCACTGGGATTACAAGTGTGAACTACTGATTTGATTAACATCACCCTAATTTCTTTATTTACTTGCCATGGAAATCCTAGAGAAGATACTAAGGTATTTGTTTTCCTTACGAGATGCTCAGAAACTAAAAATCTAGTAACTAATATGCAGATATATTATCAAAATAGGTAATTCAAAAGCTCCCAGACAATCTGCTTAAAGAAGAAACAAAAATTTCACCATTCTTTTACCTTAACCTCATCACACTGGAAGAGATGAAGATCTGGCTTGTTCTGGGTTGGCTCTTTGCACACCAGTGCAAGAACTGAATCATAGCTGCATGAATGCATCACAGCTTGGCAGTGCTGGATTGTGTTTAAAGGAAAATTCTCCAGTTCATTCTATAAATAAAGTGAACATTTTATTTTGTCAAACTTCCATCCATTTTCAAACAATCTGAAATGATTGTAAACATTAATATTTGTGGAGTTTCTTGAAAATAAAATAGTATAAATTTTACACACTTGCCTTTGATTCTAAATCAATCAGGCTCACAGCTCTGTCATCCACTTGAAGAATCATATCTTGAGTCCACACTTTGCCCTTGGCATCAAGCAATTTCAATTTCCTTATTCCATCATCAACAGTGATCATAGCATCTTTCCGATCCAGGACAAAGGTAGTCAAGTGCTTACAATTGGCAAAAAGGAAAAAGATTTATAACACATACAAACACATACAACCTCTTAGTATACATTTTCCAAAAGAAAATCAAATAACCTGAGGTCAGCTAGCAGAGAACGACAAACACAAAGTACTCTTAAAACTTCATGACTATTTTAATGAGAGAATAAAGCCAACCAAGGTTTTTTTTGAATAGAAGAAATGGTGTTTTGACTCATAAGATACCTAAATCTGTTTCATACGGAGCCATGTTGAACTACATAAACATGACATTAAAACAAATTCTTAACAGCTTAAATAATATTCTCTTAAAATAAACTTTCCCCTATTTGACACTCTATTATGGTTATTTAAATGCTGAACATAGCAGCATTTAAACAGCAGGCTATCTGTATGGGAGCTTCAAAACTATGGACACTGATTGTAGCAACAGCACAATTCTAGTCTATAGGAACTGTCAAACTATTCAATCCACTAAAACCACTTACTGAAACAAAACTGTTTAAATTTGATTAAGCATGCTTGACATAGGTAGAAAACTGAAAATAAGAGCAATTTAAAAATTACTTCCCTGCTTAAATATTTTCTATTATAAGCACAGGTCAACCAGATAAATTCCAATCAAGAGCAAATATCGTAAAAGAGGGCAAAAACTAAAAAAGAACCATTATTTAACTAGAACTGGCAATAACTTTAGTTAAACTAAAAACTAAATTGCTCACTGAAACTAGCAAAGGCTTAATTTCAAGAAGATTCTATAGTACAAAGTAAAAGCCATTATTCTATTATAAGTGAAATAAGACTGGCAAGGATAAATGGATAGTAGTTATGATTTTAAATCATTCTTTATGAAAATAGACCACAGACTAACAAGATACTTTATATGTAATATCTGTTTTAAAAAATCTAAACAAAAAGGTCAATGCAACTTAAAATACATCATAAGAATGAAATAAAACAGAATTCTGATTTAACTTCCAATTTTTATGTTCCTCAAGGGTCACTCTAAATACTAGCAAACACCAAAGCATCTTACTTCAACACGGTATTGAGATATATCTGACACACTGCTGACACTGTCCCGTGCATAATTCTTCCTTTGTTCTGAAAGAGAAATTGAAAAAGCCATGATTTGTCCCCTAATAGACTGAAGTTCATATGTTGGTATCATGTGGCTATCTCTAAAACTAGTCTATCTCACATATAAATACAGTAGCTGACAAGTTGCCATTGTGTGGTGTATCTGAAAACACTCATTATTCGCAGTAAATCTAAAAACCACAAGAAAGTCTAAATAATAGGCAAGAACAATTTGATCCACTATCCATTTTTAGAATTCCAAAGGTTAACAAGAGTATAAATATTATAAGAAAAAAAGTTATTTCATCTAAAGGTTTTATTTATCAGTCAGGGACCTACTGTTTGACAAGTCAATTACAACTGGCTTATAAATTTCATCTGTTACTGCACTGATATCAAAATGTAATTGCAAATATTGTCATAGATACTGTATTATATGAGTTAGACTACATTATTAAAATAATAGGCATTACAAGGAACATCTCCTTTTGCAATATCCAAATTGGGATAGTGTTAGAGGAGATTTAAAACATGATTCAATCACATGGCTTGCCATTAAATATTAACAGTTTTCACACATCTACAAAACACACAAATGTGATACTTAGAATTATAAATATAAGCTGATAGGAAAAACAAGAAAGTCAGGTAGAAAGTTATTGCACCAAACTACTTAAAAAGCAAAAAGAAACCTTTAATTTTCTTTTCTGAAATGCTGCAAAACCAAAAAAATAACATTAAAATATAAAATGTATGTCGGCAATATTTGGTATTTGTTACTCTCTTTTTAAAATTTGTATTGTTTTTTAAAATATGGAACACTTCATGAATTTGAGTGCCATCTCTGCACAGGGGTCATGCTAATCTCTGTATCATTCCAATTTTAGTATATGTGCTGCCAAAGTGAGCACTATTTGTTACTTTTCTAATCAAGCAACTTGCTTATTTGTAAATTCAGAGTTGCCCTATTTCTTCTAAACAGAATGCTATGATGAAAAATAACTCTGAGAGGGAATTATAAGATTTATTGTTCCAGCTTCGGCTCTGTCACTAAGTAGGAAACTAAATTTGGGCAAGAAACTTAATACCCTGGGCCTCAGCACCCTTACTGTAAAATAAAAGGATTAAACAAGGTCAAACCTAAAGGCCTTTAAGCCATTAACATTCTGACATATAGATATACCTTAGCTTTCCCAACAACCTATTTTTTTGTAAATGTAAACCTATTTCTTTTAGTTAGTATAGATATTCTATAATAGATAAGTTGTTTGGAAAGTTCTGCTGAACATAAAAGCTGAGCAAGTACAAAAATATAAAGTGCATATATACATATGCAGACTCAGAACATTAACACAGAATTTTAAGAAAACTTAATAAATTTTCATTTTACAACACATATGAATTTCATTTATATTTACTTTTAAAATTTAGATTAAAATCTCCATGTCCTTGTATCAATATTACTCTGATATTCCAATACACTCCATTTTTGCTTTTGCAGCATTAAAATTACTTAATAAAAACAGATGCACTACAAAATTCACTCTGTGCTACCTTTCTTTTTTTGTTTGGATGATGACCTGAGGAAGTATGATCCATCTGGTCCTACCAAAATAATGTCATCAAAAAGAAAGATCTGGTTTCACCTAAAATTTTCTCTCCCAATATAACAAAACATAAACCTTCACTTACATGACTGTATTCTACATATTTTTAAAAAGTGAGCGACTGTGATTTTTCTGATTAGTTGTTGAGGATTAATCAGTGTGAGATATTAACACATCGATAATTGTCCCTGTGACAGCCGTTATGACTCTTGTAATACAATATATAATTCAGGAATATATTTCACAAAACCACATCTAGAAATAATCACTATTTCAGAGTCACTGGTTCACCATATTCTAACACAACTGTCCACGATAGATTCAGAGCAGGAGGGCTCGGCTTGCTTTGATCTGACCTTAGGACAGAAAAGAAATGGCAGTGGTTGCCATGACACCCAGTCATGATATGGCAGCTCCTGGATGTTCAAATGCTTTGTCTTTCAGGTAATTTATTGGCAAATACAACAGTTGAAGATCTGAAATACTGTGTGTTTCTATTTAGATATTCTCATTATGAAGTATTAAGAATTTATCCCTGACCTCTTGATTTCCTAACCCATAGTTTCCCAATCCCACAGAAACATAATTTACAGAAATGAGAAGAAAAACTATCTGATAGCATTTTAAACAGTATGACATTAACCGATCACTCTGAGTGCCTAGAAGATATGGTGTCATTTCTAATATTCCAAATTAAGAATCCACTTTAGGAATTCCTAAGCTGCTTTCTCTATGTTGTACAATAAATAAGTTGTATAAGAAACTACCTTTTAAAGATCCTAAAAATGTATAAATGCCATAAATGGACTTATAAATAAACTAGTAGTTCCAGTGATTTTTAAGTCAATCCATAAAGGTTAATATTAACATTTTAATAGGCAATTTTGAAAGACATTTCCTAAAAGGCAATTATAATACATTTCTTTTTTATGAGAATCACATGTATTCACAAGAACTGGTATAAATAGTAATTAGGCTCCTAAGCTAGAAATCTCACCAAAGCCTTAAAACAGTATAAAAAGCCTAACTAAAATCTCTCAACACTACTCAAGATGAATCCTCTAATGAAATTCACCACTTTTGCTAACAGTGGTTCTCATCCTTGGCTGCATGTTGGAATGAACTTTATAAAACAGTGTGCAACTCATCTACTATATACTATCTCTTCAAGCAGAACATTTTCCTTTCCAAATTAAGAATGTAAATATCGTCAAATGGTATATTAAATAATAAATTCATGAATAAACATGGCAGTAGGGTTTTAGGTTTCTAGTAGTACAAGCTGCTCAACTCCTAACATAAGACTAAGTCTATTTCCCCTCCTATTCTGGCCCCTGCCTCTCTTTCTCGCTCAGAATCAATTAGAGGTAGGATGAAACTTACTTGGCTATAGAACCACTGGTTGTGTTTCACTATTTTGTCTATTAGCTTTTATGTCATGGTCCAGAATGTACAACTCCAAACAGACAGAATTACATGAATTCAGTAACCAACGATGAAAAATATTTACATACAATTTTATCATACACTATTGCAAAAATTGATATTCAACTCCCAGATCAGAAATACTAAATTTAGGTTTCATTTAATTTGTTAATTAGTTGAACTACAAGTATAAAAAGCATCCAGGTGTTGGTATTTACACTTAATTCCCTTTCACATGCATTGCTGTTTATGCATAATATAACATTTGAAACGGCTAATATTCAAAGATACAGCTAATATTTAGAATTTTTTTTCTCTTTCTCTAAAAACAAAAATGTTCCTTAGAGAGTAAGGATTTGGCCATTAACAAGAAAAAAGTAACATAAAAGCAGCTGCTGAGTATTCCTCTCTCTAAATAAAACAATGGGCTAGAACTCATATTACTTTATACTTACAAAAACTTTCAACCACAGTAAGGGAGAATTCCTTTCCCACTAGCTTAGTGTCTAAGTATATCTATTCCATAGGGGAGAGGTGCTTAATGGGAATCAGTGAGGAGCACTGAGTGATAATTACAAGCTCTCAATATCAGGCAACTACAATCACAGCTTGACAAATGAGTATCCGAACCAACATACCATTATGAAAAATAAAATCATTTCTTTAAAACTACATTAAGAACTAATTTTATTGGCCTGTTCAACAAATTATTAAAATGGCTGATTCCATGAGGTAAAAAGGACTTTTAAAATTTTCAGCTAAGTTGGGAAAACTGCCGAACTGTCTTTTTGAGTCAACTGTTCTGCCACATTCTATCAAGCTGAACTTTTGACTCAAACATTTAGCTCAATTTCCTGATACTATTTAATGAATTAGAAGCCATTTACATCTTAAGAATTTCAAAAAAAAATTTGTTCTGTTAAAAAAAAAGATTTCAATGTTTTCTTTAAGTAAAATACACACTGTAAATAAGGATGGGCAAAAGAGAAACAGGTTTTAACTCTTAAGTACTACTTGAATGTGTAAAAAATTGCTTGGGCTTTAATTATAAAAATTAAACAGAGAGACTAGCTCCAAACCAAGATCAGGAGATAGACAAGAAGAGAAAGAAAGCTAGGTATGAAAAGGACAACATATGGAATGGATATGTGTTAAGAAAAATTCAGGAACACTGCTACAAAAGAGTTGAATCAAGCACTGTGTAGAACTAAAGTTTATAGTAAACCCAATTATACAGAAATTCACCATGCAGTTTATAGGTTACTTATACTCAATTCTTACCAACACCTCCTTGAGAAGAAAATACAAAGATAGAAAAACAGAAATATATTTTCCTACTTGTTAACATCACAGAGCAGTTTAAACTTAAGGTTAAAATAAGACTTAAGGCCAGGCATGGTGGCTCACACCTGTAATCCCAGTACTTGGGAGGCCCAGGCAGGCAGATCACTTGAGGTCAGGAGTTCAAGACCAGCCTGGCCAACATGGCGAAAGGCTGTCTCCACTAAAAATACCAAAATTAGCCAGGTGTGGTGGCACACGCCTATAATCTCAGCTACTCAGGAGGCTGAGGCAGGAGAATTACTTGAACTAGGATGTGGAGATTGCAGTCAGCTGAGACTGTGCCACGGCACTCCAGCCTGGGCAACAGAGCGAGACCCTATCTCAAAAAATAAAAATAAAATGAGACTTAAAAGAGTACCTTTCTATCATACTGACCCAATATTATTTGTCCTCCCAATAATAAAATCTCAAAGTTAACTGTAGGTGTTGGTAATGACAACAAAATATTACTAATTGGTAATTCAATGAAATGAGTTTTCTAGAGATAAAATGACTTTAAGCAGTTGGTAATTTATGAAATGATCACATTCCAAATTAAGCAATATCTAATTTAAAGAGAAGTTAGCTTTCTGGAAAGTCTATCTATTCAGAACATAGAATAATACCCACACTTAAATAAATGAAGTCCTCTGAGCGTTTGTTAGAGATGCCACCATGTCTATACATTAACACGTGCATATTTTAACATACAGACTCTAGTGGAAAAGACTCTCTCGGCTGGGCGTGGTGGCTCACGCCTGTAATCCCAGCACTTTGGGAGACGGAGGCGGGCAGATCTCAAGGTCAGGAGATCGAGACCATCCTGGCTAACACGGTGAAACCCCGTCTCTATTAAAAATACAAAAAAATTAGCCAGGCGTGGTGGCGGGCGCCTGTAGTCCCAGCTACTCAGGAGGCTGAGACAGGAGAATGGCGTGAACCCAGGAGTGAGCCGAGATTGCGCCACTGCACTCCAGCCTGGGCGACAGGGCAAGACTCCATCTCAAAAAAAAAAAAAAAAAAAAAAAAAAGACTCTCAAGTCCCCACTTAGAACCTATTCACTAAGAACATTTTTTATCTAGTTTCCCAGCCTACAGATACCAGAAGCCATGCTAGAAGCTCACGTGTTATAACAACATGGAAAAGGGACAGGCTTGAGACCCAGTCACATGGAAAAAGCAGCCCTAAATATTCAAAAAGGAGATGAATCTGAATGATTTGGTGTAAAGGTAAGGAGTGCAGTCCCTGAGTTTCACAGTGCATAAGCTAATGTGCATATGCATGATCCTTTGTCCCCAAGAAGAGATTACAGCTGCCACACCCAAGCGAAGGGAATATTTAATATACTTTACAATTATTTCCCTTAAAAACAATTTTAAATTTTAGTGCTTAAAGGCTTTGACAAACAGCCTAGTTGGAAAAAAATATAAAATTTCCAGTATTCTGATAACAGTAGCTAAGTAAAATGTTACTGTTATAACTGGAGGAGAGAGAAATTAATATTTATCTTCCTAAGTAAGTGTTACGGTGTCAGTGACAATAATGATGCAGAGTCTTTCACATGCTGGCTCAGAAATTTCTTGTATGGTAATTTAAAAATGGCAAAATCAAGTTATTAAAATGGCAGCATATTTTCACCATTTTCCTTGAATAAATTAATATGTCCTCAAATAAGCAAATTTATTGTCATATACAAGCATAGTTCACAATACAATTATACCACTTATAAAAAATATTTCTAGAGCATTATAGGGAGTGACATATGGAATATAAGTTTTAAAATATATAATGAAAGTCACCTCTTGATTCTGTCAAAATATCACTATAATTAATTGTCTAACATCATTTGGAGGTAATATCAAAATATTACATTTGAGAATCTTGATGAATCTGAGGACCCAGGACAGAAAGTGACTCTCCAGTACCACTCCCCATTCCCATGATGGCGTCATTACTTCTGTTTTCTCATATAAACTTACCACAGAATTATTATCATTTTTATTTTATAAATGAGGAAACTGGGGCCAATCATTTGTGAAAGACAGCAGCCATTTGGTAGCAGTACCATGATTCAGATCCTCTGGCCTCCAAAACCCCTGCTGCCTTTCCGAGCACATTCAGTAGAAGCAACCCAGGAGGCCCACTATAGTGTCAGACCTGAAAAGTGTTCTCATGAAAAACTCTGCATGAAACTTCAGACAGAGTATCTAGACTGTGGTCAGTGCGTAAAAAACAGTGTGAACATTCATGTTCCAGTGCACAAAACAGTATCCTCCTATTACAAAGATGTTCATGTACCACCCATGAAGGCAAATTAATTCTTGGAACATGATTTCAACTCGTTTAAAATTGTAAAAGGATAAATTTTACATAAGATGCATCAACTGTGAGAAAACAAATTATATCATAAATCTCTTCTTTACTAACTTTCCAGTTAAGAAGAGACACTGCCAGCACACACTGTTTAAGTTGCAGATGTGGTTTCTTTCTTCTTTGTGTCTAATACCCACCACTGTCTCTCAACACACCACACAAAACACACACATAGTGCCCTCCCTCTGAGAGTTCTCAGAAAATGCCTGTGGAATGAATGGACAGATGGATGAATGACAAGGGAGAAATATGTTCATGTTTTGAAGATACATATAATCTCTTCTTGGTGACAAAGGATCATGTGTGTGCACATTAGCTTATGCGCTGTGAAACTCGGGGGCTGCATTCCTTACCTTTACACCAAATCATTCAGATTCATCTCCCTTCTGAATATTTAGGGCTGCTTTTTCCCATGTGGCCGGATCTCAAGCCTGTCTCTTTTCCATGTTGTTATATCATGCATACTTCTAGCATGTGATAACAGATGCTATACATAAGTTAAAACTATGCAGACTGGGATGCTAAACACTCCCAAAGCTACCTAAAAAAAAACTTCAACTAGAATCTGTTTATTGCAAAGCTATCTTCAAAACATGAACATATTTCTCCCTTGTCATCCATCCATCTGTCCATTCATTCCATAGGCATTTTCTGAGAACTCTCAGAGGGAAGGTACTGTGTGTATGTCTTTGTGCAGTGTGTTGAGAGACAGTGGTGGGTATTAGAAACAAAGAGGAAAGAAACCACATCTGCAATTTAAAGCCATCTTACTTCTAAGCCCAATCCATTGCTAAGACTTCTCTCTTCCCTATAAATGCTTCTTGGATTTGCCCCTTTCAATCCATTTATTTCTATCTCATTGTACCTATACACTGCTCATTTTCATTACAGTATACAAAATTGTTACAGTGGTATCAAGTTTAAAGTTATGTGACTTTGATAATCATCTAACTTGAAAAGGGGGCCTCACTTTGCTTTATATGTAAAAGGGGGAAAATAAAAATTAACTGCTTAAAAGCTAAAGATTTTCTAGGCTGGTCTCAAACTCCTGACCTGAGGTAATCCATCTGCCTTGGCCTCCCAAAGTGCTGGGATCACAGGTGTAAGCAACCCTGTCTCTACTAAAAATGAAAAAATTAGCTGGGCGTGGTGGCATGCACCTATAGTCCCTGCTACTCTGGAGGCTGAGGCAAGAGAATCGCTTGAACCCTGGAGGCGGAGGCTGCAGTGAGCCGAGATTGCACCAATGCACTCTAGCTTGGGCAACAGAGTGAGACTCTGTCTCCAAAAAAAAAAAAAAAAAAAAAAGTAAGATTTTTCATTCCTTGGATCTAAGATTTTACAAAGTTGCTTCTAATACAACATAAACATTAAAATTTACAGGTGAGTTCTATTTTCTATTCTTATTTCTTTCTTAGCTCTCTGAAATTAGATTTTAGATCTGTGGTATTTCTGACAGGATTAATACTCTTTCTCCTTATTAAAAGTCTTTAGGCTACTATTAGGTGTCTAATTTGCCATATTACTTAAATCTCTGATTCACTTATTTCCATCCATATTCATCAAATTCATCCTCAATATTACTACCAGAGTGAGCCAGAACAAATCTGACCTATTACTATCCTGAGTAAAAAACATCAAAGGCTGCTCATTCATTGTAAACAATGCCTAAATTCCTTAGTATAATTCTTCCCAATGTGGTCTACGTTCATTTTTTCAGTCTTATTTCCCAATGCACCACTATGCACTCTCCAGTTAACACCAAATTGCTTGCATCTGATTAATTCATTACACTCATTCTGCAAGTATTTTCTGAGCATAAATTATATACTAGCCACTATGCCAGTAAGCACAGGGAATCCTGAAGTGAACAAGACAAATATGGGCCACCTTCACAGCATTGATAGTCCTGCTTAAAAGGGTTTCATACTGTCTGTAGCATCCTCCGACCCCTGAAATGCTGAAGAACACAATATAACTTTCACAGCTCAGCTCAAGGCTCAATTCCTCTATTAAATCCTTTCTGATCAACCCTCACCAGTGCACCTCCTACACACTACTATCTAAGCACATTTAGCCCTTTATTATAACAATGTGTTTACTAGTCTATTGCACCAAAATGGCACATAGGCAACAGCCTTCTCTTAGTCATCTTTGAAATGAATGAAAGCACATAGAAATAAAGACTATGAAGATCATGGCATAGCATACTTAATAAATACTGCACTTAATAAATATCTGTCTAGAAATGAAAGACTGAATTATTTTATTCTTATCCAAAAAATCTTTTTCTGTTATCTTCAAGTTATTCTCCAGACTTTAAGTCCCTTAAAGTCAGGGATCATATATTTTTGGTCCTGTTCTGTACACATATTAATGACAAAATATTTATTGAATACATTCTCTAGATCTACAATTCATAACTATTAGACCATGGTAATAATGTCACAATACTTAATAAACTGAAACCAACAACAATCAGATTAATAAGGCTATAAAAAGTATAGGCATGTATGGTATTAAATCCATTTTATGAATGTCTGATTTCAGTGATAATGCCAATTCACTAACATAGGTAGAAAAACAATCACAAAACCTTAGAATTGTTTATTCTTACAACAGCCAAGAAGTTGCAGATCTAGATAATGTAAAAAAAGAATTTCACAATTTAGAAAATGCTGTTGGTTCCTATAGCACATAATATCGATAATATCAACAATAATAATAGCAAACACATACAGTGTTTTCTACTTGCCAAGAACAGTTCTAAGTATTTTGCATGTACTAACTTATTTAATGCTCATTTCAACCCTGTGAGATACCCCCATTACACAGATAAGCAAAATTAGGCACACGCAGGTAAATTAATTTGCCCAAGATCACTCAGATAATAAATAACTGAATTTGAACCTAGGAAGTCTGGTTCCAGAGTCTTTGCTATTAACCACAATATTATTCTCATTCTTTATTGTTATACAATAAAAGTGGCCATCCAGACCCTATACAAATAAATGCCATCCTAAACATATGTGGCAAACTTCAGGAGTCCTCGACTTCTTGTTACTTATGACTTCTATTTTGTATCTGAAGTGTAAAAAATAGTATGTATATGTGAGACAATCCAGAGAGGGCACTGGAAGTAAGATCAGGGAAAAAGCATAATCATTTTGCAGTGCATAAAGAAATTATATAACATCTATTAGACATACTGTAATAATACCCCCCAAAATTCAAGAGCTATCAGGAAAACGTTCTGTCACCTGTCAGCCCACCACCAACTAGATCAGTCACAAAGATCAACAAACATTATTACAAGTAGTAAATGGGAAAAGCCACCTAGGGCATTGGCACCATGCATAGGACTTTTGAAAGCACTGCAATACATTTCATCTGTAGTTCTAAAATGCATAACAGCAAGCAGAGTTCATGGCTTTGGTAGTTTTTATAAAAACTCTTCTTTAAAATAATCCTTATTTAGCTATCACTGCCTCATTCCAAACAATATTAAATGTGTGGGTTCAAACCATGAGTTTGAAAATGTAATTTGTAAAAAGTGGTTAGAAACAAAATTATACCCTATCAAATAAACAAACCTACCATAAAGGGCCTTTGCACTTGTTTTTGAACCATGTTCTCTGTCCGTCTGGGAAAAGGTAGGTGATGATCCGTAGCCACTGTAATAATAATAATAATAATAATAATAATAATATAAAAAGGTCATTGTGTTGGGTTAAAGTCCAATATAAGTAACAGAAACTCAACTAGAAAATAAAAATTCCAATGCACTATAATCACCACGTGTTTAAAAGAACATACTGATGGCCAGGCACGGTGGCTCACGCCTATAATCCCAGCACATTGGGAGGCCGAGGTGGGCACATCACCTGAGGTCAGGAGTTCGTGACCAGCCTGACCAACATGGAGAAACCCCATCTCTACCGAAAATACAAAATTAGCCGGGCGTTGTGGCGCATGCCTGTAATCCCAGCTACTCGGGAGGCTGAGGCAGGAGAATCGCATGAACCCGGGAGGTGGAGGTTGCAGTGAGCCAAGATCGCGCTATTGCACTCCAGCCTGGTGACAGAGCGAGACTCTGTCTCAAAAAAAAAAAAAAAAAAAAAAAAAATTAGCTAGGCATGGTGGCAGGCACCTGTAATCCCAGCTATGCAGGAGGCTATCTAACCTCTTGCTACTAATATGTTATGTGAAATAAATAGTGCTTTATTTGAATTTTACTCATTTTTTCAGTGAACATTTTTGTAAGACCCAAAACCTAGAAGAATAAGGACTATGGGAGGGGGAAACAGGGTGCTGTCAATAAAATAAGTACATAAAATAATTATAATAGAATGTGATATCTGGGTAAAACTAATAGATATGACATGTAAAATCAAAGAAGGACTAACTCTTCATCAACATATCTAAGAAAACTTTACTACCGCATTGACACAAGCAGAATCTAAATGAATGGAAAGAAGCTCTATAAACAGGCAGAGAATCAAGTGAGGAAAAGGTACGTGGAACTGACTCAAGAAATAGCACAGTGTCTGTGGAAAGATGCAGTTAATGTAACATTCCCAGAATAGACGAATGACTGGAGAAGCTGTGGCAGATTGAGGGCTTTTAGCATCATGATTAAGAATTACATTTTATTTTATTCTCTCAAAATAGTAAACATTACCTGTTATGAAAAAATGATGAGTAAAATATATACCACAATGGCCAATGTCAAATAATAACATTAATCGTAATACATAAGACAATGGCCAATTAAGTCAGGGTTATGATTTCAAGTTATACCTGGACCCACTGGAAATATTTTGTTAGTTTGCCTGATCTTTTCTAGTTTTACACAGTGGTAAATAACTTGATTAGTTTATACTAAATGACATTTAACCCTTCTCAAATGCCAATATTTTATAAATAACAATAACAGAATGCACCACAGAAATTCAAAGCTCTGAAGTAGATTATATATTCAACCATGAAAAGCAAGAATGCATAAAGTACTAGAATGAAACAGAAACATCTTCCAAGTGTGAGATCAATATCATTATCATAAGGCTATTTACTTTACCATCTTATTCTTATCAGACATAGTAAACTTTTAATAACATGTGTTGTAACAAAGATATTACATATTAATGAGGAATGAACTACTGAACTACACAACGAAAGTAATCTTTTCACTAAAAATATAAAACAATTAAAATCACCAAATCAAATTCCCCCAAAACATATTAAATATAAACTTTTCAACTTACTTCATCTGAGATGGGTACATTCCAAAACTACTGGGATGATTAGAAATATGACCATTCATTGTGTCTTTCACTTGTGTGTTCTAAAAAAAGAAAGACACATAGATTAAAGGCAATAAAAAGGTCAAGACATCTCAGTTTCAAAAGTTATTCATTCAACAAATATGTGTTGCTGCCAGGAATTATAGTAGAAATGCAAAGATAAAGATCTCCACCCTCAAAGAGCTCAGGCCCCAGAGGTATAGATGAACATTTAAACAAAGATCCAACTGGCATTTAAAATTAATATGCTAAAATTATAAGCAGATTTAGGTGAACAAAAGAAAAATCTAAAATATAGTTCTGAGTTCTCAAAGCATATAGACATAATTCTACATTCTGCCCAAACTCATAATCAACTATCAATTTTATGAGATGTTATTTTGTTTACTATTCCATTATAAAAGTAATATAAACTCATTTAATTTAAAAAGTTGAGAAATACAGAAAAGTACAAAAGCAAAAAGTATCACCCAGAGCCCTATCATTTACAGAGAACCAGGTAACAGTTACCTTGCAGTCTTTTTGCCTACAAGTGGTTTTCTTTCCTCCCTTCCTTCTTTTATTTCTTCTTTCCTTCAAAGCACATTTGACAACATGTGCTTTGTCAAATGCACAAATGCACATGGACACATCCTTTTTTCAAGAAACTTTTCATTTACACACTTCTTTTACTTTTCACAAGAAAATAACTTTAAAAATCAATATCAGATATTTAACCTCAAAAACCATTTTTAAATCTATTTTACAGATTGAACAAACTTCCTTCAAACAAGACAAATAATTAGTAAAACTTCCTCTTTACCAAATGGAATGGCCTTTTCTTTCTTCTAGATAACATTGCTGTACCCAATTTGTTTCTTTTCACTCCTGGATATTTGGTCCTCTCCGGGTTTGTGTCACTAAGCTATCCTGGATCCTGCCTTAGTTTTCTGAATTTTGTCTTTTCAAATATATTATATTACTATGTCCTCTCAATAACTGTGAGTTAGGCAGGACATACCCCAGCTTTATGGGCCAAGGGGGTGAAAGCATGAACAAATATTGATTATTAAGTTTCAGGTCCTGTGATGGATATTGGGACCACCAAAGTGAACCAAACAGACATGGTCCCAACTATAGGGCCAACAGTCTAGTGGGGGGAAACAGATAATGAATAAGTGTAAAATTTTAAGTTGTACTTATCATTACAAAGGGAACATTCATCATAACACGGATGCAAATAATAACAGAACTTAACTCTGATTGGAAGAGCACAGAAAGCCTACATAAAGAAATAATATTCAAGATCTGGTCACTTCGAGTTAATTCTGTCTCATTCTTCAGATCTCAGTTCAATCACAATGTCCTCAGGGGAAGATTTTACTGACCGTCCTGGATAGATAAAATCCCACTATCAGACACTCTCCATACTATAGACAATTTTTCAAAGCATTTATCACATTCATAACTTTTCCTTTACTTAAATTAATACCTGACTCTTCACTAAACTCTTAGCCCCCAAAAGGCTTGAATTTTTGTTTGATGACTTCTGCTTTTCAAATAAGAAGAAGGGTACCAGGCACAGAATAGGTGTTCATTAAATATTTATTCAAAGAAAGAAAGAAGGAAATCCATGTCCCACTCTTCAAAGAGTTTATTGTATTCTTAGGGAAACAAAGTTAATTCATGTAAAACAAATAGTAAGGAATTAAGTCCCAACATATGTAGCTCTATTTTAAATCTGCTAGAAGTTCGGAGAGGGAAAAGGCCATGAAGACTGTCATTACTTTCTGGAAGGGCTGGGACTTGACCTAGTTCTTAAAAAAATGGGTAAGAATGGCCCTCAAAACACTGGACTTTAATTTAAGCTTTCCTATCCACTGCTTAAAAGCACATTTATAAATTAAGAAGCAAAGAAAGATCGGCCTCTGCCCTATACATGCATGTACTTATAAAATTACATGTATATTACATTGCTGTGCTCCATTTTTGTTGTTTTCCTTCTTCAGTTTACACTTGGATACAATCAGTGGTGTGCTGGTAAACCAATTCTCAGGGTGGGACAAGGCAGAGGGCCTGATTTGTAGTGCTTATTGTTTTCCATGGTATAAATATTCCCACCATGGCCAATTTCAAGCAGTCAGTGGTTTAACAGCAGCTTACAAAATTCCTAAATTCTTCACGATTGGCTAAGGATCCAACTGCAGCACATCATTGCTACGTTCTATAATTTGGGCCAGAACAGAGGCCTGGAATAACATTATGGAACTAGAGATAGTCTGGAATTTTAACACTATTCCTGGCACTAACTGGGCTAGGAAAGTCAATTAAGCCTCTGGCCTCTGTCTCAATGTCCTCGTCAGTAAAATAGAGATAATTCTTCGTCTTCCGAGCTCACAGTGCTAGTGTAAAGATGAAATGAGATAGATGTGCAAGTTTCTTCCAAAACTGAAAAAAAAAGAAGTGTTCTTTCAAAGCAAGCTGGTTCATTCAGTATATAAATTAAACCCCCAGGGTTTGTGCTGATTTTGATCTGGTTTGCGTTTTAAAACCACAGCAGCTGGTTTTAATGAAAAGTGATAGCCACAGCATCTCATCTTTTCATGTTTAATTCTTCATGACAATCAAATAAATGCATGGTCTCTCTTTTGTTTTAAAATAGTGATCTGTTAGAATAAGAGAACATTAGAAAAGGGGATAGAAAATGGCAATTTGCTAAATTGAATTTTAAATATAGAAACTTTTTGTCATTTGGCAATCACAGTTTCACTTATCACGGCGGCTCATGTGGCAAATATGGAGGCTTTCAAATACCCAATTTGAGCGATTGCAGTGTATACCATGCGGAGGAAACAATTACAAATGTTTGTCTTTTTTTCCATTAGGCTTTTAAGACATACCCAGTTTATACCCATATACACAATTTAAAATAATGATCAACTCTAACTGAAAAATTAAGTGTTTTTATTTTTATAAACTGTTAAAGCAACCTAAAAACTAAAGAGACAAAGGTTTTTTTAATCGCTTTTAAGTTTAATGACTCACAAATGCAGTTAATCACACTAACTACATAATTCTGCTGAAAGTATACACTAAAGCCATCATAATAGCTACCACCTACAGTTGGCTCCTGAACAAGAGGAGGGTGAACTGCAGAGTCCACTTACAAGCAAATTTTCTTCCACCTCTGCCACCCAGAGACAGCAAAACCGACCCCTCCACTTCTTCTCCCTCAGCCTACTCAACATGAAGACAAGGATGAAGACCTTCATGATGATCCACTTCTATTTCATGAATAGTGAACATATTTTCTCCTTCTTAAGTATTTTCTCTAGCTTACTTTATTTTAGAATATATAATACATATACAAAATACGTTAATCAACTATTTATATGATCTTAGGTAGACAGTAGGCTATTAGTATATGTTTTAGAGGAGTCAAAGTTATACACAGATTTTTGACTGAGTGGGGGTCAGCACCCCAATCCCTGCATTTGCTCAAGGGTCAGCTATATTTGATTTTAAGTAACAGCATCAATTTCCTTATGAAAACACTTTTAGTAAGTCGTAGTTACTATAATTTTATCTTTATTTTCTACAGAAAATAAAATTCTTTGGCAATTAGAAGGATACAAATGATAAATTTAAGATCTAAGTTAAGCGAATGAAAAATGTAACACACTATAATTTTCAAAAAGAAAGGAAATGGAATATATAAAAAATGACTAAGAAGAAATAAACAAGGCTATAAGGTTAACTCAGCAAATTAAATTTGTATCAGAAGGTTTTAAGATCCTCAAATATAAGTTTTAGATTCCTTTTCTTTACTCTTGCTTGCATCTCATATCAATTTTCAAATTGGTAGATGAGTATGTAGTCATGACTCAATATTAGAAAACTACTTACCCAATCTTGCTGCCACATAATTAGTAACTCTCTGCATATTTAACTGTCCTTCAAATGACTTGTGTTCTCAGAAAATATCACAGATTTTTTTATCTACAGAAGTGTGTTTTTGTGTGTTTGGATATGATATTGAAACATCTATGTCTAGGTTTCAATTTAATTTAATTTATGTCTCCCAGTCTAAGTTACAACCAAGTGGGAGGGGGTATTATCATTACTTAGGATTTTCACTAAAAGATCAGTGAAACTTAATTTCCACCAATACTTTGTGACATTGTCTAACAATGATTTTGTTTCAAACATTAAAAAAAAAATCTTCTTTAAACCTCTTAAATCATCACACATTTTGTCTCCTGCAATGTCTTCTAGAGCAATCACGTTTTAATATCTCTTTCCAGTACCATTGGTAAAGACGGCACCATGTATTTTTCTATGCTATTTTTTCAAATATCAATTAACAAAGAATTTTTATGTGTGAATAAACTCAAAAAACTAATAAGGATATTAAGTTCTTGTAACAATAATGTGGTTAATGCCTGTGAAGGTATCACAATTTCTAGACCATATAGAAGAACAGTATTTTCTCAACACCAGTATCAATGTAAATGGAGTAGTTTTATGCCTTTAAGTCAACACAATAAAATCACTTAAAATAGTTAACTTAGTTCCTCTTTCTTTATGACAAAATTCTTAAGCTGTTTATAAATCAGAACATAATTTTGGGAAAAGTCTATGATCAAATCAGAATGTTGTTTGGTTAACAAGTGGCTGAAGAAAACTACTTATAACAAAATTTAATATGCAACTTTAGAAAGAACTACTTTAGCACTAATTATGTTTGCTATTGTGATGGTGTTCATAGGAAGGGCTAATAAAGAAAAGAGGCATAGACATATTCTAATACTACTATTATATTTCCCTCCAGTTCTTGTCTATTCCCTGAGTTGCTATGATGACATCATCAGCACACATGTACTACTGGATGCTATACTATACATGGAAATTACTAATATCTCAGTTCAAAATGTTTTGATATTTTACTGACTTGGGAAACTATGCTAATTTTAAAAAGAATCACTTCTATTTATTGAGTTTTAACTCTGCATCAGGTATCATGCTAAATGCATTCTATTGTCTTAATCTTGACATTAGTTTTTGAAGGAAGTACTATTCTTCATTCTCATTTTATAGATGAAGAAATTGAAACAAACAGACTGCCATTTGTGTGGTATTTTGAAGCTTAATAAAATCACATAGTACCATGAATGACTGAAAAGTAATGTCTTATTTGCATCTAAGGTAAAATCATAGGCAGAAGTGAACACAAAGGAGAAAGGGAAAGAAAACATTTAATGAGCCCCCAGTTCATAAGACATTTTACAAATATCACCTCACTTTATCCTTAAAACAACATTATCAGCTAGTTATTGGCTCTATTTTATGGGTGAGATGACAGCCTCAAGGCGGTTAAGTCATTTGCCTAAGTGGTAATGATACGGAAGGGAAGGGAGTGGTCCCTTTAAATAATACAGAAGTGGGGAAAGGAAGTGCTGGGTAGAGGAAGGCGGGGTCACTGGTTAGGGCTCCACCCCCATGGACCTAGATGAGGACAGGCATTTTTGTTTTCCTGCCCAAATGTTGCATTTCCCAAGACCAGCCTGGCTTGCCACGCCCCCATTTTGTGCCTATAAACACCCTGAGAACCTAGCAGGCAGGCACATAAGCAGCTGGACATTGAGAGGGGCACATCGGCAGAGGAACACACCAACAGGCACTAGCATGCTGCAGGCCACTAACCAGCAGAATGACGCGGAATTTGGAGTTTAGCAGGGGCAGCCGGACTCCAGGGGAAAACCATTCTCCCTTGTGGCTCCCCCATCTGCTGAGAGCTACCTCCACTCAATAAAACCCTGCACTCATTCTCTAAGCCCACGTGTGATCCGATTCTTCCCATACGCCAAGGCAATAACCCCAGGATACAGAAAACCCCCTGTCCTTGCAATAAGGTAGAGGATCTAATTGAGCTGGTTAACACAAGCTGTCTATAGACAGCAAAACTAAAAGAGCACCCTGTAACACTCGCCCACGGGGGCTTCATCTGTAAACATTCACTCCTAGACACTGCTGTGGGATTGGAACCTCACAGCCTGCCAGTCTGCATGCTCCCCTAGAGGTCTGAGCAGCGGGGCACTGAAGAAACAAGCCACACCGACATTGCATGCCCTGCGAGGGGGACAAAGGAACTTTTCTTGTTTCAGTAACAGAAGAAGCTAAAATTAGAAGCAGAACTCAAACTCTGATCTGACTGACTTATATCCCTTTTTTTTTTTCAGTAAGTTACACCATTGTGTGATAGTTTGACCACTGTGTGCTTGCCAAAAGTTTTCAGTTTTATTTGCTCGGATGTGCAATTATATTCTTTATTCTAATCAACTCTTCTTAAAATAAGGTATTAAAAATGCTAGTTTTTGGAAAGGAAGAGTATTTACTGAGAAAACTAGGATTAAATATATTTTTAATGCTAAATATCCTTTTTCCATAACAGCACCACATGCTAAATTAGTACAGCTCAACATACTTTACAAAAGCAAACAGAAAAAGACCTACCAGGGCCTGACATAAACCAGCTGGGTGGGAAGATGGAAAAACATACTCTAAAAACATCTTTTTTAAAAGTTTTGTTTTGTTTTTAATTGACAAATAATAATTGTATATATTTATAGTGTACAATGTAGTGCTTTGATACATGTATAACTATGAAATGATTAAATCAGGCTAATTAGCATATCCAACACCTCAAATATTTATCATTTCTTTGTGGTAAGAACATTTAAAACCCTCTCTGTTAGCTATTTTGAAATACGCAAAACATTAGTATTAACTATAGTCACTGTGCTGTGCAATTGGTCACCAGAACTTATTTCTCCTAACTGAAACTGTGTACCCATTGTTAAGTGAAATAAGCCAGGCACAGAGATTTCACTTATACGCAGACTCTAAAAAAGTTGGATTCACGGAAGTAGAAAGTAGGATGGTAGTTAGCAGAGGCTGGGAGTTGGGGAAGGAGGTGGACCAGGAGAAGAGAAACATTGGTAATATCATCTTTAATGAGACTGAAACGCCTGAATTCAAATTTCATTCTGGTGTATTAAATGGCATCTAAAAATAGTAAATCATAAAACATTACAGGTACAGCAAGAAGAGCTGTAACCCAAGGATGAGATATAATATTTTAATATTTAACCACCCTGTCACCACATGATTACCTTCCTCTGCATCACCTAGAGCAAAGGACATTAAGCAGCAAACAAAATACTGCAGGTGACTCACTGCATTTCCGTATAGCTCCTTAAGAGGATCAATCTTTTCTAAAGTGTACAATATATCTTTATAAATGCTTACAACATACGAAGTGGAAAATGGTATCTTTAGGCAACTGCTGTACTGATTCATCCCACTTCTCTAAATCATAAATACATCTCCCGAATATTACTACAAGTAAAAACTTAATTGTTAAACCACATGGGACTCTTTAAAAAGCATAAGAATTCTATTTTTTTAAAGGTTAACTAAATCTTTCTAGTGTATTATAATGCACATACTTACACTACCCCCAAACTACTTCTCATATATTTTATTGATAGTCACTATTTCTTATCTCAACTTCCTCTCTTCCTGCCTGCCATAATATTCTAACATTGATTGTTTTGATAAGGGAACACAGAGGTATTATATCTTATCAAGGATTATCCATTGTTTCAATTTGTCTGCTCTATTTTAGTAATACATGGTTTTACAGATCCAATGGCCAGCAGAATGATTATATGGGGGAATGTAATTGCTTTCTAACAGAATACGTTGTATACTTTTCTAGGTATCAGACTGTATCAAGAGCAAAATGTATAACTTTATGTCTATGAAAAGTTCACGACTAAGCAGGTAAGTTAAAACCCTCAATTCTTAACTGTTCCTTCTTCCTATTATCCTATGCCTCTTAACATTTTGCCCACAAAGATAAAAATGCACTCTTTTCAAAATAGTATTTTTCATTTATCTTCAAGAATAGAGGCAGTCCTAATAGGCTGCTAGAAAGTGATGCAATAAAGAAGAGTCAAGACCAAACAAAAAAGTCAGTTCCACTAACTGTCTACACTTGGCTGAATATAAAAAAAACAAGCCAGATTGTCAGTAGGTAATCCTACTAAGAAAACAAATCTCTAGCACCTCATCCAACTCACAGAAAAGCTAGGACAAACTTTCCTTGAAGCTTCACTGCTTATAAAGAAATTTTAGGGGAAAGAAAAAGCATCTTTAAGAAAAGACCACATTATAGGCAATAGAAGACAGCAAAGTGTGAAGTTCAAGGGCAACTAGATTAGGGGTGGATCTAGAGGATAAAATCTCCCTGAAAGAATGACTAGACCAAAAAAGGCAAGAGAGGCTGGGCACAGTGATTTACTATGCCTGTAATCCCAACACTTTGGGAAGTCAAGGTGGGGGTATTGCTTGAGGCCAGGAATTCAAGACCAGCCTGGTCAACATAGTAAGGTCCCATTTCTACCAATAAAAAAAAATTAACAAAAAAGAAAGATAATGACTTTTAGAAATATATAGTATAATGGGGCAGAGAGACATCAAAAGGATCATTTATAGTACAATGTGGCAAGTAGAAAGACAGTATGCAAGGCCTGCGCCTAGGGCTGGAAGCGGGAGACATTCGGTTCATAACTGCCTTCCTTCACAGGCTGTGATGCAGGAGCTGAGTAAGCCAGAAGGCAAAAGAGAAGAGCAAAGGCAGGAGATGGCTTTGGACACTTAGGAAACTGTCAGCAGTTTGGCAGGAAGTTATGAGGGATGAGGTTGGAGATGAAGTGAGAATCATATCACAGAGGACGAATTACAGATACACCACATTTTTGTGAGACTAAAATTCAGTGTTTACTTATTGAATCTATGTAAATGCTATTCACAGTATACTAAGAATACCCTTCCATTTTTATATATTTGTCTTCTGTTTGTTAATAATTATCTTTCCCCCCAACTCTTAGTGATCCTATGTCCCCCTCGTTAATTTTATTACTTTACACCACCAGAAGTGGAGCCCTCCTTTCAATACATTGAAGCACCACCCATTCTATCATTACTCTAACATTTCTGTCTTTCTGCAGGCTTCTTTCCCAGATATATGACTGCTCCACTCTGAACTGATTACTCTCTAAGGCTCCGAAGAGCTTTCATCACGGGATCCACATTCCTCACCACCTTGTGTATCCCCTTCACGTTCCCCCTGTCTTGGAGCCTTACTTCCTGGATCCTGGACCTCCCTCTTTCCATGCTTTTACTTTTTTATTTTGGTAGGGCACATACTTCAGGGACTTCCTAAGAAAGAGCATTAGAAATGTACATTTTTGAAACTGTATATGATGAAAAATGTGTTTATTTTACCTTTACACATGATGGACCGTTTGTCTTGGTTTCAAATTGTAGATTGAAAGAGGTTTGGTTTTTTTTTTTTTTTTTTTTTTTTGCCCCATAATTTTGAAGCCCTTGTGGTTCTGTCTTCAATGACCCCTGCTGAATGTTAGGGGCCACTCTGACTCCCAATTTTTTGTATAGAGCCTGTCTGTTTTCTTCTGTCTGGAGTCTAGGATCTTCATTTTTACCCCTGATGTTCTGAAATGTTATGGTGCTATACATTAGTATGGGTGTTTTTTGAAAAATTCAGCATATTGGAAACACAATAGGCCTTTTCAAACTTGAAAATCATTTTCCTAAAGTCCGGGAAATTTTCTTTTGCTATTTCTTTGATAGTTTCCTTGCTATATATACTTTTCCTTTTTCTAAAAAATTCAGTTGCTCAGAGTAGGACCTCCTGGTCTAAGTCTCTACTTTTGTATTTTCTCTTTTGTTTTTCATTTTGTAATTTTTTTTTCTACTTTCTGGGTAGCTTCCTCTTCTTTATATTCAAAAAACATTTTGAGTTTCTTATTTCTTCTATCAGTTCCATTTTTCAGGAGTACATTTTTAGAACCTAAAGCTTCCTTTTCTTTTAGTGTCTATACTTATTTTCTGATTACAGTATATTCTCTGATCTTTCTGAGAATATCCATGATAATATTTTTAAGTTTTCTTCTCCCTTCATTGTCTCTTTATGACAATTTCCTTGTTTTCGCTAGGTTTGTTTTGGCTTCTGAATTGCTTTAAATATCAGGTGATTACTGGTTATTACTCATATTGAAGATGAAGCCCTAAAAAGGTGGCAAGAAAGTCAGTGTCCATGGGTGGGGCTTGTGAACAAGTGGGCTTCACTGCACAGAAGTCCTGCTGGCAGACCCCAGCCATCAGTGTCTATCGGTCTTTTGCATAGATCAGTCAGGTTCTCCAAGGAAGTATCTTCCCATTCCATGTTTAGAGAATGTAAAGCTGACTGCCAAAACTTTGGCAATAAGTGGAAGAAGTCAGCCAGGGTTGTCTTACTGTTTACTAAGCATTTCATTTCATCTTTCACCCTCTGTCTGTACCTTGGTATCCCCAACCGAGTTCTCTAGTTCACATTCTCCACAGAATAAACTACTGGTTTTACTGGAGTGTGAGGAGGCATCTGGGATCCAAGTTCACTTTAAACACATGACTAATAAATCCTACTATTCTTAGCCTCACTCTCACTGTTGAGTCAGTTGGAGGTTCTGAAATGAAAATAAGGTTGCTTCTCAATGTCTCTCAATAGTAGCTTAGGTTTCAGCATGTAAGGACTTCTAGGTTAATCACAATTATCCACAGGCTTTATAGAGTCCCTTTGTCTCACTGGCTTTCTGCATTTAAAAATCCCTTTACTGTTATTTTATTTGGAGGAAGTGAAATAAATGCATATACCACCATGGAATACTATGCAGCCATAAAAAGGAATGAAAACATGTCCTTTGCAGGGACGTGGATGAAGCTGGAAGCCATCATCCTCAGGAAACTAACACAGGAACAGAAAACCAAACACTGCATATTCTCACTCATAACTGAGAGCTGAACAATGAGAACACATGGACACAGGGAGGGGAAAAAATACACACCAAGGCCTGTCAGATGGAGGTGGGGCAAGAGGAGGGAGAGCATCAGGACAAATAGCTAATGCATGCGGGTCTTAACACCTAGGTGATGGGTTGACAGGGGCAGCAAACCACAATGGAACACGTATACCTATGTAACAAACCTGCACATTGAGCACATGTATCCCAGAACTTCAAGTAAAATTTTTCAAAAAATGAAACAAATGTATATGCTTAGTCTGCCATTTTTCTGTAGCATATTTTCATTGTCTAAACATTAAGAAATATTTGTCAATGAAAAACCCAGATGAAAAATTCAAGTCACCTCTAATGTGAACTTGAGAGGTTCAGGTGGACTATGAAATATGAGTACAAGTTTATACTAAAAACAAAGGTACCATAACAACCAGAGTGAAAGTAACACAAAAAAAAATGAAGGAAATTTACATTTGATAAAGTCAGCTGGTATTTTGGTAGTATATGTTTAACTACCTATTGTTATTATAACAACAAATTCTGTTTTCAAATCCCAGAGAAAAAACAATACGCTAAAGCATGGACGTGAGGCAATAACCCCAGTTAAATCAGACATTACTGTTCACGAAAAGCTCTTGCTTTAATTGCTTTTCTAGAAATTAAATCATAACAGAGTTAGGTGCCTAAATAAAACCTGGAATTCATCCTTAGGTAAATAACCACTACTTTATCCATTCTTTATTAATTTTTTCCCAAAGAGAAGCCCATTTAAATTGATACAGCTGGGAACAAATTATTCGTGGACTACTCCAAAACAAAAGCAGAGATATTTGTACATTAGTTTTAAAATTCAAGTTGCCTATAAAAGTAGTATGAAACTCTCTTCTTGAGAGTTTACCTGCTTACATAGTCATTAAAAAATAAAGGAAGAAAAGTTAATTCCAATGGAAAAAATAATTGAGCCTATTATATTTCATATTTAAAAGTCAGTAAATATAAGCTTTGACTGTGAATAGCATTACCTTTGAAAATTGTGAAATTATAATAGAAGTTCTCAAAACCAGCAGTAAATTTTTTCATAACCATGAAATCACCCACGAATGAGGTAAATTTAGACATATTTCACTATTTCATTATTGTAAAAATAATGCTCATTAAGTATTTTATTATGTCAGCCACTGTGCAAGCACTTTACATGCATTATCTTACTTCTTATTAAGAGGTAAAAAGAACTTCTTATTCTCATTTTAATGAGAATCTGAGACTTTAAATTAGAGTTATAAGTAAAGGTAATTTGGCCATGACATCAGCAACAAGTTGTGCTTTTAACCACTATTATATACTTTCCTTTTACTAATGATAAATCCAGTATTTTGAAGTTGGCTGGGGAAATGTCAACATGGATTAATTAAAAACTAAAATAACTTTTAAACATGATTATTCAAACAAGATTCATTCAACATTAATTGGCACCTGCCAATCTGAGTACTACTTCATTCATTCGCTCATTTAACAAATAATTACTACGTAACCAGAATGTGCCCATCAGTGCTCTCGCACAGTCCCATACAACTTCCTAGAATAATAGAAATGCACTATATTAGCACTGCTCAATACAGTAGCTGAGCACAAGTGTTGAGCACTTGAAATGTGGCTAGTGCCACTAAGAAACTGAATTTTAAGTTTTATTACATATAAATTAGTTTACATTTAAATGTTAATAACCACATATAGACTAACAGCTACCACACTAGACAGGGTAGCTCTACATATTGAGTGCATGGTTAGCAAAACAGACAGGGTTCCTACCTTCATGGAGCTTACAATCTAGAGGGAGGAGAGCATGAAATAAGAAAATGAGGCAGGGCATGGTGGCCCACACCTATAATCCCAGCACTTTGGGAGGCCGAGGTGGGTGGATCACCTGAGGTCAGGAGTTTGAGACCAGCCTGGCCAAAATGGCGAAACCCCATCTCTACCAAAAATATAAAAATCAGCCAGACATGGTGGCAGGCACCTGTAATCCCAGCTACTCGGGAGGCTGAGACAGGAGAATCACTTGAGCCCAGGAGGCGGAGGTTGCAAAAAGAATAAATATGACAACTTCTGTTAATTTATTAAAAAGTAAAAATAAAACAGATAGCGTTTATAAGGATACAAACACAGACTGCATCAAACCTAGCTATGAACTTCTCAAAAGTATGGGACTGAGAGATTCATTCTGAAAATGTTCTCTCAGGATTTCTCTATTTAAAATCCAGGATAATTAGTCTACCTTTAAAACAAAGAATTTATGCATTTATTGAAAGTGTTTTTAATGTTTCAAGACAAGGTGAAACAGTACTCTGTTGACAAAAAATATGTAAAAATAATTCTGAATGAGAATGCTATTATTTATTATATTTCAGGTAGCAGTTTGAACATAAGCAAAATAAAAGACAGTAGGGATGAAGAAACACAAAAATAAAACAGTAAAATCTATAAAACACTAACTTTAGAGACTTTCCAAGTTTAAGAACATGGACTTGGCCGGGTGCAGTGGCTCACAACTGTAATCCCAGCACTTTGGGAGGCCAAGGCAGGCAGATCACGAGGTCAGGAGTTCAAGACCAGCCTGGCCAGCATCGTGAAACCCCATTTTTACTAAAAATACAAAAAATTAGCTGGGCATGATGACATATACCTGTAATCCCAGCTACTCGGGAGGCTAAGGCAGAAGAATTGCTTGAACCCAGGAGGCGGAGGTTGCAGTGAGCCAAGATCGCACCATTGAACTCCAGCCTGGCGACAGAGCGAGACTCTGTCTCAAATAAAAAAACAAAAACATGGACTTGATGAATCAGAAGGTCAGAGAAAAACACCTGAACTACTATTCCACTTGGGAAGAAATGGGACTTTTTTTACATGTCCACTTTGAGGCCAGTGTCAATCTATAAACCCCCAAAAATATTTGCCAGGAATTACATTCCTAAACTCGGGCATGTGGAATTAAAACCAAGCAGAAACACACCACTTTATAGTGAATTAATAAGTGAAAAAAGGTGTTTGGATTAGCAGGGAAGGGAGAGTGACCAAAGAACCTTCATGTTCCCGGATCACATTATATAGATTTTTGTTTGGGAATTTCAGATAGATTTGTTTGGGTAAGTAAGCTATTTTAGGTCAGAAAGAAGAGGAGATTTGAAGAGGGAATTATCGTAAGGCCAGCATTTGCATTTCTTTCTTTCTATTCCCACAGTTCCCATCTCTAACCAACTGGGAAAATGGCCTATAGACTGAAGAAGGGAAAACTTGAGGGACAAGCACAAACTGATTTGGGAAAATGGCCTATAGACTGAAGAAGGGAAAACTTGAGGGACAAGCACAAACTGATTAAAATGTCTAAATAACCCCCCAAATTAACTCCAGCTCTTGATTAAATAAACTGGATATCACTTACATGGCATAACTGCTGTCCCCCATTCTAAGCCAAATGGTGGTACAAAATCAGGGCATGAAGGAAAACTAAACTATTACAAACTGCCAATAGCAGTGACAGCAGGAAGAGGAAGAGGCAGAACAGCAGCAGCAGCGGCAATGGCTCACATCTAGAAAACACGGCATAGCAGGCACTGCTTTACATGTGTCATTTTCTTTTAATTGTCACAACTGCCTCATGAAGTAGGAACAATTACCATTCCCACTTTACAGATGAATAAGCTAGGTACAGAGTTTAATAACATGTTCACTGTCAAAGAGGTAATTAATAGTAGATGTGGGATAAAATTCAACCACTTTGCCACATAGAGGAAAATAATGGCTAGAGTTTTTTACCCAAAAATCACATGCTCACATGACCTCTAAAAAGAACTACATGGATTTTTTTCTTCTTTTGCCAAAAATTACAGATGATAGTCCTACATCTGTATAAAAAAGAACTGATAATCTAGCTTTACTGATAAGTAAGAAAAAAAGGGAACTGGATTCTGAAAGTTTAGGGAGTCCAAGCAGTAGATGATCAGGATTATTAGAAATAGGATCAATATAAAGGCCAAGATAGTACCAGAATAAAGACAATGGACACTAAAGTGACAAAAGAATCACCAAATTCCAAAAGAGCATGGCATCACCTTGACTTTGTTCCATGAAGTTCATGTCTATTACAGAAATTTCTCTATGGGAACATATTTCCAGTTGTATAAAAGCTATCAATAAAACTAGAATTGACACTCTTATATCCAACTTTGAGGCAACATATGTTTTACAAAGCATGGGGACATATGAATGATTATGAAAGAAATATGTATTTTAAAAGGCTTTCTGAAACTGTTTAATAAAGGAAAAATGGAAAAACTCTACAATTTTCTAAAATATTTTATAAAAAATTATGCCTGTGAATATTTTATTACTTGGCCAAATGGAGATGTTTATCTCAAATCTTCTTATAAGAAAAGACAGAATAAAACAATGTTCTAAAAGTAATTTTAAAATCTTACTAATAAATATTTTAACCAAGTAAGTTAAAACAGAAAAAATTCAGCAGCTCTAGCTTCTAACGAGAACTACTCAAGGAAAAGAACAAGCAGTGTCAACTAGACTCCCCAACCCCCGCTCTTTAAGTTAACCTCATCCACACAGTAAACAGACATCTCTCTCCTCCAGCCTCTCCATCTTGACCTCTCTTATTGCCAGCCAACTTCCTTATTTTCCTCAAATGGAGTGGAAAAATAAATCTTCATCCTCTTTAAAAAAAAAAAAAAAATTTAGCTGCTAAGAAGCCCCAGGAATAGCACGTACCGGCACATAGTAGCACATTCAAACTATTTAGCTGGGGAAAACATGATGACTTTCCCTGCCCTCCTAAGAACTGAGCTGTTCAATTCCAGATCCTAACAAAGAAATTTTTCCAGGATGCCAGTTTGAAATTTAGGAGATAGGAGATTCAGTGTTTACAAGAATGGTGTTTAATCTCAACTGCCTCTGTTGAAACCTCAGGCAAGGTCAGTTTTGCCAAGAGCCACATGACTGCTTCCCCATTATGAAGGAAATAGAATAAAACAATGTAGCATATTCTTGTAATTGTTGTATATGTCAAGAATGAAAATCAAAGATTCCAACTAATCAAGGCCCAGATGCTTCAGATTTGAAAAAATGTAAATGACCATCAATCTACTAATATAAATGGGCAAAGGACAGATGATCCACAGCATGGCTCACCACAACCTACAAATGATCCCTCCACCGATGTGACTGCCCCTGCAAACCTTACAGAAAACTGCTCCCCAAGAGGAGGAGAGCAAGCTTACCCACAAGGCAGTTTCCTAGAGTCCAAAGACCTATTCCTAAAAGAAAATAATACTTCTGTTCAGAAGAAAAATACCTTTGAGTTGCTTTTTCACAGCTATTGGAAATAATAAAAACTTACTGAGTATGTCCCAGAGCTTTTATTGTGGTATTTTGCCATAGTGAAAAGAAAATAGTATGAAGATGAGCAGCCCTAAGTGTAAATCCTGACTAACATCTCTCTGTGACCTTAGACAAGTCATTATCCTATCTCAGCTTCGGTTTACTCACCTGTAAAATGAGAATGATTGTTATGAGGATTATATGCAAAAGCACACACAGATCATTTGACATCTATATCTCTCAGTTCCTTTATTTTCCTGCAGGATCATATATTTAAGAGAAATAGAGAAGTTTTCTTTAAATACTAGTTATAAAATGAAATTCACTAAAAACCAGTTGTATTCAACCAATTACAACTCAAGAGAAATATATGACAATTAAACAATGTTACCAACTATGTAGTCACACATACAACTTTAGTGTACCATTCGAGGCTCGACCATAATTTTGGCTTACATAATTTTTCCAGTAATCCATATTCTCTCAAATACTCCTACATATAAACCCTCATTCCCACCACTGTCCTGAGCATATCTTGACTGACCCAACTTTAAGTGTCTATTCTTACCCTAAATGCCCTTTCCACTACTTTATACTTCCCATCTAGCAATTTCTCAATTCCTCAATTCCCACCCCTTTTTAAAAGTCTTCCCTTAGGCCAGGTGCGGTGGCTCACGCCTGTAATGCCAGCACTTTGGGAGGCTAAAGTGGGCAGATCATGAGGTCAGGAGTTCAAGACCAGCCTGGCCAACATGGTGAAACCCCATCTCTACTAAAAACACAAACATTAGCCGGACGTGGTGCTACACAACGTGTAGTCGTAGCTACTCTGGAGGCTGAGGCACAAGAATTGTTTGAACACAGGAGGCGGAAGTTGCAGTGAGCTGAGATCATGCCTCTGCACTGCAGCCTGGGGGACAGAATGAGACTCCATCTCAAAAACAACAACAACAAAAAAAGAAACTCTTCCCTAACCAACTCAACGTTAACAATATCTAGTCAATTGGCAATTATTTATCATGTTTAATGTTTTTTAATGTGGTTATGAAGAACCACTCTAACGTATTCTTTTCTATCTTCTAAACAATTCTGAGGTGTGGCAAACTAGTACAGTCTTTTGCAAAATAATCCCTGAACTGAAATTGTGCTATAAAGAGTTATATGTGTGGGCTAAAAGAGAAGTCATAGAATTCTAATGATTAAAGTGTATATTATCACCAATATAAATTCCTCTAAAATTTACATAACTGGTCACCTGACTCCACTCCTTTCTGAAGCAAAATTGGTGTGAAAACAGAAACTAATTTAGAAGTATAGAATTAAATTGAAAATTTAAAAAGAAATTTATTCCACAGAATTTCTACAGTCACAATTAGATAAAAGAGCCTCAATGCCAACTGAGCAGAAAAACCAATGAAGGCACTGCTCTTAGTGTAGCCATGTATCAATGATGATTTTAACATGTGAAAAGCAGAACTTTTGGTAAAAGCATGCCTATTTATATCAAGGAGGTTCAAAACTGACTCAGAGGAAAAAGTACTATGCTCTGACTCACCAAGACCACTTCCTGAAACACCCAATGTTTTTCTTGGAAGGAAGTCCATACAAGTGCCATTTCTTTCAAACACTGATTAGACAAAATTGAAGTCTATCACAAAATAGACAAAGGACATATATTTTCTAAACCCAGCCAGGTTTCAAAGTAAAGAACATTTTCATAAACATACGGTCAGGAGAAAGGAGACTTTAAAAATAGTCAAAAATTGGTAATGTAAGGTATATTATAAAGAATAAACTACTACCTACCTGTGTCCATCTTTATACCATAGTCTCTTAATGATAAACAACCTTATGACTTCAATCTGCTAAATTAACTAATATCTTTGGCTTCAAAATAGTCACTTTTTTAAAAGGTAATTCTTTTCTCTCTCTGAATCAACTGTGTCACCAATATTTAATAATAATTTACAAAAACAATAACACTTATTAAATCCATATATGTGTCAAACGTTGTTGTAAGTTCTTTGCATGCATTAATTCAATTGATAAGCATAACTCTAAAAGGCAGGTACTACTTTTATCTCTAGTTTACAGATGAGGAAACTGGGGCACAGAAGTGCCTTGCTCAGTATCACAGTTAGTACATGGTAAAGCCTCAGACACAGGCAGACCAACACAAAAGCCCAAACTCAGTTTCTATGCTATGTCTGTATGTGTGACTCATCCCCCTTTAGAATACTTGATAGTAACTTAAACACACTTAAGCATACACACACACACAATTACACATATACAGATATGTATTAACATTTCACATCTACATAATCCATGCCTGGATTCAGGTATGTCCTTCTCATCCATTAGTTTAAAATTTTTAATGTAACTAATTATATCAATAGGACTTTAGTACAAATAATACCAAGTCTTCAATCTGAAAGAACAACTACTTGGATAAGCTTTGAAACATTACACTGTCCAGATACATTTATGTCAATCTCACTTGTTTTTTAGTTTCGAAACATTGGAAATATCTCACAGACCTATAAAAACACCAAAATGATACTGCCCTGGACACGGCCCTTAGGGGAAGAAAAATAACATAACATTTCCTTCTTCAAAATAACAAGCAATTAAATGGGATCTTGCTGTTTGTTTCCTCTTGAGTAATCTAGACTAAAAAGAGTTCAAACATCTGACTCTTACAATATTTTGCTTTCAGTAGAAAGACATCCTTTTAGATGTCAAGTCAGCTAATAAGTATTCACTCATATTTATAACTGGTTCATGGAAACTAGTTTAAATATTAAATGACTACACATGTGAAAAAGAAATTCTTAAGTAGTTTGTGAGTCAGGCTAAGCACCATGAGATAAACCACATTTCTCTGCCGTGCAGATTATTAGGAGGCAGTATAAGAAGAACAAATTTATTCCAAAAGGGCAAAGTGCTTAGAGCAGCAGCCTAAGGAAACAGAATATATTCCCCCTGTTAACACCACTCTGGAGATGCTAAAGATTCAGAGGTGCTCTTGGAAGCCTGCCTGTCCAGTGTGATTTTAGGGTTGAGAGAGTATCATCCTATTTCCTTAAAATCTATCGTTTACACAGGCGACAAGGTGAATAAAATTCTAGCACTGGAAATTAATTCATTCTTTTGAGTTAAGCATTTTCATCCATAGGAAGCACTTTTAAACTACAAACACTTCTGGGAGTAATAATGTATTATGTCATTAACATTTAAGTGTGGATTATGAGATACTTTCTCCTAGGATAAGAGGACTCTGGGGTAATGTATGAATGTCTATGAGATCAGTGTCTGGAAATCTTCATAGAGCAGCAGCAAACTACTGAAGAAAAAAAATGCATGCTTAATGTTTTTACCTATCTCTAAAACATATATCCAGTATATTAAATATGAAGAAAAAAATTGCATGCCTAATATTTTTACCTATATCCAAAACACATATCCAATACAATATATAAATATGAAGAAAAAAATTGCATGCTTAATATTTTACCTATATCCAATACATATATATCCAGTATATTAATAATAGTGAAATTATGAAAGGAATTCTAGCTTATGCACGTAATGGTTATTAAAGGTAAACATTCAATAGAGTGAGCAAAACCACATAATAAGTTCATTCGAGGCTGGGCGCGGTGGCTCAGGCCTTTAATCCCAGCACTTTGGGAGGCCGAGGTGGGTGGATCACAAGGTCAGGAGATTGAGACCATCCTGGCCAACATAGTGAAACCCCATCTCCACTAAAAATACAAAAATTAGCTGGGTGCAGTGGCGTGTGCCTGTAGTCCCAGCTACTCGGGAGGCTGAGCCACAAGAATCGCTTGAACCCAAGAGGTGGAAGTTGCAGTGAGCCAAGATCACGCCACTGCACTCCAGCCTGGTGATGGAGCGAGACTCCGTCTCAAAAAATAAATAAAAATAAAAATAAATAAAGAAAAATAAGTTCATTTGGTATTTTTTGGACATTTATGCCTACAAGGTATTGTGCTTTGCATGATGACATATAATAAACATACTTTCTCTCCTCTGGGAACATTCAGTTCAGCAAGATGGATAGATATACAAACAGATAATTACAATGCATTTTAGTAAATGTTATTACTGTATGAACAATGTACTAGGAAAGTGTCTACCTATGGAAGCTGCTTGTAGGTTTCATATAGGAAGAGACAGTAACATCAGGTCTTGAAAGACAGTGAGGAGTGCACCAGTTGGTACAGGTACAGGTAATTAGAGAACATTCCAGACATATACAAAGGATATGGAAGGACATGAATTTCAGGGAATAGTGAGATATTCAGTGTGGCTGCAATACAGAATATATGAAAAGAAGATGTGATGAAGAAAAGCTTGATGCCAGATTGTGAGGGGCCTTGTAGAGCATATAAAGGAATTTGGACTTAATCTTTTAGGAGATGGTAAGGAGTAACAATCATATTACTAATGTTTAAGAAAATAACTATGCAGGCATTCTGGAAGGCAGACTAGATCAGAGAACGAAGTTGACACTTTCAGGAAGCAAAGTTGATTATTTGAGATAATTGTATCTGTCTCTTTCATTTCTATAGGAATCTTCCCACCTGTATTCTGCTCTATGTATTTGTTTTTTTTTTTTTTTTTTTTTTTGGAAAAACTTAGACTCACCTTTGTTATTCCCCTAATGTCTCCAAACTCCGTAATTATCCAAAGAGAAACCGATATATTAATTTTAAATCTGCCCACCACTTACCTCTAAGGACAGAGACCACACTTCCTAGAATTATTAGTTACACAAGAAATCCAATGAAGCTATCTTCATCCTATTTTAGAAAGTTCATTGTAAAATTCCAAAGACTGTAAGAATAGAGGGTTTTCCTGCTGGGTTTTTTTGTTCGTTCATTTAAAATATCCCTTTAATGGTGTAGTCATTGTGGAAAACAGTATGGCAGCTCCTCAAAAAAATCAAGCATAGAATTACTATATGATCCAGCAGTTCTTCTTCTGGGTGTATACCCAAAAGAACTGAAAGTAGAGACTAGATATTTGTACACCCATGCTCATATCAACATTATTCACGAGAGCCAAAAGGTAGATGCAACCCAAGTGTTGTCCATTCACAGATGAATAAGTAAAATATCATACATCTACATAAGGGAATTATTTATCCTTTAAAAGGAAACAGACATCTCTCATACATACTACAACATGGATGAACCCTGAAGCCATTACACTAAGTAAAATAAGCCAGTCACAAAAGGACAAATACTCTATGATTCTCCTTAAATGAAGAACTTGGAATAGTCAAATTCAAAGACACAGAAAGCATAATGGTGGCTGCCAGGGGCTGTGGAAGGTGGAGAATGGGTAGTTATTGTTTTGGGGCACAGAGATTCCATTCAGGAAGATGAAAAACTCCTAGAGATGGATGGTCATGATGGCTGCACAACAATGTGAATACACTTAATGACAATAAACTATACATTTAAAGATGGTTAAGTTGGTAAATTTAATATCAACTTTATCACAATAATTAGAGAAATCTGAGGAACAAATGAACTACTGAATGTCTGTGAGCCTATCAGGTAAAGCCACCTGGTCTGTAAGGCAAAGACTAGATCTTATTGTAGCTGCCTCTGTTATGGGGATGTACTAGAAGATTAACAATTTCCTTGGCATGCGTGCGCATGCACACACACACACAAAAAACTGTCCTTAAAATCCTGTGTGTATATACACACACACATACATATACATGTGTGTATATTTTTTAAAATTTGAAGTAGGTTAACATTGTATTCTACTTTAATAAAGATCAAGAAACACAATCTCTAATTTACAAAAGCAATAAACTGAACTGCATCTTGAAGGAAAAAAAAGCTCGCTGGTCTAGTTTTATACCAACTCCTATTTTCTGGTCCAGTTCTAACATTATCTGGCAGGCACTTTTGCAAATTCCATTTCTCACTGATTCTTAATTTTTACCTTAGTCAAACAGAGTAGGACTCCTTGCTTCACCCCTACACACTGATCTCAGTCTACTGAGGAGATAAAATAAGAAAATGAATACATGACATTACTTTTAAAATATTCAATGATTTGTAATAGATATATTGTTTCATGAACACATGTGAAATCACTCAAAAAATTTTCAGTGTCTATTTTTCACTTTTTAATTGAGCTTTTAAACAATCTAATATGCATATAAGTTTGGGTAAAACATTCATTCAACAAAATAACACCCACTAGTACTCCAAGGGGTTTAAAAAAAATCTGTTCAATAAGGTGATTTCAACAAATTTTAACGGCAATTGGAGAAGAAAACATTTAGATCTTGTTTTCATAATTAACTAATCCATTATTAAATCCCATACAAAATATCAATAATTATAAAATGATGCTAATTAAAGTACTTAACACTCATTTAAAAAGCAAAATAAACACATGAATGTACCTTCCTTTTAAAAAGTTATTGACATTTTATGGCAAATCAGTTGTTGACTGCAATAGTTAGAATACCCTCTTGGAAATGAGCCCAGTGACATTGTTTTCCTCACTGTTCAAAACTTCCAACTCTTAGCAAACACTAACCTCAACGGCTAGCCAATATTACCCTTTTCGTAAGGAAAAACAGACTTATGATATCCAGTAGAAAGACATTAAAACCCTCAATGTTTGATATCATTAACTAAAGTTCACTAAAGTTTAAGCTTATGTAAAACATACACAAGTATCATTATTAAATTCTTGTACAATCAGAGGCACATGTGTTGCTGCTACCACCTATCAGCTATTTTTTTTTTAACTCAAAGAAGGCTAACATTCAAGAATGACCCTGAATCTATTTTCTTTCCTTCTGTCTCCAAATCCCAGTCTTCTCCTCACCTAAGGTTACTCTCTCTAATTCTGCAAACCAGTATGGTAAACATCTTGTAAAATGGTCCCTCCCATTGAGACAGCTAAGTGGGAGGGGATCCCTGGCAAAGCTCCTGCCGGCCTGTGCACTGGGGTGGAGCCTGAGCAAGTTTGCACCTTTGCAGAGGGGAGGAGCCTGGCCTTGCCTTTTCCTGCGTGGAACCTGGGATTCAAAAGGCAAGGCGGGAAGCACTGCAGCATTGACAATGCCAAGTTCTTCCTTCCTCGAGGCCTATCACACTTGTCTAGAATAATTATCTTTTATATCTTTGCCTATCTAAATCTTGTATCTCAGCTTAAATGGCCCCTTCTTGGGAAACCATTCCCTGACTCCCAATCTATCCTAGATTTCTACATTACATGTTTTCACAGCACTCTGAAATTCTCTTCATAAATCTTTACTGTTAGACATTTGGGCCAATATTTGCTTAATATCTGCATTTCAAAAATAAAGTACTAGCTGGTATACTTTCTATTGAAGCAAAACACACTTTTGTATTTTGCATTTTCTTTCAAAAACATCTTGAATCTCATCTTTCTTTTAGGTGAATATTACATTTTTAATATGAGACTAGAATTTTCTGTTCTTTATATTTTATGTTTTTTTTTACAACTTATCCAAAGATATTCTTCCTTGGGCAAATTTTGTAATAAAATGACACAATTCTCCAACCTACTCTATTGTCTATGTGTACAAGTTTTTTTTCTATTTTACATACTAACTAAATTTATACAAATGCCCATATTTGATATCTAGTTAGCAAGCCAGACAAGCTTACATTTCAGTCCTTATTAAATGTAAAACTTTAGGCTTACTTAGCCTCTATGAGCCTAGTTTCTTCATTTGTAAAGTGGTTATAGTATCTCTCAAGGTTAAGAACAATCGAAGTATGCAAAACCCCTATAGCAAAAGAGCAGGCTAAATACATGACAGTTCTTTCCTCCATGTGGGAAAAAGGCACATGTTTGAAAATGTAGCCCCATGAAATATTACACTTTACAGTACCTAATCCAATTTCCTAAAAGGGAACAAGTCTAACTTTTTTCTTCATGGTATGTATTTCAGGTCAGGGGTTGACAAACTTTCGGTAAAGAGCCAGGTTATAAATATTTTAGGCTTTGTGGGCCACATACAGTCTCTGTCAATATTCTTCATTTTTGTTTTTAATAACCTACCAAAAATGTAAAAAGCATTCTCAGCTTGTAGAAAGAAAACAGCCCAATGGCTAGAGTTTGCTGACCCTCTGCTTTGAGTTCATCATTACTCATCGATTCTACCCTTACTTTTCCTATTACTTCACCTTAATCAATACCCAACTGAACAACTACTCTCCTTACTATTTATTAAGCTTTCAGTATAACAAACACTAATCAAGTACTTGCTTATCTGTAAGGGCCTGTAAGGTAACTCACTACCTTAAAAAAAAAAAAAATCACATGCTACAAAACAAATACAAATAAATCCTTCCGAAGTCTTCCTCTGGTATCGCCTTGCTCTTCCCTCTGATTTCTGAGCGTATTACTACTAGTGATTTATGCTCATGATCAGATTTCTCTTACCACAATCTTGTAATGAAGTTGGTGGTTTTAATTCCTTTGTAAGAATTTGATTAGGCTTTATGTACCACAGAGTTACAAGTCCCCTAGTGTTCATTTTTCATTAGACTCTCTCCTTACAATTCTGAAGTACTATTATAACTCACCTTCTTTTGTTCCCCAACTTCCAACACAATCATTTCATCCTCTTTTTGTAGTTCAGTTCACCTCCCTATCTCTAATTCTCTAATTGTTTTCTTCCCCTTTTATGTATAAGCCCCAGGAAAAAAATTCTGATTTAGGTATGAGAATGAGTTCCTGTTATTGCTCTGCCTATGATGATCTGTGCATTCTTACCCTGAGTAGCGTTGTTTCCTCATCTATCATAGGGATCGAAACAGCCTATGATGCCAATCAGAGACAGTTATTAAATGCATATGAAATAACACAAGTGAAAGCTACTTATCTGTAATCTACAAAGTAAGAGAACACTAAGATCTAAATCAGACTCGATTCAAGAATTGGCTCTGCCATTTATGAGTTATTGACCATGGGCAAGTTAATTAACCCCTCTAAGCCTCACTTTCCTCATCTGTAAAGACAGTAATAATACCTACTGTATCAGGTTTTGTGAGAATTCCATAACATAATCCATGTTAAGCACTTATCATAGTGCTTAGCACATAGTTAAGGCTCAAAAATGTTAACATAATTGTTATTTGTGGGAAAGAAATATTTCTATTCCAGGCAGCCACAAGCCTTGCATGTAAATTATTGGGAAGTGGTGCAAGATGGGTTATCTGAAATTGGAGGGGAAATTATAATACAAAATATGAATGAATATGGCTCATAACATGTGGCAAAGTGAGACAGCCAGGCAATGTCTGAGATGTGTGCATGTACACTTTGTGTAGCCTAGGCAGCTCATTTTAGTTGGGTGAAATTTTCTGTGCACGCCTACTATTTCTCAGGTGAAATCACGCATAAGCAAAAGTGAAATTTGCATTATGCTCAAAGTGTTGCCTAATATCAATCATGAAAGAATAAAAACTCCCATTTTTCAAAACAATCATTACAGCAGAATTGACTGTATTTATTCTCACACTATGAACTCACAGAAAATGTTATCTGAGTTAGAAATGTAGTCACTATCTACAAAGCCTGTGTTTCTCTTCAATTTCCTATCAGTCCAAAGTCTTTCCCTAGTAAGAGCTGTCCTTTGCCTGTCAGTATTGAGCCACTATGCAACATGATTTAAAACATTTCTTAGCTGCAGCCTTAATTGTTTCATCAGCTTTCCCTGCTGGGGACAGCCTGATTCAGAGAGCCATGCCACACTTGTTTAGATTTCCAGTTGATCCCCTGTCCCCAAATGTCCATTCCAACAAAGGAGTAAAATGTCTTGTAATCAATAACACTGTCATATCACTTCATTTTTTTCAGTAACCAAATATTTATAATAAGCATGTACTGAATGCAAGGCAACCTAGAAGAAACAAGACAAAACCACCTCTAACCCATCATAGTAAGAGATAGACTTTAAGTAATTCAATCAGTTAAACTCAGTCATTAGAAAGGAAGTAAAATATAACACATGTAAAAATAAATATAACAGAAGATGGAACACAAAACACTGGTATAAAATGCAGAAAAAAGAAGGTGAAACCAAGAAAAATTTAATGGCAGTGGTCAGTAAACCTTAAGGATGAGGTAAATTTTGAATATGAGGGAGAGACTTTCTAATTACACCACGTGTCAAGAAAAAAAGGCAGGAAATGGAAACTGTAAAGCATAAAGAAGAAGCTTAAGCCATACATTAAGATACACGACTCAAAAGATAAGTTACACACTGGACATTGAATTTCATATAATGGGAAATGGAAACTCTACTGACAATTTTTAGCCAGAAGACTGTAGCATGAATTATGAATGGGCAAAGGGAGCCCAATTGGCTTTTAGAATCCAGGCTTTGAATAAGTTAAGAGAATTGAAAGAGTCTTTGGAATGCCAGGCCAGAGCAACGGGAGGGCTTTCCCCACCCACAATCCCAGGCTTTGTGTCCAAGATTGATATTCACGGCTCTGCTTAACGCAGTGGTCCCCAGCCTTTTTGGCACCAGGGACTGGTTTCATGGAAGACAATTTTTCCAAGGCAGGAGTAGGCGGGATGGATCAGAATGAAACTGTTCCACCTCAGATCATCAGGCATTAGTTAGATTGTCATAAGGAACACGTAACCTAGATCCCTCACATGTGCAGTTCACAATGGGGTTCGACTCCTATGAGAATCTAATGATGTTGCTGATCTGACAGGAGGCAGAGCTCAGGCAGTGATGCTTGCTGGCCTACTGCTCACCTTCTGCTGTGCGGCCCAGTTCCTAAAAGGCTGCCAACCGGTACTGAACCATGGCCCAGGGGTTGGGGGACCCCTGGCTTAAGGGATACTCACTATGTCATTTGGTCTGGCCAACTGTATAAATGGTGAAATAAAGAAAAATTACTTGCATAATGAGGAAAGGCATTTTTTTAGAAACAAGGAAGATAAAGAATCCAATGGAATCTAATACTAGAGTAATAATGAGTTGTCAGAGAGTTGTTACCAGAGCATTAAATCTAGTGATCAGAATAATATAATTGGCAAAGTTAAATAATATTGCTCTAAATTACATCTAAATATGACACAAAGAATTTTTAATAATCAAGAAAATGCACACAAATGTTCCTAAAACCAAGCTCTTGAACAAATGTTGATACAAAATCTAAGACAAGCTTAAGAAACTCACATTTCATTCAGCTCAGATCTTACATTACCAAGTACAGAGAGACAATATTTCACAAATTGCTTTTGCATTTTAGAAAATATATTGAGCATTAAAACTACCACAAGTTTTTTCTAATCAAATTAACAAACCTAGTTAATATATTTTGTACACACGATTCTGTATAAAAATGCCACAAATTTAACCGACGTATAATTTCTTCATGTAGCTGGAAAGTCAATTTTTAAGTGCTTACATGTCAAATTAAACAAGTCAAAACAAATACACAAACAAACTCTAAAAAAAAGGAAATTTTAAAATACTGGATTGTTTACATTAGAAATATCCTATAAATAAATGATCAAAAAGACTACATGATAACCTACCTTATTATATTCTCTTCAAAAAATATTTATACAATTCAACTACACTATTATTTAAAAGGCTAGAATTTTTTCTAAGACAGTCTCACTCTGTCGCCCTTGCTGGAGTGCAATGGCACAATCACAGCTCATGGCAGTCTCAGTCTCCTGGGATCAAGCCATCCTCCCTAACTTAGTCTCTTGAGTAGCTGGGACTACAGGCATGCACCACCATGCCAGGCTTATTTATTTATTTATTTATTTATTTATTTATTTATTTATTTATTTATTTTGGTAGAGACAAGGTCTCACTATGATGCCCAGGCTGGCCTTGAACTCATGGGCTCAAGCAATCCTCCTGCCTCAGTCTCCCAAAGTGCTGGGATTACAGGCATAAGTTACAGAACCTGGCCAAAAGTCTAAAGTGTAATGAGTTCATTTTTGTCACCTTAAAACTCCAAGGTTCATACCTACCTTGACGATTTAATGACAAATGACATCACTGAAAAGTAAACTACAAAGGAGACTTCTCTATACAATTTATGTCAGAACTATTTACATAGAAATGAGACTAAGCAGCGTATCTCCTCCATAGTCATTTCCTCTTATATACAATTTGCTTAAGTTAAACTGAAAAAATTTGTTTCCAAGTCTAGTTGCTGAAAAACGGAAACCTCTTTTATAACTCAAGCTACTGCAGACACAAGGGTATCTTACTAAAGGTGGGGACAGGTGGATCAGGGAACAAAATATTTTACATACCATTCCAAGAACATATATGGAGATTTACACTCCACATTAATACTGCCATTTGCCTTAGAGTTTGGCCACTAAAGCTGACCAAAGCTTTATAGCAAGGGTAAGAATATACCAGGCCATAAACATCTTGAGGAACTTCACCTATTTATGCTACAAAAAAGCTGTATACAATATTTCTATGGGTAGTTAAAATTTGTGTAAATTGATAATGCTCTTTACAGTATATAAGGGTCTTAAGAAATAATAGTGACATTACAAGAAAATCAACACATCCAAGAATGTATTTCAAAAAAGGATCAAAACAGCCATAACCATGGCACCTAAACTCAAGAACCTACCACATTTCCCAAGACCAAAACAGTAACTTAATCAGTTATTTATTTTTGCTCTCTATCTAGTCTGTGTTACAATGTTATTAGCTCTTATTTGTTTTTAAATAGCCTTGCACTTAATTATTAGTGACAGAATAATAACAAAAAAGTTCCTTCTGAGTAAGATTAAATGTAATAAATCAATAAGAACTACTTATAGATCTTTATATATTATGAATTACATGTTTGTCACTAACTCAAGTTTGATATTTAAAACATCATAATTATAAAATTGAATATTTTGAAAGAGTTGTTTCTTAAAAGCTTCCATTAATTGACTATTTAAACATTTACAAGTTCCATTAATATACATGGGCTTTAAAAAAAAAAACTTTAAATACACATATTCAACTGTATTTTAGGTCCCAAGCAAAATGTTTACACAGAAATTTGGCAGTGTTAAATCTGTGGACTCAAAGCCAAGAACAACCTAAGAAGTCTAAACCTGGTTAATAAGCAAATTTTCATAGTACAACTAACATTGTGTAAACAATCCAAAGCAGTTAATATTTATAAGATAATCAATGTTTTGCATATAAGGTTAAGTTCAAAGTAATTTTTTAAACATTTCGTATATTATGCCCATGGATTCCCAATCTGTAATAGTCAACAGACCTCTTCTTAGCTATAATATGAGGGGAAAATTATTCTCTTAAATACCATGACCTAAAGGAAAGAAATCCTTTGAATCTCCACCTCTGTAAGCCAGAAGACAGGAGGCAAGACCCTGAGGAGACTGGGTTACCACTAATTTCACCAAGTTCAGAATCCACTTGGAATACTAAATGGGAAGTTAAAAAGCAATCAAAGGGCTTACTTGGACTAAAAGTATTGCTACATGTTTCAAGGTCTACAAATACCCTTTATAATAATTACGCCTTTGAGAGCCCTCCTTAGCAAAGAAAATATTAACAAATTCAAACTTACCTACCCACACAGTTCAGGAAATACTCCTCTAAGCAATCGTCCAGGCAATATTGAGAGGCCATTCCACTCAGTTTACTTATGTGCCAAGTGACCTTTGGCACAACGTCAGAAAGGGTGGGACTCTAAGCGTCAGTTTCGGCATTGTACTGTACCAAACAAAATTTCTGATTTGGTTTCTCTAGGGCGTTAACTAAGATTTCCTCCTCTTGTTAAGTAAGTAAACACAGCTACCACTACACTTCCAACTCTTGCCTAAGATGATTTTTTTTTTAAGTTTTAAATGGTGAAAATAATACTGGCTAGCATTGACTGAAAGCTTACTGTGTGGTCTAAATTAACGCTATATACACAGACACCATTATTACTCCCATTTTAGAGAGGTAGAATCTGAGAAACGGTAGTTAATAAGTAACTTACGGGAATTCCAGGTACAGAAATATGGCCAACTGAGCTCATGAAGACTTCCCACTACAGACACTAAGAAAAGAAGAAAATAAGTGTAACAAAATTAAATACATAGCTTTACTTGCAATAAAGATAATTCCCTGATGCTAAACCAAAGCCAGAACTGATGGCCAAAATAGTAAGCACAAAAGCATACACTGTCAGCTGTGGCCAACACTGGAGCTATGGGGATAATCACTGGAGTCTCTTCAGCACTTAAGTATAGATTGAAATTGGTAACAAGATGCCTCTTGAAGGAGAAAGAACAGAAGAAAGTGCTCCCTCAAGAGAGAAAGCACTCTGCTGGATTTCCAGCCCCATTAAACCTTCACAACTCTAAAGCAGTCCTGATACTTATGCAGGGACAGAAGGGGAGGCCCTGGGCACACGAGGTATAAAGTTGGTACTGAGATTCTTCCAGAAAACCAGGGCTGTCTTCAAAGGTCTATCCTCATAGTTAAAAAATGGTGTCGGGGAGGAGAAATTCACTCATAGTCATATTAAGACTTAAGAGAGCTTGTCTCTGAGAATCTGGGTGAAGAGGACAGGGGAAATGCTATAAATGCTATAAGAAATTAAAATCCTAAACCTATGACACAACAGTTTTGAAATGTGAATCTTATTTGTATGAGAATCTCCTAGGTAAAAAAATTAAGAATCTCCAATCTAAGGAATTAGATCCTGGGCCAGTGAAATCTGTAAAGTATCTAGAAGAAACAAACACAAAACTATTTTAAAGTGATGAGAGGTAAACAAGGCCCCACGGGATTTCTTTGGGTAGAAAAACCAAACCAAAACAAAACAAAACAAAAAACAATCCCCAATGAAGATGAGCTTATAAATTTAGAGATTACAAAATATGGAGAAAATGATTTACTGTGATTATTAACAAATATGCCAAACAGAAAATTGAGTGCTCAACTGATTTTTAATATGAAGACACCAAAAAAGTATATTTAAATTATTAAAGAAATGGAGAGAGAAAAAAGAGCCTATAAAGAACATAAAACTAAAAAATCTGTATGTTTTATAAAACCAAATTATATTTGAATAAAGATATGGCACAGGCTGGGTACAGTGGCTCACACCTGTAATCCCAGCTCTTTGATAGGCCACGGGTGGGAGGATCCCTTGAGTCCAGGAAGTCAAGAGCAGCCTGGGCAACATACCAAGACCCCATCTCCACAAAAAATTCAGCAATCAGCCAAGCATGGTGGTACACACCAGCAGTCCTAGATGCTCATGAGGCTGAGACAGGAGAACTGCTTGAGCCCAGGAGTTTGAGCCCAGGAGTGAGCTATGATCACGCCACTGTATTCCAGCCTGTGTGACTGAGCAGGACCCATCTCTTTAACCCATTTCTCACTTAGAATAAAAAAGTGCTGCTTGTTGCCAGTGCAGTATTCTTGGGGCAAATGGGAAATGGGTAAAAAACAAAAATACATTCTCTGTATAGTGCACTCAGAGTTTTCATCAGGTTTCTATAACTTTAAAAGTGAAAAGCATCACTATAAATAGAATTTTTAAAATGTATTTAGAAAAGCAATAGTCAATGTCAGAAGTCAATTGCCTGGCAGAACCTATTCTACATCCACTTTTGTTCTCTACCATCTCTCAAGCTCCTGACCACTGTATGCTGCAACTCCTTATTCCTGAAAATTCTGACCCATCCCCTGGGCCATTCCTTCCCATCTCCAGCACCCCTGCAAAAAAGATTGAATGGAAACTGTGACATGCCACCCACATCTCCTTTCAGGACTGAAGGACTGATTCCCCAACTGCTGTGGTGCTGCCTGCAGACAACCTTCAACTATCAGCTCTTTCAGGATGGCCTCACTTCACCCAGTATCACACTCCCTTCCCAGGGAAGCCCACATCCAAAGATTGGTTGACATGTGGAAGACAAAGCCTTGGTCCCCTTTCTCCAACTGGGGACAAGGGTGAGGTGGCCTCTCAGCTTTGAAGCACCCCACAGGGTCAGATTTTATTTGAGACTACATGGCAGCCCAACATCCCCCTTGGCCCAACAGTGTTTCCTTCCTTCCCTTCGTCCACAGGGGCTGATCCCAAGAGCGCTTTCTTTTTTTTTTTCTTTACTTTTCTTTTTTTTTTTTTTTTGAGATGGAGTTTCACTCTGCCGCCCAGGCTGGAGTGTGCAGTGGCACAATCTTGGCTCACTGCAGCTTCCGCCTACTGGGTTCAAGTGATTCTCCTCCCGAATAGCTGGGACTACTGGTGTGCGCCACTACGCCTGGCTAATTTTTTGTGTTTTTAATAGAGATGGGGTTTCACCATGTTGACCAGGCTGGTCTCGAAATCTTGACCTCAGGTGATCTGCCGGCCTCCCAAAGTGCCCAGCTAATTTTTTGTGTTTTTAATAGAGACAGGGTTTCACCATGTTGACCAGGCTGGTCTCGAAATCCTGACCTCAGGTGATCTGCTGGCCTCGGCCTCCCAAAGTGCTGGGATTACAGGCGTGAGCCACCATGCCTGGCCCCCAAGAACACTTTCTAATAAACTTTCCCGAACACTAATTTCCATCTCAAAATCTGCTTTCTGGGGAACCCAAACTGCAACAGAAGGACATTAGGGAAAAAAAAAAACACGGCAGGACACAGAAACTGAAGGGAGTGAGAAGAGGATAATAATATTAAGTCTTGAAACCAATGGAGAGAACAGCAGAAAGTACTAATATAATTCCTCGATGAGAAAATCAGTATTAAAAGTAGCAAGAAGAAAACCCTTCAAAACGAAGAATATAATCAAAATAAACACTATAATCATAAAATTCCAACCCAACATTTCAAAGTATCACTAAACTTGAGAGCTGAAAGAAATCTGAGAGAGTATCCCAATTCCAATCCCTGTCATTTTTAAGATACTGTCTCTTAAAAATGGTCCATAGGTCTGCCAAATGCCAAAAAATGTTGCTGCTTGGAAACAGACAGTTTCCTAATAGTAAGTTAACAGGTACAGTTAATACCCTGCTGTTAAACAAAATTCTGATATACCTTTGGCTCCTGAATTATCTATCAGTAAAGATGATAATGAAGTCTTATGAAAGGCTAATCTGGCACAGACTGATATATGACAAATCATTGTCCAAATATTAAAAAAATGGCATGGACTGAAACCATCCATAGTCATTCATATCCATACACAGGATATCAATGATAGTGGAACAATTCTAAGCAAAGCTCATGGGTATTTGCTGATTCCTTCAGTTTTCTATGATAGGGCAGTTTACCAGAAGTAGTCACAGGAAATATTATATATTTCGAATGTGACAGATTTGGTTACTGCACTTTTTTCCAAAGCTCTTGAAGCTGGAAATTGCACACACACACATCTTTACTGGTAACCTTGCCCTACATTCCCATACTTTGTAACTACAAATATAGAGGCAGACAAAATAGGCTGTAACATAATCTGTAAGCTAAGATCATCAGATCCAAAATGATGTGAGGTCACTTACATAAATTGTTAGGACAACCAAGCAGAATCGATCAACAATGTCACAATCCATTCATCTTGGAAGTATAAGCAAAATTTCACTTTCAGTTCCTGTACTGTTCAACCCCAATTCCTCATCGGTCCTTCATTCCTTCTTCTTATAAGATCCACTATCTGCTTTGTCTTCTCTAAACCAATCCTTCTCCTAACTTTAATACCTTTTTCAGTGAGAGTAAGAAACCCAAAAGAAGTTTCTAAAGAAATACTCTAAACTACATATTATCAAATTTCAATTACATACATGCTAAGTTAGTTAAATTTGTATGGATACAATGATCAATCAAATGCTTTAACAATTTACCTGGAGAGGGACAGGAGATGCAATATGACTTATCTTTGGGAGAATCATATCTAACTACAATTATAGTCATGCAAAAGGACAAACATGCCTGGCATGTAAATGATGGGAATTTGTTAAAACATTCAATGAGTCAGTATGGGTTGAAGCTATTGTTTGGCTGTAGAGCTAGGATTAAAGGTAGAAAAAACAAAAAAAGGGAGCCAGGCACAGTGGTTCACACCTGTAATCCTAGCACTTTGGGAGGCCGAGGCAAGTGGATCATCTGAGGTCAGGAGTTCAAGACCAGCCTGGGCAACATGGTGAAACCCCATCTCTACTAAAAATACAAAAATTAGCTGGGCGCGGTGGCACGTGCCTGTAATCCCAGCTACTTGGGAGGCTGAGGCAGCAGAATTGCTTAAGCCCCGGAGGCAGAGGTTGCAGTCAGCCGAGATCGTGCCATTGCACTCCAGCCTGGGTGACAGCACGAGACTCCATCTCAAAAAAAAAGAAAGAAAGAAAGAAAAAAGAAATGAAATGGACACTTCTTGGCATGAATAAATATAAATAGCAGGACCAATATTATACGTTCTTTCCAGAAGTTATTTAGAAGAGTGAGACCATACTTAAATTAAGTGTATAGATGGCATTAGTAGTCTAAGTTAGGAAAATATTGATTTGAGAAAAATGAACCGCAAAATTATGTAACAGGGAATATAAATGAACAAAATGGTAGTTTTGCCTTAAATTGGCAATGTTTAGGAATGCATTAAGGGAAACACCACACAAACTTATTTGATTATGGATTTTAAATGTCACTTTCAACCTAGAAATCACTGTACAGCTCCAATAAGACATGATCTTATTTGGCAATTTCAGTTAAAAAGACAGCAAGAAACAAAAAAATTGGTGGAAAAAGTGATTTCTCATTTCCTTTCATGTCCTATAACTAAAGATTAGATGTAAAGTGTTAAGACCTCAGCACAAGGAAACCAAAAGCTTGTGTTTGTGCACCAAGTCTGCCACTTAATAGCTCTATAACCTTTGGTGAGTAACTTAACCTCTCTCAGCCTCTGCTTCCTCACCTGTAAAATGAGACCAATGAGACCAATTTGTACAGTCTCATTCAGATCCAATACCCCAGAACATTTTCCTAATTCAAATTTAAAAGGAGAAAACCTATTTAATTAGATTTTGGCTAAAATACAGTAACTAGCAGTTTTACACTTTTCAACATAAAATTTCTGAAAAAAGAAATAACCAAATAGTCACAAAACCTAATGACGAATAAGGAAAAATTATGAGTCACTATGAGGACATCTGCAAATTCACCTTACAAATTATTGAATAACAATATTTATAGAGCCTCCCATTTCTGCTGAAAATTTCCCATTTAAATACAGACTCTGCTGAAACACAATAGGTACAAAGAATTGAAGCAGGGAAAATGAAAGCTTTTGGCATGTAGTATCAATATTTCCCATAATTATGAAGATTTTACTTAGACTTTCCTCATTTCACCTGGCTCAAATGGAACTCCCATCCCCTGTAATTAGCTTGATGAGTGCATATCAAGAGTCTCATATTCTACCAAATCAGCTAGCTGGACATGTTGGTGAATGTATATCAAAAGAATTGTCTAGAAGGTCCTTGTAAAACGCATTTTTAAACCTACAATGTCCTCAAAGCCTGTCCTTTCCACAAAAAGTTAAACTCTAAACAAAACGACAGGACTACTTCAGCTTATTAAAATCATGAGTGCTTCCGGGTTCTTAAGTGCCATTTAGAGAAAAAAAAAGGCATTTCTTACAGAAGTATCAATCCTTTCTGGAGTATTTTTACCTTAACTCTGAAATACTGTCAGGAAATTATCACATTAGCTAGGTAGCAAGACTTAACCTCTCCTATCTATAATCATGTGCTATATAGCAATGGGAAGGAAGCGAGGAAGGAAGGAAGAGAAAGGGGCAAATCAGTAAATACAAAAAAGGAACTGTGAATGCTGATAAGGTGTCCTCTTATCAAAAAATCAGGGGAAATGCCCAAGTTTAATTCCAAAGCATGTACCTATTGAAGCACTGCAAAACATCATCATATATATGTATATATAAACATACATATATATATATATACACACATACATACATACTTACATATAAGTTAATTACTGAGCAAGCAGCCTTGACAAGTCAGGAAGCATTACAATACACAGAATAAAAATGCCTGTTTTCTGAGTAGCAGTTTAGAAAAAGCTGTGCAAACAGTTGTTAAAATGATATAGCTTATGTCATCCTTTAAAAGTAAAACCTGCAATTAAATTTGCACATCAAATGATCCTTGAAGCTTGTATGTTACCAATAAATAGGAGTGATAGAAAGGGCTTGAAATCAGACAAGCCGTGTCAGTGACACACAACAGAAATGCAGTCATATAAAGAGAAGATATTACAGCAACACATGATCTGAAGCTGAATGCCACAGTGATACACTCACATTAAATTGCCAGAGGACATATCAGTTTTTAAAACGGTTTAATTTCTTTGAATATCATTGGACTAGAGTTTGCCCAGGTGGCAGAATTTAGCTGGGGCCTTTGGCTGAAAATTGTTAGTGCAGTGAATGTTTACCCTGGGTGGGCAAAATATTAAGGATCCCTTTCAAGTTTATTTTCAATTGATAAAATGCTTATTCTCCTAACCAAGTCTTAATCTTTATTTAGATTATAGTTTAAGACCTCTTAATTGTAATTCTAAAAATGGTATCTAATCCCCTTCTATTTTTGACATGGGGCTATGAAAAACAGATTAAACCAACTACGTCAAGAGGTGGTATGTTATGGGCAAAAAGCCATGGATTTGAAATCTAAACCTTAATTATTTTCCTGGCTATACAATTTAGTGTTATGTGACAAACAAATCATCAGTATAGGCAGTAGAATGTAGTTGTAAAGAATTCAGGTTCATGTACAAAACAGACTCATATCCCAACTCCATACTTTAAGGCTATACAACTTTGGCCACATTACTAAATCTGTTTGCTTATCTATAAAATGAAAATAATAGTATCTTCTTCACATATTATTTTCAAATAATATATGAAAAGAGTATAGCATAGTACCTGATTAATTATAAGTAATAAATGGTAGATTTAAAAAATCACATCTGAGTTTTCTAAGTAATTCAAATATTTCCCCCTTGCTAGATAACACTTGGGATCAGATGAGGTAACATAAATTGTAACCTCTTTTTTTAAGAGATAAGGTCTTCCTATGTTGCCTAGGCTACACTTGAACCCCTGGGCTACAGCAATCCTTCTGCCTCAGCCTCCTGAGTAGCTGGGATTACAGATGTGCCATCATGCCCAACAATAACTCTTCTTTACTCCAGGGTGACTAAGAACATAATGGTCACACTACTGATGTAAGCAAAGCATACTGTAAAAGAGGTCCATTGACAGTCACATTCTGCTAAGTGTTACAAATAATCATACACTTAGTGATCAACAAATGGGGTGTTCCTTAAATCTGGTCGTGTTATTTACTTAGAACGCTTCAGTGTTGTCTGAATGCAGTCATAGTAAAATCAAAGCCTCTTACTGTCACCTAAAAGCCCTTTTAGGATCTGTCCCCTGCCTCACTTTTCAGTTTTGTCTCTTTCCTTCTTCTATGACCTCCTTGCTCACTTTGCCCCAGCTGTGGACTCCCTGGGCATGTTGCTCCCTCTGCCTGAAACTCAAGTTCTCCATTTCTTAGCAATTCTCATCCTTTAAGCCTGTTTATCTACCACTTGCTCAGAGAAGCACACCCAGATATTTAAAGTGCTGTATGAGATTATCTATCCCCAAACCTAACCCACCCTCTTGCATTAATCTCTGTGTGCTTTTATTTTTTATTTTCTCCCTACCACTTACTACAGTTGGTGATGTTGCATGTCATTTATTTTTGCCCTGTCTGTCCCATTAGAATACATACTTCTTGAGGGCAAGGGCCAGCCTTTGTTTACCACTGTATCCCCAGCACTTAGTACAATAGTTGGCACATAATAGGTGAAGGCAATCAAAAATATGTCCACATATACTCAGAGTGAAAAGAAAGCAAGAAAATACTATAACACAAATACCACAACAGAGTAACTCAAACTTTTCCCATTCACAATCTGTAGGAAACCCACCCATGTCTGTAATATACAGTCATATGCCATTCCCCACTCACAAAAATAAACCTAACACACACCAAATAGATTTTTTAATTGACAAATAAAACCAAATAGATTTTTTTAACTCCAGTAGCTCATCTCCAAACTGTTTTCCTAGATGTAATGAGGGAAAGAAAGCAATACTGGAAAAACTACATAATACTCAGCTAAAAGAACGAGGTTTGTGGGGCTCAACAAAAAAGTAATCGTCTGGAAGCAGCCGGTTCTGTGAACCAATAGATAAAAAATTTCATCTCCAAACCCCCAGGCAGCTCTCCAGTTAGAAGGCACACTGCTCTACATCTCAGCCCATCAGTTTTCCTTCTTTGGAATAGTACATTTTATCCTCCATTTCTTGTGAAAGACAACAATCTTGTTTGCCTTTGTCTTGCGCATCAAGTTAAAAGGATTTTCCTGAAAACTTAAAAGTAATAAAAGCACACTTTACTACAACAAATAGAAATAAGAAGTGCCTACAGGATTTCTAGTGTTTCATTCAGCACCAAATATCAGACTTTTTAAAATTTTTATTATATATTATAAATATTATTTCTGATCATAAAAGTAAATCCATGGCAGAAAGTTAGAACATACAAAACTATTTTAAGAACAAAAATCATGAGTCATCCTGCTAGCCAGAGACAAATGCTTTCACATTTTATAAATTTTTCTAGTTTTTTTTTAATGCATACATACTTTTTTTTTTCAAAGGGGGCTACTGTCTGTCTGGTTTTATAATCTTTTAACTCAAAGTATCCTGAGAAGTCACAACAAAAAGACCATTGCACTATGAATGATTTCTCATTGAAGCCTTCTACAGCAGGGGTGTCCAATCTTTTGGCTTCCCTGGGCTACAATGGAAGAAGAAGAATTGTCTTGAGCCACACATAAAATACACTAACGATAGCTGATGAGGTACAAAAAAAAAAACGCAAGAAAAAGTCATAATGTTTTAAGAAAGTTTATGAATTTGTGTTGGGCCGCACTCAAAGCTGTCCTGGGCCTCAGGTTGGACAAGCTTGTTCTACAGCCTATTTTAAACAATTACCCCCCCCAAAAATTATGTAACTAATCTTTCCTTGAGCCTTGAGTAGTACATTGCTAATATTTATCATAAAAATCTGCAACTGAAAAATAAAAGACAATCTGCAACTGCCATCCTTGAACATAAATCTTTATGCCTATTCCAGAATGTTGTCTTAATGTAAAATTCTAAAGAAGATGCTATGTAAAAGGATATGCCCATCTCTAAATTATTAATACACTGTCAAAATTTCCCTCCCGAGATGTTACACCAACTTACACTCTGTCTTAGTGCATTCAGACCGCTATAGCAAAAATGCCTTATGCTGGGTAATTTGTAATGTGCTGCCATTCACAGCAAAGGCTGGAAAGTCCAAAATCAAAGCGCCAGCAGATTCAGTGTCTGGTGAGGACTTGCTCTCTGCTTCAAAGATGGTGCCTTCCTTCTACCAGTGTCCTCACATGGCAGAAGGGGCAAACGGTTCCTTCTCACCTCTTTTAAGGCACAAATCCCGTTCATGAGGGCTCTCCATCACTTAATCACCTTCCAAAAGGCCCCATCTCTTCTTCATACTATCACATCGAAGATTAGGTTTCAAATATGAATTGTGGAGCGACACATTCAGACTACAGCACCCAGCTACCAGTAGATTTTTTTTTCTGCTATCTCACACTCTCACCAAAACACTGGATATCACTTGTTTGAAAAAAAAAAACAAACAAAAAAAAAACATTTTTCAAGGCTGGGCAGGGTGGCTCATGTCTATAATCCCAGAACTGTGGGAGGCTGAGGGGGATGCATCACTTGAACCCAGCCTGGGCAACATGGTGAAATCTCCTCTCTACAAAAAATACAAAAACTTAGCTGGGTATGGTGACACACACCTGTAGCTTCAGCTATCCGGAAGGCTGCTGTGGGAGAATCACTTGAGCCTGGGAGGTAAAAGTTGCAGTAAGCCATGATTGTGCCACTGCACTCCAGCCTGAGCAACAGAGTGAGACCCTGTCTCAAAAAAATATATATATATCTTTTTCAATCTGATAGAGGAAAAAATTACTATTTCTTTGCTTAGTAGTGATGGTATCCTTTCTTTAAAACCATTCCTCTTAAAGTTTTCAATATTTTCTTGCTGATTTTTCATCTTTTTCCTTTTAGATCAATAGGAATCATTTGTTAGTCATCAGCGTGGATTTTTAATTGTATATGTATAAGGTACAAATATGCATAAGATTTTTCCTGAAGACCAAAATATACATACATCTTGGATTTATGTTTTCACTGTCAAGTTCTAATTTAAAAAATTAACGTAGACCTATTCTATATCTACACTTCAAAAAAGGTTATAGATTATGTCTTTCTGTATTCTCAATAACATCCTTAAGTTAAAAACCACATCTGTTTATCTTTTTATAAATCTCATGAAGTGGTAATCCTTACTGTATACCTCCATAGATTATTCTAATTATACTTAATCCAAAACCAAAAGTTTTTGATCAACTTTTAAGTAAAGTCATTTTATACTTAAGAAGATGAAGTTTACCCACTAACCTCATGCTACCTCTCAAATCCCAGAAGGTCACCTTAATTTTTACTGTAAATACAGAATTAAATTTGAAGATAACCAACAGGTTAACTATACTAGTACAAAAGCATCATTACATCATTTATATAGAGACATCTGTCATTATTCTTTATCTTTTATTGACTTTGAATATTCTAGAATTCATTGACTTAACAGAAAAATTCTATGGCTTCTTAATATGAAATCAAAACATCACCTTTGGGTCAGTGAATCCTAAGGTTTATGAACTTTCAGAATTTGATGTCAATATTCAATCCTCATCTCAGACTCCCAGGATAAACTGTGTACTTTATGTATAAGGTATATGTAAAATATCACCAAAAAGTCTTCTTTCAAAGACTTCAACATTAGGTAAACATGAGACTTAGACCCAGAAAGAAAAAGTAGCTTTTCTTAATATGAATAAAGTTTATCAAAGTTTTATGTGTTGTCAAATCATATAAACTAATTCAGATCAGTTCTATTTCAAATTTTGACTGTTATGGTATAATAAGTACATATTAAATAGTCACTTTGTATGAGTCTTATGTATGAATATTTTAGAAAGACATACGATATACATATGCATATCTCCCACACAAATTATCTTAGCATTGCTCTATTTTGTAAGGGAGACTGTTTACAGACATCTCAATATCTGTAAGTATGGATATCACTTTACTTTTAAAACTTTTCAATCTCTGATATGGTTTGGCTATGTCCCCACCGGAATCTCATCTTGAATTATAGCTCCCATAATTCCCATATGTCATGGGAGGGACCTGGTGGGAGATAACTGAATCACAAGGCAGTGTCCTCCATACTGTTTTCATGGTAGTGAATAAATCTCAAGAGATCTGACAGTTTTATAAGGGGTTTTTCCTTTCACTTGGCTCTCATTCTCTCGTACCTGCCACCATGTAAGACATGCCTTTCACCTTCTGCCATGATTGTGAGGCCTCCCCAGCCAAATGGAACTGTGAGTCCATTAAACCTCTTTTTCTTTATAAATTACCCAGTCTTGGGTATGTCTTTATCAGCAGTGTAAAAACAGACTAATAAGATCTCCGAAGTTCTTTTCTCCAAAACTTAAAATAGCATACAATGCATGAAAATAATAAGTCTTCAGTTCACTTTGTCATTTTGAATTATGTCACAATGAAAAAAATTCAACATCCACAGATCACTCACTCCTAGGTATCTTGTTAGGAAAAAAAAAAATCCACTTTCTTTTTCAAGGTAAATGTCATTCTGCATTCCAATAGGATACCACCAGTCCACAGATCTGTGTCAATAAATCAGGATAAGCCAGCAAATCTGATACTTACCTGCTAGATAACTGAAGCAATTTCTACTCGTTTATGGGGACTGTCTGGAATTTTAGCAGCAATGTGCTTTATCTCATACCACTAACTGTGTATCACCTGAAATCACCCTCAAGAGATCTCCGGAAAAGTCATGTAGCTGGTTGCAGTGGCTCACACCTGTAATCCCAGCTACTTGGGAGGCCGAGGCAGGAGGATCACTTGAGCAGAAGAATTGAACAGGAATTCAAATCCAGCCTGGGCAATATAGTGATACCCTGTCTCAAAAAAAAAAGGAAAAAAACTAAAAAAAAAAAAAAAATCTGCATGGGTGTGCACATACATTTTGTAGTTTACACGGCACTTCATTTACATTGTCCTGCCTAATTCTCATACCTTTGTTACCTTATGAAAAATTCTAAAATACGGTGACACAATGGGTCTTCATCATATGGTGATTCACTCACCACCACAGTATCAACCTTGGACATTAGACCTGTAAAGATCTCATTATCTCATTAAAAGAATCCTGACTCATCATCATCAAATAACAGAGAAATGAACAAAAAGATGGAAAAATATGAATTTTAAAAATTTACAAGCTCTGTCAACATACAAGTTTTATTATATATTTATCAGATGTGTGTCTTAAGCATTTGTTGAAATTTGTCTCACATCAGTAGGCTGCTTGATTGGTTCAAAAATAAGATGCAGAATTTGGCCTTTAGGTTTCTCTGTTTTACAAATACAGGTATAGATACACATATTAAAAGTGTACACATAGCACATGCATACACTGAACAGCATAAACACTGAACAAAACATAAATCTAATAAAAAATCATACTTAAATATAAGATCAGAAGACTTTAATATGATGGCTAGTTATCAGTCACTCATGAAAATTGAATAGACAGAAAGATTTAAGGAAGCAAAATGCCACTTCTCCTCCAGAAAGCCTTTGTGGGGAGCTGATATCTGAGGACTATTTCACAAGAGAAATTAAAGAGCTGACAAAGCAAGAAGGATTGGGTGCCTTTTTTTTCAGATGAAGGACATGTTGAGGAACAAAGATTACAAGCAGGAAAGCAGCAAGAAACAAAAGGGATAATTACACTGTCAAGAGTGACAGAGTGATGGGATTTACGGAGGGGGCTGGAAATCTCAGACTCATCTGTGGGATATAAAATTCAGTCTCTGTGGTTGGCAAGGAAGAAAATCTTAAAAACAAATCCCTGAAGAGGAAAGCACTGGCTCAGAAGAGTTCAAATATCTGCCAAAGTCCAAGTAGAAGGACCAGAACAAAAGCTCTGTAGTGATACATGCCAGGTAGTTATAAAAAATGGTCAAGGGAGGGGGTCAGATTTTGTGAAAAAGCCTGATGTCTGTGTGGTGACAGCAAAAAATGAAGATACACACTTACATACATACACATGGAATGCTTTCTTGCCAGAGATATTAGTGATATAGTGGGCACTCCTTAAAATAGTGAGACAGCAAAAAGAGGCAAATTTTGAAATGACAATCTGTAGCTTTATTTTTCTTAACTTGGTCTGAGCTGGTAATTAGTTAATCTGTTCCTGCTTTGCCTCCTGAAAGAATGAATAAAGATTTACCGAGTGCCTACTATGTAGTGTGTACTATATTAGGGATAAATGAAATCATATAGTCATCCTTGAAGCAGAAATGATTACTCCACTTTCATTAGTGATGTAGAAGGAAGAGAGAGGAAAATTTAATTCAGGCTAATTAAATAGAAAGCTATTTTCATTACTGAAAGTTATGAGTTGGAAAAGACACAGCATAACCAGAACTGTACTAATTTAAACATATGACAACTTAGATTTCAATTGTTAAACAGTTAAGAATGACTACAGTTCAGTGAGTGGTATTTTTTCAAGGTCTGAAACTCACTAGCTCTCTGAAACCATCATTCCACTCAGGAAATTTTATGAATTTGTTTAGTTAAATCTAAGTTAAGTACAAGTGACTACGTTTTTACTGTTTAAATTTTTTACAAAGCCTGGGCACCTGGGGTTCTGATTACTTCCCTCGTGGATTTAATATCTACCTTTATACGTAGGACTTTACACAACTGGGTTTGCTTTAGAAGCAACGATTCGAAGTAGATTAACTCTCACTATATCCCCAAGTAGATCTGACCATTTGGCATATAGTATATATTTCTAAATCAACAACTCATTTTATCATCCCAAATTCATTGTTTTACTTGTGTCCATCACTCCTCATTCTTGTGTTTTATTTTAAACATAATTGAAACACTTTAATATTTCCTTTAATGTTGGTAGATACTAATAAATTTAACTTAAGACAACTGACCCATTGCTACAACTTTTGTAAATACAGTAAAGCAAGGTATTTAAAATTCTGACTCATTAAAATAAAGAATAAGGCTGGGCACAGTGGCTCACGCCTGTAATTCCAGCACCTTGGGAGGCCGAGGTGGGCGGATCACGAGGTCAGGAGTTCGAGACCAGCCTGACCAACACGGTGAAACCCCGTCTCTACTAAAAATACAAAAATTAGCCGGGCGTGGTGGCGCGTGCCTGTAATCCCAGCTACTCAGGAGGCTGAGGCAGGAGAATCACTCGAACCTGGGAGGTGGAGGTTGCAGTGAGCCAAGGTTGTGCCACTGCACTCCAGCCTGGGCGACAGAGCGAGACTCCATCCCCAAAAAAAATAAAATAAAATAAATAAGTCTAGTTTCCTTTACTAAGATGCTTTTATCAAGATGGTTCTCCCATAATGCTTTAATAAATGATGAAAAACTTATAACTGCAGCATAGAATAATTCCCTACCAGGTCTGACTGCAATGGAAAGATTTAAAGCCCTGTGAAATGAGTAAGCCCCTGCTACTTAGCACTGAAAGGGAATAATCAACAGATTAAAAAGCATTGATGTAGCTAATTCTACTAAATCATTAGTTTTGCATTCTACCTACTAGCTTTTTAGTGATGGAACTTTAACTGTTACCAAAAGCGTAGTCGACTGGTATTATAGAAAGAAAACACAAGTGACCTAATCCAGAAGAATCATGCCAACCATAAAACTCAGCAGATTATTCATCACCATGGCAATAAAAGCAGGCACGGAAGCCAATTCATAGATTCCATTTTCAAACCAGGGGGGGTGCCTTGTGGGTGTATGTGTGTATATAACTTATCCAGTGTCCTTGCCATGCTAATAACAATCCAAGATGAAGCTTAAAGAAACTACAGCAGTGGCCCTTTTAAGAACACTGGATCCCGACTCATGGAAGGGTCATCTGTTCCTCACTACAAAGAACCTTAGAGAATGTTACACAAACACAGCAACAATAATAAGGAACACTCTCCCGGGTGCTGAGTCATTAATAGAATTTGAAGAGTCAGGCATTGCTCCTAATACCACCATATTTATGTGAGGATAGCATATATCTTTTACATGAAAATACAAGGCCTAAAATCACAGATTTTACTATTTACATTTCAGTGAAATATTTATGCTTTGTGACTTACTTGAACACAAAACAACACTCCATTCCTGAGACTTTCAATAAGTTTAAACTGAAAATGTTTGTTGCAGAGATGCTATTTCTAGAAATATTTAAAGCACAATATATGTTAATATCAAACTTTGGTAGCAAAATATTCAAGCCAATAAAAATGGGCTAAAGGACACTGTTAAGAAAATGAAAAGACAAGCCACAGACTAGCAGAAAATATTTGTAAATCCATCTTTTTTAAAAACATTTCTTGTAAGGCACTGTGCTGGCAGCAAATTCCCAGTTCTTTTGTCTGAGAAAGTCTTTACTCCTCCTTCACTTTTGAAGGATAATTTTACTGGATACTGAATTCTAAGTGATTTTTGTTTCTGTTTTCCAATACTTTACATACTTCATTCTACTCTCTTCTTGCTTACATAGTTTTTGAAGAGATGTCCGATGTAATTCTTACCCTTAATCCCCTAAAGGTAAGGTGAAGTCACCCCCCGACCTGTCAAAATCTTCCCATTGTCTTTGAATTTCTGCAATTTGAATAAGATATGCCTGTCTGTAGATTTTTTGGTGTTTGTCCTGAGCTTGGCGTCTCTCATTAATTTTGAGCTTCCAACATTTGTGGTTTGATGTCTGTCATTAATTTTGGAAAATTCTCAGTCATTATTATTTCAAATATTTCTTTTGATCCTTTCTCTCTTTCTTCTCCTCATGGCATTCCCATTCTGCATATGTTACACCTTTTGTAATTGTCTCACAATTCTTAAATATTCTGTTTCAGTTTTTTCCTTCTTCTTATGGCTTCGGTTAGGGAAGTTTCTATTGCCCTACCTCCAAGCTCACCGATTCTTTCATTAGCCCTCTCCAATCTACTGATGGCATCAAAGGAATCAAAGGCATTCTGCATTTCTGTTAGTTTTTAATTTCTTTAGTTGTGTCCCACAAATTTTGATATATTCTGTTCTCATTTTCATTTAGTCAGTGTATTTTTTATCTCCCTTGAAATTTTCTCTTTATCCTATGGATTATTTAGAAGTGTGTTGTGTTATCTTCTCAATGTTGGAGATTTACTTATCTTTCTGTTATTGATTTCTAGTTTGACTCCACTGTGTTCACAGAATGCGTGTATGATTTCAATCTGTCTAAATATGTTGAGGTACTTTTTATAAGCAGGAATACAGTTTATTTTGATATGTACAGTGCCTTCATTAATGTTTACATAGGTATGATTAACTCTCAAGGTCTGTACCTCCCCACACACCTCTTGAATAGTATCTCTCGATTAATCCTGTTTAAATACATTTTGATTTAACTATTCACAATACACTTCTAGGGATCAAGAACCTAAAATGGCTCCGTACTGGCTATCACAACACTGTAAATTCACCTGTGTAGCTTCTGAAGTCCATCGTCACCTGGAACCCTCTCCATTATATCAACTCCCATCTCTATAACTTTGGGGCATCTCAACTTTTCCTTAGTTTTGATAACCATATTGATAATTACAGTTATTTGATAAACACTTTTGTAATACACACACACACACAGAGTCATTTACCCATTCAGCTAACTTATGAAATAGGTATGATAATCATGATTTTACAACAGAAGAAATAAAAGCTCAGAGTTTGGTACTTGCCCAAGACCACATAAGTTAAGTGGCAGAGCCAGGTTTCAAATTCAGATCTTGATTACTCTAAAACTTCTGCTGTCCATCACTGGAAGAATAAAAGCATGACTTTTTTTTTAGCACTTGATTCCATCCAGTTTAATTTAACCTATATTGGGGAGTATAAACTGTAAGCATGGAGCTAGGTACTTGAAGACAATTCTGAAAAATAAAGATTCAACAAGATACACTAGAACTAGACTATAATTGTCTGCAGGCAGCTTAAAAACGATGGGACTTTAAGATAGATAATTCTAGTTTGTAAATAAAACTATGAACTCTTTGAGGGCAGGGGCCTTCTCTTTACCCTGGCATATGACTACTCAATCTTCTCTGTATTTGCTTCCTGTTTTCCTTTTAAGAGAATTACGAACCTATTAGGACCACTATACATTGTTATCAGTATCGACTAGTTTCTAACCGCTGCTCATCTATACTTCCTTTCTTGTTGGTTCCTTAAGAGAGTCTCCCATAATAACTATGTCCTCAAATTATAATATAGCCCTTCTTTTCCTTCACTCCCCTCAGAAAATAATTGCATCTCCCATATAACTAAAAAAAAAAGAGATACAAATGGCATGCCCTCCTTTACATATAAATAAGAATATCTACAATAGCACACAAGGTCTATTAGATGTTAAATACTGCTTTAAAAATAGATTCACAGATGACATTTCAAATATCCCATTTACTTATTTCAGAAATGCCTCTTGTGCAAAAAGTTCAGTCAAAAATATATATCATAGTACCTTAAAGGCATATCTATATATGACATAGAAATTCATCTTTTTTAGATAGAATAATTAAAATGTCATGGGCAACTGCTATCCAGGTTTTTAGCTAGCTTAACCAAATCCTCTAAACAGAATTCCTGTAGCCTTGGAAATGTTTATTCTCTTTTCAAAGTATTTTGAAGACAAATTCAGAATATAAAACTTTAATAAGCCTTCCACCATTAAAAATATTTAATTGACTTTTTTTTTTTTAGATGGAGTCTCACTGTGTTGCCCAGGCTGAAGTGCAATGGCACAATCTCGGCTCACTGCAACCTCAGCTTCCCAGGTTCGAGCTACTCTCCTGCCTCAGATTCCCAAAAGCTGGGATTACAGGTGCCTGCCACCACGCCTGGCTAATTTTTGTATTTTTAGTAGAAACGGGGTTTCACCGTGTAGGCCAGGCTGGTCTCGAACTCCTGACTTCAGGTGATCCACCCACCTTGGCATCCCAAAGTGCTGGGATTATAGGCATGAGCCACCATGCCTGGCCTTAATTGACTTTTAATTGGCTTTTTCACATCATGTGACTTCATGCTAAAGATTCTAAGAGCTAAAGTATTTTCTGAATAGAGAAGATTTTTTTCTAGTATTCTTGCATAAAAATATTTCATTTTGTCTTCGTGTAAGGGTCAATAATTTCAATCATCCCCCAAACTGGCAGCAAAAAGCTGTTCAGTGTGCTGTTAGCTAACCCCTACAGCTTGTGCAGTCATATTCTGAATGAAAAACAGAAGATAAAGTGTGTGTGTGCATGTGTGTGTGTAGGCAAAAGGAAGCTGGGTGGTTAATCACTATATATATCTGTTCCTTAAAATCTGATTTCAGGATGGAATTTTTTCATTTTATCCATAAAAAGGAAACAAACTGAAAAGGTAGATTTTTTTCTTTCAAACTGGCTACTACTTAAATAACTGCCTACTCCTGAGAGTAGGTAAGTCTAAAGTGAAACTACGCATTTCATAAAACTCTAACCCTATTCCCAGTAATGCAGCTCATTAGTGACCAATTAACCCATTTTCATAAGTCTATATTAATCTCAGCCAGAAATGTTGACATATCTCTAGGGCTGGCTGGACATTCTCATCTTAACGAGATGAATGGTGTATCAAAGAAACTATGACTACACACAATTTGTCAAGGTGATCTACTGTATCGAGACCTTCATCAACAATGCATTCCATTTTGAGCCCATTAGTACAAAACTCCCTTTAGGTTTTCCCACATAATTATGGTGATAATGACAACAACAATGAGGAGAAGATATCAGTAATAACAATACTTACATTATTCTGTGAACTTCTTTGTGCTCCACAATGTACGAGGCATTTTATATACACTATCTCATTTAATCCTAACAATCCCAACACTACACCCCTTTTACAACTATAACATTTAAGGCTCAGAGAGCATGCATGCCCAAAACTAAACAGTGAAGACTATGAAGCCCGGCCTATCTGCTACATCCTACACTCACTATCTACATAAAAAAGCAACTGGTAAATGTTCCTTAAAACTATTTTTCTTTAAATAGTCAATTATTTTTTGGAGAAGTCAAATAAATGACCTACTGTTTACTAAGAAACAACATTTCTTAAAGATGAAAAAGAATATGATTTGCAATAAAGAGAACACAAAAGTACTTGCCAGATTACTCATAGTTTGGAGGTTACAGTGGCCACAGGAGAATAAAACTCTTGAGCTAGCGCTGAAGATTAAAGGACATGTTGTTAATCATTGTTAAGGCTTTGAATACAGCCACCTCGGTCATTATGCAAGGAACAGAATAAGTAAGCTATGTGAGGAAAATATAACGTTTTCTTGTAGACTAAGACACAGAAATAGCAGCTGCAACATTAGACAAAAATGACCACCTAGGTAGTCATGACTACCACACTAGAATTGAACGATACCTAAATAATGGAGTACATGGAGATGATTTTACTAGCAGCTGACCAGCATTCCTCTCCCAAAACAGATACTGGAAAGAAATATAATGTATTCGTCCATTTTCACACTGCTATAAAGATACTACACAAGATTGGGTAATTTATAAAGGAAAGAGGTTTAATTGACTCACAGTTCCACGGGCTTAACAGGAAGCATAGCTGAGAGGCCTCAGGAAACTTAGAATCATGGTGGAAGGGGAAGGGGAAGCAAGCCCGTCTAACAGGTGAGAGGGGACAGTGTGTGAAGGAGGAACTGTCAAACACTTAATAAAACCATCAGATCTCATGAGAACTCACTCTCTATCGTGAGAACAGCATGGGGAAAACCATTCCCATGATCCAATCACCTCCCACCAGCTCCCTCCCTCAACACATGGGGATTCTGGGGATTATAATTTGAGATGAGATTTGGGTGAGGACACAGAGCCAATCCATATCATATTGTTCATTAAATAGTATCTTGGCACCTTTAAAAAGCCTAGATATACCTTTTGTGAGATGAAGAAAGAATAAAAGGACATGTGAAAACACCTCAGCCCAGAGATAAGAGGACCACATGTTCTTGGTGGATGGAAGAAGAATAACAACAACAGAAATAAAGGCAGGTAAAAAGAAAAACAAACAAACAGAAAAACTAATGGAGATAGAAGAAATATCCATTCCATTTTACTAAGCATCATACCACATATATCAAGGCATCCAGATGAATGATTAAAATTCTAGAGAAGGGACTAGGCTTTTCTCCACAGCAAGAAATGTAAAAACATTGAAAATAATGTAAGCTGGTTTTTAATGGAAAATACATTTTTATTTTTATTTTCTTGAAAAAGGGTCTCACTCTGTCACCCAGGCTGGAGTACAGTGATGCAATCTCAGCTCACTGCAGCCTTCACCTCCTGGACTCAAGTGATCCTCCCACCTCAGCCTCCCAAGTCAGTGAGACCCTCAGCTAATTTTTGTATTTTTTGTAGAGAAAGGGTCTCTCCATGTTGCCCAGACTAGTCTCAAACTCCTGAGCTCAAGTAATCCTCCCATCTCAGCCTCCCCAAAGTTCTGGGATTACAGGACTGAGTCATCATGCCTGGCCAGAAAATTCATTTTTAATAACCTATAGATTAACAATGCCTTCAAAAATTTTCAAGTGATGTGTAGTTCTAAAAATGTCAATGCTTTCAAGACCATATAATCAGTTTAGTTTTGTTTTCTCTCCTCCTCAGCTGCTTCCTCCTCTTCCTTTTCTTCTATTTGTTTGCCAGTTTATTCAGAAACAACATATAAGATGGCCCTGTTTTACTACTGTTCCAGGGGCATTAGGCTACAATAACATTCAAAAGTTTCATGCTTAAAAAGATTCTCTGTGGTTGGGCACGGTGGCTCACACCTGTAATCCCAGCACTTTGGGAGGCTGAGGCGGGTGGATCACGAGGTCAGGAGATCGAGACCATCCTGGCTAACACGGTGAAACCCCGTCTCTACTAAAAATACAAAGAATTAGCCGGGCATGGTGGTGGGCGCCTGTGGTCCCAGCTACTCGGGAGGCTGAGGCAGGAGAATGGCGTGAACCTGGGAGGCGGACCTTGCAGTGAGCCGAGATCGCGCCACTGTACTCCAGCCTGGGCGACAGAGCGAGACTCCGTACAGAGCGAGACTCTGTCTCAAAAACAAAAAACAAACAAACAAAAAAAAACAAAAAAGATTCTCTGCACGTAACTTTGTTAATTCCCATTTAACTCACTGTGACACTTCACGATATTAATACTTCTACCTTACATTGTTCATAATAAAATACTTTCATATCGATGATCTCAATTGATTCTTATAATATGTAAGCTGGAAGGTAAGCAGGGCCAACTGCCATATCATTTCCATTTTAAAAATAAGCAAACTGACACAAAGATGTCAAGGAACTAGGGTCACAACACTGAAGGGCATCTGTAGCACAGCCCAGGTATTGACAGGGAGCTCCGAATGCCTAGCCTGGAACCCTCACCACGACTTCACACTAACAGCATTTCATGGATAACTGTAGTATTCCCAGGTACATGCAAATGACAAAGTTTCCAAAGAAACAGTAGACTGATTTAAGTATACTAATTTTTCTACAAATGAACTCACCTCAGAAATGAAAATAAGCTCCAATTCTTACGTTTCTACTTTAGTCCAATGAAGGCTAAGTTAAAGGTATTCTGCATGTAACAAAATGATAAAAGAAAAATATTCATTTTGAAGCACAATATGCAAACCATAGTTGCTTTTGCTTAAGAAATATATTTCATTCTTCCCTATACTTTTTTGCTCCCTCTTTTTTATCAAGATTCAAAATTATATAGATGGAAAAAATGAAGAGGAAAGAGATCATGAAGGATCAAATATTGTCTTATGGCGCATCCCACGTTAATGCTACTTGACTTAATCCTTACAGTAACCCTAGGAAGTACTGAAAAAGCTAACATTCTAAGATTAAAACTATGATTTGAATCCATGTCTAATCCTAAATGCCTCAAAGCTACTTAATTTTGAATCTTTTTAATATTTTTCTAGCGTTTTATAAACTGTAAGTAAAATAGGCACATTTAAGTACTTCTTCTATGTAGATGTGCATGTATATTGAGCTCAAAGCCTACAAATAAACATAGTAATCAGGTTATTTAAATTGTAGACCTTTTAAAAGTGCATGTTATTAAATGTAACCTATATCTGTGTAACTTACTGTTGTAAAATATATGTTGAATATGTATCTATCAATTAAATATTTAAACAATCCATAATTGGCAATATTTTTAAAAACTTATATAGAAAAAAATGCCAATAATAGGACAAAGACAAAGAGTTTGTGTTTTTTTGTGTTTTGTGACAGGGTCTTGCTCTATTGCCCAGGCTGAAGTACAGTGTCATTATCATAGCTCACTGCAGCCTCAACCTCCTGGGCTCAAGCAATCCTTCCACCTTGGCCTCCCAAGTAGCTAGGACTACAGGTGCGTACCACCATACCCAGCTAATTTTTAAATTCTTTTGTAGAGATAAGGTCTCACTATGTTGCCCAGGCTAGTCTCAAACTCCTGAGCTCAAGCAATCCTCCTGCCTCAGCCTGCTAAAGTGCTGGAATTACAATCATGAGCCACTGTGCCGGGCCGAGTTTGTGTTTTAAACCAAAAACTATCCTAGTATCATGTCACTTTAATGAACTGTAATAATTAACAATATTAACTTTTTTATAACATGAGTCTAGCACCAAGGAAAATGGACTTTGGAGTAAAGGAGATCTGGATTTGAATTCCAACGCCATAAGTTAACACTACGGAAATACTGAAGAGAATTTCATTCTTCTGTACAGAGGTTAATATAATAAAAAATCACTTGCCTGGAGGCCACACATATATGACAACCTCAGCAATGTCATAAAGTAAGTGTAAAACCTATATGGCTAGCTAAATAGATGTCACACCCTCTATCTATGTGCTGAACTTCTGCATTTTACTCACAGAAGATGCCCTCAAGCTTGGTTAAGATCTTATTAATAAATCTTTCTTTTTCTATAGGTTCTAATGAAGTTAGTAAGCAAATCAATCCGCAGCAGGTTAGAAGCATTAAATTTGAATTTAGGAAGCTAGGGTTGCTAGATGTGGCAGAAAGAAGAAAGAAATTGGTGTATTATGATAATGAGAGAAAAATAATACATAAGATGCAAAGAAAAAATGCATAAGGCATCCTCAGAGTATGTGATATAGAACCATACAACCAAGCATATGTCAATACCCTCCATGGAGACACTATATTACAGCCCCAATAAACAGTACGCATGATGATGAATTTACATTATGCTTATGAAGGATGGGATGTGCTCAATGCTTATAAGAAAAATTATCCTAAATACTTAAAAAAATAAAATCTTCATATTTAAAGTAACATACTTTAATTCATGTAGCTAGACAGCTAGGAAACTCAGTTGTTTTTGAATTTGAAAAGCACACTATTAGGTAAACCTGATAAATGAGATGTTAGTATAGTTAACAGAACAACTATTAGGGGCTCAGGCCTCATACCTAGTACCAGACAGTGTACTAAACACAATAGTGTAGGTCTCTTCTTTCAAAAAGCTCACAGCTCAGTAGAAAATACCACCATAAATATCAATAAATTGTAATACTATTTGGTGCCGTAATAGAGGTTAAACAAAAGACATATAATGTTTAATTTTCTCCTTTTATGACATTACCAGCTACTGAAGTTCAAAGCCTAGACACTTTAGTTCAGAAAGGGTTGCAAAACGTGACTTTAAGAAGGCTGAAACAAACAAAATAGTTTAGAAAAAATATACCAAAGGGAAGACTCTGTAACATAGATTAAAAATAAGCATCAGAAGTTCCATCCCTCCTCCTTTCTACAAAGAAAAATAATGACAACAACAACAACAACTAACATCTACTGAGAGCTTACTATGTTCCAGGCTCTGCTCTAAGTGCCTAATGTATATGAACTCATTTAATCCTCACAATGACCCTATGAGGGAAGTTCTATTATTATCCTAAATTAACAGATGATAAAATTGAGGCATGAAGACATTAAATTATTTGCCCAAAGTGACACTGGTAAGTGAAGAACTAAAACTGAAAACAGAAAGTCCGGCTTCAGAGCCCATGATGCTAACTATTATATACCCAAATATTAAAAACTTAATGATGCTACTGTGTTGTAGAAAATATAGTTCTCAAAGCATATCCTAGTGACTTTTTTTTAAATATTATTAAATCTGTTTCAACAGTCCCGCGACACCAATTATTTTCCATTTTTGCTCATTTACCAATACATGTTTATGATTTGGATCTATCTGCTCTATATTCCTCAGGTGTTTTTTGTAAGTACATGAAAAACTTCCCTAAGACTCCTGTCATTAAAAACTCAGAAACTAAGAAAGAGTAGCATTTTTCCACTTTTTATACAAACTTTAAAATTAGCTAAACAAATAGTAAATGAGGGGAATTCGCTCTTCACAGAAATATTTTTTATTTTAATTTTGTATATAAACTACCGAAATAGATATATTTCCTAGTGTTATTTTTGGTAGATAGTGTTTAATACATAGTAGCTAATATTTTAATTGTGAATATCTAACTATTATTCTAATTAATATCACTTTTATTCTAACTAATATTAGACTCATTTCTCAACTGCCAGCTATATTTCCCATAGATGTAAATGATCATTTAGAAACACACCCACCCTGAGTGGCTAAGAAACCCTTTTGCACATTGCAGATATAGGTAGTCTTCACATAATTAACAAGATTTTGCCTATAACTCCTATTCACCTAAGTTGTGAAGATAAAGGATAAATAATATTGTTAGGAAAATTTAAAGATGGGCTTCTGTCACTTAAATACCCAAAGTTAAGTTACATTTTCAATATGTTTGGTGTTTGAAGGATCAATCTATACTAAAAATATCAAAATAATTCATTGAACTTACTGAAGGTCCTTCTATAATAAGAACATTCTTAGCCCTGAAGATAAAATATTAACAAAGAACAACTTCCTTCCAACTCACTTTATGCCCTAGGGCATTCTGCATTATTATGCCCTAGGGCATTTTAAGTACCTTAAAGCACTTGTGTTGTATTTAATATCAGTCATTTGTTTGCATATTTGTCTCATAGTTGGAATATAAACTACAAAAGGACACAGGCCAACTTGGTTTTTTTTTTGTAATACCAGCAGCTACAAAGTCCTGGCAATAGCAGGTGCTTAATAAATGTTTGTTGAATCCACTTACAAGCATACACCTTCACTCCAAGGACCTCAGATTAAATCATTAAGCGTGCCACGTTAAACAGTCCATGGTGGAGCTAAATCTACCAAACCTGAGACACGACTCTCAAGAGACTTTCATTTGGTCTTATTCTGACCCCTTAGTCCATGCAGGCATGTCTATGCAGATTGCTCTAATATAGCACAGACTACATCCCTGGGTTACTATTCTAAGCCTAGATCCTTTAATCTATAATAATAGCTAATACTCACTGATAGCACTCTATGTACCAGGTACAACACAAAACACATCATATACCTTAGTTCATGTGATCTTTACAATAACCTGAGAATAGTATTACTCCCATTTTACAGGTGAAGATGCTGAGGCCTTAAAGAGGTTACAAAAAATGTTTAAAGTCCCAAGATCATAGGGCAGAGGCAAGATTTGAGCCACATCTGTCAGACAGTACAGTCCACATTCTCCACCACTGACATTCCTAAACAGAAGGTGTGATGATTAATTTTGGGTGCCAACTTCACTAAATTAAGGAATACCTAGATAGCTGGTAAAACATTACTTCTGGGTGTATCTGTGACGGTGTTTCTGGGAGAGATTGGCGTGTGAGTCGGTGGCCTGGGGAGGAGGATCTGCTGCCCTGAATGTGGATGGGCACCCATCCAATCGACTGGGGGACCAGATGGAACAAAAAGGTGGAGGAAGGGTGAATTTCTTCCCACTCTTCCATAGTCAGGACACCCTTCTTCTCCCGACCTTGGATGTTAGAACTCCAGGGTCTCTGGTTTTTGGACCCTGAGACTCACACCTGCAGCTCCTCAGGCTCTTGGGCCCTCAGCTTCCCTGGTTCACCATCAACTTCCCTGGTTCTCCAGCTTGCAGATGGCCTATCGTGGGACTTCTCAGCCTCCACAATTGTGTTAGCCAGTTCCCCTAATAAGCCCCTTATCATCTATCCATCCATCCATCCACCCATCCATCCATAAATAGATATCCTATTATTTCTGTCTCTGGAGAACTCTGACTAGTACAGAAGGCTACTAGTAAACAAAGCTTTTCAAAGAAGCCTCTAAAGGTCCCTTGAGGTCACTTTAGATAGTTTTTAATGAGCTTTTAAAAAGCAATGTTTGTTTCCTTGTGGGAGTCTACCATTTTCAACTCTTACATTCTCTGACACACAGGGACTCAGGAATACAGAGAATACTAACCAAAAGAAGCTACTCCGAGGTGACGGCAAAGTTAAGGATAAAAAGCATGCTCAAAGAAAAAATCGGAGCAGACTAGAAATCTTGTGAGCAAAACACTAGAAAAAAAAATCAAACTCCTAGATGCACAATCTTATTGCATAAAGGACCAAATCTCTATTAATAACTAAAATCTTTATAGGGCTTAAAAACTCTAGAGCACCTACAAGCATACACACTAAGTTCACTAAATGGGAAATTCGTAGGCTGGGAGCGGTGGCTCACGCCTGTAATCCCAGCACTTTGGGAGGCTGAGGCTGGCAGATCATGAGGTCAGGAGTTGGAGACCAGCCTGGCCAACATGGTGAAACCCCGTCTCTACTAAAAATACAAAAATTAGCCAGGCGTGGTGGTGCATGCCTGTAATCCCAGCTACTCGGGAGGCCAAGGCAGGAGAACTGCTAGAACCCAGAAGGCGTAGGTTGCGGTGAACCGAGATCATGCCACTACACTCCAGCCTGGGCTACAGAGCAAGACTCCATCTAGAAAAAATAAAAAATAATAAAAATAAATAAATAAATAAATAAATAAATAAATAAATAGGAAGTTCCTGAGGCAAAAAGCTGCTGCTAGAACATATGTGTCATATAGATTTAATGCTAAAATTTACATGAGAGCCAGTACAGGCTAAAGAATAAGACAGTCTCTCCCAAGTTTAAATTTCAGCTCTGCCAATTAATACATGACTTCAGGAAAGGTACTTATCAACTACTCTGAGCCTCAGTCTCCAGTATGTAAAATAGAAACAATAATACCTCCCTGTAGCGAAATTAAGAGAAATGTGGCTAATGCATCATGTCCACAACCATTAAGTTGAGTACATCTACGTGGATTGGTAATGATAGAAAAAAGGTCAATTTCTTTTTTAAAAAATGGTGCTTTTAGTGACCTGTATGTTCCAAAGCAGCAGCAGCCAAGAAACTGACCAATAATGGAGAGTTGTCCTAAAGTCCAAATTCCCAGGCAGAATTGGACTGCCCACAAAGAAGACCCTACCCAGAGAGAGGGGTATATCTAAAAAATGCTCTTCACCAAGGTGGGCTTCATGGGCAGGCAGCCAGTACAGCTGCATAGAGTCGTGGGCTCAAAAGGTCCAGGACCTTGTTCTGTGGTAATTATCTTTAAATTCTTAATAACTGTATCTTTGAATTTGCATTTTGTATATAAAGTCCAATGGGGTAACAGAGCTTGGCTTAGCACTGTGACTCATGTGCAGTCCTGCCTCCAGCCACCCCCCTCCACTAGGGACAGAAACTGGGTTGCAGAGAGGAAATGGCCATCCCCATCCTGAGCCAGCAGTGAGATGCCACTTTAGGTGGGTGACTCAGTGGGGTCCTCTTGCCCACCCCCAATTCAGGTACCAAGCGAATCCTGGCAGGATCATTTGTAGGTTGACCATCTGCAGTTTGGGGTAGAAGGGGAAAGTGACTTTCCTAGCTGGAACCCCCACATTTCATTTTGTTCTTGGCCCTGCAATTTATCGAGCCTGCCCCTGTCCCTGACTTTGTGAGGGCAACAAAAATACTACCAAGAGGAGAGAGGTGATTGGTTAGCACATATCATCTTTTAAAGCGTAAAGTCCACTGGGAAACTATTAGCTACTCCAGCTTAGATTAATCAAACTGTTGCCTTTGCAACATCACATCCAGATCAGTAACATTAAGTCTTTTTTTTTTAAGTTCTAGGGTACATGTGCACAACGTGCAGGTTTGTTACATATGTATACATGTGCCATGTTGGTGTGCTGCACCCATTAACTCGTCATTTACATTAGGTATATCTCCTAATGCTATCCCTCGCCCCTTCCCCCAACCCTACGACAGGCCCCAGTGTGTGATGTTCCCCATCCTGTGTCCAAGTGTTCTCACTGTTCAGTTCCCACCTATGAGTGAGAACATGCAGTGTTTGGTTTTCTGTCCTTGCGATAGTTTGCTCAGAATTATGGTTTCCAGTTTCATCCATGTCCCTACAAAGGACATGAACTCATCCTTTTTTATGGCTGCATAGTATTCCATGGTGTATATGTGCCACATTTTCTTAATCCAGTCTATCATTGAAGGACATTTGGGTTGGTTCCAACTCTTTGCTATTGTGAATAGTGCCGCTATAAACATATGTGTGCATGTGTCTTTATAGCAGCATGATTTATAATCCTTTGGGTACATACCCAGTAATGGGATGGCTGGGTCAAATAGTATTTCTAGTTCTAGATCCTTGAGGAATTGCCACACTGTCTTCCACAATGGTTGAACTAGTTTACGGTCCCACCAACAGTGTAAAAGCATTCCTGTTTCTCCACATCCTCTCCAGCACCTGTTGTTTCCTGACTTTTTAATGATTGCCATTCTAACTGCTGTGAGATGGTATCTCACTGTGGTTTTAATTTGCATTTCAACAAAAAAAGAGAATTTTAGACCAATATCCCTAATGAACATCAATGCAAAAATCCTCAATAAAATATTAGCAAACCGAATCCAGCAGCACATCAAAAAGCTTATCCACCACAATCAAGTTGGCTTCATCCCTGGGATGCAAGGCTGGTTCAACATACACAAATCAATAAATGTAATCCAGCATTTAAACAGAACCAAAGACAAAAACCACATGATTATCTCAATAGATGCAGAAAAGGCCTTTGACAAAATTCAACAGCCCTTCATGCTAAAAACTCTCAATTAACTAGGTATTGATTGGATGTATCTCAAAATAAGAGCTATTTATGACAAACATACAGCCAATAATACCATATTGAATGGGCAAAAACTGGAAGCATTCCCTTTGAAAACTGGCACAAGACAGGGATGCCCTCTCTCACCACTCCTATTCAGCATAGTGTTGAAAGTTCTGGCCAGGGCAATGAGGCACGAGAAAGAAATAAAAGGTATTCAACTAGGAAAACAGGAAGTCAAATTGTCCCTGTTTGCAGATGACATGATTGTCTATCTAGAAAACCCCATCGTCTCAGCCCAAAATCTCCTTAAGCTGATAAGCAACTTCAGCGAAGTCTCAGGATACAAAATCAATGTGCAAAAATCACAAGCATTCCTATACACCAATAACAGACAAACAGAGAGTCAAATCATGAGTGAACTCCCATTCACAATTGCTTCAAAGAGAATAAAATACCTAGGAATCCAATTTACAAGGGATGTGAAGGACCTCTTCAAGGAGAACTACAAACCACTACTCAATGAAATAAAAGAGGACACAAACAAATGGAAGAACATTCCATGCTCATGGATAGGAAGAATCAATATCGTGAAAATGGCCATACTGCCCAAGGTAATTTATAGATTCAATGCCATCCCCATCAAACTACCAATGACTTTCTTCACAGAATTGGAAAAAACTACTTTAAAGTTCATATGGAACCAGTAAAGAGCCCGCATTGCCAAGACAATCCTAAGCCAAAAGAACAAAGCTGGAGGCTCACGCTACCTGACTTCAAACTATACTACAAGGCTACAATAATCAAAACAGCATGGTACTGGTACCAAAACAGAGATATAGACCAACGGAACAGAATAGAGCCCTGAGAAATAATACCACATATCTACAACCATCTGATCTTTGACAAACCTGACAAAAACAAGAAATGGGGAAAGGATTCCCTATTTAATAAATGGTGCTGGGAAAACTGGCTAGCCATATGTAGAAAGCTGAAACTGGATCCCTTCCTTACACCTTATACAAAATTAATTCAAGATGGATTAAAGACTTACATGTTAGACCTAAAACCATAAAAACCCTAGAAGAAACCCTAGGCAATACCATTCAGGCCATAGGCATGGGCAAGGACTTCATGACTAAAAGACCAAAAGTAATGGCAACAAAAGCCAAAATTGACAAATGGGATCTAATTAAACTAAAGAGCTTCTGCACAGCAAAAGAAACTACCATCAGAGTCAACAGGCAACCTACAGTATGGGAGAAAATTTTTACAATCTACCCATCTGACAAAGGGCGAATATCCAGAATCTACAAAGAACTTAAACAAATTTACAAGAAAAAATCAAACAACCCCATCAAAAAGTGGGCAAAGGATATGAACTGACACTTCTCAAAAGAAGACATTTATGCAGCCAACAGACACATGAAAAAATGCCCATCATCACTGGCCATCAGAGAGATCAGCAACATTAAGTCTTAACGACTAAGGAAAAAGAAACTTTCTTCTAGAGTGGAGCTCAACAAGCATGGAAATAGCACTTTGTTAAAAGAGCTGGTCTCTTCCTTCCTCTTTCACCCTATGAGATACCATGTGATAGCGTCTTCCTCTGCCCCTTCCTTATTTAATTGGTCCTTCAAAGAAATTTATTAAATGCAGACACTGTTCTAGATCCAAGTATACAAGGATGAACTATAGTGAGTGAAACTGATCAGTAAGAATAACAATACCTAATATTTGAGCACTTCCAGCTAATATTTGCTGCCTAAAGCACCATTGAGAAGGATTCTCATGACTCTTTCAAGATTCCAGGCTCTTTTTTAAGTGCTTTACATATTTAATAATTTGATTCTTACAACAAGCCCATGAAGGTAAGTTGTAATACTTTCCTATTTCAAGAGATAAGAAAATTGAAACATGTAGAATTTGAGTAACTTGCAAATTCATACAGGTACTAAGTGGTAAAGGCTGGTTTCAAACTTAAGTAATTATAACACAGTATGATAAATGCTGAAACAAAGGTTATGGGAATAGTACAAACAAGAATTTAATTAAACCAAGTAGTTATGGATAACGTTAACAAATACTTTTAAAAGTCTTTTGTGAACTAGCCTAAAAACTTAACTGTCCATTATTACTATTTTTTTATTACTATTATTTTTTTTTTGAGACAGACTCTCGCTCTGTCACCAGGCTAGAGTGCAGTGGCGCGATCTCGGCTCACCTCCCAGGTTCAAGTGATTCTCCTGCCTCAGCCTCCCAAGTAGCTGGGATTACTGGCATGTGCCACCACGCCCAGCTAATTTTTGTATTTTTAGTAGAGATGGGTTTCACCACGTTGGACAGGATGGTCTCGATCTCCTGACCTCGTGATCCACCCACCTCAGCCTCCCAAAGTGCTGGTATTATAGGCGTGAGCCACCATGCCTGGCCAATTGTCCATTATTTTTAACATTATTTGTAAAGAAAAACTCTACCTGTTTCAAAGAAATGAGTATAAAAGAACACTTTACAACCTAACTGCTTATTATAGACTAAGTTCAGTAGATTTTAGTTTCCTCACCTGAAAAACAAAAGAACTAGAGTAGATCAGGATAGCAAGTACATGACGTTTGTGCGGGCCCTCCCCGTTCCCATAAAAAACATCAATAATTTATCATTACACTCTTTAATGCCAAGCTGAACCCAAAGATGTGGGAATTCTCAACATTGCTGTAAACAGCCACTACTAAATTATAAAGTCAGCATAGAAATGGAAACCAGGTATTATCCCTGAATTAGACAGTCTCTACAGTCCCCATCTGACTCCAAAAATCTATGACTATGTATCCAAAAAAAAAAAAAAATTCTTTAAACCACAGAAAAAGAAATCACTTTTATTTTGTCAGGTGAGTGTAGCAATCATTGCTAGCAAAATATAGACCTCCCATTGTTCACTTTCAAATCCTTGGAAATACACAAAGAGAAATTAAACAAAGACACTGCCCCATCTTTAAAATTTTCATAGACTATCTAGATAATAGCTCAAGTTCTCTGCCTTTTAGTAGAAACATCAAGAGCTATTATATGTGGTTTCCCAGTACATGTAAGTTTAAAACAACAAAGGATGAATGACCAGGGCAAATACGTTGTCCAAATGAAACTAGTTAACATTATTAAACTGAATTACTATCATGACAATAAATGCGATCATGCCATAAAATCTCACAAAGCCTTATGAGGGTTGAAGAGTTACACCATTTTCTTTAACACACAGCTTTTACATGGGATTGCACATTCTATGAACACCTTTATAGGAGAAAAAGAAGCATCATACGATTATATCATCAGGCCAGTATTGGTCTTTTTGAGGTGAGTTTGCCTATACCAGTTTATTAAACAAATGTTTCAGTCAGTGATGCATCTAATAGAGAACTAATTTTTCCTTGAAGCAGGAGTCAGGGGGAGACTTCCTAGAACTCAACTGCCCTCAGTAGCACTGTGTGAAAGGATTATATTGCATGCTAACCAGCTAGTCAATCCTCTTTAGCTGCTAAATATAATTTAACACCAAGAATATCAGCCCCATATTGCTATCTGCCTAATCAAACATTTCTGCTTGATTTCTAATTTGTTCAAAATTGAACCTGATCTTTCCCACCATAAGCTTACTCTTCAAATTTTCTCACTGATTTTAATGGCACTTCCTTTCTCCTCATCACTCTAGCCATTGATGACTCCATCATCACATGTCTGGATAATCAAAATGAGCTTAACTGGTCTTCCAATTTTAAATAACTTCCCCCTTCTAATCAATCTTCTTTTTCTAAGACTATAAGAATTTATTCAAAAAGCACTGCTTTTATTTTGCTTTCCTCTCTCCCAGAACCAACATTGGCAACACATGAGATCGTATAACAGAAGAAACATTAACTTATTAATCAAGAAGCTTGGGTTCCAGCCCCAGTTCCTCTACTCAGTAATTTGAGCAACTCAATTTGGTTTCCTTACCTGAAAAGCAAGTCCTGGATTAGAAGAGCTCTGGAATCCCTTCTATTGAAAAACAACAAATCTCTTATCCTGGAATTCATGGCCCACCATAATTTAGCTAATCAAACTCATCTACAAGCATCCCCCTAAGCATATACTCCTACTGTCCACTACTGTTTGCATGCTCCTGAATTATGTTAGTTACCATAGTGCCCTACTAACTAGTTCTTCTTATAAAATGAACTCACCCTCCTTTCTTACCAAAACTATTCTAAAACAGAGGGGTTAACAAGGGACTCCTTTCTTCTTTGCCTTTTTCTGATATTTTTAAATCCTCAACAGTCAATACATATTTTGTACGCAGGAAGTGTTCAGAGAAAATAAACAAACTTTTCAAACCAGAACTACAAAGTAAAATTATCTCAATGCATAAAGCCAACCTAGTAACCCTCAATAATATATCCTATTTTTCTTGCTAGAGATTATTTGCTGTACACATTTGGATATTAACTTTAAAACTTAACCTGTATAAACTGTGGCTCTAATGTAAAGACTCAATAGTTAATAAACTGATTTTATTTTGGTTCTTTTAAGTGCATGGTCTAATTTATTAATGGTAAGCTGAAGTGGATACTATATATAGCTAATATGGTTATCAGAAAGTGCTTAATCTTAGTACATTAACAAACTTACTCCATTTCCTAGAAACCCAATCTGTTTTTCAAACCAAAATGCACTATTTTAGGAGCAGCTGGTTAGTTCCAGTACTACCAATTCAGTAATCTTATAAGTTAAATTATTTTTGTGAACTGATAGAGAACCCCCAGTTACCATCTACAACACTGCATTAGTAAGAAAGTGGCAAATGATCAAAAAAGTAACTTGGGGGGAGCCCAAAACATATTTTCCTTTCCCTCAGCCATCATTCAGCTTACAGAAAGAAGAAATGAATGATCCAGAGATATTATCCTATTCTCCAGAATCTTCAGTGACTTGATTTCAATATAAAACAGGACAAATACTCCAATTTAAGAAAAAAAATAGCCAGGCGCAGTGGCTCACGCCTGTAATCCCAGCACTTTGGGAGGCCGAGGTGGGCGGATCACGAGGTCAGGAGATCGAGACCATCCTGGCTAACACGGTGAAACCCCGTCTCTACTAAAAATACAAAGAATTAGCCGGACGTGGTGGCAGGCACCTGTAGTCCCAGCTACTCGGGAGTCTGAGGCAGGAGAATCGCTTGAACCCGGGAGGCGGAGATTGCAGTGAGCCGAGATCACACCACTGCACTCCAGCCTTGGCAACAGAGCAAGACTCCATCTCAAAATCAAAAACAAAAACAAAACAAAAAAAAGTAATGCCTCATGCATGCAAAAAAGGCAGAGAATTTGCTATCAAAAGGTCTGTGCCAAGCCCCGCAACTTAATAACCCACAGTCAAATCTCAGAGCCTCTTATCCTCAGATTCCTTAACAGCAAAATGGGAAATAATCATAATACCAACCTTGTCTACTGCATAAGATCACTGAGAAGCAAATGATATAATAATGTAAAATGTTTTGAAAACTTCGAAATTCTTCACAAATATCAATTAAAATATTATGAAGTAATATTCTTAAGTCAAATGCTCACCAATTTTAAGTATTCATCTATTACCAAATAAATTCACCTAGTAGGAAAACTAAAGTGATGAGGATTAGAAAGGAAAGAATTATCCTCAATAATATCAATTTTCTAAGTCTGGGTTTTTACACATCTTGTTTTTTTTTAAAGTAGGACACACAAAACTCTACAGAAACAATTTCAGTGAATTAAGTGTCTGAATACCTACACCTTTTCTTAAAGATCTCCAGGGAGAGAAATTCCACAGCTCCCTTGGTATTTTTCACTCTGGATCTGAACAACTCAAATAAAGTATAAACACGTAGCTTTCATTCCTTTCATCTGATATAAAGAAAAGAAAATATGCCCAGTTAGTTTAAAATGGAATAACTCTAGATAGAAAATTCTATTCTGCAACAAGTTTTATGTCAGGTAAAGACAGAATATCCAATGTATAACAGATCTAAGCTTTTTCTCTTTTATTCACATATCCTCCTGAAAGGGCGAAAACATCCATTGCCTAGCCCCGCCTCACCAAAAAAAGCCTATCTGGTTTCCTAATTTTCATAATGGAATGCTAACTTTGACACTTGCTAATCCAGAATATAAAACGTATAGTCTTCTCTTCCTTTCATACCATAGAACATCAGCACTTTATGTACTTGTCAAATGTTAATGTTAAACTCCAGCAAAAGCAAATACTGAGACAACTGATGCTAGAGAGAACTTAAGGCCCTTTTAACTATTTTTGTCAAGATCCATCCTAGTGTTCTTTTGGAAGAGCTAAATGTAATACTGTTGAACTATATTACCTTAATTTGTCATAAAATGTATTGATTACCTGACTATTTAAGATTATGCCTTAGGCTCTCACTAAGGGCCAATATAGGAAACAAGTAATTAAAAAAAAATTTATTCTGGTTTCCAACACTGTCCAATAGGTTTTTCAATATATCTTTTAATATAATATCCTTTTATAGCACTCGCTGTCTGTGGCATTTCATTGACAATTCATGCATTATAATTTATTGAAATTCTTATTTGCTTGTCTATCACTTACCCTGCACAGTATACTCAAGAGCAGGAATGTCTTGTTCAACATTATTTCTCAAATGCTAAGCAAAGGGCCTGCACATAATAGAGCTCAATAATCATTTGCCTAATGAATAAATCATTTATTGTAATTTGTTTCCAAGATATATGTTCAGTCCAAAATAGAAAATAATCTCCTTACAAGAAAACACACGCCTTTTGTTTATCTTCTTCACTCTGGCTGCGACTATGCCTCACTCAGAGAAGGGACTCAATAAATACTTGATGATGACAATAACCATTATGATAGTGGTAGTGGTAGGAAGAAAAATTAACCTAATCAAAACAACATATATCATATTGTTCATAATATCTTCATATTGCATTGTTCATTAAAATCAAATATAAAATTAAGTGATTACATGTTGAGATTATAGATATTTTCTTCTTTATTTTCTGTTTTCTAACATTAGTTAGGGAATATTAGTTGTGCTTCCACACACCAGTAAGCCCAAAATAAATCAGTTCCTTATGTAAACAAAATCTAGTAGACTATAGTAATTCATCTAAGAAAAACGAATCTCCTTCTGTAGAATAGTTACACTTCAGAAACCTAAAAGCCCACTGCCTTTTGTTCCTTTTGTCTAAGATTTCAGATAACTTTCCTCTGTTTCTCCCTGCTGAGGACAACTGCCTCCAGAATTGGACTCTATCTCTCTAAACCTGCCGGGTGCTTGGATGAAGATAAGAAGAAAACGGGGAGCCAAGAGTGACAACGATCTCCCACCCTGTAGAGGATACACCTGCCACTCCAGTGCTCAGTGAGTGTTTGCCACGGCCCTGCCCTAATTCCAACTCCAGTTTTAGTTCATAGCTAACAAAGCAATTGTCCCTGACAAGCAAGCTTGGCTTTACACTACATCCTATGGCAGACATACATGCACATGCACACACACAAAAAAATTCTCCTATTTACATGAAACAATGTTTATTGCAATCCAAGATGCTTTGATCCCATAAGCAGTCCAATCACTCAGTGAAGATAAAAACCTAAAAAAGAAATTCCTTTACATATGTCTATCAAGATAAACTCCCCCCACTCAATTTGAGCATTTGGGTTGTACTCTAGATAGGTTTCATTTTCCAGAATCATAGTGTTTGAAAAGTATACATCTTTATGGTCTAATATGGACAATGTTAGAGTCCAGAAGTACAGGTAGATGAAGAGATGAATCTGACACCTGGAAATATTCACTCTGGTTCCCAGATTCAAGGAGCCTCAAGCAGTGAACAACTGCTCAACACCAACCACAGGATGCCAAAGTAGACCAGTGAGAATGAAAACAGTGGATGCTTTTCATCACTTTGCTGAGTACTTGAAACCATAGCTATTATTTATATGATACTGAATAGAAACATACTTACAGCATTGTTGTGTGTAAACATGTTGACTATCCATATAAGCAATTTTTAAAGACCATGTTTTAGAAACATATCTACCAATTAAGATTCTGGATTTATATTAACTCAAAAAGAAGCATCTTATGTAAAAATATCCCTTCTTTTTTTAGTATCAAAAGGATTTTCTTTCTGAACCCTTCGGCTCAAATTACAGTACATTGCAAGAACAAAATTCTTAGTACATTAGACAGTAAAAGTAAATGTTAAGATCAGAAGGACACTGTTTCTCTCCTTGTCACAATAAGGACCAAATCCTTAGTTCAGCATTCAAGAATCCACATTATCACCAGGCTTGGTGGCACATGCCTGTAAATCCCAGCTCTTTGGGAGGACGAGGCAGGCGGATCACTTGAGGTCAGGAGTTCGAGACCAGCCAGGCCAACATAGTGAAACTCTGTCTCTACTAAAAATATAAAAATTAGCCACACGTAGTGGTGTGTGCCTGTAATCCCAGCTACTAGCAAGGCTGAGGCAGGAGAATCGCTTGAACCTGGGAGATAAAGGCTGCAGTGAGCTGAGATCACGCCACTGCACTCCAGCCTGGGCGACAGAGTGAGACTCCATCTCAACAAAAAAAAGAATCCACATTATCAATTTCTGCCTTCTAGCCTCAACGCCACTGATCCCAACATTTATTCATTCATTTTGCCAAAACTATATGGCACTATAGCAATAAACAAGGCCACAATGATCCCAGTCCTAAAAAGCTCACATTCAAGTGTCCTCCAGACAAACCGGTCAATTAGTGTGCCTCCACAAACACTTATTCAACAAATATTTAATGGACAGATTCAATACTGGGCAGTTTCAGACACTAGGGACATAGCAGTAAAAAAAGGGGGCAAGATTTTTTGCCTTTACAAAGGTCACAACCTAGTGAATGAAAGAATATACCCGTCCCTTGTACTTTTATGCTATGTTCATGCCATTTCGCTCTCTCCTCCCTCCCTCCTCTATACTTTCCCTCCTCCTTAGTATCCTTCTTACCATACTCTACTTACACCATAGCTCAGACAACATGTTAGACGTTAACTAGACTTCTGATGAAGTCTCCCTTACATGATAAAATACACTGAGACTCAAGCAGGAGTTAAATCTGGCATGTGTGTAGGCATGGGCGTGGGGGAGGTGGAGAGCCAGAAAAGTGTAGAAAATCAAGGAGGATTAAGAGATTCTGGGCAGGTTTCTAAGGCCAAGGCAAAGTGCCAATACAGGAAATCAGTGACTGGATTTGAGGTATAGTTGAGAATTTCATCATACAAGCAAGACAGAAGGCCAGTTATCAGACTGAGACACAAAGTTAATACAGAATCATTAGCAATGGTACTTGATATCAAGAAAGCAGCTCCTAATTAGAGCTATTAAAATTCCCCTAGGCCGGGCGTGGTGGCTCACGCCTGTAATCCCAGCACTTTGGGAGGCCGAGGCAGGCGGATCACGAGGTCAGGAGATCGAGACCATCCTGGCTAACATGGTGAAACCCCGTTTCTACTAAAAATACAAAAAATTAGCCAGGTGTGGTGGCGGGTGCCTGTAGTCCCAGCTACAAGGGAGGCTAAGGCAGGAGAATGGCGTGAACCCGCGAGGCGGAGCTTGCAGTGAGCTGAGATCATGCCACTGCACCCTAGCCTGGGCGACAGAGCAAGACTCCATCTCAAAAAAAAAACAAAAACAAAAAAAATAAAAATAAATTCCCCTAAAGAGCTGGCCCCTCTAGCCTAAGTTGAGCCTTTTAGCAGGAGTGAAATATTCCCAGCAATGGAATTAAAAGAAATTCAGGGGCCCAGAGTCAGAAACATTATATTGAGCCCCCAAATTATCTGAGAAAAAAAAGTCTTTATAATTGTAATAACCAATGGGTATGATTTCCCTTCTCCTGCTCAGGAGGTAGAGGAGATGGGCCTGAGAAGTTATACCCCGACAGTGAAGATATTAATAATGATGATGTTGGTCATGATAAAAATAGTAGGAAAATTAATTGTAATAACAGTAATAATTGTAATGCCTCTTTATATTTATCAGTCACATAACACCTTAAAAATACCTTTGAATCCACTATCTCATTGCATTATCATAAAATCCTATGAGAAAGGCAAGGCAAGAACCATTACTTTCCTAACAACATCAACAATATTAGTTGCATCATTTCAGTTACATTATGGTAAAAGGGGCAATTGTGGGATAACCATCATTTATTTATAGCTCTGTGGCTTAAAGAAATGTGACTCAGGCAGCAACTAGATCCTTCAGAAATTAGGATATCTCTTTGAGCTGCAAATCCAGGGCTGAACAAGAGACTCTGGACAGGGCCACAGCAGGAAGACATGCACCACCCCTACCACCCCTGTCCCCTGCAACATGCCAAAGTAATTTTGCTTTGTTTAGAAACATTTATGTGTCTCCGAAACATTATCAAGAAAATTCCGAGATGTTTCTTGTTACTTTTAAAAAGATTTTTTAATAAAGCCAAAATTAAGTAAAATTGTAAGAATGCTACTAGTAATGCATCATAATCATAGAAATCAAAGCTGGTATGAAAATGGAAGATCTCGATGAAGCTCTGTAGAATGACAAGGTCTTTGTGTCTTTTTCAGAATTCCTTCTTGATAGCTTCAAATAGCTCCTACTACAGTTGAGACTGGACAAATCGTAAGACCTGTAAATGCTATTGCTTTTACCATTATACAGATAAGGCATAACTAATACTACAGTACAATCCAGGGACAAAAGCATAAGTCGCATCAGATTCAGTGGATATATTTCCATTTGAGGGAGACCTTGGATGCTCATTTCCATCTTATGTATGTTACAAAGTGGCTAAAAGATAACACGTAATAAAAACTCTAATGCAAGCACATCTTGAACGTATTTCTAGTGATCAAAATAATGATATATATAATACATGAACTATACTCGTTCAATCTCATTCAAATCTGCCCACTTCCTCTCTCATGCTCACTCCAGAAGCTCTGTTTAAACTCGAATATGGTGTTAAATAAATTCCACTCCTGAATTTTATTAATTTGATACTTTCATACTACCAATAAACCATATTTTTTAAAAGCCAAATTTAAACAAAATCATGTAAACATTAAGTAACAATGAGGGCAATTACTGTTTCCAGAGGGTCACTCATGCAAGGAAAGGGACAGCTGGGTATTTCATCTTATACCTGAGGAGGTGAAAGAAAGGCCAGAGCCAATGGTTCACCCACCAGGCCACCATCTGGCTTGGGACCAAACAGAACAACAGAGCCTGGCAAAACAGTCACTGTGCTGTGCCTCCAACTGGGCATCAGCTTTATCCCAATGGACACTCTTTGGGTTCACAGTTTCACACCATTCTCCTTGGCATGAATTCTCTCTGTCCCAAGGAAGGTGAGGAGAAGATTCTGTCACACTAAGTGTTGGCCTGACCTCAATTAAGACACTTGTTCCATTTGGAAAAAAAAAAAAAAGAGTTTAAATGACTCTTGTTCTATAAACTCCAAGAATCCAGAACTCAAACCAAAACTGTAAGCAGAGGAAGGAAAAGATGGAGCTGGCAGAGGTCATGAGCTTGGCAGGAAAGGGAAAAGCAGGAATGGAAATCTTGAATCTCTTCACACGACACCATTTTAAATTTGAAATACAGGGGGAAAAACAAGAAGGATGAGTCACATAATAACATATTCTTGTTTTATTTAGTAGCTGATCTGAGGATTTAGTAGTTGGCATGGCTTGAAAGCAAGTGAGGAATAAGTGAATAGCTATTCATCCTTAGACCCTGTCCAAACAGAGCAACAGTCATATACGCCACCATAGATAAAGAGATCCAGAGAACTCTCAAACCCTTTTTCCATAATTGGAAATTATTTTTCCTTCTTTGAACACCCAACTTCATGTGTTCCAAGTAAATAGTCCACAAGATTTCACTAAAAATGTGAATGAAATTTGTGAAAGAAACCAACAAAAAAGTCTCTACCATATTAGCTTACAAAATTAGAACAACAATATTAGCTCTCTTTTTCCCCCAAGTGTTAGAGACAGGAATGTGGACTGGCTGAGCAATGTGTGCTGTGATATTGTGATGTGACAAGGCCAATGCAATCATTAAGCTCCCTGGGCATTTCTGCCACCTGGTTACTTTCTACTCCACTTCTCCAAGGTAGAAAGGGAAGCAGTGCTGCTTCCCCTCTGAAGCCTAAACCTTGCGACTGCAAATCAAGATACCACCTTGGCCTGATGTGCGCATACCCAGAATGCTGTCCAGTGGTCAGGTCAGCTTGATCCTAGTGGTTAGAGATGTCAGGAGAGAAGCTGAATACAGATTACATCTACCAAAGGTGAGTATAGATGACATCACTCATCTAGAGGCACACTTTCAGAGCCTCTGCAGTCTATCAGCCAATTCCTTCTGTTTTCAAGTTGTTGGAAAATCAAGTTCTCCTTGACACTTGAAAGTATTCATCTTGAGATTACAGACATGAGCTGCTGCACCCAGCCTTTGCTTTTTTCTTGACATGAAATCTTACATGCAAAACCTATATATTCAACAGATTAAAACTGAGATACTGTTGTTGGAGGAGAAAAGGGGCAAGGTAAGCTGAACTCCTGAAACTCTGGCTTTCCCCCTTTCCCACCAAGATGAGCTTCTGACATCTCAGAAGGACCACTGATTTTCGAGCAATCTCTCTGAGCCTGTTTCTTTCATATGTAAAATAAAGATGTTGTCACTGGGTTGTTGCAGGTATTGCATGAAATGATAAACTTAGTAAAGGATTTAGCACAAAAAGCAAATGTAAAGCACTAAATGTATCCAAAAAAAGAAAGTATTCATCTTGGAACCACCTGAAGCAGTGATCTCTTTCTATGGGTTCCCTCCTCGGCAAATCCTTAAACTGGTCTCTTTATCCTAAGTACCCAAACCCACACCTCCACTCAAAAATTTAGCTTTCTCTCCACCCTCGTCCCTTCCTGTCTGCTGCCATTCAAAAGTCTTCCCCCAATGATTCCTTCCTGTCCCTACATTAACTCTTTACTCTGTAGTTTTGCTCCATTTCTTAAATAATTCTATATTCTTTCACCTTTATCTCACCCTCCCAGAGTTAAACATACAGAGCTTCCTATCGCAACTTGCCTCTCAGAATTGTACACTTTCCAGAACTGATTTGTATTTTGATTGCTCCTTCCCCACCTAGATAGGATTACTCTTATATCTTCCTATAATTCTGAAGCAGCTCTAATCACATCTTCCCTCTGTATAAAGATATAACACCATTTTACTTGGCAACAGTTGTAGTCTGACTTAACTTACTAAACTGTTGATTGATTTATTCAATCATTTATGGAGTTTTTCCTGTAGCCAGTTACTTAGGAAAAAATGTTGCTAAATATTCAGTCTAGCAGCAAGTAACAGGTGAAACTGTAGAGCCTACAAAGAAATTAAGTATCATGAGTCTGACCACATTAGCAAAGTAGTCTAGACAACAGGGTTCTACCAGAAAGAGATAACAATGAAATAAATGGACATATTTCTTCTTTGTCTTCAATTATATGTTCTACCAAGAAATTCAAATAGAATTTGGGACAGAAAAATATAAGTAAATTTGCCAGTATCAAACCAAAAACAAATGAAAAATGTATTTCTTAATTATTCTTATATCAGAACCAAATAAACAAACACAATAAGAAAACTATGGTTTCATATTGGCAGAAAAACTTTAAAGGCTCTATATAGTTACCTTTGATCCACTTTTTTTCATAAGCATGCAACCAGTATTAAAAAGCATGGTTCATCTATATAGAATTTACCCAATCAACAACTATTTAGGACAATATATTAGATACTAGCATACTTCGTTAATACATTGTACCTTATATTTTTTCAAAAATCATACAACAGTATCCTGACAGCCTTCACTTCACAGACATTCATTTAGCTCACTATTTCTTATTTACGTAGGAAGAAATTTGGAACATGACAGATCTATATTTTAAAACACATATATTTCTATCTTCAGAAAAAGATACAGTCAAACCCCTAAACTACAGGACTAACAGAACGTCTAACATAAGAGTGCACTTAAAATGTGTTTTCTTTTAATTCTGTGTGATAAGAAAATAATTCAGAAAACAGCATTGACCAGCCTTGGGAGACTAGAGTCTACAGTCATCATAATAACATCATTTTAGTCTTTTGGAAAATAAAAACCTTTCAGTTGAATCATCTTGAAATACAAATTAAGTATTACCCAATCTACACCCCTTAAATGCCATTCATGTTAGTTTTCATCCATAAGCTCCAAGTGGATAATGATCATATCTCATAAATTTTATGTCCCTAGTAACTGTAATAGAAACCTAGAAATATTTATTAAATCAAGCTACAAAATGGAGAGACTGAATAAAATGATTTCTAAAATTGTTACCATTTTAAATACCCTCAAAACAGTGGTGTAGAGTGAAATGTTCTTGACAAGAAACTTGGTGGAAGCTGATTCTATCCAAAATTAAACTTTCCTTCAGATTGCATATTAATAACAAAGAGGTAAAGGTATTTATTTAAGATGAAGAGATGGGCCAGGCACAGTGGCTCACACCTGGAATCCCAGAACTTTGGGAGGCTGAGGTGGGCAGATCACAAAGTCAGGAGATCGAGACCATCCTGGCCAACACGGTGAAACCTCATCTCTACTAAAAAATACAAAAATTAGCTAGGCGTGGTGGCGCATGCCTGTAATCCCAGTTGCTCAGGAGGCTGAGGCAGGAGAATCGCTTGAACCCAGGAGCCAGAAGTTGCAGTGAGTTGAGATCGCGCCACTGCACTCCAGCCTGGCAACAGAGCGAGACTCCGTCTGAAGAAAAAAAAAAGAAAAAGAAAAAGAAAAAGATGAAGTGGCCACCACTTAAGTGATCAAGCCTCATCAGTAACAAGTCACACTGACATTACATGCCCCCTAATGTGATGCAACAGGAAATGCAGACCATCATTTATGCAGTACTCTTGTAATACTGTTTAACCTGTGCATTAGTTATTTACTGCTCTGTAATAAATTCCTCAAAACTTAGCAGCTTAGAAGAACAATAGCGTAAGGTACTAGCTCTCACAGTTTCTTTGCATCAAGAATTCTGACAGATCTCAGCTGGAACAGCTATCTGCTCCTCATGCCTACTCAACTGGAAAACTCAAAAGCCAGCGGTTGGAATCATCTGAAGGCCTATTCACTGTCAGCTTGAGACCTTAGCTGGAGTTGTGTAACATCTTCACACCGCCTAGGCTTCCTCACAGTGTGATGACTAAGTCCCCAGTGCCAGCATACCAGGAAAGAGTGAGCCAGTCTTAAGTCACATAGCATGACTTCTACCTTACTTCATTGGTCACCTGTCAGTCACATGCCCTTGTCCACATCCAAGGAGAGCAAAGACCCCACCTCTCAGCTGCAGGAATGTCAGTCACATTTTTAAAAAGGATGTGAGATAGGCCAAGTATCTTAGTGTAGCTAGTTTTGAAAGATACAATCTGCCACAACCTGAATCTAATCATGAAGAAACAAGACAAATCTATAACGTAGAACATTCAACAAGACAACTGGCCTGAACTCCAAAAAATCAATTTCACAAAGACAAAAAGAGGTGGGGTACATTCCAGATCTCTCCAATAGAACTTTCCATGGTCGTGCTGTTCAACAGAGTATCCATTAGCCACATATGACCATTGAGCACTTGAAATGTTGCTGGTATGTAAGGAACTGAATTAAAGTTTAATCAATTTCAATTTCACATGTGGCTAGTGGCTACCATACTGTACAGCACTGGTACAGATTAAAGAAGGCCTGTCAGAGACAAGATAACTAAACGCAACACATTGGCCTTGATTAGATCCTAGCTTAAACAAACAAAAGAGCTATGAAGGCAATTTTCATATGATTGCAGAAATTTGAAAATAGACTGTATAGCTGATAATATTCAATGAGTGCTAAATTTTTTCAGTATGAAAGTGATATAGTGGTTATGTAGGAGAATGTCCTTGTTCTTAGGAGATATATAATCAGTGATGAAGTGCCTTAATGTCTGCGGCCTACTAACAAATGGTTGGAGGCAGGGAAATATACATACATGTATACAAGGGGGCAGGGAAGAACACATTCAAATACTGTAAAATGCTAATAATCAGTGAATGGGGAGGAAGCATATATGTTCACTGTACTATTCAATGCACTCCAGCCTGGATTCTGGATTCTTCTACAGATTTTTTTTTAAAATTTTTTAATTAAAAGATGCAGGGGAATTAAACTTTCTCCCTTCTCCAATACTTCTTATATAAACCATATTATCAAAATTAGCTTATGTGTTAATATTTCATAATATGGTATTGTTATATCCCCTATGTTTTCTTTTGGATTTCATAATTGCCAACAGAGTGCTATAATACACTAAAAATGCCTCAAAAAACATGTTTTGATTAACTGACTAATTTTAAAAGGAACATCTATTAATTCAATTGGGAAGCTGAATAGTTTCTTGCCAAATAAATGTATATTATGCTTTGAAGGCAACAATTAGCTATACTTCCATAATTTTGATCTGATTCAACACAACTAATTTTATGCAATAAAAAAATTATAATGACCATCTACTGTATTTAATATTTATCCATTAAGAAAGATACTAGCACTGACAAATTAAACCTTTATACACTAAAAAGTCTTCAGTCTCTTAAACTTCAGTAGGAAAAACAGAATTCCAATTGTGTTTTCATTATAAAATTATGGTTACAGATAGACCATATGTTAGGTCACAAAACAAGTGTCTAAACATTCAGAAAACTTGAAATAGTATCAAGCATCTTCCCTGACCACAAAGGAATAAAACTAGAAATCAATAACAAGAGAAATTTTGGAAAATATACTAGTACAAGGAAATTAAACAATATGCTCACGAATGACCACTGGGTCAATGAAGAAACTAAGAAGGAAATTGAAGAATTTCTTGAAACAAATGATAATGGAAACACAACATACCAAAACCTATGTGAAACAGCAAAAGCAGTACTAACAGGAAAGTTTATAGCTATAAGTGCCTACATCAAAAAAGAAGAAAAACTTCAAATAACCCAACAATGCATCTTAAAGAACTAGAAAAGCAAGAGCAAACCAAACCCAAAATTCATAGAAAAAAGGAAATGATAAAGATCAGAGCAGAAATAAGAGAAATTAAAAAGAAGAAAATATAAAAAAAATCAATGAAACTAAAAGTTGGTTTTCTAAATAAACAAAATTGATGAACCTTTAGCCATACTAAGAAAGAAAGAAAGATCTAAGTAAATAAAATCAGAGATGAAAAAGTAGACATTACAGCTGATACCACAGAAATTCAAAGGATCATTAGTGGCTACTAAGAGCAACTATATGCCAATAAACTGGAAAATCTAGAAGAAATGGACAAATTCCTAGACACACACAACCTACTAAGATTGAACTATGAAGAAATCCAAAACCTGAACAGACCAAAAATAAGTAATAAAATTGAAGGTGTAATAAAAAATCTCCCAGTAAAATAAAAGCCCAAGACCCAATGGCTTCACTGCTAAATTCTACAAAACATTTAAAGAAGAATTAATACGAATCCTACTCAAACTATTCTGAAAACATAGAGGAGAGGGTAATACTTCCAAACTCATTCTATAAGCCCAGTATTACCCTGATAACAGAACCAAAGACATACCAAAAAGGGAAACTATGAGCCATATCTCCAATAAATATTGATGCACAAATCCTCAAACAAATACCAGCAAACCGAATTCAATAATACCTTTAAAAGATCATTCATCATAACCAGGTGGGATAAATCCCACCAATACAAGAATGGTTCAACATAAACAAATCCATCAATGTGACACATCCCATCAACAGAATGAAGGACAAAAACCATATAATCATATCAATTGATGCCAAAAATGCATTTGATTAAATTTAACATCCCTTCATGATAAAAACCCTCAAAAAGCTGGGAACAGAAAGAATATACCTTAACATAATAAAAGCCATATATGACAGTCCCACAACTAGTATCATATTGAATGGGGAAAACCTGATAAGCCTTTCCTCTAAGATCTGGCACACAGGAAGTATGCCCACTTTCACCATTATTATTCAATGCAGTACTCCTAGCTAGAGCAATCAGACAAGAGAAAGAAAGAAAGGGCATCCAAATTGGAAAAGAAAAACCCAAATTATCCTTGTCTGCAGATGATATGATCTTATATTTGGAAAAACCTAAAGACACCACATCAAAAACTATTAAAACTGATAAATTCATTAAAGTTGCAGTATATATAATCAAATTACAAAAATCAGTAGCATTTCTACATGCCAACAGACAACAATCTGAAAAAGAAAAAAAAAGTAATCCCATTTACAACAGCCACACATAAAATTAAATACCTAGGAATTAACTAAAGAAGTGAAGAATCTCTATCATGAAAACTATAAAACACTGATGAAAGAAATTCAAGAGGACACCAAAAAATGGAAAATATTCTATGTTCATGGATTGAAAGAATCAATATTGTTAAAATTTCCATACTTCCCAAAGCAATCTACAGATTCAATGAAATCCCTGTCAAAATATCCATGACATTCTTCACAGAAATAGAAAAAACAATCCTAAAATTTATATGGACCCACAAAAGACCCAGTATACCCAAAGCTATCCTAATCAAAAAGAACAAAACTGGAAGAATCACATTACCTGATTTCAAATTATACTATGGAGCTATAGTAACCAAAAAGGCATGGAACTGGAATAAAAACAGACACATAGACCAATAGAAAAGAATAGAGAACCCAGAAACAAATCCACACATCTACAGTCGACTCATTTTCAACAAAGGTGCCAAGAACATACACTGGGGAAAAGACAGACTCTTCAATAAATGGCGCTGGGAAAACTGGATATCCATATCCAGAAGAAGGAAACTAGACCCCTATCTCTCGCCACATCCAAAAATCAAAGCTAAATAGATTAAAGACTTCAATCTAAGACCTCAAACTATGAAACTACTACAAGAAAACATTGGGGAAACTCTCCAGGACACTGAACTAGGTGAAAATTTCTTGAGTAATACCTCACGAGAACAGGCAACCAAAACGAAAAGGGACAAATGGGATCATATCAAGTTAAAAACCTTCTGAATAGCAAATGAAACAACAAAGTGAAGAGACAACCCACAGAATCAGAGAAAATATATTTGCAAACTATCCATCTGAAAAGAGATTAATAATCAGAATATATATAGAGCTCAAACAACTCTACAAGAAAACATCTAATAATCCATTCAAAAAATGGGCAAAATATTTGAATAGAAATTTCTCAAAGGAAGACATACAAATGGCAAACAGGCATACGAAAAGGTGCTCAACATCACTGATCATCAGAGAAATGCAAATTAAAACTACAATAAGATATCATCTCATGCTAGTTAAGATGGCTTTTATCCAAAAGACAGACAATAACAAATGCCGACAAGGATGTAGAGAAAAGGGAACCCTCATACACTGTTGGTGGCGATGTAAATTACTGCAACCGCTATGCAGAACAGTTTGGCGGTGCCTCAAAAAACTAAAAGGAGAGCTACATTATGATCCAGCAATCGCGCTGCTAGGTATAGACCCAAAAGAAAGGAAATCAGTATATCAAAGGGATATCTGCACTCCCATATTTGTTGCAGCACTGTTTACAATCACCAAGATTTGGAAGCAACCTAAGTGTCCATCAACAGATGAATGGATAAAGTAAATGTGGTACTTATACACAATGGAGTACTATTCATAAAATGAATCCTGTCATTTGCAACAATACAGGTGGAACTGGAAGTCATTACGTTAAGTGAAATAAGCCAGGCACAGAAAAACATCATATGTTCTCATTTATTTGCAGAATCTAGAAATAAAAACAATTGAACTCATGGAGAGAGAGTATAGAAGGATGGTTACCAGAGGCTGGGAAGGTGAAGTGGGGATATGGTTAATGAGTATTAAAAAATAGTTAAAAAGAATAAGACCTAGTATTTGATAGCACAACAGGGTGACTATAGTCAATAATAATTTAATTGTACTATTCTGCATAGTGGTTACAGCTATTTTTAAAATAGCTAAAATAGTATAATTGGATTGTTTGTAACACAAAGGGTAAATGCTTGAGGAATAGATAGCCCATTTTCCATGATGTGATTATTATGTGTTACATGCCTGTATCAAAACATCTCATGTACCCCCATAAACATATACACCTTTTATATACCCACAAAAAGCAAAAATACATAATTTAAAAAGAAAACATTAAATAAAAGATTACAGTTAGTATTACTCATACAGGCTTATATTTTAAAATAGATAGGAGTTGCTTGTTGTTGTTTTTTTTCCTAAGACAGACTATAATCATACCTGGATAGGAGGGAAAATGAGTGTGTATGCTAATGCTTAATAGTGATATCTGACTGGGTTCAAACATTAAACTTTCCAAGTTGGTAAAAAATAAATAAAAATGCAAAGCAAGGCAATGAAATAAGGAATACAATATTCAACAACCCTAAAAGATGGCACATGTGGGTCAATTCCAAAATAAATGGAGAAAGTACACTAATCAGAGAACACAGAAAGAGCCTGATCATTGCCTTAGTCTTCCAACAATGTATGTTTGAGGCAACAAAATAAGAGGCAGAGGAGAGTTGACAGCAAGGCAATTTACCATCCTGCACCAGTGACTGTGCCAGCTTCACAACAAGGGGCCTCTGTTCCTTAATGGAAAAGACTCAGAGATTCTCAACTTTAAACAGTATTTATAAAGAAAAGTATGCTGCTCTCATCTAGATGATAAAATTAGAAAAAAACTAAACTCCCAAGGCTATATATGCACACGCTGCATGGCACTCTTCTTTCTCCATCCTGTTTATGAAATTTTTATGTAGCCTTCCCATACCATAGCCAGTGTTGTACTCTAGACATCAAAATCACAAATTCCAGAATGATTTCACACACAGAACATACATAATCCAATGCCTCTACCCCTATTTATGTCCCCATACTTTTTTACAAAGGTATACAAAAATTAATTACCTCTCAAGTAGATTTCTTGCTATTATGAAAACTATGACTAGTTTTTCATTCACAACAATATTCGGCATGGTATTCACACAAAGCTGGAATTTGAAAAATATTCTATCAGTGTATTAGTATATTCTCACACTAATAATAGACATACCTGAGACTAATTTATAAAGGAAAAGAGGTTTAATGGACTCACAGTTCCACATGGCTAGGGAGGCCTCATAATCATGTCCAAAGGTGAAGGAGGAGCAAAGTAACATCTTACATGGTAGCAGGCAAGAGAGCATATGCAGGGGAACTCCCCTTTATAAAACCATCAGATCTCGTGAGACTTATTCACTGTCACAAGAACAGCACCACGGGAAAGACCCACCCCCATGATTCAGTTACCTCCCACCGGGTCCCTCTCATGACACATGGGAATTATGCAAGCTACAATTCAAGATGAGCTTTGGGTGGGGACACAGTGAAACCATATCAATCAGTCAAGTTAGAAGGAGCTGAATGACAAGTCAAGAGACAATCTGTTCAAGTCCACAAGGTTCCAGGCAAATTAAGAAATATTCCAGGATCAGCAGGAGAGAGGCAAAATATCAGACAAAGGTTACCAGAACCGAGGACTGATTTTATGTAAACTGTAAAACCAACAGGCCTTTGAAGAACTTTTCTCTCTCTAAATCTATGACTATACAACCTAAAGATTTTATTTTCAGGGCTTGATGAAACTTCAACCAGATAAAGTAATGTCTGAACCTCTGAAGCCAGAAATTATACTTTATCAATTTAACTCTTTTCAGTCAATAACTATGTCTGACGTCAGCAATTCTGAGGTGCTAGATCTTAGGGAAAGGGAAAGGTTCAGCTAAGACAATTTAAATAAAACCTTGACCTCTTCTTCCTTTAAGCTCTCATCTTGAGATAAGAACATCAGGTCTCATACTTTCTGGGGAATGAAGATCTAATACAAGTAATTCAATAAAAAAACAAGTAGTATCTACAACCATTAAAACTAAACATTATCAATGTCAAGTACAATATCACTCTCCAAAAACAGAAGACCATTAATCATTTTCCATTGAATTATTTTATATTGAAAGTCAGAATTTTTCTATAAACTGAGATTAATCCTTGTTTAATGATATCTATCAGGTTATAATTGACCTTAGAAGCCCTTGAAGTTATGAGGTCATAGCCAACTTAGAATTCCCAGAGAAATCCAAACAAAAAGGAGCAGAGCCAATTTTTAGCATTTTAAAGCTTTTTCAGTTTGCAAATCAAAACTCACACCAGGCAGACTTTAACAAAAGAACCTGAAAAAAGTACCTAAATGAAACAAAATAAGCCTTTATCCCAAAAAGTGATGCCTAGTAGTGATTCCTTCACTTTATAAGTTATTTGAATACAATAAACTGTAGACTACAAGTAAAAGTCTCATGTATAAATACTACCAAGGGTCATGGGTGCACAATTCCATACTTGTATTTCTACCCATATCAACTGGTGACTTTTACATGCTACTCCAACAGATCTTACAGCAATCAGATGTTAAAGAGTTTGAAAAATAGTCCCTTGCTGAGGGCAAAAATAAATAAATACAGGAAAAAAACAATAACAGATGCACCCAGAAAGAGAGAAGAAAGGATCAAGAAACTGTACCCTTCAGTAGCTTTCAGTAAGAAAAAAAAATTGTTTTAATTATTAAAAGAAAATGAGATACTGAAATTATTGGGGGTAGAGAAGAACTAAATAAAAAATGGCCAACAGAAACTGGAGAGAGATTTCTTCAGAAAAGTAAACTGTAGTAAATTAGTGTTACAAAGAAGTGATTTTCAAAATGTCTGCAGGGAGTTAAAGGAATTACAAAAGTCTTGTAAAAGGCAACAGTATTTTGGTTTTTGACACATATCTACTTTTGGAGAAAAGTGGTTTTTTTTTTTTGGTTTTTTTTTTTTTTGAGACGGAGTCTTGCTCTGTCGCCCAGGCTGGAGTACAGTGGCGCAATCTCGGCTCACTGCAACCTCTGCCTCCCAGGTTCAAGCGATTCTCCTGCCTCAGCCTCCTGAGTAGCTGGGATTACAGGCGCGTGCCACCATACCCAGCTAATGTTTTTGTATTTTTAGTAGAGACAGGGTTTCACCATGTTGGTCAGGCTGGTCTCAAACTCCTGACCTGATGATCCGCCTGCCTCGGCCTCCCAAAGTGCTGGGATTATAGGCGTGAGCCACCTGCAACCGGCCTAAAAGTTTTAACAGAGAAAAAAAATACTCTTCAGCAGTTTGTTTTAGTGTTTAAAAAAAGAAAGAAAGAAAGGAAGTTTTGGCCTGGCGCAGTGGCTCACACCTGTAATCCCAGCACTCTGGGAGGTCGAGGCGGGTGGATCACCTGAGGTCAGGAGTTTCAGACCATCCTGGCCAACATGGTGAAACCCCGTCTCTACTAAAAAATACAAAAAAATACAAATAAAAAATAGCTGGGCCTGGTGGTGGGCACCTGTAGTCCCAGCTACTTGGGAGGCTAAGGCAGGAGAATCACTTGAACCCAGGAGGCGAAGGTTGCAGTGAGCCGAGCCGAGATTGCGCCACTGCACTCCAGCCTGGTGACAGAGCGAGACTCCATCTCAAAAAAAAAAAAAAATACAAAATATTAGCTGGACATTGGGAGCTAATGTGGGGCTCCTGTAATCCCAGCTACTTGGGAGGCTGAGGCAGGAGAATTGCCTGAACCCAGGAGGCAGAGGTTGCAGTGAGCAGAGATCGTGCCATTGCACTCCAGCCTGGGCAACAAGAGTGAAACTCTGTCTCCAAAAAAAAAAAAAAGGAAAGTTTTAAGAAAAAAAGAATATAATAATGACCATGAAACCCTTATCCGAGTTAAAGCTAAATGAAATTGATTTTCATCCAGGCTTAAGCATATAAAGTAAGACTCTATGGGGTCATTCAAACATATGTCTAACTCGATTCTTTGAAATAAGCCAAAATCACTCAGTCATTACTACCAAAAGGAATTAGTCTAAATTCTATAAGTATCCATAACTACATTTGCTCTATCTTTAAACAGCAGGTCTCACATTTTAAGATTCTCAGATTTATGCTTTTCACAAATTCCACAAGCCAGTCAAATAGCCATCTCTGATGTTTAAATATATATATATGATGACAATGATGATGGTGGTGGTGAGAATGATGATGGAGACAAATAATGACAGCAACTAACAATGTGTGTGGGCCTGGCAAATAGCACCTAAGAACAAGAGATTGCATGACTACTTCTAATATTCTACTCAAAAAATAACTGTATGGTGAAGGAAATCTAAATAATATTGTTCAAAATATATCAATGTTAATAAGAAGTTTACAAATTGGAAGGTAAATTAAATATGGACAGAACAACAGAGTTCATCCCTACCATTTTCACAAATTATTTCTACAGAAGCAGACTAGTTCTACTAAGGTCTAGTAACTACTGTTCACCAGTGGAATTTTATGCAGAAAAATGTTTCTGCTATGAAATGTTTTATCTTGACGCTTTCTATTCTAAAGCCACAACAGGTTGCACACAGAAAAAAGCCGTTAAATGACACAGTGGCATAAAATGAAACCCTCCTCTAGGAACACCCTACTGAATGGAACACAGGAAGTTGACAGTATCAGGTCAGTCTTAGGCCATAAAGAAGTACTTTATTATCCTCATTGTTACTCTATTTTCCAAAACAGTGAACTAAATGCCCTATTTTTCCAATACATTAAAAAAGGCTTATATTCACCCACCTCTCTCAACACTAAATATTTGTTTCAAACTGAGATATGTCTTCTTCTCTGCTAAACATGGTTGTTAGAATAAGGAAATTGAAATGGTTGGTGGCAACAGCTCTCCTTCCAGGAATACCTGTCAAAATACTCATTTGTCAGTTTTAAGCTGTCTGGAAATCTGTTTTCCCAACAGGATTTTGCAAAGCAAAAACATTTCAAGTGGAAAAATATATTACAAAGTTGTCTTTCCCCAGAGAATAAAATAGATATTTTTGGTTGTTATTTTACAAATAAAGTTTTCCATTCAATTTAGAATAATGTAAAGAAATGTTAAGTATTACCTTAGAAACTGGAATTATGCTTTTCTTCCATTGCAGTTAAGAATTAACCTAAGTAAAAACCAAAGACTTACAGAATATTAGAGTTGGAAGAAATCTGGGAGATATCCAATTTTTAAAAAAACTGTTCTGGCTTATACAGTTAACTATTGAATAATAATAAAAGGAGGGAAATGAGATTTAAGAATTTTAAGGCTGGGCACGGTGGCTCACGTTTGTAATCCCAGCACTTTGGGAGGCCAAGGCGGGTGGATCACGAGGTCAGGAGTTCAAGACCAGCCTGGCCGATATGGTGAAACCCTTTCTCTACTAAAAATACAAAAATTAGCCGGGCGTGGTGGCGGGCACCTGTAATCCCAGCTACTCGAGAGGCTGAGGCAGGAGAGTCACTTGAAACCAAGAGGCAGAGGTTGCAGTGAGCTGAGATTACGCCACTGCACTCTAGCCTGCAAGAGACTCCATCTCAAAAAAAAAAAAAAAAAAAAAAAAAAGAATTTTAAGAGCAGAGGTAGTGAGATAAGTTCCCCAACAAATTACCCTAAGTTGGGTGTGTAGTATTTACTAAATATTAATTAATAAGAACATCACTTGAGGAGTTGGGTTCTTGATACATTAAGTCACGGAATTTTCAGAAGCCAGTTTTTTTGAAGGGAGAAAATAGGAGCTTTTTCAATATTACTCTCAAGCAAAATAATCTCCCTCCAACATAGTAGTGATTCGGCAATCCACACAAATCTACACAGGGAAAAACTTTTTTTCCTATCCCAAATAGGTGGATGGCTAACATTAAACAATATTGACATATATGAAGTCATCTTAAGATTAATATCAAGGAAAACATGATACAATACTAAGAAAAGACAAAAGCAGAGGTCTGGCACTCTGCAGATTCTCCAGGTTTACACACCTTTTGATTCAAAAAGAACCAAAACCATTTCTTATATATTATTTTAATCAGACTATACTTTCAACATTTTACAGATGAAATTATAATCACCTGAGCTTTTAAAAAATAAAAATTAGGCACAAATACACTTATTCATAATTGCGCTGGCAAACAGTTCTTATCAGATATTTAAATCTTTGTGAACAGACAGCCCCCTTCTTTTCCCATATGCCCCCAAGTCAAGCCTCATCTCTCTCCCTGTCACCCATAAAATCTCACTTTATGTTCCATTAACCAGGATCACATGAACTAACCTGAAAGAAAAAAACAGGAGTTCTCTGTCTATAGAATAATGTTGGCAAAATAAATTGACATATGCTTAACAAAAAGCACACAAAAAATAAGAGATACAATCAGGCAAATATTATATGTCATTCTTTCATTATTAACATAAAATTGTAACTCTACTTTTGCCAATTTTATCAAGACTCTCAAAATAAATGCCACACTTGATATATACATACAACAAGAATAAGAAAAAATAAATGAAAAATGCATTTTCAAGGATATATTAAAGAAAATCACTCAGAGTTTTATGAAAAATAAGCAAACTAGCATTACAGTTATTACTCAACTTTGGAAAAATTACACAAATATAAGACGCTCTTGTTGGCAAATATTAAGAAAAAACATTTTCACAGAAATATCTTGAGTATATCTGGAAAGCAAAACATTTAAGATGTTAAGATATAAGATGTATTTATGATTTAAAATAATCTCTATATAATTATTCTGCACATCACGAGAATATTCAAGACTCTATTGAATTTCTCCCCAAACAATGAACATCTCTATATAGTAACTCTATTTTCAGTCTTTTGTCTAACACTAGCATTCACGAGAATCTGATCACAGAGCAAAATAAATTGGACACAGTACAAAAATTTCCTGAACTTTCTGACCAAAGTCATGTTTTATTATTTCTCAGATGTATTCTGCAGTTATGCTGATTTTATTCTTAGCAGTTGAATAATACCCAAAATAGTTCCAGTGCCACAATTATTTGTAATTTTCATGTTTTTTTAATTAGGTTTTTTTTTTTCTTTTTTGAGACTAGGGTCTCGCTCTTTCACCCATGCTGCAGTGTAGTGGCATGATCTTGGCTCATTGCAGCCTCAAACTCCCAGGCTCAAGTAATCCTCTCATATCAGCCTCTCAAGTAGCTGGGACTACAGGCACATGCCACCATGGCTAATTTCTGTATTTTTTGTAGAGATAGGGTTTTGTCATGTTGCCCACATTGGTCTCAAACTCCTGGACTCAAGTGATCCACCCACCCATGACTTAAGGATCACTTGAGCCTAGGAGCTCGAGGCTGCAGTGAGCTATGATCACACCACTGCACTCCAGCCTGCATGACAGAGCGAGACCCTGTCTCAAAAAAAAAAAAAAAAGAAGAAGAAGGGAAAGGGAAAAAGAAAGGAAGGGAAAAAATAACATTATTCATACTATTAAAAATATTTATAATTACAGTAGGATTTGGTAAAAACAATGTGCTAAAGCGTGTTTTTGTAGGCCCTTTTGGGTTTAGTTCATGAAATATCAAAAAGCTCTCACTGTCTTACTCATAATACAAAAATCTTGAAAATTGTGCTCTAATGAGGGGAAAGGATAGAAAAGAGTCAGACTGAAAAAATATCATCTTTGTTGGCTTTTTATTCTAAGAGCTCAGTTTTTTGTGGAAAAAGTTATAATACTTTAAAACAATGGTTTACTTATTAAATCTGTGAGATGTTAAAGAGCATAATCATAGCCCACATTTAAAAGAATGGGAACCTGAAAAACAGGCATGTTTGCCAGAAGGGTTTATCCTAAATAACAGAGTACATTCTGATTGTCACCATGATTAAGCTTTTTCAGAATATTTCAATTTAGGCTCAGTAAAAACTGTGGTCAGTATTTTTTTCCTTTTCATATTGAGAGTTGGGATGTTACTGGCACAAATCTCATGATGAAAGATGCAAGAAAAAATTCATTTATTTCATCATTTAACCAATACACATTGAGCGTCTATCACACAAAAGCACCACTCCAGGCTTTAAGGCCTGTCCAAAAGTAAAAATCAGATATGGAGCCTACCTTAGAGGAGCTTGATACCTGGTATCAGGTAACACACATGTATATAAATTACAGTTCACGAAAGAAAATAAGTGCCTAGGCGATCCTGAGAAAAAAAATATTAAGTGGGAGAGGTACCAAAGAAGGTAGATTATTCTACAATGGCAGATAAAGTAGACCTTAACTGATGGATTCGATTTGTATATAGAGATAAATTAAAAAGTTATTCCAAATATAGACAAGAGGGACACTGAAGCACAGACTGGGAAAACTGAAGTATACAGATGAAAGTGTATAGTACCTCACTTTGGCTAATGAGTAATTTATAGGAAAGCGGGTAGTGAGGCTAAAATTAAAGAAAGTCACCAGGTTGTGAAAAGCCTGAAAAGGAAACCTTTGTTAGCAGTTTTTAAAGCAATGGACTGACATCATCTGAACTCAGCTTTAGCAAGACTGATCTGAAAGTAGTAATTAACATGAATTGAAGTAGGACAGAGGCAGATACAGAGACATTCAGGAGGGAATAGCTTAAGAAAATGGTCATATAGCCTTGAAACAGTGAAAAACTGAACAGAAGGGGCAAAGGCGAGGGTTAACTTTAATGTGAAAGCAGCAAAATCTGGCAATCAGTTGCATATGGCAGGTAAAGGAGAAGGGGGGTCATGGATGTGTTCTTCTAATGGGCTAGAAATTCTCCGTAGGATTGCACTGCACTCCAGCCTGGGTAACAGAACAAGACTGTCTCTTAAAAAAAAAAAGAAAAGAAAAAGAAAAGAAATTCTTCCTAGAACTGAACTATTTTTGTGGCTAACTCATTACAAAGAATTCTTTGTGGCAGTATTGAGAGCTAATTTCAATACAAAAGAAAGGGGAAGGCCGGGGGCGGTGGCTCATGCCTGTAATCACAGCACTTTGGGAGGCCGAGGTGGGTGGATCACGAGGTCAGGAGATCGAGACCATCCTGGCTAATGCGGTGAAACCCCGTCTCTACTAAAAATACAAAAAATTAGCAGGGCATAGTGGCGGGCGCCCGTAGTCTTCATTTGTACCACCCTAATGAGCATATGGGGAACCACTGAAGAGTTTTAAGCAAGGTAGTTAACATGATTAGCAGTGAGAGACGGAAGAGGAGAGTGCTCTATCAGCCATTTGCTGACTCAAAAAGATTTAATGACTGTTGACATATAGGTGGGGCAGAAAGGTGGGTAAGAAAAAGAGTCCAGGAAAAATTCAGATTTCTAAGGTTGTCATTTGGATAAAAGTCACTCCAAGTAGAGAGACAGAAAGAGATGAGGGGGCCAGAGTAAAAGCAAGAAATTAATTTTGGGAAATGTGAAGTCTGAGGGGCCTGTGTGATATTCAGCTTCAGTCATAAATAGAGTTAGAGTTCCCAAGAAAGGCATCACCTGAAGAACTGAGAGTAACTGTTCTAAACGAAACACTGAGGTTCCCTAGAAAGAGAATGAAACTTAGGCTGTAACATGAAATGAGATGAAGGCTAAGAAAATAATTCCAGAAAATCCAGAAACTTTTCAACTTGTGAGTGTTCTGAGAATACACAAAACCATGAACTGAGGCACAAAATAAATAAATAAATAAATAAAGCATTGGCTCTCACTGCTGCCAACAGATGGTGCTAGAACTTACTTGAGAGTTTCACTTAGGAAGAATTTTGGATACCTATTCCATCCCAAGTAGCAGAGCTTCTGAATCAACATCTAAGTGTAGATGGGTAACAAAGCAGAGGTAGATGTTAACCAGGAAAGAACAGCACCACCACAGGAGCCAAAGGAAGAGAATATTCTTTTTATTTAAAAGAAGGCAAAAATCATTACAAACATACATTCATTCAGCAAATAGACGGGTCTACAAAGTACCAGAAACCCTAAATGGTAAAAATTCATAGTGAACGAGACACAGTTTATGTCCTCAAAGAGTTTACAGGTAAATGCTACAGCAAAATCAAGTAAAAACTAAACATTTTCCTTTTGGTTTAGCTTTTAGAAGATGGCAGATGACCTACAGACATAAGCTCAGCATCAGACCACAGTGGGCTCGCTGATGTAGGAGAAGTGAAGAGGAAACCATAGACATTAAGCTTCTCTTCAAGAATCTTAGGTGGAAACAAGACAGAAATAAGGCAGCAGCAAAAGGATGTTAAGAGACTATGTTCCATATATGCAGAATACCTCACCAAGACACACCTGAACTCCAAGAGCTTACTATATACACACTTGGACATAGGTACATATAAGAGAGAGAAGAATCACATTTTAAACTGACTCCATAATACATTTTGCAATAGAGGCCTGAATTATTAAAATTACATTCTAATGTTATTAATTGTGATTATTAATGGTTCTTTTACTATGCTCTGGTTTAAGTCAAGTTGAAAATTAGAAGGCAATCATGAAGCCACAAAATTTCAATCATCCTCAGAAGAAGGAGGAAATGAATGGGGATACCCTGGTATTAAACATATGCACAGGACCAAATTATGTGTTAAAGGGAGATAGATACATGAAATATTTTAGAACTGTGTTTATCAGCCCCTTCAAGAGACTATGGAGAGAGATTTAAGAAAAAAAAAAAGCATTGGGGATAAGAAGAGAGACATGATGCAGCAGAAGCAAGTAAGTATTCTAAGTACAAGTACTTATTAGAAAGAATAATGTGATATTAACAAGTCTAGCTGACATAGTCTGCATCAGTTTTATCATTCCAGCAAATAATCTCAGGACAACATTATTTTGACAGCATATGACATGAATCAAATGCATATCATAGGAAGAAGAAAGAAGTTCCTATCTGTGTCTAGTAAACAGAGTGACAAGGTGGCAATCAGGGGAAGTCAATGTCTGACCAAACAAAAGTAATTCACATTGGTAACTATAATTCTCTCTCATTTTTGCAGTAGCAATTTATAAAATTTATAATAAAGGCTAGAAATTTTTTGTGACTTTAATAAACATAATCAATTTCATGCATTCATAAATATTTGTTAAAATTTCTTTAACAGCCTCATCTTCTTTGGATAGTCGAGCAAATGTCACCAGAAGTGTACAAACTAATTTACTGCAGAAAAGCAGGAAAATAATTCCACCATCTTTTACCAATATATTCAAATACTACCTTTGAAAAAAATTCTTCAAAAATAACTAATTTTTAGCGTGTCATCAATTAAAAAAAAAAGATTCTCTGGTAATGGTTTGCTTGAGCCACGAATAAGAAGGAATAACCAAAATGAGGAACTAATGAATTTTTTCTTTTGGAAAAGAGGTGCCTGTATGCTACACCTCTTTTACAGATTTGATAAAACTGCAGAGATGAATTTATATATCTACCCCCCTCCTTCACCCCACCCCCCCTGCAACTTGCATACAGGCCTAGTGTTATTTAAGCAAACAGTAAACAGCTATTACTCTTCAGTTAGGTAGACAGAACTTGGAAAATTATTAGATCACAAGGTTGCCACAGGGACGCCAACCATCTGTCTAGTAAGTATGAATGACTTCTTCCTCCCTGTTATCCTGTATTCTACAATGCTCAATAGGCAAGGTAAGGGAAAGGTTACAGGTTTGTTATACATATACATATATATATATATACACATATAAATATATATGTACACATATAAAATATATATACATATATAAATATAAATATACATACATACATATAAAATATATATACACACATATATATATTTTAAACATATAAATATATAAATATATATATATATAAAAAATAGTGACCAAAATATTTGGTCCAAATTACCAACAGGGTGGGAAAACTCAGGGACTTTTATTCTTCCACAGCCAACAAAGTAATCAATGATTTGACAAATATTTATCTAAAGCCTTCTTTGTGCACAGAAATCTTTTTTTTAGTTCAGTGTATAATGGCCCAATCCATGCATGCTTAGTATTTAAAAGCAATTCTTGACCCTGCTACCAAACAATTAAGCTCCCTGCAGTGCAAATAAGGAAGTTTTTTGAAACAGATAGTTATGAATCTTTCATTCATAGTAGCTAACTAGAAACATATGAGCCAAACCCATTGTGAGTATCATTTCAGTGGTGTGTAATTTGAGAGGTGTGTTAGAATGCGCTTGGCCCCACTAAAGAAGGAGTCCACATTTTCCTTGCTTGCAAGTGAAATGCAAAAACAATTTTGCAACTTGGCAATTCATATGGCAGTCTTAAAGTTACCCACATTCAAAATTCAAGACAATAGAATTTTCCCCATCTCTAAGGTTTAACACTTTACGATCAGCCTAAGGTGTTACATATGAATTCATTTTATGAATAATGGCTTCTTCACTCCCAAAAGCTTGCAGGAAAAAATACTGAATACCGTATATAAAAATGACACAAACCACACTTGTCTGGTCTGATCTTAAATTGACCTTAATAGTTTAAAATCTTTCAAAGGGAGTACTGATATACTGTAATTTTCCCCAAAGCTCATAAATAGCCAACGTTCCTTTGTGGAATCATTGTAAAATACATGTAATTTGGAAATAGACTTATTTTATAAATCCACAGTACCAGTATATGTAGAAAAACAATACAAAATGTGAATATCATTACATTTGAATAGGAAAAAATGTGAATCTATATTAAGGAAAGAGGGCGAGAAAAGCAAAAAAGATTAGCCTTTATTTTCCAGATTTTTGAGCCCTTACCTAGAACCTGATGCTTCTGTTAAGTTTTTATGCTTCTTTTCATTTAGGTGTCTAACATCACGCAGTCCACAAGGATAAGAATGTTGTCTATCTTGTCAATTAGAGTATTCTCATTATTTAGTACTAGCACTTAATAGGCACTTATTTAATATTTCTTTATTGACAGATAAATTTCATTAACTGAAACAAAATTATTTTCTATTAGGTAAAGTTGTATATTCCAGGACTGTTAGATCAAGAAACTAGATTGGGTTACATTAAGCCAATGGGCCTGCTAATGATTTAGCAAAATTCCTATCTCATATATGCGTATCACAAGAAAGAACACTGGAAAAAGCTGAAATGAATCAAACCAGATCTGACACCACTACAACAAACAAAACTCACCTTCACATACAAAGGGCAGTTCCATATGTATTTTATTATATATTCAATATAAATTTGTGTACATATTTCTCTCCAGCAATTTTTCTTTTAAAAGAAATTTTTGCCCAAGTATTCTCCTTTCCAGTGATTGGTATGGTTGATATCAGTAACAGAAATAGCAAGAATAATTAGAAAGGGAGGAAGAAGCAGCTGAAATGATCATAGCTAGAAGCTTTTAAATGTAATTTTGGGGGGAAATAATACACTTCTGGCTGAACTAGTTTATCTAGCCTTAAAAGTTAAGCCATGTTCTCAAGTCAGCCCCTGCAAAGGAGCAATCCGGTACTCTTTTGGAAGAGAGAAAAAAACAGCTGGCTTAGGTGAGTGACCTACTCTAAAAACCTTCCCCTCAAGTTCACATGCACACTCTCAGGAACTAACACAGACCTAGATTGGCCTCTATGCATCAGCAAGCATTTGTTACACCTAATACCCAAAACCCAAATGATGCCCACGTTAGCCCAATAACGTCAATGTTAGCTAGAAATGTCTGGCTCAATCTCGCAAGAATAGGAATTTCCACATTCAGAACTGTCTTTTATTTTGCAGTTATTTATTGAATACTTATTCAATATACACTTAAATAATATATTGTTCCTTACAGCATATAATCAAAGTTCCCTAGATATAGCTTATGAAGAGCACAGTGTTAGTAAAAATGGCTGATGGGTTCTTGAGAATTTTAGCGTTTCCCCTTTTGCTACCGCCAAACTATTTTTATATCAGATTCTACCACCACTTGTTTTCCCAATCATTTTATCACTTTATCTATTAGTTTGGAATCTTATTGAAAATTTCATATTTCCCAGTAATGATAGTTTGATTTTATCAATGCCTTTGAAAACCATAAACATAACACAAAATGTATTTGCTAGCCATTGGATTAAATTATCCCATATTTTTAGGTCTTTTATCCTGTAGTCCAATGAGAGCTGATAAAATCATTCTTCAACTATTCTACTAACTGCCTGGCAGAGAGAAAAGATGAAAATAGCTAGAGATAACAGATATAGATGGAGGAAGGACATTGGAGGTAAGATGAAGTCACTTTTATATCTATTTTAAGATTCTTTACAATGCCATGGAGTAGCCTATATAAATTTTTTTTTTACATTATATAACTCAAGATATATTTTAATTCAAATTCTAAAATTCCCTACAGTGATAAGGGGTACTTACAAAGCAGAATGAAAAAAAACACACACACACACACAAAACAAAACAAAAAACCAACAGCATATGTTCTAATATATGACCAAAACCACAGTGGACCTTTCTAATCAGTATAAAAACTGAATGGTGTTAAGATGCATTCCAGTTAAAGTTAAGCACTGTTAACACATTTATTCCGGACTAGATTTCACTCTTTTCATAATGAGATTTTACTATTTCCAAAATCACTTACTTAGTACCCAAATAAGGTAAAGGCGATGAAGGCTTCAATCCCTCCTTTGTTTCAAACCCCCTAGCAGCCTAAACTTAACCTTCACTGTCATAACCACTATGAATGTCTCTTTTATTCAGACTTCTCTCTCCATGACTGAGATCTCACCAGGCAGTGAGAAAGAGTTAGAATAGTAATTGGAAAGCTATCAAAGTTATGAAAAATATACTTTTCTATTAAAGCCATCTGAGGATTGAAAAAGGGTGTCAGAAACGAGCAAAAGGAGGGGGAACAGCTGGGAGGAGGAAAAGAGTTGGGAAAGGGGGTGATGAAGGAAAGCCCACATGGTTATTTATCTGCTTCAAGAGTTGTAAAAGACTATTTTCTTGACAAGACCATGGAAAGTAGCCAGTCTTAAGATAAAGCTGAAAATGTGAAATGTGGACAAAGTTTATGGATGTTGTACTAACTGGGACTGAAACTTTTTGTTTCAACAGTTTGGGTAAGAAATGTAAAAAAATTAAAATAACATAGAAAGAAATATGCTTTAAACAATTTATTCTGTAATTCTGCAAACATAGCAAACATACAAATATACAAAAAATATAGACCTTATTCCTAAATTTAAAGGAAGTTATAATTTTTCCAATTTTTCTTACATATTATTGTTCAGGCTAGGCCACCATGGATTATTCATTTTAAAATAGAAGTGATAATACTTTAAGCAAATCTGAGAATTAATGCACACGAAAATCTTCAGAGGGTGATTTTCAACAATGATTAAAAACACTCTGACACACACTCTTCAGGCATACGCATTAATCCCACACCTTTGCATGCATGAGTATCATGTGAATAATGCTACAAGTATTGGACCAATGACCAGATTTTTATCACAGAAAGGATTCCATTGCTATTAAATTATTCAGAATCTAACAAGGCCCCACAAAGGAGCTAAATAAAAGAACTACTGACAAAATTAATGTTCTCTCGACTAAAAGGATCTTGATGTGCAAAAAACAAAACAAAAACACTGTAGTTTATGGTACACAGTACTTTTTTGAAAACAGACCACGCAACAGAGGTTCTGAGAATACAGATAAACACTAAAACAGTAAGGACAACTCAATCTGAAGATAGGGTTTCAAAAATTCACATTCCTGGATTAAAGAATAATATTTGTAAACTCCCAAACACATATAGTTTGTCATAAAACAGTTGAAGTTTTGAAAACACACTGCAAAGAGAAATTGGAGATTATGTACGCATGCATATAAACATAAACAAGCTGTTCATGCCTTTATGGGGGGAATAAAGGTAGTAAATCTACTTAAAGGTAGTGTTTTCATTTCTTCCATATATGAAAGAAACTATCAAATGCAGAGTTTGCATGCCCAGGCAGAAAATAAGTCATCAATTTACCAAGTTACTCACAAAATTAATTTCAAGAAATCCAAGTCCCCAAAAAAGAAGGCAAACCAAGATTTTAAAATGTAACAGACTTTTTCTTTCTTTCTTTCTTTCTTTTTGAGATGGAGTTTCACTCTTGTTGCCCAGGCTGGAGTGCAATGGCGCCATCTTGGCTCACCACAACCTCCTGCCTCCCGGGTTCAAGCAATTCTCCTGCCTCAGCCTCCCGAGTAGCTGGGATTACAGGTATGTGCCTCCAAGCCCGGCTAATTTTGTATTTTTAGTAGAGACAGGGCGTCTCTATGTTTGTCAGGCTGGTCTCGAACTCCCAAACTCAGGTGATCCGCCTGCCTCGGCTTCCCAAAATGCTGGGATTACAGGCGTGAGCCACCTTGCCCAGCAAAATGTAACAGACTTTTCACTAGCAAAGCAGTTAAAAGTATCTTCTATCTCTATCATCAAAAGTATATCTTTCTTTAAATTCTAAAAGAGCACTTAAAATCATCTTATTGTACATTCAGGTCTAAAATTACCATCAACTTTAAATGTCAAAATTATTGCAGAAAATTAGATAAACTGTAATCAATGTCTTCTCAAAAGAGACAGATTTTACACATATTTTTATTTGCAGCTTTGTTTTTCCACTTCAGATACTGGAAACATTCTATTGTTGCATTAAACCAACAAATATCTCAATAATATACATGTATTTCTATAATAAGGAATAACTTAGTAATATTCTAATGGTGTTAACAGAAGATAATTCAACAGCCCTCAATAAGGGACTTGAAAAATGTTTCTCCCTCATTTAAGTACAAACTTCTCTTCCTTCTATCAATCTTTTTTCTCACTATTTTTTCTTTCTCTTTTTCTTCTCCCCTTATATTAAAAACACAATTTTTCAATTATAGAACTCTGATCTCTTATCAAGCACATAATTCATTTAACAAGTTATTTTTTAGTACATTCCTAAATAGTATGTTTCAGGTTCTGTTCAGAAACTATGGCTTAGAATTTTAGACAGGCTTAAACAGGACTAGATCTGGCTTCATAGATTATTACATTCTTTTGTTGCTATGCTACTAAATGTAAGAATGGTTTGAAACAGGACCTCCAATTTCACCCAAAAACATGCAAGTTCTCTTTCTTAAATTCCATATAATCACTTGAGTATCACAGGACTGAAAAAGAACACATGAATTTGTTTGCTACATAAAGAGCTACATTTAGAAGGCCATGTGACTAGAAGAGAAGATTTATGCAATTCTTAAACAGGTTTGGTATCTTTATTCTCTTCTGCTACAATGTAATGAATACTCTATTGTATTGTTACTTACAAAAATGAAAAATAACTGCTCATTCAGTTCTTTCTAATACTCCCGTAAGCTCTGAATGTGGGAATGTGCAGAATTTCCCACCACTCCCATCATGCCAACCTATTCCGCACATGTCAAACATGCTCATCTTTCTACCTGGAGAGAGATGAGCGTCTCGCTTTGCCTCAAAAATTCATTCTATGAGACTCAAACATCACCTTCCCCAGTAAAGACTTTTCTGACTCCCTCGGCCACAGTGAGGCTCTCCTTTCTGCTATGTGCTGGGATAAACACACACACACACACACACACACACACACACACACACACACACACACAGGCATACACACTTTTCATTTAACATCCTCCATGGATAATAGTACCTACTTGACATTTCCACCTCTTTGATAAGAAAACCAAGGCAGATAAGGTCTGATTCCAAAGTCCATTGTTTGTTTGTTTTTTAATATATACTTCCTTCAGCTCCACACTGTACTAAAACGGGTGTCTGGCTGCCTCCATTCTCTGAGCCTTCTGACAACAAAAGGCAGAGATCCTGTCTTACTCATCTTTGTATTCCTGGTGTCTGGCACAGAACAGATACTCAACAAACACTCGATAAAAGATGAATGAATAAACAAATGAAATGTAGTAATGCTCAACTTCCTATGTGAGGAAAACTCATGCCCTTTTAAGTATTTATGTAAAAATATGATAATAAGTGCTAATTTCATTCAGCAAGCCTTTTGTGAGTGTGTCATATGGCTGACACATATGGTCATATGTTGGCCTTAAATACATCAGGGAACTTAACTGACTCAGTTCCCTGCCCTTGAGAAGCTTTAAATACAATGAGGGAAAGAAAGAAATAACTAGCTAATGCTACCATTATTTGCTTTATTTTGTCTAATTCCCCACAAATGTTTCTTTTTAAAAGATCCTCATTCTTTAAAACAACCGTGTTCCATCACCACATACCTCTGGTCAGTAGGATACAGATGAGTCAACAGAAAACAAAGCTAGAAGAATCTTTGTGGAGCTTAAATACACAAACTTTTTCGCTATTCTTGTTTGGCACAGTAGTAATTTGAGCAAGTATATAGCACAGTATTAAATAAAAGAATGTAATTAAGGACACTCTGGCCATCCTTGCCCTTTTTCTTTAATAAGGGCAGCACAACCAAGTGGAAAGGGCATGGATTTTGGAGTCAGGTCAGGGTTCTCATCCCAATTCGGTCCCTTTCTCCCCATGTGTGACACAAGTCACTTTTTCTTTCTGGGCCTATTCCTTTATCTGTAATTCTGAGATAAAGAAGCATGCCTTAAAGGGCTCTTGTAACAGTGAAAGAAGATAATGTATGTAACACCTGCCACACAAAAGGTACTATTATTATGTGAGCTGCTCCACCTGCTTCTTGAAGACTACTGGTTCTAACTTTAGTGCAACATTATAAATATTTCTAATCCTGTCCTACTCTGTTTTCTGTTGCTTATAACAGAATACCTGAAATGGGTAATTCTAAAGAAAAGGAATTTATGTCTTACAGTTATGGAGGTTAAGAAGTCCATGGTCGAGGGGCTACATCTGCTAAGAGCCTCCTTGCTGGTGGGGACTCTCCAAGAATCCCAGGACAACAGAGAGCATCACAGGGCAAGGGGGCTGAGTGTGCTCATGTGCTCACTCAAGTCTCTCTTCCTTTTCTTACAAAGCCACCAGTCCCACTCCCATGATAACCCCTTAATCCATTAATTCATGAATGGATCAATCACTTCTTAAAGGCCTCACCTCTCAACACTCTCACATTGAGGATGAAATTTCAACATGAGTTTTGGAGAGGACAAATATGTAAACTATAGTACATCACAATATCAATAACACAAAATGTATACCAAAAGAGAGGTACATTTGACTTTTGAAAAGCCAGGTTTGAACTACATGGGTCCACTTATACACAGATTTTTTTCAATAAATATATTTGGAAAAATTTTTGGAGATTTGTGACAATTTAAAAACACTCGGGCTGGGTGTGGTGGCTCATGCCTGTAATACCAGCACTTTGGGAGGCCAACTTGGAAGAACTGCTTGTGCCTGGGAGTTCAAAACCATCCTGGACAACACAGAGAGATCCTGTCTCTGCAAAAAATAAAAATAAAAATAAATTAGCCAGGCCTGGTGATACATGCCTATGGTTCCAGCTATTCAGAAGGCTGAATGGGGAGGATCACCTGGGCCTGGGTGGTTGAGGCTGCAGTAGGCCCAAGATGGCGCCACTGCACTCCAGCCTGGGTGACAGTGAGACTCTGTCTCAAAAAATTTTTTTAAATAAATAAATACAATAAAAACACAGACAAACCACGTAGCCAGGATAACAAAAACATTAAGAAAAAAGTTAGGTATGTCATGAATGCATAATATGTATATAAATACTAGTCTACTTTATCATTTTATGGTAGTAACCATAAAATTTATTAGAAAAAATTAAAATTTATCAAAACTTACACACACACGATACATAGTATCATTCGCGGTCAAGAGAAATGTAAACAAATGTAAAGATGCAGTATTAAGTCCTAACTGCATACAATTAACTGTAGTACATACTGTACTACTGTAATAATTTCATAGCCACCTCCTGTTGTTATTGCAGCGAGCTCAAGTGTTGTGAGTAACCGCTTAGTCCACTGTGTGATGTTAATCATCTCTGCGTGAGCAGTTCATCTCTCCGGTAAATTGTGTATCACAGTAAAAAATGATTTCTTGGTGTTCTCTTGTATTTTTCATCCTGTTTGGTACAATACCATAAACCTTGAATGAAAACGTGCCACTAGAGATGCCAGAAATGCTCCCAAGAAACAGAGAAAAGTCATGACATTATGAGAGATAAAGTTGAATTGCTTGGTATGTACCATAGATTGAGGTCTGCAGCTGCAGTTCCCAGCCCTGCCCCTCCATTCCCCCACCTTTTCAGAAAGAGGAGTCATCTGGTAAGCAAACAAAAACTTACAATATCAATAAGTACAATACAGTACTGGATTTTCTCTCCCTTATGGTTTTCCTAATAAAATTTTCTTTTCTGTAGTTTATTGTAAGAATACAATGTAATATACATATAATATACAAAATGTGTGTTAACAGACTGTGTTATCAGTAAGGCTTCCAGTCAACAGAAGGGTTACTAGTTAAGTTTTTGGGAAGTCAAAAATTATACAAAAATTTCTGACTGTGCAGGGGTCAGTGAGTCTAACCGCTGCACTATTGAAGGGTCAACTGTACTTGAAAAAAGTCACTTGTAGCAGGAAGAATAGCATGGGAAAAGATTCAAGACCACATAGTTAAGTCTCAGATTTCTAGCTGGTGCATACATCAACTGCCTCTTCTCAACATACACCCTGCAAATCCTTTATTCCAGATCCTTTTTGTGAAAAATCAAACTATTATTCCCTATGATAAGATCTAAAAGAACTGACAGATGTTACTCTATACTAACAATTCCATTTTCACAAAGAAGCATCTCTGAGTTAGTAAAAAAAAAAAAAAAAAAAAGAGGAAAATGAATTATGTACAATGTCTAGAAATAAATCTCAGCACACAGTACATGCTGTATTATATATTGGTTTCTAAGTCATTTCTCAACTGTTTACAGTAAGTAATTTTGCAGAACATGTAATAAAAATTTTAATAAAAACATTTTCAATTCTAAGCAATTTATAATCTATTAATTTAAAAATCACATTTACTTGTGCTGGTACAACTAGGAATCCATATGCAAAAAAAAAATTAATCTAGACACAGACCTTATACCTTTCATAAAAATTAACTCTAAATGGATCACATACCTAAATGTAAAATGCAAAACTATAAAACTTCTAGGAAAAACACAGGATAAAATCTATGTAGCCTTGGCAATGAGTTTTCAAATATAACACAAAAGCCTATCCATGAAATTGGTAAGTTGGCCTTATTAAAATTAAAGACATCTGTTCTGACAAAGACACTGTTAGGAAAATAAAAAGACAAACCAAACTGGGAGAAAATATTTGCAAAACACATATCTGATAAAGTGCCTGTATACAAAATGTATAAAGAACTCTTAAAATCAACAATAAGAAAACAACCCCATTAAAAAGTGGGCAAATGATCTGAACAGCCATCACACCACAGAAGATGTACAGATGAAAAGGGGTATGTGAAAAGATGTTAACATCATATGTCATTAGGAAATAGTAAATTAAAGTAACAATGACATATTACTACACACCTACTAGAATGGGTAAAATCCAAAAAAGCTGACAAAATCAAATGCTAGCAAAGATGTGGGGCAATAAGAACTCACATTCATTGCTGGTGAGAATGTAATAGTACAGCCACTTCGGAAAACAGTTTGGCAATTTCTTACAAAGCTAACCATAATCTTACCACAGGATCCAGCAATCGCACTTCTAGATATTTATCCAACGGATATAAGAACTTATGTCTACCCAAAAACCTGCATGTGAATATTCATAGCAGCTTCGTTCATACTTGCCAAAAACTGGAAGCAACCAAAATATCCTTCAATAGGTGAATAAACAAACCATGATATATCTGATAATGATAGAAAGAAATGAGCTATTAAACCTCAGGAAGACATGGATGAACCTTAAATGTGTATTGCTAAATGAAAGAAGCCAGTCTGGCAAGGCTGTATGATTCCAATTATACAACATCTGGAAAAGGCAAAAGTAAAGAGACAGTAAAAAGATACGTGGTTTTCTGGGAGAGGGGCTCACAGAGGTTATGAGTGAAGCCCAGGGGATTTGTAATGTGTTGAAATTATTCGGTATGATACTATGATCCTATAAGGATAGCTACATCAAATTAAGTATTTGTCAAAACCCAAAGAACTTCACAGGACAAAGAGTAAACTTTAATGTATGCAAACGTAAGCAAATCATTTAGAAGGTCAAGGAATCCCAAGGTGGAATGCAGATTGTAACAAAGAAATCTAACTGTATTATAAATGTGTGCTACAATCTCACTGAAAAGGATAGGAGGAAAGGTGCTTAGCTGACTAACTCTAGAAATGAGTAGAAGCTGTGAGACTAAAAGCAAAAGGAATAGTACATAAACACTGTACTCTTGATGCTAAAGTTGTTTCCCATGGGAGCACAGGTTAACAATTCCAATGCTGCTATACATCTATGATAGAAATGAATGATTAAGCAAATGTATGGCAGATGGTGCAAACCAGGTTTCTTCTCACTGTTGGAGTAAGTTTACATATAAACAAAGGGAGAAGGCTAGAATGATACCTGTGGTAATGAATTAGCATTACAGATAAAATGTAAATTCATAGTTAAACATGGATACAAACTGTTACATAAAAATATGTACAGATATGTTCATATACACACATGTATTTCTTGCTTTGTCACATGAGAGAACCTAGAAGCAATGATACCACAGTAGCAACAAGCACACCTAGCACCCAGATCTTGGTTTCTAACACCATTCCCCAACAAAATGATCCAGATTCCTTGGAGAAATGACTGATTCTAGGACTGTGGCAAGATGTATACAGATGAACCTAGAGCATCTCATAATACCAGAAAGTAAGGAAATGCTTCCAAAAAAACAAAATTCACATTGATGGTAGTATGTCAAAGAGGCACTGGAGTCAAGCTGTAACAAAGTAGCATTGTATTATAACCCAAAATATTTAGATAGATAGATAGATTTTATATTTATATAATATATATATATCCATGAGTCCAGAACAAAATAAATATGATTGAGTAAATAAATACATGGGGGAGAAGAGACAAATCTCCCACGGAGAAAAATATCCAAATAATTTATATAGATTTCTACCATCAAAGGGGGAAGCATAACTCTCTACTCCTTAAGTATAGGCTATACACAGTTCCTTCCTTCTAAGAGCACAGCATGAAAAAGGTGGAGAAAAGTGGAAAAATCTGATAAACACTATCTCAGCCAGGTGATAAAGATGAGTATCACAGTGACAAATCATACTGATAGTATATACCCTTGATATGAGATGAAAATGGCACGTTACCTCTGTGATCTTTCTACCAAAAACCTATAATCACAGTCTAATCATGAGAAAAAACATTAGATGAATTCCAATGCAAATGTATTCTACAAAATACCTGACCAGTACTCCTCAAACATCATCAAAAACAAGGAAGTCTAACAAACTGTCACAGCCAAGAGGAGCCTAGGGAGACATTACGAGGAAATACATTTAGTGGTGTCCTGGATGGTAGGGTCCTGGAACAGAAAAAGGACATTAAAAACTAAGGAAATCTAAATAAAGTATAAACTTTGTTAATACTAATGTACTGATACTGGTTCATTAATAGTAACAAATACCAATAATACAAGATGTTAATAAGAGGGGAAGCTGGTATGGGGGTATATAGACACCGTATTTGTAGCTTTCCTGTAAATCCAAAACTTCTGAGAAATAAGGTCTATTTTTTTAAATCCCATTTAGGAATACATCTAGAAAATACTGAAAAGGTTGTAGTGAAGCACTGAAGACCCTTAAACTTTCTTGCATATATTCAACTTAAAATGTTTGCAACTATTCCAATGCAGAATTTTTCTTACAAAAATATTTTCAATCACTAACAGCTGCAAACAATTTCATGTAGTATTAATAATTCCCAGGAGGGATTTACTATAGCCAGAATACTTTAATTAAAATTCCACTTTTTCCCCCGACATACCTCTACAGATGTCCAAAAGTTTGTACCTTATCATTAACTTATGTTGTTTTGTGATGATCCGTGTAACTACCAAGTATGTTTCACACAACTCAGGAAAGCTGAGTTGTATATAAATATTACATAAATCAGTGTTAAAATATTCATCCAATAGAACTTCAAGTATTTAAAGAGACAACTTTTAAAAACCTATCATTTCCTATTCTGGATACTATGTTTTCTTATACAAACCTTGGTTCAAGTGACCTGCTGCAGAATTAAAAGAGGTATGTAAAAGAAGGGAGTAGAGAGAAGAATAAAAAGCAGTAGGGTAAAGGGTGTGAAACAGAGTGTAAGAAAATAACTAGGATTTGGAATGTAATAAACACAAAGTAGAGAGTAGCAAGCCTATGCCATAGCATAGAAAAGAACTGGTATCTGAAAAGAATCAGTATTGATAAAACCTTGAAAGCAGGAAAAAGCTAGAAATAAAAACAAAATAAATCTTTAAGTTTGATCACAAACAAGCAAAATATTCAAAATTAGACATTAGGTTCCTGACAGGAAACAAAAGAAACATCACCCTATTAAGAGTGGGGCTACTAACAGTATAAGTTAAATTACACTTACTGGAAATTACTATATAATATTCAATGACATTGGGAAGTGAAAAAAATTACAAAGAGAATGCACCAAGTCTTGTAAACAGCGGTTATCTCAGAATAGTAGAATTAAAAGCAAATTATATTTTCCTTCTTTTTTTTCTGCTATAAAGTGAATGACTTGTGGTGCAATCTTACAAAGTCTCAATCTGTGTATTCTGCAATAAAGGCATTATATTATCACTATTGCATTTGTGATACATTCTACCTTACCCTTTATGTGACAATTCTATACTGTTTTAACTGTCAAATTGTAAGTAAAAGTGTGAATTCGTGACCAAAAATTTTCCACACCAGCAACTTAAGAACTACAGCAATATGTTTAGAAAACTGCGATCCCAAACAAAAAATCTATACTAGGTGAGACAGGATGACATTGACTTTAATTCCAATAGACTCACTACCACATGACGTCCATTACTAGTGCTCACTTTCCAGAACCCAAGGAGCTGTGGAAGAATGGAGTCCTTTCAATGAAAATAAACTAGAGGCAATACACAACACAGTTACTTTGAGGGGCTTTTTCAATATAAAGAAGATTGCCCGGAATCCTAACTCTCCTATTTCCCAAAAATGACAAAGCCAAAAAGTCACACTCTTCACACATCTGAAATCAAGTTTTACCTGAACTCATCCTAACATATTAGCTCTTTTACCTATTCCCCTTACTATCTAAGGCAAGAAACCTTGAAAAGAGAAGCAGTAACACATTTCACTGAAACATATTTTGTAAAGGAGGATTCTAATTCCTAATCCTTCACCGCTCTAGATGTCTGCGGATTTCAAATCCTAACCACGGCGTCCTGCCCCCCGCGAGATTCCAACAGTACTACGGGCCCTATGGGAGGAGGAGGATTTGAGAAACACTGCCGGAGAACGGTCGGTGCAAAGATTTTGCAAACAGGTAGTCCTAGGAAGGAAAGTAAGAGTGAGAACATCGGAGAGGGCAGGGAGTACATGGGTGGGGAAACCCCTTTCAAATGCATGAACTGACCACAACCGGAGAAAGGCCGTCTGTCTTCCCAAAAGTAAAATGGTGAGTAAAGTGGAGCAAGCTAAGAAAGTCAACAGCCATTAGGCATTGACAACGATTCCGAAACAATTAGCTATGTTAATTCGAGGGGGTAAACGGGGGTGGGACCCTGCCCTAAAGGGTCATTTTGAAAAGAACCCCTCCCCATTTGAGGCGGGTTGGCAGAGCAGCGCACAAATCCCAAGTCTAACGTAATAAGCCGAGATCGGGATACTCGGTCTGCAGTCGCCCCACGGACCAGATGAGCGCAGGTGTATCTGCGGAAGCTCAGGTTACCATGAATATCACTGGGCCACGGCGAACCCTCCCTGCCCAGCCTCCCGGAGCCCTGGGCGCGGGTCTGCACGGGCCCCACAGCTTGCCCGGACCCGGCGAGCGGACGCCTCCGGCCGCAGCGCCCTACCGCACCTGGCTGCCAACACCAGTTGAAAGCAGTCAAAGTGAAGGGAGGCGGACGCGGCTCCTGGCACCGCTCCGATTCCAGCACACAAAGGCGGATTTTTAAAATCGAGAAAGTCAAAGCCGCCGGACCCCGGGACCGGCGCCTTTCGCCAAGGGGCTCTTACCTCGGATCCGCCCTCGGGGCCACGGCTTTCCCCGGAGACGCCGCGAGCCCAGACGAGGTGGGAGGGGACCGGGAGAAAGCCCCCCAATCTGATTCGCGCCCAGCCAGTCGTCCGCGAGCCGCGGAGCCGCCTTCTGCACCCAGCTAAAGAGCAGCGATCTCCGAGGCGAGCACAGCGCCGGCCTCGCGCCGGGCGAGACCGCCTCGCTAGCTGCTGCCTGTGAAGTCTGGAGCCGCCCGCCCGCTCGCAGCCAGTGCCAACCGCGCGCCGCGCATGCCCAGTGCCCGCGCGAGGAACGAGCGAGCGGGCGGGCGGGCGAGTGCGCGCCCCGCAGCCAGGAGCGAAATCCGCTATCCGGGTCTTGCCGGCAGCCGAGCCGCAGAGTTCTGGTCGACTCCAGCGCTTGAGGCGAAGTGGCCGGTGAGGCCGGGTGGGCGGGAGAGGGACCGGAGGAAAGGAGACGGGGCGCTGCGCCAAGTTATCAAGGCCGCGATCAAAGTCGGACCAAGGCAGCGAGTCGACAGCAGGTTTCCAGAAGTGCCCTAACAGGACTGACTAGCAGCCAGGAGGCGCAGGAAGGGGCAAAGAGCGTGTGGAGAGCTTCGCCCCCGGCGAGGATGGACGCCCCGGGCGGAGGGAGCGCTCGGGTTGCAACACCCAGTCTGGCTGCACAGCTCGTAACCCCTGCCCTTTGGCGGCAAACAAGACGCATCTAATGACCAGCCAGCCTTCGTCTTCCTCCTCTGATCATCGGACCTATTTTCCCCCTTTTGTCGCTCTCCTCTTTTTTTGTCTCTCCAACCCATGCGGTAAACTGGTGGTGCCCAAGGCCCTCCATCGGGTCCCTGAGAGTCTCCCAACTGCCGGTCCTTAGCGCCAGCCTGCAAGCCCAGACCCGCCTCGCCAGGCTGCCTGTGAGCCTATTTTTCATGTAGCTCTTGCCAAAAGCCCTGATGTGGTTTGAAGTAGTGGAGGCTTCTTTCACTTTGTGCCTCTCGTACCTTAACCAACCCTCATAACCTCCTCTCTGAGTAGCTCATGGAGCCTCTAAAAGAGAAGTCCATGTTCTCATAGACATTGTGTTTTCTCACTCTTAAAACTCCTCATTGTCATAGCTACTCCCCCAATCCCCCCATGCTGTCCTAACTTCGAAGTCAGTTGACTTCCAGAAGTCCACGAAAGCCTATAAATTAAACTTGGTTAAAAGAGATTGGACTTGCTTGCTTTGTGAAGCAAATAAAAGCACAGTCAGGGAGAAACGACGTAACATGCCAAGGTGGACATTCAAACCATTCTAAAAGTTGGAATCGATATAACGGCTAAGTCCAGTCCCCTATTTTAAGTGGGAATACTCTCTCCAATATTTCCACCAGACCACTATCCACTTGAACATTTCCAATGTTGTAAATTTCTATTTTTATCATTACATATAACCATGATTATTTGTTGAATATTTACCTATGCCAGGAACTGAGCAACTTACACACATTATTCCTAGTCCTTAAAATGAGATGGGCCTTATTATACCTATTAAACACATTAGGAAAATGAAACCCAGAAGTTTCCTTCTTTTTGCCAAAGCCAATGCTGACGCCAGAATTAACAACCAGGTCTGCTTAACACTATAGCCTGTATCATTTATGAACATCAAATCAACTTCCCTGATACTACTGGTCTTGGTTCTGCCCCTAGGAACAACACAATATGAATCTCATTCTTTATAGACACTGCAAGCCTTGAAATAGTAGGGGCAACTATTAAGTAACCAACAGATCTAATACATTTCTTCAAAAATTCTCTTTTAAGTGTTTTTCAAATAGCAGTGAGCTGCCATAATCACACTATTCACCTTGCTTTGAATGTGTTTTGATTTTCATTCTCCTCTCTAAATTGTGCACTGAGAATACAATATTCAAATACAGTGGGCCAAGAACTGAGTTCCAGTTCTCCAGCTGCTGATCAGCCACCCCTTTGATGCAAGCACACACTACCTAGATTCAAACAGAACACCCAAGTCTATTTCACATCAACTAAATTAAACCGTATCTTCCACCTTTCATAGTCTATACTTCTATGTATTTAAATCTTGATTTTTGTTTTATTCTTATTAAATTTTATCGTGTTTGTTTTAGGACACAATTTCAGATAAATACTAGTGATCACTTTTAACATTTGTAAATTTAATAAGTATGCCTTGTTTGGCTCCATTTACGTCTAGTAAGAAACAGTAACACAGAACGGGCTTTAAAAAGGCCTGTGATATTATAAAATATATATTTGGTCTTCATCCCATTTCCAGACATATAGCTCCTAAAATCCTTGAAATCTCCAAAGTGATGAACATCTTTTTGTATTTGAATGAATTGGCTGATGGCTGGGGGCTCCAGCATAGCTTCAGGATGGGGACTGGTCATAGGAAGGACCAAGGCATGATTAGTGTGTTGGAACCTTCAGCCCCACCCTCTAACTTCCGGGGCTGGTTAAGCTGATCACCAATGGCCCATGACTTGATCAATCATGCCTACGCAATAAAGCCTCCACAAAAAAAAAAAAAAAAAGAATGGGTTACATGCACTTCCAGAGAGGGGAACATGAATAACTAAACGGAGATTCCTGGATGGCGGTGCTCCCAGAGAGGGCATAAATCACCCTATGCATCTCTTCAACTGTATCCTCTGTAATATCCTTTATAAGAAAATGGTAAACATGTTTCCCTGAGTTCTGTGAGCAGGTCTAGCAAAATAACCAAACTCAAGGAGGGAGTCACGGGAACCCTAATTTCTAGTTGTTCAGCCAGAAGCACAAGTAAAGCCACCTGGGGCTTTTTTGTTTGGCATCTGAAGTCAGGGTAGTCTTGTGGGACTGAGCCCTCAACCTGTAGGATCTGACATTATCTCCAGGTAGATAGTTTCAGAATTGAATTGAAGACACCCAGCTTGTGTCTGCTGCAGGATTGATTGGTTGATTGCTGGTAGGGGAAATTCTTACACACTTCTTGGTAACCAGAGCTTACAGAAGTCTTCTATGTTGATTGTTGAATAAGAGAACAGAAAAAAACACTTAGGTTTGGGGTTTCTTTTCCCCTGTATCTTCAGACAGCCCACTGCCAAAATAGATCTCCAAGGTAACAGTCATTTATGAACCAACACTTTTCAAGCACTTTAGTCCATGCACCCATACCATAACCAACATGGAGTTCATGAAGGTTTTCTAGATGCTTTGCTGAAATAAAGATTTACTGTTTCTAGCATCCCCAAATCTACTGGTCCAAGAAACTCTTTCAAAAAAAAAAAGGAAGCTAGTTAAATAAGATCTGTTTTCAGATTAACCCATTCTGGTATTAGTGATCCCACTAAAACCATTGTTAATAATCTGGTTTATACTTTTGTTAAGAATCTATGTCAAACTTACCTATTTAGAGTATCACTATACACAAGTTTTTCCTTTTTGAAAATCTCATTAGTATATGTTGGCATTTGGGATGAAAATGATGTAGGAATGATGTAGAATGGAGATAGATACCTGGAGTGAATGGGGCATTCAAAATATGGTGCAGGCCAGGCTCATTGGCTCACATCTGTAATCCCAGCACTTTAGGAGGCCGAGGCCAAACGATCACCAGAGGACAGGAGTTGGAGATTAGCCTGGGCAACATGGCGAAACCCCATCTCTACTGAAAATACAAATATTAGCAGGCTTGGCGGCACACGCCTGTAGTCCCAGCTACTTGGGAGGCTGAGGCATGAGAATCACTTGAACACAGGAGGCAGAGGTTGCAGTGAGCCAAGATCAGTTGACTGCACTCCAGCCTGGGTGACAGAGCAATACTCTGTCCCAAAATATAGGAGCAGAGTCTACAGCTGGGTATAAATGCTACATACAGAAAATGTGGAGAAATTATAATGACTGAATTCTATCTGGGGAGTAAGAGCTATCTCCACATTACCCAAGAGTCAGAATTCTTCAAACATCCCTGTTCACTCCCACTCCCCAATCTGATGTATGAATATAATTTAGGGACTGCTGTGTATACCTCTGTAGACTCACAGCCTTAAAGCCATATAACATAAAACATATCCATGAGTAAATCTAGAAAAGGTACACTGTAGCTTAGAATATTATTATTATGATGATCTAAATCTTCTAAGTGTAACTTGGTAGACAAGTAATTTCAGGTTGGCTATCACCCTTGTTATTATTTCACACTGTTGAAAGAACAAACCAAATTGCTTGGATTATTATATTTGTTCTCACTTTAGGAGGTGCTTGGGCTTGCTTCTTACTTTGTAACTGATGTTTATATTTCTTGTTAGTTATGTTTCTTTACACCCATTTGGATTAACAAACTCAATTTGCTTTAGCCTTCAAATGTCAAAATGCCCTAATTTCTTTTGTAATATGTAATTAGAAATGTATGGAAATTTTGAAGCATGATAGGAAGTATTCTTAACATGGAAATTTTTTCCAAATATAACCTCTATTTTCACCAAAAATAAACTATATTAGTTAAAAATAAATAAATGAATATACAACTTTGCTTACCCATGGATGAAATCTTTTGCTTTTCCATCTTTTTTAATAATCAAGAATTAGTTTTCCACAAAGGGAAGAAAATCCAACCAGTGTTACTTGAGTAAAAAGCATCTGAAAAGAACTTGAGTCTTTTGAAGAATTTAATGAGTGTGAAATGGTCATTCATTCAACAAATACTTTTGGACTCAACTAATAATTATAATTTGAAATAATAATGTAGTTGAATCCAATAGTGTAGCTGAGGTAAGAGGGTAAATCAAGAGAGACCTTTGAAAGAAGGAAAAAGGGGAAAGAGACCAAATGAAACACATGGAAAAGGTAATGAAACTCTAAGAAAAAAGAGGAAACCAAACAAAATGTAGAGGACATTGGGAGCTCCTTCAGGCAAAGAACTCCCCATCTTATACACTATACTTATATGCATGTAGAGAGTTGGCATGTATTTTTTTTAAGCTTCACACAGAAAGGTAAATTAGATTATTTGAAAAGTTCTCCAGCTACACATCACCTGGATCCCGCATAAAATATACTTTGATATGCATTGTAGGACTCTGAGACAGTAAAGGGAATCTCTCAGGGTCCAAAATGAAAACAAAACAAAACAAAATTGCTGAAGCAGGTGGGGTAGGCAGTAATCTTTTAAATAAGACTTAAACCGGCTACAAGGTGAAGAAGCTAATCTTTTAAATCCCATGTTAGCTGACTCTGCTGGAAGGAAGTCAGTACGGTTTCAGGTCCTTGGGCCCACAAGTTCCCAAGAGAGATAGACAGAAATCCTCTTTGGAGAAAAATAACCTCAAGTTAGTGTCCCAGAATTTCCCACAAATAAACATCAACCAAATAGGAATTCATAATCAAAGATCTCAAGCCATATAAGAAAATTCTGCTGACATGAGTGTTAGCAGAATAAACAAATATAATTCGATTTATGAGGCAAAAAAACTAATTAGCTATTATCTGGCTGTATAAAGAAATAAAAATTAAAATCATAAATAAATATCTAAGATGACTAGGCATACGTGAAAAGAACCCACTAGAACTTTTGGAAAAGAAAAATATAACTGCTAAAATATAAAACCCCATAAATGAGTTAAAGAGTAGATTAAACATAGTTGAAAAGAATAATGTAAGCTACATATGAAGAAATTATGCAGAATGCACCACAGAAGGTGAAAAAAGACAGAAAATAATAAACATTAAGAGATATGGAATATAGAGAATGTTAAGATATTACTCATCTCTAATTAGAATCCCAGAATGAGAGACCACAAAGAATGGAGTAAAGACAAGAGAAGACACAATAGCTAACACTGTTCCCAGATTAACATAGGACATGAATCTACAAAAAGAGGAAGTCCTGGCTATATACATGTATCAAGTAGGATACCTGAAAAGAAAATGAAATAGAGGCAGTACATATACATGTATCACATAAGATGCATGAAAAAAAGCAAACCAATATAAACTACAGTGAAATTTCAAAACACCAGGGGAAAGGCAATCTTAAAAGCATCGAAGGGGGGAATATTATTTACAAAAGAAAAACAAGTAGACTGAATAATTTTCAACAGCAATATGGCAGCCAGAAGAGAGTGGAATATCTTCAAAATGTTGAATGAAAATAGCTGTCAACCTATAATTTAGTGTCCAGAAACATTATATTTTGAGAACAAAAATGTAATTAAGACATTTTTAGATTAAAAACTATTCTTTTCACTGCCTTCACTAGATGAACTTCTGAAGTACACTTTCAGATGAAGGAAAGTGACCCAGTAGGAAATACTGGAATACAAGAAAAAATGGTGAACAAAGAAGCTGATTAACATTTGGGTTAATATAAAGAGGCCTGGTCTGTACAAAATAATATTAATAAATAATATGAAATTGTGAGGCTTAAAAGACACAGTTTAAATGCTAGAGAATAACTTACAAATCAGAAGGAGGATAATTAGAGTTAAATCATTCTAAGGTTTTTGTATTGTTCTGAGGAGTTTAATATATTAATTTTAAGTGTCCTTAAGAAAAATATTCACAATAAGATTTTAACAGAAATGATCCATATGGTACTTCACAACCTCAATTTTACAGGTAAACACACACACACACAAAGATAATAAATCATAGAGTTAGTATGTGATGAAGCTAGGATTTGAATTCAAGCAGAGAACGTGGTTTTGACCATTATGCTCTACAATATCTTAAAGACTCTAAAAGAACGGAAATGTGATGTAGAAATTCCAAACCAGTAGAGGAAGGGAGAAAGAATAAGAGGTAAACAAATATTAACAATCAATCTTCCTCTGTAAGCCACAAAAAAGCAAGAAAAAAGAAATGTAGAAGGAAAGGAGACACATAGATAGAAGGTAAAGACTGAGGAGAAAAACATTCAAGCATGTAAATAATCACAATATAAATGGACTAAACTTTCTAGTTAAAAGACAGAGTCAAGGCAGTTTTTAAAGATATAGCTATATGTTATTTACAAACATAAGAACGTGGAAAGCTTAAGATATATCAATTATATAATAATTAAAGCTGGTATAGCTATGTTGACATCACACGCAATGAGCTTCAAGATAAAAAAGCATTATTGTGGCTAGAAAAGGTCATCACATAATGATAAAATCTACAAGAGGAAATTGAAAAACTCATTATCATAGTGTAGCTATTTCAACACCCATTCAACCACTGTTAAGTTATTGATATCTCTCTATATCTATCTCTATCTCTCAATATATATATAGATTACTTATATAGAGACCTATATCTATCGATATATGTATATATCATATATATAATACATATGTGGCATATAGCAATTAGAGAATACACATACTCAACAAACCCATAAGAAATATTTGTAAAAATTAACCAGCATACCTTAATACATTTCTGAGAATTTGCATCATCTAGAAAAGGGGTTAAAAATCTTTTTATGTAAAGGACCTGATAACAAAAGCTAAGGTTTTGGAGGTCAGTGGTCTCTATTGCAACTACACAACTCTGCCACTGTGTAACTCAATAGCAGCCATAGACAATACATAAGCAAATGACCTTAACTATGTTCCAATTAATGTAAGACCCACTAAATTTGAATTTTATGTAATCTTTACAGACCTCAAAATATTATCCTTCTTTTGTGTTGTTTGACCATTTAAAATGTACCAACCATTCTTAGTTTGCCAGCTGTAGAAAAACAGGTGACAGGCCAAGTGTGGCCCATAGGGTGGTGATTCACTGACCTCTGATCTTGACTCATCTGTTTGTAAGGCAGTACAGTTAGAAATCAATAGCCGACTAATTTTTAAAACATTTAAGTTTAAAATGAAATTTTAATTAATTGTACTTTTTAATTTCTAAAGATTAATTTAAATGGGATTTAAAAACAGACTCCCCGCCCGGCATGCTGGCTCATGCCTGTAATCCCAGAACTTTGGGAGGCCACGGCGGGCAGATCACGAGGTCAAGAGTTCAAGACCAGCCTGACCAACATGGTGAAACCCCGTCTCTACTAAAAATACAAAAAAAATTACCCGGGTGTGGTGGCACATGCCTGTAATCCCAGCTACTCGGGGGCTGAGGCAGGAGAATCACTTGAACCCAGGAGGAGGAGGTTGCAATGAGCTGAAATCCCACCACTGCACTCCAGCCTGGGTGATAGAGCGAGACTCCATCTAAAAAAAAAAAAAAAAAAAAAAAAAAAAAACAGACTTCCCAATAATGTATGAATAGAAGAAGAAATCATAATAATAAAATTTATAAATATGTAAAACTGCAAGAAAGAGAAATAAATTCTAGTATATTCTGTTAACAAAATATTCTATAGCGGTGAACATGAGGAAGCAACCACTATGTTCCGCAGTATAGATTACTCTTAGAAACTTAGAGTTGAGTGAAAAAAGTCATAGAAGATTATGCATGATAAGATATCCTTTTTAGAGAGCTCAGAAAAGCATAACTAAATGATTTATTATTTAGGAGCAGCAGACATTTGTTAAAAATTTGTTTGTAAACAAAGGAATGTTTATCACAAAATTCAGAATAGTAGTTACCTCTGAAAGGCAGGAAAGGAATGAAATGAGGAAGCTAACACAGATAAGTTGCAATAGTATTGTAAGGTGAATCATCGGTGCTCATCTTAATTACTATTCTTGTCCCTCCTGGGAGAAAAATTGTGGAATTGCATACGGTAGGGAGGACCTTAATGCAGGGAGACAGCCATGGCTAGGGAAAGGCTAAAAGAGATGAGACAGAATGACGGAAGAAGGACAATGGAATTGTTGCTCTAATTTGTGGTGAAAGTGCTCCAGTCATATTCTCTTATTTACCTGGACTCAGGTCATCAGAATGTCTCATTCCCTATTATCTCTGACCTTTGAATGACTGATGAGCTCTGTAGATTTAAAACAAAAAAAAAAACTCCTTTCTGAACAAGAGCACAGGTATTCTGTTTCCAATTTTAAATGTGAAAGTTTGTTTTTATGGTTTTTATGAAAAGGTTGATTTCCTCCAGCAATTTTAATGTTCTGTATAACTAACAGAAATTTAATTTTTGAATTTGAGAGTTATTGATCCATTTACTAGTAACAGCTGAATGTTCCTTAAAATGCAAAAGAGACATTTGTTTTATCTTTTTGAGAGAATGGTGCTGTTTGTTCTGCAGAACTGGAAATTTGCCATTTATGAGCAGCACTTATCTCACTATTTACAGCTTTTTCTAATCAGATCTAGGCTTTTTATTTTCCTACTTGTGCCTAAGCAAAAAAAAAAAAAAAAAGAAAGAAAAAGAAAAGCAGATGAGAATGAAAAGGGAAGAAAATAAAATAACTGTGGGGGGGGGGAATCTTCAAAAAACTATCTGTTTAAAATTATAGTAGAGCTTTAAAGTGGAATTCTACTATACAATTGAAAAGAATGAGGTGGTGACATTAACTACTAGCTAGGATAGACAGCAAGATATATATTTATTAAGGTGGGGGGAGACAGCATGTTGCAATACATTATGTAGTATGAATTAACTTATATAAAAAAGAATAACAAATAAATATAAGCCAACATTCTACCAGTATTTTATGGGAGAGGGGTGACAGTGTAATAGGAGTCACTTTCACTATTTCAGTTAATTTATTTCTATAATTGAATTTTAAGCCATTTTTAATACTACAAAAAAGTATTATTTTGTGGCAGAGAAAATTTAACTTAGTAATATTTTATTATTCATTGTGGATTTTTCATGTTTCTCAATTCTTTACTCCTGCTAGAACTCGGGCAGATTTTTAAAACTCCCATCCCTAATGTCCAAAGTTGCATTTTTGTATCTTTAGGATTGCTGAGCTAGAATAATCCTTAGGCTATTTAACAATTCCCCCTGGGTAAGCTCATTGGCATTGCAAACACAGACACTGTTTCCTTTAGTTGGCACCCAAACTTTCTTCTTCCTTAACAGCAGAATCCTCAGCAGGGAAAATAAAACGAAAGAAAACTCCTATTACGAATTTGGAAAGTTTTAAAATGCAAATGCACATTTATCAATACCTATCTCACCGAGATCACTTGTGCTCAAGGTAATTCCAACAACCTTAAAGATCATTTTCCTGATCACAGCACAGAAATCCCAGTTTCGTTTTTGCTTTGGTTTTTTTAATCAAAAATTCATTGGTTGCTAAGAAATCCCAGTTTGGGCAAGGCAAGAGCAAATATATCCCACAGATTTTAAATGTAACTTCATCTTAAAGGACTCAGAAACACATCCACAACCCCCAACACACACACAGAGAAAGAAAGAGAGAATCTCTAAAGTGTGCTATAAACACTTGTTGGCTTTCCAAAAACATTAAGTTTCGTACCACTTTAATGAACACTTTTTAAATGCAAAGCTTTCAAAGTATTTTCTTCACTTTATTGTATGAAGGATGCATTTCTTTCCTTCCTCTCTTCTTTCCTTCCTTCATCCTTCCTTCCTTTCTTCCTTCCTTCCCTCCTTCCCTTTCTTTCTTTTCTTTCTTTCTTTCTTTCTCTCTCTCTCTCTCTTTCTTTCTTTCTTTCTTTCTTTCTTTCTTTCTTTCTTTCTTTCCTTCTTTCTCTCTTTCTCTCTCTCTCTTTCTTTCTTTCTTTGAGACAGAGTCTCACACTGCCACCCAGGCTGGAGTGCAGTGGCACAATCTTGGCTCACTACAACCTCCGCTTCCTGGGCTCAAGCGATTCTCCTGCCGCAGCCTCCCAAGTAACTGGGATTTCAAGCATGTGCCACCACACACGGCTAATTTTTGTATTTTTAGCAGAGACGGGTTTTTGCCATAGTGGCCAGGCTGGTCTCGAACTCCTGACCTCAAGAGATCTGCTCACCTCGGCCTCCCAAAGTGCTAGGATTACAGGCGTGAGCCACTGCACCTGGCCAAAGGATGCATTTCTGATCTTATTAACCACACTCATCATTCTGGGCATTCATGACTGTACTACAGAGGTACACGACCCTTTAATCAAAACCCTTGCAACCAGATGTTTTTAATTTTGTAAAGGGAACATGGTACTTATACCATATATTCGTCCCACCCCAAATAAGGTCTGTAATTAACACATTATTTCTGCAGCAAAACATATTCCCACAAATTAGAATGAACTTCCTAAGTTGCCTCACATCAGTTCAGATAAGATTTGCTGCCAAACAAGTACAAGACAAGTCAGGCTTTGCTACCAAATGGAATTTGAAAACAAACAACCCAACCAAACAAACTTAAAAAAAAAATGAATCTTTTGTTTTGATACTGCAGATAAGTCACTGCGCACTTATGTAACAGTGACTAAAAGGGTGCCTGAGTTGTTTTGTCTTGGATGTAGAGGTCATGGCTATCATTTTGAGGACTCGAGGTCTGCTTCTCTAAGTCTTCCTGCCTCTATGCAATCTGGCATCCTCCCGTCTGTTTTGTTGCTGTGATTTCCTCTACCACCTTTCCTGTCCTGTTAATTTATCACTTTTAATCTGCTGTGACTTAATGAAATAGATACTAACATTATAATTATGTATGAAATTAGAGTAAGTAGGTTTTACATCAGAAGGCCAAAAGTTGTTTTATAATAAGGTATATAAACTTTGCTCATATTCATGATAAAAGCTATTTCAACCATTTAGAGGCTTTTTTGTTTGCTAGTGATTCGCACCTGTATTTGCAATTTTTGAGATACTTATCTTTAAAAAAAACCCAACACTCCCCACTCTGAGAAAAAAAGAGAGAGATACATTGTCTCATTTTATAGATGTCATCTATTTTCAGGATCTGACATCTTATAAAACCATATTATTATAATATATATATATGACATTTTGGTCATCGAAAAATAAGCTAAAGTTTAAAACTTATTCACTCTAGCACAAAAAAGATTATGACGATAAATAGTGAAGTATTTGTAAAATATTAAAAGTAGAATCTCAGCATGACTTTTGTAAACAATAACAGTCAATTGCCAATATTTTTATTATCGCTCAACTTGCAAGTCCTTCCATATTCTGCCCCTGCCTTCTGCATTTATCTTCCTTTATTACTGCTGTCAGTGTGAGCCTTTCCACAGCTCCAACATGTAGAGCCCTTCAGCGGCAATGCCCACACAGGCCATACTTATCCCTGCAACACATAAGAAATCTGAGGAGGCCGGGCGCAGTGGCTCATGCCTGTAACCCCAGCACTTTGGGAGGCCGAGGCGGGCGGATCACGAGGTCAGGAGATGGAGACCATCCTGGCTAACACGGTGAAACCCCGTCTCTACTAAAAAAATACAAAAAATTAGCTGGGCGTGGTGGTGGGCGCCTGTAGTCCCAGCTACTCGGGAGGCTGAGGCAGGAGAACGTCGTGAACCCGGGAGGCGGAGCTTGCAGTGAGCCGAGATCGTGCCACTGCACTCCAGCCTGGGAGACAGTGGGAGACTCCGTCTCAAAAAAAAAAAAAAAAAAAGAAAGAAAAAAAAATCTGAGGAGGAGTAGAGGGTCACAAATAGAAATCAACACAGGAATGTCCAAGACTCAAGGTTCCCTGAGGGAAGTAGCCAAAGCTGGTCGAACATCAGTATCAAGTGTTAAGAGAGAGAGGTAATGAAAGCCCTACTCCAGAAGAGTACCAGGAGAAGTAAGAACAAAGAAACCCAATCAGGTGACTCAAGCATAAGAAAGCATCTTGAGGGCCTCTGACTCACCCATTTAGCAAAGGTCCAAGTACCTGCCAAGCACAGGGATGGGCCCTGGGGATACAAAAAAAAAAAAAGTACAAAATGGTCCCCACCCTTCAGGGCATGCAGTGTTGTTAGCAATTAGACAAGCATAAACAAATAATGACAACCATATACCATGTCATACCAGTACAATTTAATACCAGGTGCTACCTGAGCACAGGGAAATGAGTGCCTGACGCTGCTGTGCAAAACCAGCAGTGACATCACAGAGACTTGCTGTGCTTCCTTTCACTGAATGGCTTCCAACTTCCATGCTGCTCCTCCAGCGCTCTGACATGCATTCGCCACAGCGCCTTAGCACTTGCTCTTCCCTTGCCCTAGAGCACTCTTCTTCCAGATTGCTACATGGCTCACTCACTTCATTCAGTTCTCAGCTCAAGTGCTACCTCATCAGAAAAGATTTCTCTGACGAACCACCCTATTTAAACTATACTCCTACCCTGCCTAAACCCATACACACACACACACACACACACACTCACTCACTCTCTCTCTCCCTATTGCATTACATTGCTTTTTTATCACAGCACCTATCACAATCTGAAGATCTCGTTCAATTATTTATTGTCTGTTTCCCTCATGTAAATTCTGTGAGAGCAGGGATATCTGTCAGTTTTGTTTATTGCTATATATCCCCAGTGCTGGGCAGAGTTTAATGAATGAATAAGGAGAAATTTGAGCTGAGTTATGAAGAACATGTAGCAGTTTATCAAGGGAATGGGCAGGAGGTGGAGGCAGGAACACAGAATGTACATAGACACAAATAACAAGGAGTCAAGGCACTGTTAAAGGAACTTAAAGAGGGAAATAAAATAATCTGTTCCTGGCACACAGTGTGTTTATATTCCATGTTATTAAATAAATGAGTGAATGAGTGAATAAATGGTTGAATTAATAAACAGAGTTGTGCTTTAGAAAGTGTGTAAGGGGGCTGGGCATGGTGGCTCACACCTGTAATCCCAGCACTTTGGGAGGCCGAGGCAGGAGGATCATGAGGTCAGGAGATCAAGATCATCCTGGCTAACATGGTGAAACCCTGTCTCTACTAAAAATACAAGAAATTAGCCAGGCGTGGTGGCAGGTGCCTGTAGTCCCAGCTACTCGGGAGGCTGAGGCAGGAGAATGGCAGGAAGCCAGGAGGCGGAGCTTGCAGTGAGCCAAGATCGCATCACTGCATTCCAGCCTGGGTGACAGAGTGAGACTTGGTCTCAAAAAAAGAAAAAGAAAGCGTGTAAGGGGGCAGGCCTGTGCTGGATTTGCGGCAGACTGTCTTGCAGCTTCTAGGGCTAACTCAGGTGAGGTGGAGCTGCTAGGGTCCTGAATTCAGAGATCCCTTGATTGACAAGGAACATTATGGCAAGCCAGTGGCTGAAGTAACTGAGGAGGAGAAGAATGATCAGGAACTCAAGGAGACTCAGCTCATCAAAGCTGCTCCAACAATGACAACGAGCTCTGTGTTTGAAGACCCCACAATCAGTAAATTCACCAACATGATGATGAAGGGAGAAAACAAAGTACTAGCCAGATCCTTCATGACTCAGGTTCTGGAAGCTATGAGAAGTACCATGATGCTTCTGCAGGGGAACAGGCAACCATTGAACACAACCCCTATACCAGAGGTCCCCAACCGTTTTGGCACCAGAAACTGGTTCCCACCGACAGGGGAGAGGGGGTTGATGGGAGAGGGGTGGAAGGGATTGATGATTTCATCAGGCACTGGATTCTCATAAGGAGTATGCAACCTAGATCCCCGAATGTGCAGTTTACAATAGGGTTCGTGCTTCTATGAGAATCTAAAGTTGCTGCTGATCTGACAGGAGGTGAAGCTCAGACGGTAATGCTGGCTTTCTCACCTTGCTTGCTCGCCACTCACCTCCTGCTGTGTGGCCTGGTTTCTAACAGGCCATGAACCTTACCACGGGTCCATGGCCTGGGGGTTGGGAACTCCTGCCCTACACCGTCTTCAACTAGGCAGTGAAAAACTATGAGCCTGTGATTGGGCTGATACCCATCCTCAAGGGAGGCCATTTCTCCTGGATCCCTGGATCCTCACCCTACCAATATCACCACTTCCTGGCCATAAAGTGGATGATCACTAAGTGGCACCAGGGGATGCTGATGCCAGCCAGAGAAGCTGTCGCATGGGCTGCTGGAGGCTTTTTGCAACCAGGGCCCCGTGATCAAGAGGAAGCATGACATGCACAAGATGGTCAAGGCCAACCATGCCCTGGCCCACTACTGCTGGCGGTAGAGATTCCAGAAGGAGCTCAGGGCCCTCCACTGCAAGAAATACTGTGAGCCACTGCCACTTCAAAAAATAGCTGTGGGTTAAGGATGTAGTTCCTTTTTAAGGGCCGGCAGGCCTCATGAGAAGGATGGAGCAGCATATTTATTGCCTGGTAATCCTTCTTTCTTTGAGGCTAAAATTTGCTCTCCCTCTGTCCCCCTCTCCTTGTAAAGAGAGAGCACATTGTCTTGGAAACGTCGTCCAAGAAACTTAGGACCCAGGCTTCTCTTCGCTCAGCTTGGGATGGACCTTTGGATGATATAAAAGGAAGCGGTTTTAGGTATTAGAAAAGATTTTGGACATTTGGATGATATAAAAGGAAGCGGTTTTAGGTATTAGAAAAGATTTATTAGAAAATTCTCACACTGAACTGGTATACCTTGTGGTACAGTACTACCATTCACTAAAACTGTCTGGAGGGGGAAAAAAGAAAGTGTGTAGGATAGATTGATGGAATGGAAGGTAGGAAGTAGAGAAATCTCAAAGGCTAGTCTTCTATAAAGAGAAAAATCAGGCTCCAAAATGGCCTTAGCCCCTTCCCCTCAACAACCCCACAGAAAAACAAAAACAAATATATAGTGCTGAGATTATCACTAGCAATATACAGAACTCAAATATGAGGAGGAGATAGTTCCCGAGACCACAGAAAAGTGAAACAACTTTGAGCAGAGAGTAAGAAAATCAGACTTCCATATCCAGCACATGCTTCCTCCTTCCTGGCACCAAAAGTGTGGAAAACTTCCCTTACTCATGGTTTCTACACGGGAAAAGTGAGATAAAGGTGGGCAACAAGCTTCTCTATCATCTTGGGTTCCCTAGCTGGAAACCTGTCCCTGCCTCAAACCACAGGAAGCATACCAGGTGCTGTAGGTAGAAATATCCCTGAGGGCTGCCAGACACAAGGAAGGGAAGTGGAACTACCATCCCCAGCCCTGGACACTCTGCTCTGTAACTTGGCAAAAGAAAATGCCAAGGCTGGGTGCAGTGGCTCATGCCTGTAATCCCAGCACTTTGGGAGGCCGAGGCAGGCGGATCACGAGGTCAGGAGATCAAGACCATCCTGGCTAACGTGGCGAAACCCCATCTCTACTAAAAATACAAAAAAAAAAAAAAAAATTAGCGGGGCGTGGTGGCATGTGCCTGTAGTCCTAGCTACTCAGGAGGCTGAGGCAGGAGAATGGCGTGAACCCAGGAGGCGGAGCTTGCAGTGAGCCAAGATTGCACCACTGCACTCCAGCCTGGGCAACAGAGTGAGACTTTGTCTCAAAAAAAAAAAAAAAAAAAGGAAACACCAAATCAGAGTGTCCAATCAGCAGCACCATGCAGCAGGAGGTACATTCCACAGGTTGGTCCCCCTAGGCACAAACCCCTAACAATCCTTTCCATATTAATAGGATATCCTTTTTCAGACCTCCCTCATTAAAGACAGGCTATGTGAAAGTACACAGTCAAAGAATTAAGAAGAAAACATAGTGAAAAGGAACAAAGATCACCCACAGGATACAGAAAATTACCTCAACAGACCAAATCCAGGAATTATTGGTGTTCCAGGAACAAAAAACAAATAAAGGGGTCATTTCAGCAAGAGGATATAACAATTTTATAACACTTATATATCAGTGCACCCAACGCCAGAGCTCCCAAGTATATAAAGCAAACATTAATAGATGAAAAAGGAGATATAGACTGCAATACAATAAAAGTAAGGGATTTTACTCTCCATTCTCAGTAATGGATGGATTATTCACACAGAAAATCAACAGAGTTAAACTACACCCAAGACCAAATAGGCCTAATTGATATTTACAGAGCATTTCATCCAACTGCTGCAGAATACACATACTTTTCATCAGCACATGGAACATTCTCCAGAATAGACCATATCTCATGCCAGAAAACAAGTTTCAACTAATTCAAACAAGTAGAAATCATATCAAGTATCTTTTCTGACCACAATGAAATAAAACTAGAAATCAATAAAAAGAGAAACCTCAGGGAATACACAGACACGTGAAAATCAAACAACATTCTCCTGAATGACCAGTGGGTCAGTGAAGAAATTAAGGGGGAAATTTAAAAGTTTCTTGAAAGAAATGAAAATGGAAATACAACATACCAAAATCTATAGGATACAGCAAAAGCAGCAGTAAAAGGGAAATTTATTGCAATAAATGCCTATATCAAAAATGTAGAAAGACTTCAAATAAACAATCTAAATATACACCTCAAGGAACTAGAAAAGCAAGAACAAACCAAACCAAAATTAGTAGAAGGAAAGAAATATAAAGGTCAGAGCAGAAATAAATGAAATTGAGACCAAAAAAATACAGAAAATCAATAAAACAGAAAGATGATGTTTTGAAAAGATAAACAAAATCAACAAACTTTTGTCTAGACTAAGAAAAAAGGGCAAGGCGCGGTAGCTCACACCTGTAATCCCAGCACTTTGGGAGGCCAAGGCAGGCAAATCACAAGGTCTGGAGATCGAGACCATCCTGGCCAACACGGTGAAACCCCATCTTTACAAAAAATACAAAAAATTAGCTGGGCATGTTGGAGCGTACCTGTAGTCCCAGCTGCTCAGGAGGCTGAGGCAGGGGAATTGCTTGAACCTGGGAGGCAGAGGTTGCAGGGAGCCAAGATCATGCCACTGCACTCCAGCCTGGCGACAGAGCAAGACTCAGTCTCAAAAAAGAAAAGAAAAAAGAAAAAGAAAAAAAGAGAGAAGACCAAATAAATAAAATCAGAAATAAACAAGGAGACATAACAACTAAGACCACAGAAATGCAAAGAATTAGAGATGATTATGAGCAACTATTTGCCAACAAGTTGCAAAACCTAAAAGAAATGAATAAATTCCTGGACATATAATACCTACCAAGATTGAACCATGAAGAAATAGAAAAATAATGAAGGCCTGAACTAAAAACATGAGAGTAGAGAAGAGAGATTACATCTGAGAAGCAAGCCAGATTGTCATATGATTGATGTGGAGGAGTCAAAGAGGAAAGAGGATTCTGATATGGGTGTCCAGATGGGTGGCAGTGCCATCGGCTACTGAGTAAAACCAGGCAAGGGGACTACAGTGGGGAGGTAATCCATTCCATGTTGGAGATCTTGGGATTGAAGTGCCTTTTTAACAGGTGAAGACAACGAATATGTAGCGTAAAGTGTAGGCCTACGAGTATAGTCAAGACAGAAGACAGATTTGGTATAGCATGGATGTCTTCATCTTCAGAATGTTCTACTGGAATAAGAAGACAAAATGTAAGGACCATTTAAGAAATCAAGAGGCAGAAAGAAGAAAAGGAGCCTCCACAGAAAACTGAGAAGCAGCAGCTACTAGGGTGATGAGATGAAAACTGTGGGTTCAAGCCCCATGAAAACATGCAGTGTGCTGTCTAGCTCACTAGTCCCAGTGCCCTGGCCCACAGGAGAGACTCAAATACATAGGAAAACTGAACCAAGTAAAGCAGGGAAGAGGGAGGGATGGAAGGGAGCTTGGAAGGAGTGAACTGGTTAACAGTAAAACTACAAATGTAGCAAGAAACATAGTGAAAGCTAAGTATTCAAAATACAATTTATTTCATTTTATTTATTTTTGTTTGTTTTAATTTTTTGTTTGTTTGTTTGTTTGAGACAGAGTTTTGTTCTTGTTGCCCAGGCTGGAGTACAATGGCGTGATCTCAGCTCACCACAACTTCCGCCTCCTGGATTCAAGCCATTCTCCTGCCTCAGCCTCCTGAGTAGCCAGAATTACAGGCATGCACCACCATGCCTGGCTAATATTTTGTATTTTTAGTAGAGACGGGTTTTCTCCATGTTGTCCAGGCTGGTCTCGAACTCCTGACCTCAGGTGATCCACCCGCCTCGGCCTCCCAAAGTGCTGGGATTACAGGCATAAGCCACTGTGCCCAGCCTTTTTTATTTATTTTTTGAGACAGGCTCTTCCTCTGTCACCCAGGCTGGAGTGCAGTGGCAGGATGATAGTTCACTGCAAGCTCAAACTCTTGGGCTCAAGAGATCCTCTTGCCTCAGCATCTCAAAGTGCTGGGATTACAGGTGTGAGCCACCACACCCAGTCCGAAATGTATTTTAGTAACATGCCAGACACCGTTTTGACCAGGTTACATAGCTTAATTTAGTCAATTCTTATGAAGACCCTGTAAAGTAAGGATTATTATTATCCCCACTTTACAGATGAGAAAATGAGGCACAGAGAGGTGAAGTTGCCTAAGGTGACACAGGAAATCAATGAGAGAGGCAAGATTGAAACCCAACTGTCCTGCTTCAAAGCCAACATTTATTTGCACAGATGGGAGAGTGTGCTTTCTGAGGGAATTTAAGTGTGGGCAATTTCAATGGAGTGGCAGCTTTGTGGCCTGGGAAGCTGAAAGGAAGGTGAAGAAGTGGAGAGAGCAAAGGTAAACTGCTGTTGCAAGGAGCTTAGCTAGGAAGAGAGGATAGACTAGTAGCTGGAAGGGAACATAGGAGTGACAGAAGCTGTTTTGTGTTTTTAATGAGCAAGTCTGGAGCATGTGGGCTCGATAGATTCTGTTTACATTACACTGTAGAATTTGCTCAAGGAAAACGAGGGGGTTGGATAAAAAGACAGATTCCTTCCAGCTTTGAGTCTACTATTCCACAACTTTGAAATTCTTTCTCAGTGAAGCCAGATGGAAGATTTTACTTGATAAAATTAGTTGGAAAAAATCATTTACTACACTTTTAATGAGGTATTTAAATAGAAACCCAAAGACCTATTTATTCTAATATCGTTTTAATTCATGAGCTTTTAATGTTTTCCCAAGCTGGTCTGTGACATTTCTTGGCCTAAAGAGAAATCTAAAGTTTTTATTGTCTTTAGATTTGGCCTAATGACATGTTTCTGCTTTCCTGTCTAAGGTTAGGAAAGAAAGAGTCAAGGTTATCTTGGGTTCATATTCTTTTTCTCCATTGCCTTTTCCTTTCTGTTCTCTGCCCCTCTTTCCACACAAAGAAAAAAAAGTAAGTGCAGGCGGTTATAAAAAAAAAGCCATGTTTCTTTCACAATACATCTTAAACTAATGTAATCACTCGTGTAAGTGTTTTCTGCAATTTTCTGTCTACTAAATATCCCTTGAAACACTTCAGCTTTCTCCGAACCTGGTATCTTTCACTTATGCTAAACTTTTTCTTTTCTCCTTCTCTTCCTATGAGCAAGAGAGAAGGATAGACTAGTAACTAGATAGACTAATAGCAGTGTATGCATGTCAATCCCAGAAATTACCCCAGAGCCTCATTTTATCTCTACATCACTGCACAAAGCCCTTTCTCAGCACACCTGCTTCAATTATACGTATTCCTATTTTTTTCATACTTTTTGCACTTTCCTATCTCCAGTTACTCCTTTTCCTATCCTTACCTCAGTTTTCAATTATCCCCTAGTAGGGCTATAAGAAGGGGAGAGACGGCTGCAAAAAATATAGAACTCATTTTTTCCAGCTTTCAGATGTGTTTTGGCACCTACCAAAATTGGTATATCCCCAGTTTTGGAAATTCACTATACTTCAGACAAAGTAACATTACACCTGGAAGACAGGTCTCAAAAGGAATTAGAGAGCTATTCACTTAGCAAATCTTTGCTCCTTGCTCATTTCTATTCTGGGCACTCCTCCATACAATGGATGAATAGCATTATCTCTCAGACAAATGCAAATAATCTTCATAGAGAGATCTTTATGTTTTTCTCTAAAGTATGGTATCTTTCTAGCTCACAGTTCCCTGGAACCAGGTGATAATTAAAGAGTTTCAGGCTCAAAGGTGTTCTCTCTGAAATTCCTGATGAGCTAGCTTCAGACAAGAATGAGAGTAAACAGAGATGGTGATGATATCATAAGTGGATCAGGTTATAATGTTAATAAGTTGGAAATGAAATGTGGCTGCCTAGTATCAATAATTGACTTAATTCACATTTTCCCTGACACATGTAAATCCAAATCCCAGCATTCATAATTGTAGTTACCGTATTTTGGCAGGCATATGTACCAAGCTGAGATGAACAGAGCACAAATAATCTCTGTCAGTACTGTAGCCTACACCACAGTGGAACCTCATTATAAAGAGATCTAAAACATTTTGTGACAGCAGGCAATCCTTCTCTAGAAATAATAGCAGAAATCTCAATATCTCTAAATCTAAATAATGATTTGCATCCTTTATCTTTACAGAACAGGCTTTTAAAACTATAAAATATTTTAGAATACTCAGCCTCTGGGACAAACTAAGTACTTCTCTATATAATTGAGCAACATTTTCAAATATTGACCACCCTGATGATTCCAAACCATGTAATTAGCTTAATCAAGTATACTTTCCTCCATCTTACTCTTGGCAAAACATATTTTTACATTATTTAATACAATTAAAAAGCCATTCGTTTTTCTATTTCTCCTTTTTTTTTTTTTTTTTTTTTGAGATGGAGTCTCGCTCTGTCGCCCAGGCTGGAGTGCAGTGGCGCGATCTCCGCTCACTGCAAGCTCCGCCTCCCGGGTTCACACCATTCTCCTGCCTCAGCCTCCCGAGTAGCTGGGACTACAGGCGCCCACCACCATGCCCGGCTAATATTTTGTATTTTTAGTAGAGATGGAGTTTCACCGTGTTAGCCAGGATGGTCTCGATCTCCTGACCTCGTGATCCGCCCACCTCGGCCTCCCAAAGTGCTGGGATTACAGGCGTGAGCCACTGCGCCTGGCTATTTCTCCTTATTTTTATTTTTTTCTTAATCAAGAATGCTGAAAACCTAATTTTTAAACCATGAAAATTTTCCATTGGAAAGTCTTCAATTTTTAGGATACGGAACATTTTAGCTTAAAACAATTAATTGGCAAATGACCGATGCAAATGCTTTTTATTAAAATTTTACTTCTATTTTTACAAGGGCTAAAAAAAAACTAGAATATGTGCTTTATACCATCTAATAGTTAAAATTCTTCTGTATGTGAGAATGTGAAAGTCTTCTGTAAAAGGAAACATTTTCCCTAAATGAGTTTTTGAAGGAATCAATTTCCTCTATTCCTGGTCACAACAGTTTCTGAGTTTTTGACAAGTCTTGTCTCCAAGAGTTTCTGATACTCTTTCCAAATGTTTAGTAGGAAGAAGCTTCTCTTTGCTTTTTCTGGGAGAAAAAGCCAGAAGAACTCTGAGGCTGCAGTTCTCTCTCCTGACCTCCTGTCCTTCCTCACTCCTAGCTCCCAGAAGTCCTTCCAAAGGTTACCAACTGGCTTTAACCCAACTTTAACTTTTCAACTGAGGGCTTGGAGAGGCAACCTAGACTTTTTAAATTTTTTCTTTTGTTTCATAAAACACAAGATTGAAAGATTATTATAAAATATTGCCTTTCGAACACACCATGCTTACATTGGCAGAATCCATGAGAGCACTGTGGTCCCAAGGCCCTTTAAGAGGTGGGGTGTTATTTCTGAAATGGATTTGGACCATATGCAACACATATAAGAAAGTTGCATTTTCCCGCCACAGTGGAAAACATCTGTTTTGCTAGTGGATTTGACTCTATTGCCAGAATAACTTTCCAGATGTTTTGAAACTCTAAACAACTGCTTCCTTTCTGATCTGCTCTGCCTCAAAAATTGATTTGCTAAGAAAACACATAGGTCTGTGACATAAATGAAAACAATAATATTTATCTTAACTAATCCATATTACCAAAACATTTTAGACATGGCCTTGGACTAATGGTGTAAAATAGATTCTTTTTCTTTCTAAAGCAGGCATACAGACATGTATACACATAGGCTCTTGGAAAGGAATATAGTGCAAACAGGAAAACATTCCCAATCCTCTTAGTGTAAATAACTACTGGTGGTAGACCATCTATGCTCCTGTTATTTTCTCAGCTTTTTCATTGACTTAACTTAAATGACACCCTGGTAGGATATAAGCATGCCCAGCACATATTTAAACCTCTTCCCTTTAATGACTCCTGTATAGCATGCAAAGTATTTTACAGTATCTCACTTTCAGCACTTCTGTAGCATCTACTTTAGCTATTTCTTCCTAGTTAAGCTCTAGCCACCCTTTTGTTGTCATTGTTTTTTGTTCATTTAATGTTTACATAATTTAAAGAGATGATTTTTATTTTTTTATAATCAACTGCCAAACAATACAATATTTCTTCTTTCTGCCTCACTATACCTCGTGATTTCACTTTGTGATCTTTATCCTAACCCTGTTTGAATTTAAAACCTCTATGTTTTCATTCCATTTATGTTTTTAACTCCTCGACTTTTCCAGATACTCAGCTTTTCCCTTTCATTCTTTACAAAGTCTTCTAGCAGATCATATTCCCATTTCCACTATGATCCAGAAATGCAAATGTTTGAAAGGCAAATTTTAAGTTGAACAGAACAAACCTATTGTGTACTAAAGTTCAATATGTATTTTCCCTTATAAATATTTCCCAACCGTTTGTATGTGTCTTCATTTTACATTATACCTGAGTTTCTGAACACCAAGAATCTGCTTTGAATATTTCTTTAGATTCTAAATTTGGTCAGTCATTTCTAATAAGCACACTTTTTTATTCATTCATACTTTAGAATGCAGCCCGAATCTTGTTCACCTTTGTATTACCAGTGCCTAAAGCAGAGAACCTGGCAGACACTCATTTACCATTTATTAAATAACTCTAACATTTGCTTGGCAGGGATTTCATGTCCCAGGCACTGTGCTAAGCATAGATTATATGCTATGTCATGTGATCTCAAGAACTCTGTGCAGTAGACATTATTATTGCCATTTTACTTTTGAGGAAACAGAAACTCTGGGAAAGAGAGAAGTAATTAATACAAATTTACATGGGTAGAAAGTTGCAAATTATTTAGTTCCAAAGATGGGCTCTTTGAATAACATGAAAAACAAACATAAACCATACAAACACTTTCTTTCCCATTTTCCTCTATCATGGCTGGTCCCAGGCAAAACTTTAAAATAGAGTAGATTTTCAGTACATCTTTCCTTTCCACTTAATAACTAACTTTTAGTGCCCAAACCCTTTGACTTATCCTTCCAACCAACCTCAGAAGCTTCTACAGTGGACACTCCCTCCCTCATCCAGGGCCTACCTGCCATGGTCTGTATCCCCACCTATCTTCAGCCATACTAAATTCTGGCTTTTCTTTCATCAAATCTTGGGTCTTATTGCTTCATAATACTTAAGCTTCTGAGGTTGAAAAGTTGCTTATTAGGCGAGCTTTCTTCCCCAACATTGAAAAGCTAGAAGAGTCTATAAGAATTATGTGGTCATAATTTTATGGGCAAAAAAAGTCATTGAAATGACTGTAATCAAAAGGAATGAACTTACATTAGGCTGAACAGAAGCTAAGGACAGCACCTTGGCAGGATCCTCATTGTCCACCTCCAATCAGACTTCACTGCACTAGGCTGACCTCTATTTCCTAAGAAGAAGCCTAGCTGAAATACACAATGGCTTCAGATTTTCTTATGTAACTTCCATGTTGAAGACAGCATCATAATTAAATTCAATGGTAGCATCTAAAAGTGAAAAAAGAAAGACAACTACCAGCAAACTCATTAATTATTATGTAAATCTGTTAAATTTTACACATACATACACAAACACACACACACAAAACAAGGGTACAGTCCTTGGAAATTATGATGTCTGCTTTTTGCACACTTCTGTAATATATGTGTTTATTTTTTTTTCAGATAAAGGGTCTTGCTCTATCACCCAGGCTGGCGTGCAGTGGTCCAATCATAGCTCACTGCAGCCTCGAACTCCCACGCTCAAGAGATTCTCTCACCTCAGCCTCCTGAGTAGCTGGGACTGCAGGTGCACCACCACCCTTGGGTAAGTATTTTTATTTCTTAGAGATGGGGGGGTCTCACTAAGTTTCCCAGGCTGGTCTTGAACTTCTGGCCACAAGCGATCCTCCTGCCTCAGCCTCCCAAATCACTGGGATTACAGGTATGAGCCACCACACCTGGCTAACAATGCAATTAAATACATTGACTTACGGCTGGGCGTGGTGGCTTACCCCTGTAATCCCAGCACTTTGGGAGGCTGAGGTGGGCAGATCACTTGCAGTCAGGAGTTTGAAACTAACCTGGCCAACACGGTGAAATGCTGTTTCTGCTAAAATTATAAAAATTAGCCAGGAGTGGTGGTGGGCACCTGTAATCCCTGCTACTCAAGAGGATGAGGCAGGAGAATCGTTGAACCCAGGAGGTGGAGGCTGCGGTGAGCTGTCACACCACGGCACTCCAGCCTAGGTGACAGAGCGAGACTCCATCTCAAAAAAAATAAAAAATAAAAAAGTAAATAAATAAATAAATACAATGACTTAATCATTAATTCAGTTAACAAATAGTTATTGAGTACATACTGTATAGAAGGCACAAAAGAGATTATAATTTATAAGGCAATATAAATCATGTTCACAAATGATCGAAAGGTAAAGCATGTAAGATCATTGTCAAAAAAAGGACAAAGTATTTTGAGTGATCAGAGTAGGGAAGGATTATGAGCAGCTAGCAGAATCAATGATTTTGACATATTAGTGTTTATATTTTACCTTATATTTTACTTACAGAAATAATAACCAAAGTATTTAAACATGTGCTATTTTTTCAGGCATTGTGTAGGCAGTTTATAGCGCTATTGAATCAATTATAATTGCTTCTGGCTATAAGTATCAAAATACTCTATTACAACTTGGTTAAACAATAGTGAGACATTAGTTATTTCACTCAAAAAGAAGTCTGGAGGCAGGCAGTTGAAGAATAAGGGAAGTGATTTAACAATGTCATAAAGGACACAGGTTCTTTCCATCATTCCCCCTCCCAATTTTGTGATCGAGGGAAGACTAGCGGACTTTCTCTAGAATCATGTATGACACATCTTCATATATATGTATAATAAAATTATGATGAAATGAGGTACTCTCTTCAAGGGCCTCTCTCTGTTACATAGGAGGAAATCTTTTCCAAATGTCTCCAGCTAACTTCCCCAGGTCTTTTTGGCTAGACATGGTTCACATACCCATGCCTAGAGCAATAGATGATGAATGAGAAGAGGATTGCCATAATGTAGTAACCATCACACAGAATGCCTCTTCACTATCTCCCAAGACTCCAGTCTAAATAAGCAATTATGTTTGCATTGATAATGGAACCTTAAAATTATTGCTTTACATACAATTATTAAGATATTTTCTATTTGTCAGCCATGGTCAAAGTTTAGTCCCACAAAGGTATATTAATCTTATTTTAGTGGCCAAGAAACAATAAGCATTCTACAGATAGAAATAGTGATTGATTAAGGTAAAGTTTTTTTGTTTTTCCATTGTTTAGTTTTTTTGGTTTTGAGACAGGGTTTCGCTCTGTAGCCCAGGATGGAGTGCAGTATCTCCATCAAAGCTCACTACAGCCTCGACCTCCCAGGCTTAGGTGAGCCTTCTATCTCAGCCTCCCCAGTAGGTGGGACTATAGGTATGTGCCACCAAGCCCGGCTAATTTTTTGTAGAGATGAGGTATTGCCATGTTGCCCAGACTAGTCTTGATCTTTTGAGCTCAAGTAATACACCAGCCTTGTCATCCCAAAGTGCTAGAATTACAGGTGTGAGCCACTGTGTCTAGCCAAGGTGAAGCCTTGTTTAATGTCTTTGTCATTCTTTTGCCAAATCTGTGATCCTAAAATTTTGCTGAGTCAGTTTGTTTCAGCTAGGAACTAGTGAATGAAAAGTAACACATGTGAAATTATTACTGAAATGTTATAGCAAAGTTCATGGCCAGTGGAATTAAATTAATATGGCTAGCGTATTTGAAAACATTATACCTGTCAGAGTAACTCTCTGTTTGAATTTAACGTGTTAATTTCTTACACTTCTCATATTTTCCTGGAATACAACTTTCCACTTCACTCAGAACAAACATTAAAGTAGGATGTTTATATACTATGTGTAGTATGATAAAACTGTTTTAACCATTAAAAAAGTAGAAAATCCTTGTTTTTATATCATGTGACTATTGAAATTGCAATACAAATGTTTTATTTAAGGGCTTCTTTATTTATACTGTGATAAATCTGCCTTTCTCTCTGTTTCTTTCTTTCTTCCTCTTCCTTGTTTCTTTATCTCTTTCTTTCTCTTTTTCTTTTTTCATTCTTTCTCTTTCTTTTTTCTTTCTCTTTCTTTCTTTCCCTCTTTCTTTTTTTTTTTTTTTTTGAGACAGAATCTCACTCTGTCACCCAGGCTGGAGTGCAGTGGTGCAATCTTGGCTCACTGCAACCTCCGCCTCCCAGGTTCAAGCAATTATCTGCCTCAGCCTCCCGAATAACTGGGATTACAGGTGCCCGCCACCATGCCCGGATAATTTTTGTATTTTCTCCTTTTTCTCTCTTCTCTGAGACAGGGTATCTCTCTGTCGCCCAGGTTGGAGCACTCTAGTGCAACCAGGGTGAACCAGGGCTCGCTGCAGCTTTAACCTCCCAGACTCAAGCAATCCTCTTGACTTATCCTCCCTAGTAGCTGGGGCTACAGGTGCATGCCACCACACACAACTAAATTCTTAAATTTTTTATAGAGATGGGGTTATGGTGCCAGGGCTTGTCTCAAATTCCTGGGCTCAAGTGATTCTCCTGCCCTCACCAGGTGTGGTAGCTCATGATTACAGGCATGAGCTACTACGCCTGGCTTTATTGCAATATTTCTAAAATTATACTTCAGTCATCTATTATTCTATAACAAACCATCCAAAACTTACTAACTTAAAACCACAGTTTTCTATATACTGGTGAGGTTGTGGAGAAAAAGGAATGCTTACTCACCATTGGTGGGGGTGAAAATTAGTTCAACCATTGTGGAAGACAGTGTGGTGATCCCTTGAAGACCTAAAGAGAGAAATACCATTCGACCCAGGAATCCCATTGCTGGCTATATACCCAAAGGAATATAAATCATTTTATTATAAACATATATGCATGTGTATGTTCATTACAACTCTATTCACAATAGCAAAGACATGGGCTCAACCTAAATGTCCATCAATGATAGACTAGATACAGAAAATGTGGTACATATGCACCACAGAATACTATGCAGCCATAAAAAAGAACAAGATCATGTCCTTTGCAGGGACATGGATGGAGCTGGAGGCCATTATCCTCAGCAAACTAATGTAGGAACAGAAAACCAAATACCACTTGTTCTCACTCATAAGTGGGAGCTAAATATGAGAACACATAGGCACATAGAGGAGAACAACACATGCTAGGACCTATAGGAGGGTGGAGGGAGGGAGGAGGGAGAGGATCAGGAAAAAATGACTAATAACTACTAGGCTTACCACCTGGGTGATGAAATAATGTGTACGACAAACCCCCATGACACAAGTTCACCTAGGTAAAAAACCTGCAAGTGTACCCCTCAACTTAAAATTTTAAACAAAATAGTTATCATTTATTTTGCTCATAAATTTACGATTTTGGAAAGGTTGGGTTGGGATGGTGAGTTTCTGTTTTCCCATGGCATCAGTTGAGGCAGTTTCCTGGGACAGAATCCACTTGCAAGTTAGTTCACTTACATAGCTAGTGTCTGCTTTAACAAAGATACCACAGAATAGGTGACCTAAACAACAAGCATTTCTTTCTCACAATTCTGGAGGCTGGAAGTCTGAGATCAGGGTACTAGCATAACTGTGTTCTTGGTAAAGGCCCTCTTCCTGGACAGATGGCTGTGCTCTTGTTATATCTTTACAAGTTGGAGTGAGAGAGAGAAAGAGAGATACTGATGGGTACCTTGGCTCCTTTCCACATGAGTTTCTCCATGTGGACCTCCCCATGAGATTGCTTGAGCTTCCTCACAACATGGCAGTTGGGTTCCAGAAACAAATATTCCAATAGGAAGTTGAAACTATCAGTATTTTACAAATTGGGCCCAGAGCTTCAGCCTAGCATCAATCCTGCTATATGCTAATGGTCAAGCAGTCACACAGACTCTGCCCAGATTTAAAGCAAGTGGACATAAATTCCTTCTTTTGATAAGAGGATGAAAACTAAATGTAACCATCTTTAATCTCTATAGACTTGAAAGAGGATTCGTTTTTATTTTCAACGTTCATTCCCATGGAAAATTTTTCTTCTTTATTATATAATACTGTCAAACTGTGAAGATGACTTGCTTTGTAAATAAAACTGCAATAAAAATATCACGGTTTAAAAAATTTATTTATTTTTATATCACAATAAAAATATGGCAGACTTTTATTGTGGTTTATGTAACCACAATAAAAATATAGCAGAGTTGTAAGGTCCAAAGTTATACTTGAATCAGGATTACTTAAACTTGAGTCAGGATTCAAGTTTCATGTATAACTAATGCTTTTCTACTCAGAAAACTGGTCAGAACAAATATTGTGTCACCAGGATACAATAATGGTGTTGTATTTATTATGGTAATAAAAACAAAGTAAGAAATGTTCCTTGCTATACTTTTTAATTTTTGTTAAACATTTTTTATTGGGTAGACCATTTTTTCTTTTAAAAGGCAGTATTTTAATTCTCTTTCTGTTGAATATTCTTAAATTGTATTTTGATAATGTAGTAAAAAGTAAACAAGAATAGAAAAATTTTCTGTGTAGAGTTAAATGCAACACAGCACATCACTTCTGATGATAAATGAAAAATTTTATTATGTAGTGAGAGAATAGTACTAAATATGAGGCATAGTGAGGTAGTTTTCAATTACTTTTTTATTTTTATGAGGATGATGTGCTTGGATTTAATAGAAATTGAAAGATTTCATGATACAGTAAATGACAAAGCTTATGGCTTTTTCTTCTATTTGTTGAAGAGGAGAATGCCATTTTATTTCTTTGATTTGTGAGAAAACTCTATGTTCTCTAGTTTTACAAGCATCATTAATATCGTTTGTCAGTTATTGTTCAACAACAATGTGCAAGGTTAGGCTTGAACAGTCAGAAGAACAAAGTGAAAGAATAAGAAAAAAATGAGTAGGGATTGGTAGTGTCTTTCCTTCCAAGGATAAGTTTTTCAGAGTTTCTGGTGCTATTAGGAGACTACTTCCTCCTTGAATGTTTTGATGATGCTATGCTTCTGGGGTTTTTCACCTGAGCTTTATTTTGTCTATTCAATGGCTTCACAGTCTCTGATGGTCTTTGTCCTCCTTTTCCCTGGAGAGTGTTGGTGTTCTGCAGAGTGTTCCTCCTGGTCTTCTATTATAATTCTACATTTCCTGATCATAGTTCTCAAGATTTGTATCTCTAATCCAAACTTCTCTACTGAGTTCCATACATATAAGCCACATTGCTATCTGTATATCCTACAGGAATCTCCAACTCGTCAGCCCCAGATTAAAATCATCATCCTTCTTCCAAAATCATTAATTAAGAGTTGCTACTCTTCACCCATATTTACTAGGTAACTAAGTCCTATCAATTCCTTCTCAAAATATGTTCATGTTTGCCCCATCCTTTTTCATCCTCATGACCACTAACCTATTTCAGGCTTTTTGCATTTCTTCCCTAGGTTGTTACAAAGGTCTCCTTACAGGTCAAACCACATCCAGTTTCACTCTAAGCCATCCCTCAAACTGCTTCCAGACTGACTGTCCCCAAAATACAAAGAAGATAATGTGACAACCATACGTAAAACATCATCCTTCATTGTTTACAGAGCAGGGTCCAATCTCTGTCATCAGATAGAATAAATTCTCCATGATACGTCTTCCTCTCTATTATCATCTCCCTCCAATTTCCTGAAAGATCCATCATATTGTTTCCTGCTCCTATGCCTTCATGCATGCATACACACAGAAACACACATCACATATATACATATAATGTATATGTATATAAGTGCACACACATCACATACATACATGTAATATGTATGTATACGTATATAAATGCACACACACACTCTTTCTAAATGGAATGACTTCCCTCTCTTTATTGGTATACAGAGTGTCTCTGCCAAGATCTAGTGTAAACATGACCTTCTCTTTGAAGTTTTCTATTACTCTTCCACCTCTGCTGCCTGCTACACTATTACCACTCCCTACACTGTGCTGCTAAGTGTGCCTAAATCAAACATGACTTTTATTATTGCACTTACAAGATTGTATTTCTATTATCTTTTGCATGTCTGTCTTCTGTAGAAAATTATAATTTTTTTTTTTTTTTTGAAACAGGGTCTCACTCTGTCACCCAGGCTAGAGTGCAGTGGCATGATCTCGGCTCACTGCAACCTCCACCTCCCGGATTCAAGTGATTCTCCTGCCTCAGTTTCCTGAGTAGTTGGGACTACAGGTGCACACCACCACACCCAGCTAATTTTTGTATTTTTAGTAGAGACAGAGTTTCACCATGTTGACCAGGCTGTCTTGAACTTCTGACCTCAAAGTGATCCGCCCGCCTCGGCCTCCAGAAGTGCTGGGATTACAGACATGAGCCAACCCACCTGGCCAAAAATTACAATTGTTTAAAGATAGGAAACATGACTTACTTACTAGCAGCATCTAGAGGCATTACCCTCTACAAAACCTATAAATTAAGCTGTGTAGAATGAATGAAAGAAAAATATGAAGATAAACTACATTAATTATAAAATGCTTATTAATTTCTGAAATTATGTTGCAAGAGTAAGAGACACCTTATACTTTGACAGAGAAAAGCCTTCAACTTCAAATATCCAGAAGAAGTAACAATTTGAAATCCAGTCACAATTTAAAAAAAGTCTATCAGGTTTTAATACTTAACATCAGATGCTTTCCTAGGTAACAAAGCCAGAAATTTTCAGAAAACATGTATTAGAAAAAAAGGAAAATAATTGGTATTAGAATAATTGTAGAGGCAGAAAAGACTAAAAATTGTTTGTTATGATATGAAAGCTTTGATATTAGTAAAATAATAATGCAGAACAATGTGAAACACATAAAATAATACAGAAAAGGAAGAACCAAAATTATATATAATAATAGTAATAATAATCACTACTATTTATTGCTTATGACATGACAGGCACTGTGTTGCAACTCTACAATCTTATCTTTCTATCCTCACAGTAATGTTGAATGTAGATATTATTATTATTTATCTCATTTTGTAGATGATGAACCTGTGTCTTAGAAGGGTTGATCAACTTAATTTACCAAGGTCACATAGTCCAGTAAGTGACAGTACCACATCTTAAATTCTGACTTGGGAACCCAAGCTCTTATCTATTACATACAAAGAGACAATTTCTTACCCATGTTTGACCATGTTTCTACAGTCTCTTATGAGGAGAAATTAAGAATCATATCAGAACCAAACTTTATAGTAATTTCAGTAGTTGGATGGATGAGATGAAATTTTGTGACCTTGCTCTTGGGATCATAAGAGCAACAGGTGGGAATGGTCTTTTCCCTGAAGGGAACATGCTTCCGCTGTTGATCACCTATCCACTAAATAAATCTCAGGCTCACAGGATTGGACAGCCGACATTAGATGGACATAGAAAGGAAGAGATGCTTCCTTTCTCTTGGGCTAGAAAGTGGTTGATTTTTGTCTTCCAATAAAGGACACACCTGAATGGTTTTGTGGGAATTGAGGAGCTGCCCCTGACACATAGATCTAGTCAAGGCATATGCCTGATCAGAAATGGGGGACAAGAACAGGGATTGGTGCCAAAGTTGTACTTAATTCTCAGGGTTGTATCCCCTCTCCATAGTTGCCCATACAGTCTGATCTCACTTCTTCTGTAAGGAGTAAAAAAAAAAAAAAAAATCAGGAAGAAGCCTGCGGCCTTGCTTTCAACAAAGCAAAAGAGTACAGAGCAGTACAGCTTACAAAAGCAGTGAACAAGGGAAGGTAACTGTGCCCAGCAAGGCTGATGTTTCATGAGGGTCAGGGGCAACAGAACAGCCCAACAGATACAAAGTAGAGAAGGATGGATTCAACAAATTAATAAATGGTTCAGCATACATTGATCATTGAAAGTAAATGTGATCTTATTTTTAGTTGCAGACCATTGAGGCTTAGACCGCTGAATCACATTCATCGTACTGACGCCCTGCTTTAAGATCTTCTGTGCCTCCCTACTGTCTTCAAACGGAAGTTCAAGTTCCTGAGCATCCCACAAACAAGGCAATTCATGAACAGCCCCATTGCTAATGTCCTCTCTCACCAGCCTTCTGACACCACACAGAGGCCCTCAAATTCAAATGTACTAAATTATGAGCATTTCTCCAAATGTGGGCTTTTGTCCTCTTTTGCCTCTGAACACATGATGCTTTCTCTGTGTCTAATTCTTTTCCCCATACTGCTTCTGCCCTAAAACTCATTCTTTAGAGCTTAACTCAAAAGTTCCTTTTTAAAAGAGTCTTTGACTAGAATGCAACTTATGTGATCTCTTCAATTTCCTATTAAGATCCTAAGAAAACATATACTTTATTTATTTATTTATTTGTTTATTTATTTTTTGAGACGGCGTTTTGCTCTTCCTGCCCAAGCTGGAGTGCAATGGTGTGATCTCAGCTCACTGCAACCTCCGCCTCCCGGGTTCAAGCAATTCCCGTCTCAGCCTCCCTGGTAGCTGGGATTACAGGTGCTCGCCACCACGCCCAGCTAACTTTTTGTATTTTTAGTAGAGACAGGGTTTCACTATGTTGGCCAGGCTGGTCTCGAACTCCTGACCTCAGGTGATCCACCCGCCTCAGCCTCCCAAAGTGCTGGAATTACAGGCGTGAGCCACCGCACCCGGCTAGAAAACTTCAGAATTGATCACTCTGTATTTTTATGCTATGTTTACAATCTGCTTCCTTTTTGCATCATGTGCTTCTAGCGTGCCTGGCCCATGGTAGGATGCAACAATATTTGTTGAGTGAATGAATGACTGGTAATTTTCTTGATCATGCACAGTAGCTGCTGTAGTCCTCAGAGATTTGCATGTGCTGTTTCTTTTGTGAGAAATCATGTATCCTGGAGGCTGATTCTTCCTTTAATTTGCAAATTAACTTAACCAAAATTGAAATTAGTGAGGAGGGCATAAAGGACTTAAACATTCTGACAATATTTTATCTTCCTTCTTTAGCTGCAGTCATTGACATTATTGCTGATTCTTTCATGTACTATATTAACTAAATTGATCATTCTTAGACCATGTTCAAATGTTTAAAATATAGATATCTTGCTTGTGGCTCCCTTTATGGCTGCTAGAGGAGGTGGATCTTTCTTTTCGCTTGCTCACTGCTTTTCTCACAATGGACACTTTCCTAGTGCCCCTTTATCACTCATGCACACAAAAAGGTACACACAAAAAGGTCCCCTTAAACAAGGTACAGTACTTGAAATGAATGAGAGTATTTTAGGAAACAAAGGTTGGATTAACTCTCCCCATTCATACCAACTGTGACTTCAACACAGCTCTTTGTAAATAAGGGTTTCACAATCATGTGATTTCCTGGCACGCTCATCCTGTTCATGGGGTAAAAGAATGTATTGATCTGATTCTTGACCTAATAATCAAATTTCATCAAACTTTTATACAAATTTGATTTACAGCAGTCTAGAATAGAGATTGGTGCTTGCTTTCTAAACAATGTATTTTTACAGAACAGACTGTTTTCACTAGAAGTTCTGTCCCAGATTTTATGATCTCTCTATATATATGCATATTTTTTGAGACAGGACCTCCCTCTGTCACCCAGCCTAGAGTGCAGTCACACAATCACTGCTCACTGCAGCCTCAACCTCCCAGGCCCAAGTGATCCTCCTGCCTCAGCCTTCCGGGTAGCTGGGACCAGAGGCATATGCCACCATCCCCAGCTAATTTTTTATTTTGTAGAGATAGAGTCTCCCTGTGTTGCCCAGGCTAGCTCAAACTCCCAGACTCAAGCAATCCTCCTCCTCGGTCTCCCAAAGTAATGGGATTCGAGGCATGAGCCACCACAACTGGCTTCATCTTTCTATTTTTAATTATTGGGGGAGAGCACCCACTAGCCTCTTTGTCTCACTGTGTTCCAATTCTACTATTCTGCTAGTATTTCATTGCATAAAAATGATTATGAATAATGACTCATTAATGAGGTTGACAACCTTACACACTCCTTCCTTATAATTGTGGAATAGAAGTTTTGTGTTTTTATGTAGTTACATTAACAATCTACTAACTACTTTACCACTGATTTTGTATTCTTCTCACTTCATGGTCTGTGCAATTTTCGCCAAATATGTGTCCGAAAAAGTATTAAAAATATTATTCTTTTTTCAACACTCACCCAAGTCAATGTTAACAGGCTCTATATGCCATCAGCCCCCATACCAAGATTTCATTTGCAACAGTTGTTTAAATTATTTTTTAATTATAAAATATTTCATACATTTAAAGGCGGATAGAGATAATTAGCAAATGGAATGCTCAACACCATTAGTCATCAGAGAAAGGCAAATCAAAACCACAATGAGGTACCATTTCACGCTCAATAGGATGGCTGTAATTAGAAAAGACAGACAATAACAAGTGTTGGTCAGGATGTGAAGAAATTAGACCCCTCACACATTGCTTGTGAGCACGTAAAATAATGCATCTGCTTTGGAAAAGTTTGGCAGGTCCTCTAGGTTGCATGTAGAATTCTCATATGACCTACCTATTCCACTCCTAAGTAATGTAAACATATGTTCACATAAGAACTTGTACACAAATGCTCATAGCAGCATTATTCATAATGGCCAAAAGCAGAACAATCCAAATGTTCATCAACTGATGAATGAATAAACAAAATGTAATATACCCCAAAATGGAATATTATTTTGCCACAAAAAGGAATGAAGTGCTGATATACGCCACAACAGAAATGAAACATTGAAAACATCATGCTAAGCGAAAAAAAAGCCAATCACAAGACTACATGTGTATGATTCCTTTTATATGAAATGTCCAGAATAGGTCAATCTATAGTGATCAAAAGTAGATTGGTGGTTTTCTAGGGTTGTTAAGGGTTGGGGGAAACTGCGAAGTGAATGCTGGTGGGTACATGATTTCTTTTTGGGATGACAAAAATGTTCTAAGATTGATCATAGTGATAGTTGCACAACTCTGTGAGTATCCTGAAAACCTTTGAATTTTACAATTCAAATTGAGTAATATATATGGAATATGTTATATTTCAGTAGAAATGTTAGGAAATAAATAAAATGAATAATTTTTAAAACCCTAAATAATTACATAGGCAATATGTAGTAGACACTCATTAAAATATCTCCAACATTTAAAAATATGTTTGCCAGGTCGGGCACGGTGGCTCACGCCTGTAATCCCAACACTTTGGAGGCCAAGGTGGGTGGATCACTTGAAGTCAGGAGTTCGAGACCAGCCTGGCCAACATGGCGAAACCCCATCTGTACTAAAAATACAAAAATTAGTCAAGCGTGGTGGTAATCCCAGCTATTTGGGAGCCTGAGGAAGGCGAATAACTTGAACCCTGGAGGCAGAGGCTGCAGTGAGCCAAGATCGTACCATTGCACTCCAGCCTGCATGACAGAGTGAGACTCTGTCTAAAAATACATATTTATATAATATATATAGTTTAATATATTTGTTTGCCAATTTTGCACCCCTTTTTTAAGAAACAAAAAGTTACAAAATAAGTTGAAATCCCCTATTTTCACTTTGCCCATTTTGCCTAGAAAGAACCACTATCATAAAGTTGGTACACATCATTTCCATCTATATTTTTGTCTTTTTCATGTGTGTTATAATTTTTGAGATGTAGTCTTGCTGTATAAACCAGGCTGGTCTTGAACTCCTGGGCTCCAGGGATCCTCCTACCTCAGCCTCCTGAGTAGCTGAGACTACAGGCATGCATCACTGTATGCAGTCCATATTTTTGTCCTTTTACTACTTATATGTGTGTCTATAAATAAAACATGAGTCTATTTTGAATGTTTTTTACATTTTACATAAATAGCATAATGAAAAAAATAGCCTTCACAGCTTGCTTTTTACACATTGCGTGGTGTTTAAGAAGTTTAAATCTGTCCATATAAACATATGTAGATCTAGTTATGTACTTAAATTCTGTATAGTATTCCATTGTGCTAAAATAACACAATTAATATCTATTGTTCTAGTGGTGAAAATATAAGTTGTTTCCAAATTTTCAGCAGTACAAAAAATACTGGGAAAAAAACATTCCTTGAATATGTTTCTGTGGGCATGTCTACATATCCTTATCTAGGGGTATATACCTGAAGTTGGAAGTTTCTAGGTTATAGGTTATGATCAGTTTAAATAAAGTACAGTATAAGCTTATTTTCAAATCATTTATACCAAATTACATCTTGCTGGCAGTGGTTGAAATATTATTACCTCCAACCCCTGGCCATGATTTAAAACCATCATTTCAAATTTTTGTCAATTTGATGGTAATGAAATAATATCTCATTGCATTTTAATTTTATTTTCTTGAATTCTGGTGAGATGGAACTTTTTTTCATGTGTTTGTTGCTTTCTAGGTGTTGTTTCTGTAAATGTTTTTCTTTTCCTTTGCAAGGACTGTTTATATAGTCTGGATAATAATCCTCTGTTAGTTATACATATTTCAAAAATCCTTCCCAATTTTGGCTTGCATTTTAAATTTTTAAATAGCATCTTTGTCAGATGCAAATTTAAAATTTTTATATAATTAAATTTAACCATCCATGTCCTAATGGCCAGGAATTTTAGTGATATGAACATATTCTGCTGTATTTTTTCTAAACATTGTAAGGTTTTTGTTGTCATATATGGATGTTAATCCACCTGAAATTTATTTTTTGTATTTATAAAATAGATAAATACTTTTATTCTTTTCCTCAAATGGCTACTTGTCCCAGAACCCTTGCCCTACTGATTTATAATTGTTGTATATCAAGTTTCCTGTATAGATTTTTGTGTTTCTGAATTATTCTTTCCCCTTAGTCTATTTGTCTTGCCTTATGTTAATAAAATGCTGTTTTAATTGCTATACCATATAAGTCTTGCTATCTTGTTGTTTTTTTCTTGTACCCTATCAGCACTGACCAATCACAGAATCAGAATAAACTTGAGAAGCAGTATACTTGGGGAAATAAATTTCTCAAAATGATAAGAAGTTGGCACTGGCTCTGGAATGCTGTTTGGAATAATTTACCGTGGTACCTGTTAGTGATATGTGCAACTATCTGAAAATGTTTTTAATCACAGCCAACTGCTATGATTTTAGTTTATAAAGATAACTGCCTTTGGACTTTGAATACTGCATCTATTAAATAGAAGAGTTTTCATCTGAAGTTGTATAGAATACCATTAAAACACTGGAGCTATAAGAAACACACAGAACCTTTTTAAAGCTTCTTATACATAATATAACACTATGTGTCCATGAGAAAACCATTTTAAAGGCAAGATAACTAAATTCTGGAATAGTAAGACATGTTAATCATAATAGGAAATCTGTCATGCATAGCAGACATTTATATATATTCTGTCTTTAAGTTTTACTGCCAAAAAGTTTTGAATATGAGGAAACATACTGATAGAAAAAAATAAGAACATGAAAAACGTCTTACTACACAGTAGGAATTAGCACTAACTAAATAGGAACATTTCTAACCCTCAGCTTTTGTAATGCCTGTTGGGATATTTCATCTGAATAGAACACCACAAATTAAAACACGACATTTCTCAGATGATTTGCGCCCCCTATCAGCTTCCCCTCTTCAGCTTCTTTATTTCTGTCATGTGTACCCTTGTCTTTACAGTTTCTCAATTATAAAAGCTTGATGTTATCTTTTATTTATTTTACCTCTGTATACTCTATCTACGGTAGGCAGAATAATGGCTTCCTCCCTTTCCCCCAAAGATGTCCATGTCCTAATTTCTGAAACCTATGAGTATGCTATGTTATATCCAAGGGGGTATTATGGTTGCTAATAAACTGACCTTAAGGTTAAAAATGTATCCTAGATTGTACGGGAGGGTCCAATGTAATCACCAGGATCCTTTAAGCATGAAGGATGGAGATGGAAGAGTCAGGGTCAGGGTGATGCAGCCTCAGAAAGACTCAGCAGGAAATATCTGGCTCTGAAGGTGATAGAGATTCAGGAGTCAAGGAATGCAGGCAACCTCTAGAACCTGGAAAAGGCAAGAAAACAGATCTCCTACAGCCCCCGGCAGGAAGGCAGCCCCATTGAAACCTTGATTTTAGCCCAGTGGAACCAATTTCAGGCCTCTGACCTTTCAGGATGGTAAGATAATAAACTTATGCTGCTCTAACCCATCTAGTTTGTGGTAATTTAGGAGAGCAGCAATAGGAAACGAATACACAATTCAATTACTAATCATATCTTCATTGATTCTTTTTTTGTTTGTTTGTTTTTTTGAGACAGGGTCTTGCTCTATCACCCAGGCTGGAGTGCAGTGGTGCCATCTTGGCTCACTGTAGCCTTGACCTCCTGGATTCAAGCAATCCTCCCACCTCAGCCTCCCGAGTAGCTGGGACCACAGGCACCAGCCACCACACCCACCTAAATTTTTTGGATTTTTTAGTAGAGACAGGGTTTCTCCATGTTGCCCGGGCTGGTCTTGAACTCCTGAGCTCAAGCCACCTACCCATTTCAGCCTCCCAAAGTGCTGGGATTACAGGCGTAAGCCATCATGCCTGGCCAATTGATTCTTATGTTCTACTTCCTCTCAAATGGCTTTACAATCTGGATAAAATGGCAGGCCCCACTTCTGCCTTCATTTGTTAGCTCCTGGATGTTGCCATAGATTCCTAACAATGATATAGGGCAGTGGTTTCCAACCTTTTTGGCACCAGGGATGGGTTTCATTGAAGACAATTTTTTTTACAGACCCAGGGGGTGGGGGATAGTTTTGCAATGATTTAAGCACATTACATTTATTGTGTGCTTTATTTATATTATTAATACATTGTAATATATAATGACATAATTATACAACTCACCATAAGGCACAATCAGTTGGAGCCCTGGACTTGTTTTCCTGCAACTAGACAGTCCCATTTGGGGGTGATGGGAGACAGTGACAGATCATCAGGCATTCGATTCTCATAAGAAGCTTGCATCCTAGATCCTAGATCCCTCCCATGCAGAATTCACAATAGAATTCGCACTCCAATGGGAATCTAATGCTAGGGCTCATCTGACAGGAGGTGGAGCTCAGGTGGTAATGGGAGGTATGGGGAGCAGCTGTAAAAACAAATGAAGCTTCACTCACTCACTCACTGCTCACCTCCTGCTGTGTGGCCCAGTTCCTACCAGACCACAGACCGGTACCAATCTGTGGCCTAGGGCTTGGGGACCCCTGATATAGGGGATCTTGTCCTAAACTGTGAGTCAGGTCTAGTCTATTTCTGCTGTTAATTAGCTTATGACCTTAGGCAACCTCTCTGCTAAATTTCCTTGCTCTCCACCCCAATACACACACACACACACACACACACGTGTGCACACACACACAAACACACATACACACCAGACACCAGAAATTGAGTAAGTTGACTAAGATGATTATTACATTTCTTTCTAGTTCTTGTTAGTACCATTTTGCAGTCTGTTTCTTGCTTCCTCACATCTTCTATACATCAATCCAGAATTATTCTTAAAACCTGTTTGGTATAAATTAAATTCTTATGTAGAAGCATGCATTGACTTTTCACTGCTTAGGGATTAAATAAGGCCCTATTAGAGACCTTTAACCACCTGCCCACTGCCCCATCTCTCTGCCACAGTTTTTCTTTTCCAGAGTTCACTACTCACTGCAGCAAAACAGGTCTCATTCATTCCTGAGACATGATCTGTTCAGGCTCTTCCTCCTTCCTGAAATACCCATCGCATTTATATCTAGTTATCAGAGTCCTGCTCTTTCTGTAAAAGGCCCAGCAACTACCACTCCCCTGGGACTGTTCCTCCCCCACAATTGCTGCCTACACTGTGTTTCTCAAACCAAATTATCATGAGAACTTATAAATGATCTAAGTTTTCCAACTCAACACTGAAGATTGAGGATTGTAGAGAGACGATAGAAGAGGGATAAAAGAAAAGAGAAACTAGTTCAAAAGAGTAAGGCTTTGCCTTTCAAGTCTCCGGAAGGAGTGGGGGAACAAATGTGTTTGGAACTGATCTAATATGACTTGCATTATTATTTCTTTGCCAGTATGTCTTGTCTCCCAAGGTATAACTCCTTAGTGACAGAGTCATTTCTAATATTTCTTTTTATCCTTGTCATTTTTTAAAAAAAGATGTCTTACCAACAAAAACTACTTACTTGTTTGCTCAGTGTTGTAATACAAAAATGATAATGACATTAATACACCAAATCCAGTTTTAGCTTCCACAATTCATGAGGATAAAAAATACATAATGAGCTCATCAACCAAGTATTTGTTAAATTCCTGCTTGTGTATAGTACATGTTAGCAAAATAATCCCCAGTACTGGACGGTGTGGACTCTCAATCCCCCTCATTCCTTGGCCTCTGAATCCCACGTTTTCAGCATGACTTTTTGGTAGGTGCCAAATATAACTCATAGTTCTCTAACCCCTCTTGAATTTCTCTGGTTTCTAGGAGGGAGTTCTCCTACCAGTGGTCCAAAGCCTACTTCATTGCAAGCTGTGTAGTCACAGCCATATTGCCAGGGCAGTCAGCTTCATCCAGTGGAGCAACATGGAGGCCTCGAATGAATACAAGATGTGGCTCATTGTCCAAAAACAAGGGCAATTTCTTAAGAAACTGGGCATCTTTATGAGAAATTTTTAGATTTCCTCAATTTAGTTAACCCATAATAGTACTTAGTCAGATTCTTTGCTTGAAACTTTCTGTCCAAACCATCTATTCAGCCAATATTTGCAGGTCTGACTAGAGCATTATCTTCATGGGGGCTCTCTCCAACTTTGCCATTTTATTCTAAAACCAGAAGGACTTCTGTATGATCGATTTACACTGCTATACTCCATGATGCTAATAGCTGAGTGGTCATGACGAAGGTGAGCTCTTGGCTCAAGTCTGGGGTGATAAGTTTAATCCAATGTGAACCTGAGTACTTGGTCTGAAATCCCAGACACTGTGTCAGCACATATCCGTCCTTGAGAATCTAACACAATACTATTTAAAAATTGTTTCATATAGCTAAGTATTTCACTTTTTCCTATTTGTTCTCTTTCTAGTCAGCTCTCTTCCAGGTTTTTTGTTTCTTTTGTTTCCCACACTTAAGTTCATTTCTACACACATATTGTACCAACTGTCAGTAGCATACAAATGCCTCCTTCTTTGGCTTGTCAGTGACATAAATTTTCTCTAATATAACCTGACAAGGGCGTTGTAGTAGAAATGTCATTTATTTCTCTCATTTAGTCATAGATTTTAAGTCTCTTTCAAAGACTCTGTATCTTTCTCATAGAAATTCCTTTGCCTATACAATATTTTTCTTTCCCACACAGAACATATATTTATATGTGACATAATGAAGCTGGCAAGGAAATGACTGTTTCAGCTTTTTAAAACCACAATAGTAGCTTGGAGCTAATATACAATGGGCTAGTTAGTTCCATCATACATACATACAGGTACATGTATTACACTACCATCTTTAAACCATGAATCATATACATTCTCATTCATATACACAGCCATGCATATAAATTAACTGTTGCTGCACAGCCACAATCTCTCACATTTCCATTTTCTTCCAATCTTTCTCCGTCTCTTCTACTTCTTAACTATGTTCATCATAACCAGGACTATGACATACTGGGTAAACTGGCTATCATGCCCAATATATCTGGAAAAACATTTAGACACACTGCTTTGCAGAATGAACACAGCTGGAATCCAGAGAACGGTGCAAATTTTTTTAAAAAAATTTCTATATTATATCATCTTACTTGAGGCTATAGAATAAGCCTTACATGGTCACCTTCAAGTCTTCTCTCTTCTAAGAATCCTCAATTCTTTTATTTTCTATCTTTCAGCAGTTGGTGCTAAAAATGGTGGGTTGCCACCACCCCATAACATGCTAGCTCTCTCTTGGGAGAGCACAGGTGAATTGAGGGCTCTTTACAATCCTTCACGGACATAGGCTTGGGCAGCTCAGAATCTTCAGAGTCAAGCAACTGTAAGACAAACGAACCTTTTTCTTTCTAATATTGGTCACCACTCATAGCAAAATTTCAATGCACGATCATGCTTTAAAGAACTAGACCTGATGATAGCAAGAAATTCTTTTCCCTTACACCTTAACTATTGCATTCACCCTCCTTTCCACTCCCTGCCCCACCCTCCTGGGACTATTGACTGGTGTTAATAATCCCAGAAGATTGTCTCCCTCATAGAAAGACTAACGCATACTTAACTTCATAGAAAGACAAGTAAAGTGATGTCCTTGGAATTTCTGCTTGAATTTGGTGCCCTGGACCCTCTTATTGAGAGATGAGATTCCAGGGTGAGAGTAACAGGCCAACTAGTCAAGAAAGAAAGCTATTTGTTTTTCTTTTGAACTATGAAAAGTCCCTGTTTGTGAGTGTATTTTAGAAAGAAGAAAGGAAGGATATGTCTGGAACTTTGTCCTGTTTTCTGCAACAAAATGTGAATGAATAGTTCAAAGAGTGAAAACTTTTAGTAATGCTTGATGATGTCTCTCAGGGATAAGCTGGATCCCCAATGTTTTGAAGATGCTTTGAGTCCAAAAATTGATAATCAGAAAACTACTTTGTGTTTGTTTAATGTATCCCTGTTCTGATTTCAATTAAACTCCACATTTTGTTTTACAACAATAGATGAAGAAGACAGTCCTCTTCTGCCACACACATGTAACATCTAGCTGGACACAGCAGACACAGATGCCCAGAATCTTGAAGCCTAGCTCAGGGTGACCCAGGTTGTATCATGGCCTACAAAACTGTGACTGGCCTGAGTCTTCAGGTCTACATGGGGCACTTGCTCTATGCAATTGCTTTGGGCAAGAGTAACTGACTATGCAGAAAGGATGGTCAGGATTTAAGGAAATTGCCTGGGAATGTCTTGAGAAACTCAGTCCAGCCTTTGTGACGGCAATATAGCTCCTGGGATGTAGGCAAAATCTGACTAATGCATGAGACTTAACAAGGAAGATGTAAATAGCAATGGAAGATGGAGAAACAGTGAGTATAAAACTAAAATTGGGGAAAAGGCCAATGCAAGCTTCGAGGTCACGCTGCCATAGTTGAGAAGGAGTAAAACAGCCCAGGATGAAATCCTTTAATCAGGAAGAATCCTTCTAATTTCAAAATGTAAGCTCTTTAAGTGCAAGAAACTAAGGCTTTTGTTAGGAAAGGCAACGTGCTAACAGGCCCTAAGAGTCCCTGTCCAGTATTGCTGGATATACCAAGAATTCACGGCTCTCACTGGTCTTCACCTGGGCCTTTCTTCAGGATTATGTTTGTAGCAAGCAACAGCCTTGGAGGGATAAGGTAGTATCTTCTCCTAGACAAAGAACAGACTTGTTACCCTGCACTCAAAGTTCTCTAAGCACAGTGTTCCTCTCTCTAATGAGTGTGTAGGCATCTGTACAGGCCCCCCTATGTCATCCCCATGAAATTTGGGGGTCGTGGAAAATTGATACAAGAAAATGTGAAGATCATGCTGCCTGTTACATCATAAGTAATAGAGTCCTTTATCTCCGATTCAAGAGTCTAATACCTTTTCCCAGTGTCCATGATACAGTAACAGGCTAGCCTATTAGCTTGAAAGTAGAGTAAAATCCCAGACTGTCTATAGTTCCTGACAGCTATATCCCCAGCACCTAGAAAAGTAAAATCACATAGCATCCTATTTATTGGTGGTTAAAAGTTTGTGCTAGGTGTTCGCTTTTCAAATTTAATTAAATCAAATTAACGGGATTTCCATTAAGAAATGTTTCTAATAATTTCTGAATATTTGTCAAATCATATATTAAACAGTTACCAAAAAATATTTGGGAAAGAGCATCAGCATTTTAATTGCATTACACATCATGTTTTTAATTCATTTGTTTAATTCTAAAGATAGCCATTTTATGAAGATAATAAATACCAATAATAAGGAAATTTTAAAAAATCTTTCATTATTAATTTTTCAGTGTACCCAGACCAGAATCAAGATTGAGAAGCCTTGGAAAAATAAGCAACTCAATTTTCCCCTTTGGTCTAAGGAAGACATTGATTCAAAGTCCTCTGAGTTCCATTAAGATTTCAGGGGTAATCCTCTCACTTGTGTCTATAATTGATTTATTAATAAAATAACCTCTGATTAGTTATACCTTTCAACAGAATGTTTTTCCACTTACACAATAAAAAATTAAACAGTTTAGACTTGAACTAATATTTGAACTAATAATTGTGTACCCATCTGTGTGCTATGCACTTTCATATAAACAGT